>NC_000009.12:44851372-45518558 GCF_000001405.40 Homo sapiens
AGCATTCTCAGGAACTTCTTTGTGATGTTTGCATTCAAGTCACAGAACTGAACATTCCCTTTCATAGAGCAGGTTTGAAACACTCTTTCTGTAGTATCTGCAAGCTGACGTTTCAAGCGCTTTCAGGCCTATGGTGAGAAAGGAAATATCTTCAAGTAAAAACTAGACAGAAGCATTCTCAGAAACTTATTTGCCATGTGTGTTCTCAACTAACAGAGTTGAACCTTTGTTTTGATACGGCATTTTGGAAACACTCTTTTTGTAGAATCTGCAGGTGGATATTCGGATAGCTTTGAAGGTTTCGTTGCAAACGGGAATATCTTCATATAAAATCTAGACGGAAGCATTCTCAGAAACTGCTTTGTGATGTTTTCATTCAAGTCACAGAGTAGAATGTTCCCTGTTATATACCAGGTTTGAGACACTCTTTCTGCACTACCTGGAAGTGGACATTTGCAGCGCTTTGAGGCCTATGATGAAAAAGGAAATATCTTCCCATAAAAACTAGACAGAAGCATTCTCAGAAACTTCTTTGTGATGTGTGTATTCAACTAACAGAGATGAACCTTTCTTTTTACAGAGCAGTTTTGAAACACTCTTTTTGTGGAATCTGAAAGTGGATATTTGGATAGCTTTGAGGATTTCGTTGGAAACGAGATTACATATAAAACCTAGAGAGAAGCATTCTCAGGAACTTCTTTGTGATGTTTGCATTCAAGTCACAGAACTGAACATTCCCTTTCATGGAGCATGTTTGAAACACTCTTTCTGTAGTATCTGCAAGCTGACGTTTCAAGCGCTTTCAGGCCTATGGTGAGAAAGGAAATATCTTCAAGTAAAAACTAGACAGAAGCATTCTCAGAAACTTATTTGCCATGTGTGTTCTCAACTAACAGAGTTGAACCTTTGTTTTGATACGGCATTTTGGAAACACTCTTTTTGTAGAATCTGCAGGTGGATATTCGGATAGCTTTGAAGGTTTCGTTGGAAACGGGAATATCTTCATATAAAATCTAGACAGGAAGCATTCTCAGAAACTGCTTTGTGATGTTTTCATTGAAGTCACAGAGTAGAATGTTCCCTTTTATATACCAGGTTTGAGACACTCTTTCTGCACTATCTGGAAGTGGACATTTGGAGCGCTTTGAGGCCTATGATGAAAAAGGAAATATCTTCCCATAAAAACTAGACAGAAGCATTCTCAGAAACTTGTTTGTGATGTGTGTATTCAACTAACAGAGATGAACCTTTCTTTTTACAGAGCAGTTTTGAAACACTCTTTTTGTGGAATCTGAAAGTGGATATTTGGATAGCTTTGAGGATTTCGTTGGAAACGGGATTACATATAAAATCTAGAGAGAAGCATTCTCAGGAACTTCTTTGTGATGTTTGCATTCAAGTCACAGAACTGAACATTCCCTTTCATAGAGCAGGTTTGAAACACTCTTTCTGTAGTATCTGCAAGCTGACGTTTCAAGCGCTTTCAGGCCTATGGTGAGAAAGGAAATATCTTCAAGTAAAAACTAGACAGAAGCATTCTCAGAAACTTATTTGCCATGTGTGTCCTCAACTAACAGAGTTGAACCTTTCTTTTGATACGGCATTTTGGAAACACTCTTTTTGTAGAATCTGCAGGTGGATATTCGGATAGCTTTGAAGGTTTCGTTGGAAACGGGAATATCTTCATATGAAATCAAGACAGAAGCATTCTCAGAAACTGCTTTGTGATGTTTTCATTCAAGTCACAGAGTAGAATGTTCCCTTTTATATACCAGGTTTGAGACACTCTTTCTGCACTATCTGGAAGTGGACATTTGGAGCGCTTTGAGGCCTATGATGAAAAAGGAAATATCTTCCCATAAAAACTAGACAGAAGCATTCTCAGAAACTTGTTTGTGATGTGTGTATTCAACTAACAGAGATGAACCTTTCTTTTTACAGAGCAGTTTTGAAACACTCTTTTTGTGGAATCTGAAAGTGGATATTTGGATAGCTTTGAGGATTTCGTTGGAAACGGGATTACATATAAAATCTAGAGAGAAGCATTCTCAGGAACTTCTTTGTGATGTTTGCATTCAAGTCACAGAACTGAACATTCCCTTTCATAGAGCAGGTTTGAAACACTCTTTCTGTAGTATCTGCAAGCTGACGTTTCAAGCGCTTTCAGGCCTATGGTGAGAAAGGAAATATCTTCAAGTAAAAACTAGACAGAAGCATTCTCAGAAACTTATTTGCCATGTGTGTTCTCAACTAACAGAGTTGAACCTTTGTTTTGATACGGCATTTTGGAAACACTCTTTTTGTTGAATCTGCAGGTGGATATTCGGATAGCTTTGAAGGTTTCGTTGGAAACGGGAATATCTTCATATAAAATCTAGACGGAAGCATTCTCAGAAACTGCTTTGTGATGTTTTCATTCAAGTCACAGAGTAGAATGTTCCCTGTTATATACCAGGTTTGAGACACTCTTTCTGCACTACCTGGAAGTGGACGTTTGGAGCACTTTGAGGCCTATGTTGAAAAAGGAAATATCTTCCCATAAAAACTAGACAGAAGCATTCTCAGAAACTTGTTTGTGATGTGTGTATTCAACTAACAGAGATGAACCTTTCTTTTTACAGAGCAGTTTTGAAACACTCTTTTTGTGGAATCTGAAAGTGGATATTTGGATAGCTTTGAGGATTTCGTTGGAAACGGGATTACATATAAAATCTAGAGAGAAGCATTCTCAGGAACTTCTTTGTGATGTTTGCCTTCAAGTCACAGGACTGAACATTCCCTTTCATAGAGCAGGTTTGAAACACTCTTTCTGTAGTATCTGCAAGCTGACGTTTCATGCGCTTTCAGGCCTATGGTGAGAAAGGAAATATCTTCAAGTAAAAACTAGACAGAAGCATTCTCAGAAACTTATTTGCCATGTGTGTTCTCAACTAACAGAGTTGAACCTTTGTTTTGATACGGCATTTTGGAAACACTCTTTTTGTAGAATCTGCAGGTGGATATTCGGATAGCTTTGAAGGTTTCGTTGGAAACGGGAATATCTTCATATAAAATCTAGACGGAAGCATTCTCAGAAAGTGCTTTGTGATGTTTGCATTCAAGTCACAGAGTTGAATATTCCCTTTTATAGAGCAGGTTTGAAACACTCTTTCTGCACTACCTGGAAGTGGACATTTGGAGCGCTTTGAGGCCTATGTTGAAAAAGGAAATATCTTCCCATAAAAACTAGACAGAATCATTCTCAGAAACTTGTTTGTGATGTGTGTATTCAACTAACAGAGATGAACCTTTCTTTTTACAGAGCAGTTTTGAAACACTCTTTTTGTGGAATCTGAAAGTGGATATTTGGATAGCTTTGAGGATTTCGTTGGAAACGGGATTACATATAAAATCTAGGGAGAAGCATTCTCAGGAAATTCTTTGTGATGTTTGCATTCAAGTCACAGAACTGAACATTCCCTTTCATAGAGCAGCTTTGAAACACTCTTTCTGTAGTATCTGCAAGCGGACGTTTCAAGCGCTTTCAGGCCTGTGGTGAAAAAGGAAATATCTTAAAATAAAAACTAGACAGAAGCATTCTCAGAAACTTATTTGCGATGTGTGTCCTCAACTAACAGAGTTGAACCTTTGTTTTGATACAACATTTTGGAAACACTCTTTTTGTAGAATCTGCAAGTGGATATTTGGATAGCTTTGAAGCTTTCGTTGGAAACGGGAATATCTTCATATAAAATCAAGACAGAAGCATTCTCAGCAAACTTCTCTGTGATGTTTGCATTCAACTCATAGAGTTGAACACTTCCCTTCATACAGCAGGTTTGAAACACTCTTTTTGTAATATTTGGAAGTGGACATTTGCAGCGCTTTGAGGCCTATGATGAAAAAGGAAATATCTTCCCATAAAAACTAGACAGAAGCATTCTCAGAAACTTGTTTGTGATGTGTGTATTCAACTAACAGAGATGAACCTTTCTTTTTACAGAGCAGTTTTGAAACACTCTTTTTGTGGAATCTGAAAGTGGATATTTGGATAGCTTTGAGGATTTCGTTGGAAACGGGATTACATATAAAATCTAGAGAGAAGCATTCTCAGGAACTTCTTTGTGATGTTTGCATTCACGTCACAGAACTGAACATTCCCTTTCATAGAGCATGTTTGAAACACTCTTTCTGTAGTATCTGCAAACGGACATTTCAAACGCTTTCAGGCCCATGGTGAGAAAGGAAATATCTTCAAGTAAAAACTAGACAGAAGCATTCTCAGAAACTTATTTGCCATGTGTGTTCTCAACTAACAGAGTTGAACCTTTGTTTTGATACGGCATTTTGGAAACACTCTTTTTGTAGAATCTGCAGGTGGATATTCGGATAGCTTTGAAGGTTTCGTTGGAAACGGGAATATCTTCATATAAAATCTAGACGGAAGCATTCTCAGAAACTGCTTTGTGATGTTTTCATTCAAGTCACAGAGTAGAATCTTCCCTGTTATATACCAGGTTTCAGACACTCTTTCTGCACTACCTGGAAGTGGACATTTGCAGCGCTTTGAGGCCTATGATGAAAAAGGAAATATCTTCCCATAAAAACTAGACAGAAGCATTCTCAGAAACTTGTTTGTGATGTGTGTATTCAACTAACAGAGATGAACCTTTCTTTTTACAGAGCAGTTTTGAAACACTCTTTTTGTGGAATCTGAAAGTGGATATTTGGATAGCTTTGAGGATTTCGTTGGAAACGGGATTACATATAAAATCTAGAGAGAAGCATTCTCAGGAACTTCTTTGTGATGTTTGCATTCAAGTCACAGAACTGAACATTCCCTTTCATAGAGCAGGTTTGAAACAGTCTTTCTGTAGTATCTGCAAGCTGACGTTTCAAGCGCTTTCAGGCCTATGGTGAGAAAGGAAATATCTTCAAGTAAAAACTAGACAGAAGCATTCTCAGAAACTTATTTGCCATGTGTGTTCTCAACTAACAGAGTTGAACCTTTGTTTTGATACGGCATTTTGGAAACACTCTTTTTGTAGAATCTGCAGGTGGATATTCGGATAGCTTTGAAGGTTTCGTTGGAAACGGGAATATCTTCATATAAAATCTAGACGGAAGCATTCTCAGAAACTGCTTTGTGATGTTTTCATTCAAGTCACAGAGTAGAATGTTCCCTGTTATATACGAGGTTTGAGACACTCTTTCTGCACTACCTGGAAGTGGACATTTGCAGCGCTTTGAGGCCTATGATGAAAAAGGAAATATCTTCCCATAAAAACTAGACAGAAGCATTCTCAGAAACTTGTTTGTGATGTGTGTATTCAACTAACAGAGATGAACCTTTCTTTTTACAGAGCAGTTTTGAAACACTCTTTTTGTGGAATCTGAAAGTGGATATTTGGATAGCTTTGCGGATTTCGTTGGAAACGGGATTACATATAAAATCTAGGGAGAAGCATTCTCAGGAACTTCTTTGTGATGTTTGCATTCAAGTCACAGAACTGAACATTCCCTTTCATAGAGCAGGTTTGAAACACTCTTTCTGTAGTATCTGCAAGCGGACGTTTTAAGCGCTTTCAGGCCTGTGGTGAGAAAGGAAATATCTTCAAATAAAAACTAGACAGAAGCATTCTCAGAAACTTATTTGCGATGTGTGTCCTCAACTAACAGAGTTGAACCTTTCTTTTGATACAACATTTTGGAAACACTCTTTTTGTAGAATCTGCAAGTGGATATTTGGATAACTTTGAAGGTTTCGTTGGAAACGGGAATATCTTCATATGAAATCAAGACAGAAGCATTCTCAGAAACTGCTTTGTGATGTTTTCATTCAAGTCACAGAGTAGAATGTTCCCTGTTATATACCAGGTTTGAGACACTCTTTCTGCACTACCTGGAAGTGGACATTTGCAGCGCTTTGAGGCCTATGATGAAAAAGGAAATATCTTCCCATAAAAACTAGACAGAAGCATTCTCAGAAACTTGTTTGTGATGTGTGTATTCAACTAACAGAGATGAACCTTTCTTTTTACAGAGCAGTTTTGAAACACTCTTTTTGTGGAATCTGAAAGTGGATATTTGGATAGCTTTGAGGATTTCGTTGGAAACGGGATTACATATAAAATCTAGAGAGAAGCATTCTCAGGAACTTCTTTGTGATGTTTGCATTCAAGTCACAGAACTGAACATTCCCTTTCATAGAGCAGGTTTGAAACACTCTTTCTGTAGTATCTGCAAGCTGACGTTTCAAGCGCTTTCAGGCCTATGGTGAGAAAGGAAATATCTTCAAGTAAAAACTAGACAGAAGCATTCTCAGAAACTTATTTGCGATGTGTGTTCTCAACTAACAGAGTTGAACCTTTGTTTTGATATGGCATTTTGGAAACACTCTTTTTGTAGAATCTGCAGGTGGATATTCGGATAGCTTTGAAGGTTTCGTTGGAAACGGGAATATCTTCATATAAAATCTAGACGGAAGCATTCTCAGAAACTGCTTTGTGATGTTTTCATTCAAGTCACAGAGTAGAATGTTCCCTGTTATATACCAGGTTTGAGACACTCTTTCTGCACTACCTGGAAGTGGACATTTGCAGCGCTTTGAGGCCTATGATGAAAAAGGAAATATCTTCCCATAAAAACTAGACAGAAGCATTCTCAGAAACTTGTTTGTGATGTGTGTATTCAACTAACAGAGATGAACCTTTCTTTTTACAGAGCAGTTTTGAAACACTCTTTTTGTGGAATCTGAAAGTGGATATTTGGATAGCTTTGCGGATTTCTTTGGAAACGGGATTACATATAAAATCTAGAGAGAAGCATTCTCAGGAACTTCTTTGTGATGTTTGCATTCACGTCACAGAACTGAACATTCCCTTTCATAGAGCATGTTTGAAACACTCTTTCTGTAGTATCTGCAAACGGACATTTCAAACGCTTTCAGGCCTATGGTGAGAAAGGAAATATCTTCAAGTAAAAACTAGACAGAAGCATTCTCAGAAACTTATTTGCGATGTGTGTTCTCAGCTAACAGAGTTGAACCTTTGTTTTGATACAGCATTTTGGAAACACTCTTTTTGTAGGATCTGCAGGTGGATATTTGGATAGCTTTGAAGGTTTCTTTGGAAACGGGAATATCTTCATATAAAATCAAGACAGAAGCATTCTCAGAAACTGCTTTGTGATGTTTTCATTCAAGTCACAGAGTAGAATCTTCCCTGTTATATACCAGGTTTCAGACACTCTTTCTGCACTACCTGGAAGTGGACATTTGCAGCGCTTTGAGGCCTATGATGAAAAAGGAAATATCTTCCCATAAAAACTAGACAGAAGCATTCTCAGAAACTTGTTTGTGATGTGTGTATTCAACTAACAGAGATGAACCTTTCTTTTTACAGAGCAGTTTTGAATCACTCTTTTTGTGGAATCTGAAAGTGGATATTTGGATAGCTTTGAGGATTTCGTTGGAAACGGGATTACATATAAAATCTAGAGAGAAGCATTCTCAGGAACTTCTTTGTGATGTTTGCATTCAAGTCACAGAACTGAACATTCCCTTTCATAGAGCATGTTTGAAACACTCTTTCTGTAGTATCTGCAAACGGACATTTCAAACGCTTTCAGGCCTATGGTGAGAAAGGAAATATCTTCAAATAAAAACTAGACAGAAGCATTCTCAGAAACTTATTTGCGATGCGTGTTCTCAAATAAAAGAGTTGAACCTTTGTTTTGATACAACATTTTGGAAACACTCTTTTTGTAGAATCTGCAAGTGGATATTTGGATAGCTTTGAAGGTTTCGTTGGAAACGGGAATATCTTCATATAAAATCAAGACAGAAGCATTCTCAGAAAGTGCTTTGTGATGTTTGCATTCAAGTCACAGCAGTTGAATATTCCCTTTTATAGAGCAGGTTTGAAACACTCTTTCTGCACTACCTGGAAGTGGACATTTGGAGCGCTTTGAGGCCTATGTTGAAAAACGTAATATCTTCCCATAAAAACTAGACAGAAGCATTCTCAGAAACTTGTTTGTGATGTGTGTATTCAACTAACAGAGATGAACCTTTCTTTTTACAGAGCAGTTTTGAAACACTCTTTTTGTGGAATCTGAAAGTGGATATTTGGATAGCTTTGAGGATTTCGTTGGAAACGGGGTTACATATAAAATCTAGAGAGAAGCATTCTCAGGAACTCCTTTGTGATGTTTGCCTTCAAGTCACAGGACTGAACATTCCCTTTCATAGAGCAGGTTTGAAACACTCTTTCTGTAGTATCTGCAAGCTGACGTTTCAAGCGCTTTCAGGCCTATGGTGAGAAAGGAAATATCTTCAAGTAAAAACTAGACAGAAGCATTCTCAGAAACTTATATGCCATGTGTGTTCTGAACTAACAGAGTTGAACCTTTGTTTGGATACGGCATTTTGGAAACACTCTTTTTGTAGAATCTGCAGGTGGATATTCGGATAGCTTTGAAGGTTTCGTTGGAAACGGGAATATCTTCATATAAAATCTAGACGGAAGCATTCTCAGAAACTGCTTTGTGATGATTTCATTGAAGTCACAGAGTAGAATGTTCCCTTTTATATACCAGGTTTGAGACACTCTTTCTGCACTATCTGGAAGTGGACATTTGGAGCGCTTTGAGGCCTATGATGAAAAAGGAAATATCTTCCCATAAAAAGTAGACAGAAAGCATTCTCAGAAACTTGTTTGTGATGTGTGTATTCAACTAACAGAGATGAACCTTTCTTTTTACAGAGCAGTTTTGAAACACTCTTTTTGTGGAATCTGAAAGTGGATATTTGGATAGCTTTGAGGATTTCGTTGGAAACGGGATTACATATAAAACCTAGAGAGAGCATTCTCAGGAACTTCTTTGTGATGTTTGCATTCAAGTCACAGAACTGAACATTCCCTTTCATAGAGCAGGTTTGAAACACTCTTTCTGTAGTATCTGCAAGCTGACGTTTCAAGCGCTTTCAGGCCTATGGTGAGAAAGGAAATATCTTCAAGTAAAAACTAGACAGAAGCATTCTCAGAAACTTATTTGCCATGTGTGTTCTCAACTAACAGAGTTGAACCTTTGTTTTGGTACGGCATTTTGGAAACACTCTTTTTGTAGAATCTGCAGGTGGATATTCGGATAGCTTTGAAGGTTTCGTTGGAAACGGGAATATCTTCATATAAAATCTAGACGGAAGCATTCTCAGAAACTGCTTTGTGATGTTTTCATTCAAGTCACAGAGTAGAATGTTCCCTGTTATATACCAGGTTTGAGACACTCTTTCTGCACTACCTGGAAGTGGACATTTGGAGCGCTTTGAGGCCTATGATGAAAAAGGAAATATCTTCCCAAAAAACTAGACACAAGCATTCTCAGAAACTTGTTTGTGATGTGTGTATTCAACTAACAGAGATGAACCTTTCTTTTTACAGAGCAGTTTTGAAACACTCTTTTTGTGGAATCTGAAAGTGGATATTTGGATAGCTTTGCGGATTTCGTTGGAAACGGGATTACATATAAAATCTAGGGAGAAGCATTCTCAGGAACTTCTTTGTGATGTTTGCATTCAAGTCACAGAACTGAACATTCCCTTTCATAGAGCAGGTTTGAAACACTCTTTCTGTAGTATCTGCAAGCGGACGTTTTAAGCGCTTTCAGGCCTGTGGTGAGAAAGGAAATATCTTCAAATAAAAACTAGACAGAAGCATTCTCAGAAACTTATTTGCGATGTGTGTCCTCAACTAACAGAGTTGAACCTTTCTTTTGATACAACATTTTGGAAACACTCTTTTTGTAGAATCTGCAAGTGGATATTTGGATAGCTTTGAAGGTTTCGTTGGAAACGGGAATATCTTCATATGAAATCAAGACAGAAGCATTCTCAGAAACTGCTTTGTGATGTCTTCATTGAAGTCACAGAGTAGAATGTTCCCTTTTATAGAGCAGGTTTGAAACACTCAGTGCACTACCTGGAAGTGGACATTTGGAGCGCTTTGAGGCCTATGTTGAAAAAGGAAATATCTTCCCATAAAAACTAGACAGAAGCATTCTCAGAAACTTGTTTGTGATGTGTGTATTCAACTAACAGAGATGAACCTTTCTTTTTACAGAGCAGTTTTGAAACACTCTTTTTGTGGAATCTGAAAGTGGATATTTGGATAGCTTTGAGGATTTCGTTGGAAACGGGATTACATATAAAATCTAGGGAGAAGCATTCTCAGGAACTTCTTTGTGATGTTTGCATTCACGTCACAGAACTGAACATTCCCTTTCATAGAGCATGTTTGAAACACTCTTTCTGTAGTATCTGCAAGCGGACATTTCAAACGCTTTCAGGCCTATGGTGAGAAAGGAAATATCTTCAAATAAAAACTAGACAGAAGCATTCTCAGAAACTTCTTTGTGCTGTATGTCCTCAATTAACAGAGTTGAACCTTTGTGTGGATACAGCATTTTGGAAACATTCCTTTAGTAGAATCTGCAAGTTGATATTTAGATAGCTAGGAAGATTTCCTTGGAAACGGGAATATCTTCATATAAAATCTAGACGGAAGCATTCTCAGAAAGTGCTTTGTGATGTTTGCATTCAAGTCACAGAGTTGAATATTCCCTTTTATAGAGCAGGTTTGAAACACTCTTTCTGCACTACCTGGAAGTGGACATTTGGAGCGCTTTGAGGCCTATGTTGAAAAACGAAATATCTTCCCATAAAAACTAGACAGAAGCATTCTCAGAAACTTGTTTGTGATGTGTGTATTCAACTAACAGAGATGAACCTTTCTTTTTACAGAGCAGTTTTGAAACACTCTTTTTGTGGAATCTGAAAGTGGATATTTGGATAGCTTTGAGGATTTCGTTGGAAACGGGATTACATATAAAACCTAGAGAGAAGCATTCTCAGGAACTTCTTTTTGATGTTTGCCTTCAAGTCACAGGACTGAACATTCCCTTTCATAGAGCATGTTTGAAACACTCTTTCTGTAGTATCTGCAAGCTGACGTTTCAAGCGCTTTCAGGCCTATGGTGAGAAAGGAAATATCTTCAAGTAAAAACTAGACAGAAGCATTCTCAGAAACTTATTTGCCATGTGTGTTCTCAACTAACAGAGTTGAACCTTTGTTTTGATACGGCATTTTGGAAACACTCTTTTTGTAGAATCTGCAGGTGGATATTCGGATAGCTTTGAAGGTTTCGTTGGAAACGGGAATATCTTCATATAAAATCTAGACGGAAGCATTCTCAGAAACTTCTCTGTGATGTTTGCATTCAACTCATAGAGTTGAACACTTCCCTTCATACAGCAGGTTTGAAACACTCTTTTTGTAATATTTGGAAGTGGACATTTGCAGCGCTTTGAGGCCTATGATGAAAAAGGTAATATCTTCCCATAAAAACTAGACAGAAGCATTCTCAGAAACTTGTTTGTGATGTGTGTATTCAACTAACAGAGATGAACCTTTCTTTTTACAGAGCAGTTTTGAAACACTCTTTTTGTGGAATCTGAAAGTGGATATTTGGATAGCTTTGAGGATTTCGTTGGAAACGGGATTACATATAAAACCTAGAGAGAAGCATTCTCAGGAACTTCTTTGTGATGTTTGCCTTCAAGTCACAGGACTGAACATTCCCTTTCATAGAGCAGGTTTGAAACACTCTTTCTGTAGTATCTGCAAGCTGACGTTTCAAGCGCTTTCAGGCCTATGGTGAGAAAGGAAATATCTTTAAGTAAAAACTAGACAGAAGCATTCTCAGAAACTTATTTGCCATGTGTGTTCTCAACTAACAGAGTTGAACCTTTGTTTTGATACGGCATTTTGGAAACACTCTTTTTGTAGAATCTGCAGGTGGATATTCGGATAGCTTTGAAGGTTTCGTTGGAAACGGGAATATCTTCATATAAAATCTAGACGGAAGCATTCTCAGAAACTGCTTTGTGATGTTTTCATTCAAGTCACAGAGTAGAATGTTCCCTGTTATATACCAGGTTTGAGACACTCTTTCTGCACAACCTGGAAGTGGACGTTTGGAGCGCTTTGAGGCCTATGTTGAAAAAGGAAATATCTTCCCATAAAAACTAGACAGAAGCATTCTCAGAAACTTGTTTGTGATGTGTGTATTCAACTAACAGAGATGAACCTTTCTTTTTACAGAGCAGTTTTGAAACACTCTTTTTGTGGAATCTGAAAGTGGATATTTGGATAGCTTTGAGGATTTCGTTGGAAACGGGATTACATATAAAATCTAGAGAGAAGCATTCTCAGGAACTTCTTTGTGATGTTTGCATTCACGTCACAGAACTGAACATTCCCTTTCATAGAGCATGTTTGAAACACTCTTTCTGTAGTATCTGCAAACGGACATTTCAAACGCTTTCAGGCCTATGGTGAGAAAGGAAATATCTTCAAATAAAAACTAGACAGAAGCATTCTCAGAAACTTATTTGCGATGTGTGTCCTCAACTAACAGAGTTGAACCTTTCTTTTGATACAACATTTTGGAACCACTCTTTTTGTAGAATCTGCAAGTGGATATTTGAATAGCTTTGAAGGTTTCGTTGGAAACGGGAATATCTTCATATAAAATCAAGACAGAAGCATTCTCAGAAACTTCTCTGTGATGTTTGCATTCAACTCAAAGAGTTGAACACTTCCCTTCATACAGCAGGTTTGAAACACTCTTTTTGTAATATTTGGAAGTGGACATTTGCAGCGCTTTGAGGCCTATGATGAAAAAGGTAATATCTTCCCATAAAAACTAGACAGAAGCATTCTCAGAAACTTGTTTGTGATGTGTGTATTCAACTAACAGAGATGAACCTTTCTTTTTACAGAGCAGTTTTGAAACACTCTTTTTGTGGAATCTGAAAGTGGATATTTGGATAGCTTTGAGGATTTCGTTGGAAACGGGATTACATATAAAACCTAGAGAGAAGCATTCTCAGGAACTTCTTTGTGATGTTTGCATTCAAGTCAGAGAACTGAACATTCCCTTTCATAGAGCAGGTTTGAAACACTCTTTCTGTAGTATCTGCAAGCTGACGTTTCAAGCGCTTTCAGGCCTATGGTGAGAAAGGAAATATCTTCAAGTAAAAACTAGACAGAAGCATTCTCAGAAACTTATTTGCGATGTGTGTTCTCAACTAACAGAGTTGAACCTTTGTTTTGATACGGCATTTTGGAAACACTCTTTTTATAGAATCTGCAGGTGGATATTCGGATAGCTTTGAAGGTTTCGTTGGAAACGGGAATATCTTCATATAAAATGTAGACAGAAGCATTCTCAGAAACTGCTTTGTGATGTTTTCATTCAAGTCACAGAGTAGAATCTTCCCTGTTATATACCAGGTTTCAGACACTCTTTCTGCACTACCTGGAAGTGGACATTTGCAGCGCTTTGAGGCCTATGATGAAAAAGGAAATATCTTCCCATAAAAACTAGACAGAAGCATTCTCAGAAACTTGTTTGTGATGTGTGTATTCAACTAACAGAGATGAACCTTTCTTTTTACAGAGCAGTTTTGAAACACTCTTTTTGTGGAATCTGAAAGTGGATAGTTGGATAGCTTTGAGGATTTCGTTGGAAACGGGATTACATATAAAATCTAGAGAGAAGCATTCTCAGGAACTTCTTTGTGATGTTTGCCTTCAAGTCACAGGACTGAACATTCCCTTTCATAGAGCAGGTTTGAAACACTCTTTCTGTAGTATCTGCAAGCTGACGTTTCAAGCGCTTTCAGGCCTATGGTGAGAAAGGAAATATCTTCAAGTAAAAACTAGACAGAAGCATTCTCAGAAACTTATTTGCGATGTGTGTTCTCAACTAACAGAGTTGAACCTTTGTTTTGATATGGCATTTTGGAAACACTCTTTTTGTAGAATCTGCAGGTGGATATTCGGATAGCTTTGAAGGTTTCGTTGGAAACGGGAATATCTTCATATAAAATCTAGACGGAAGCATTCTCAGAAACTGCTTTGTGATGTTTTCATTCAAGTCACAGAGTAGAATGTTCCCTGTTATATACCAGGTTTGAGACACTCTTTCTGCACTACCTGGAAGTGGACATTTGCAGCGCTTTGAGGCCTATGATGAAAAAGGAAATATCTTCCCATAAAAACTAGACAGAAGCATTCTCAGAAACTTGTTTGTGATGTGTGTATTCAACTAACAGAGATGAACCTTTCTTTTTACAGAGCAGTTTTGAATCACTCTTTTTGTGGAATCTGAAAGTGGATATTTGGATAGCTTTGAGGATTTCGTTGGAAACGGGATTACATATAAAATCTAGAGAGAAGCATTCTCAGGAACTTCTTTGTGATGTTTGCATTCACGTCACAGAACTGAACATTCCCTTTCATAGAGCATGTTTGAAACACTCGTTCTGTAGTATCTGCAAACGGACATTTCAAACGCTTTCAGGCCTATGGTGAGAAAGGAAATATCTTCAAATAAAAACTAGACAGAAGCATTCTCAGAAACTTATTTGCGATGTGTGTTCTCAACTAACAGAGTTGAACCTTTATTTTGATATGGCATTTTGGAAACACTCTTTTTGTAGAATCTGCAGGTGGATATTCGGATAGCTTTGAACGTTTCGTTGGAAACGGGAATATCTTCATATAAAATCTAGACGGAAGCATTCTCAGAAACTGCTTTGTGATGTTTTCATTGAAGTCACAGAGTAGAATGTTCCCTTTTATATACCAGGTTTGAGACACTCTTTCTGCACTATCTGGAAGTGGACATTTGGAGCGCATTGAGGCCTATGATGAAAAAGGAAATATCTTCCCATAAAAACTAGACAGAAGCATTCTCAGAAACTTGTTTGTGATGTGTGTATTCAACTAACAGTAGATGAACCTTTCTTTTTACAGAGCAGTTTTGAAACACTCTTTTTGTGGAATCTGAAAGTGGATATTTGGATAGCTTTGAGGATTTCGTTGGAAACGGGATTACATATAAAATCTCGAGAGAAGCATTCTCAGGAACTTCTTTGTGATGTTTGCATTCACGTCACAGAACTGAACATTCCCTTTCATAGAGCATGTTTGAAACACTCTTTCTGTAGTATCTGCAAACGGACATTTCAAACGCTTTCAGGCCTATGGTGAGAAAGGAAATATCTTCAAGTAAAAACTAGACAGAAGCATTCTCAGAAACTTATTTGCCATGTGTGTTCTCAACTAACAGAGTTGAACCTTTGTTTTGATACGGCATTTTGGAAACACTCTTTTTGTAGAATCTGCAGGTGGATATTCGGATAGCTTTGAAGGTTTCGTTGGAAACGGGAATATCTTCATATAAAATCTAGACGGAAGCATTCTCAGAAACTGCTTTGTGATGTTTTCATTCAAGTCACAGAGTAGAATGTTCCCTGTTATACACCAGGTTTGAGACACTCTTTCTGCACTACCTGGAAGTGGACGTTTGGAGCGCTTTGAGGCCTATGTTGAAAAAGGAAATATCTTCCCATAAAAACTAGACAGAAGCATTCTCAGAAACTTGTTTGTGATGTGTGTATTCAACTAACAGAGATGAACCTTTCTTTTTACAGAGCAGTTTTGAAACACTCTTTTTGTGGAATCTGAAAGTGGATATTTGGATAGCTTTGAGGATTTCGTTGGAAACGGGATTACATATAAAATCTAGAGAGAAGCATTCTCAGGAACTTCTTTGTGATGTTTGCATTCACGTCACAGAACTGAACATTCCCTTTCATAGAGCATGTTTGAAACACTCTTTCTGTAGTATCTGCAAACGGACATTTCAAACGCTTTCAGGCCTATGGTGAGAAAGGAAATATCTTCAAATAAAAACTAGACAGAAGCATTCTCAGAAACTTATTTGCGATGTGTGTTCTCAACTAACAGAGTTGAACCTTTGTTTTGATATGGCATTTTGGAAACACTCTTTTTGTAGAATCTGCAGGTGGATATTCGGATAGCTTTGAAGGTTTCGTTGGAAACGGGAATATCTTCATATAAAATCTAGACGGAAGCATTCTCAGAAACTGCTTTGTGATGTTTTCATTCAAGTCACAGAGTAGAATGTTCCCTGTTATATACCAGGTTTGAGACACTCTTTCTGCACTACCTGGAAGTGGACGTTTGGAGCGCTTTGAGGCGTATGTTGAAAAAGGAAATATCTTCCCATAAAAACTAGACAGAAGCATTCTCAGAAACTTGTTTGTGATGTGTGTATTCAACTAACAGAGATGAACCTTTCTTTTTACAGAGCAGTTTTGAAACACTCTTTTTGTGGAATCTGAAAGTGGATATTTGGATAGCTTTGAGGATTTCGTTGGAAACGGGATTACATATAAAATCTAGAGAGAAGCATTCTCAGGAACTTCTTTGTGATGTTTGCATTCAAGTCACAGAACTGAACATTCCCTTTCATAGAGCATGTTTGAAACACTCTTTCTGTAGTATCTGCAAGCGGACGTTACAAGCGCTTTCAGGCCTATGGTGAGAAAGGAAATATCTTCAAGTAAAAACTAGACAGAAGCATTCTCAGAAACTTATTTGCGATGTGTGTTCTCAGCTAACAGAGTTCAACCTTTGTTTTGATACAGCATTTTGGAAACACTCTTTTTGTAGGATCTGCAGGTGGATATTTGGATAGCTTTGAAGGTTTCTTTGGAAACGGGAATATCTTCATATAAAATCAAGACAGAAGCATTCTCAGAAACTTCTCTGTGATGTTTGCATTCAACTCATAGAGTTGAACACTTCCCTTCATACAGCAGGTTTGAAACCCTCTTTTTGTAATATTTGGAAGTGGACATTTACAGCGCTTTGAGGCCTATGATGAAAAAGGAAATATCTTCCCATAAAAACTAGACAGAAGCATTCTCAGAAACTTGTTTGTGATGTGTGTATTCAACTAACAGAGATGAACCTTTCTTTTTACACAGCAGTTTTGAAACACTCTTTTTGTGGAATCTGAAAGTGGATATTTGGATAGCTTTGAGGATTTCGTTGGAAACGGGATTACATATAAAACCTAGAGAGAAGCATTCTCAGGAACTTCTTTGTGATGTTTGCATTCAAGTCACAGAAATGAACATTCCCTTTCATAGAGCAGGTTTGAAACACTCTTTCTGTAGTATCTGCAAGCTGACGTTTCAAGCGCTTTCAGGCCTATGGTGAGAAAGGAAATATCTTCAAGTAAAAACTAGACAGAAGCATTCTCAGAAACTTATTTGCGATGTGTGTCCTCAACTAACAGAGTTGAACCTTTCTTTTGATACAACATTTTGGAAACACTCTTTTTGTAGAATCTGCAAGTGGATATTTGGATAGCTTTGAAGGTTTCGTTGGAAACGGGAATATCTTCATATGAAATCAAGACAGAAGCATTCTCAGAAACTGCTTTGTGATGTTTTCATTCAAGTCACAGAGTAGAATCTTCCCTGTTATATACCAGGTTTCAGACACTCTTTCTGCACTACCTGGAAGTGGACATTTGCAGCGCTTTGAGGCCTATGATGAAAAAGGAAATATCTTCCCATAAAAACTAGACAGAAGCATTCTCAGAAACTTGTTTGTGATGTGTGTATTCAACTAACAGAGATGAACCTTTCTTTTTACAGAGCAGTTTTGAAACACTCTTTTTGTGGAATCTGAAAGTGGATATTTAGATAGCTTTGCGGATTTCGTTGGAAACGGGATTACATATAAAATCTAGGGAGAAGCATTCTCAGGAACTTCTTTGTGATGTTTGCATTCAAGTCACAGAACTGAACATTCCCTTTCATAGAGCATGTTTGAAACACTCTTTCTGTAGTATCTGCAAGCGGACGTTTTAAGCGCTTTCAGGCCTGTGGTGAGAAAGGAAATATCTTCAAATAAAAACTAGACAGAAGCATTCTCAGAGACTTATTTGCGATGTGTGTCCTCAACTAACAGAGTTGAACCTTTCTTTTGATACAACATTTTGGAAACACTCTTTTTGTAGAATCTGCAAGTGGATATTTGGATAACTTTGAAGGTTTCGTTGAAAACGGGAATATCTTCATATGAAATCAAGACAGAAGCATTCTCAGAAACTTCTCTGTGATGTTTGCATTCAACTCATAGAGTTGAACACTTCCCTTCATACAGTAGGTTTGAAACACTCTTTTTCTAATATTTGGAAGTGGACATTTGCAGCGCTTTGAGGCCTATGTTGAAAAAGGAAATATCTTCTCCTAAAAACCAGACAGAAGCATTCTCAGAAACTTGTTTGTGATGTGTGTATTCAACTAACAGAGATGAACCTTTCTTTTTACAGAGCAGTTTTGAAACACTCTTTTTGTGGAATCTGAAAGTGGATATTTGGATAGCTTTGAGGATTTCGTTGGAAACGGGATTACATATAAGATCTAGAGAGAAGCATTCTCAGGAACTTCTTTGTGATGTTTGCATTCAAGTCACAGAACTGAACATTCCCTTTCATAGAGCAGGTTTGAAACACTCTTTCTGTAGTATCTGCAAGCGGACGTTTTAAGCGCTTTCAGGCCTGTGGTGAGAAAGGAAATATCTTCAAACAAAAACTAGACAGAAGCATTCTCAGAAACTTATTTGCCATGTGTGTTCTCAACTAACAGAGTTGAACCTTTGTTTTGATACGGCATTTTGGAAACACTCTTTTTGTAGAATCTGCAGGTGGATATTCGGATAGCTTTGAAGGTTTCGTTGGAAACGGGAATATCTTCATATAAAATCTAGACGGAAGCATTCTCAGAAACTGCTTTGTGATGTTTTCATTCAAGTCACAGAGTAGAATGTTCCCTGTTATACACCAGGTTTGAGACACTCTTTCTGCACTACCTGGAAGTGGACGTTTGGAGCGCTTTGAGGCCTATGTTGAAAAAGGAAATATCTTCCCATAAAAACTAGACAGAAGCATTCTCAGAAACTTGTTTGTGATGTGTGTATTCAACTAACAGAGATGAACCTTTCTTTTTACAGAGTAGTTTTGAAACACTCTTTTTGTGGAATCTGAAAGTGGATATTTGGATAGCTTTGAGGATTTCGTTGGAAACGGGATTACATATAAAATCTAGAGAGAAGCATTCTCAGGAACTTCTTTGTGATGTTTGCATTCAAGTCACAGAACTGAACATTCCCTTTCATAGAGCAGGTTTGAAACAGTCTTTCTGTAGTATCTGCAAGCTGACGTTTCAAGCGCTTTCAGGCCTATGGTGAGAAAGGAAATATCTTCAAGTAAAAACTAGACAGAAGCATTCTCAGAAACTTATTTGCGATGTGTGTTCTCAACTAACAGAGTTGAACCTTTGTTTTGATATGGCATTTTGGAAACACTCTTTTTGTAGAATCTGCAGGTGGATATTCGGATAGCTTTGAAGGTTTCGTTGGAAACGGGAATATCTTCATATAAAATCTAGACGGAAGCATTCTCAGAAACTGCTTTGTGATGTTTTCATTCAAGTCACAGAGTAGAATGTTCCCTGTTATATACCAGGTTTGAGACACTCTTTCTGCACTACCTGGAAGTGGACGTTTGGAGCGCTTTGAGGCCTATGTTGAAAAAGGAAATATCTTCCCATAAAAACTAGACAGAAGCATTCTCAGAAACTTGTTTGTGATGTGTGTATTCAACTAACAGAGATGAACCTTTCTTTTTACAGAGCAGTTTTGAAACACTCTTTTTGTGGAATCTGAAAGTGGATATTTGGATAACTTTGAGGATTTCGTTGGAAACGGGATTACATATAAAATCTAGGGAGAAGCATTCTCAGGAACTTCTTTGTGATGTTTGCATTCAAGTCACAGAACTGAACATTCCCTTTCATAGAGCAGGTTTGAAACACTCTTTCTGTAGTATCTGCAAGCTGACGTTTCAAGCGCTTTCAGGCCTATGGTGAGAAAGGAAATATCTTCAAGTAAAAACTAGACAGAAGCATTCTCAGAAACTTATTTGCCATGTGTGTTCTCAACTAACAGGGTTGAACCTTTGTTTTGATATGGCATTTTGGAAACACTCTTTTTGTAGAATCTGCAGGTGGATATTCGGATAGCTTTGAAGGTTTCGTTGGAAACGGGAATATCTTCATATAAAATCTAGACGGAAGCATTCTCAGAAACTGCTTTGTGATGTTTTCATTCAAGTCACAGAGTAGAATGTTCCCTGTTATATACCAGGTTTGAGACACTCTTTCTGCACTACCTGGAATTGGACATTTGCAGCGCTTTGAGGCCTATGATGAAAAAGGAAATATCTTCCCATAAAAACTAGACAGAAGCATTCTCAGAAACTTGTTTGTGATGTGTGTATTCAACTAACAGAGATGAACCTTTCTTTTTACAGAGCAGTTTTGAAACACTCTTTTTGTGGAATCTGAAAGTGGATATTTGGATAGCTTTGAGGATTTCGTTGGAAACGGGATTACATATAAAATCTAGAGAGAAGCATTCTCAGGAACTTCTTTGTGATGTTTGCATTCAAGTCACAGAACTGAACATTCCCTTTCATAGAGCATGTTTGAAACACTCTTTCTGTAGTATCTGCAAGCGGACGTTTTAAGCGCTTTCAGGCCTGTGGTGAGAAAGGAAATATCTTCAAATAAAAACTAGACAGAAGCATTCTCAGAAACTTATTTGCGATGTGTGTCCTCAACTAACAGAGTTGAACCTTTCTTTTGATACAACATTTTGGAAACACTCTTTTTGAAGAATCTGCAAGTGGATATTTGGATAGCTTTGAAGGTTTCGTTGGAAACGGGAATATCTTCATATAAAATCAAGACAGAAGCATTCTCAGAAACTTCTCTGTGATGTTTGCATTCAACTCATAGAGTTGAACACTTCCCTTCATACAGCAGGTTTGAAACACTCTTTTTGTAATATTTGGAAGTGGACATTTGCAGCGCTTTGAGGCCTATGATGAAAAAGGTAATATCTTCCCATAAAAACTAGACAGAAAGCATTCTCAGAAACTTGTTTGTGATGTGTGTATTCAACTAACAGAGATGAACCTTTCTTTTTACAGAGCAGTTTTGAAACACTCTTTTTGTGTAATCTGAAAGTGGATATTTGGATAGCATTGAGGATTTCGTTGGAAACTGGATTACATATAAAACCTAGAGAGAAGCATTCTCAGGAACTTCTTTGTGATGTTTGCATTCAAGTCACAGGACTGAACATTCCCTTTCATAGAGCAGGTTTGAAACACTCTTTCTGTAGTATCTGCAAGCTGACGTTTCAAGCGCTTTCAGGCCTATGGTGAGAAAGGAAATATCTTCAAGTAAAAACTAGACAGAAGCATTCTCAGAAACTTATTTGCCATGTGTGTTCTCAACTAACAGAGTTGAACCTTTGTTTTGATACGGCATTTTGGAAACACTCTTTTTGTAGCATCTGCAGGTGGATATTCGGATAGCTTTGAAGGTTTCGTTGGAAACGGGAATATCTTCATATAAAATCTAGACGGAAGCATTCTCAGAAAGTGCTTTGTGATGTTTGCATTCAAGTCACAGAGTTGAATATTCCCTTTTATAGAGCAGGTTTGAAACACTCTTTCTGCACTACCTGGAAGTGGACATTTGGAGCGCTTTGAGGCCTATGTTGAAAAAGGAAATATCTTCCCATAAAAACTAGACAGAAGCATTCTCAGAAACTTGTTTGTGATGTGTGTATTCAACTAACAGAGATGAACCTTTCTTTTTACAGAGCAGTTTTGAAACACTCTTTTTGTGGAATCTGAAAGTGGATATTTGGATAGCTTTGCGGATTTCGTTGGAAACGGGATTACATATAAAATCTAGGGAGAAGCATTCTCAGGAACTTCTTTGTGATGTTTGCATTCAAGTCACAGAACTGAACATTCCCTTTCATAGAGCAGGTTTGAAACACTCTTTCTGTAGTATCTGCAAGCGGACGTTTTAAGCGCTTTCAGGCCTGTGGTGAGAAAGGAAATATCTTCAAATAAAAACTAGACAGAAGCATTCTCAGAAACTTATTTACGATGTGTGTCCTCAACTAACAGAGTTGAACCTTTCTTTTGATACAACATTTTGGAAACACTCTTTTTGTAGAATCTGCAAGTGGATATTTGGATAGCTTTGAAGGTTTCGTTGGAAACGGGAATATCTTCATATGAAATCAAGACAGAAGCATTCTCAGAAAGTGCTTTGTGATGTTTGCATTCAAGTCACAGAGTTGAATATTCTCTTTTATAGAGCAGGTTTGAAACACTCTTTTTGCACTACCTGGAAGTGAACATTTGGAGCGCTTTGAGGCCTATGTTGAAAAAGGAAATATCTTCCCATAAAAAATAGACAGAAGCATTCTCAGAAACTTGTTTGTGATGTGTGTATTCAACTAACAGAGATGAACCTTTCTTTTTACAGAGCAGTTTTGAAACACTCTTTTTGTGGAATCTGAAAGTGGATATTTGGATAGCTTTGAGGATTTCGTTGGAAACGGGATTACATATAAAACCTAGAGAGAAGCATTCTCAGGAACTTCTTTGTGATGTTTGCATTCAAGTCACAGGACTGAACATTCCCTTTCATAGAGCAGGTTTGAAACTCTCTTTCTGTAGTATCTGCAAGCTGACGTTTCAAGCGCTTTCAGGCCTATGGTGAGAAAGGAAATATCTTCAAGTAAAAACTAGACAGAAGCATTCTCAGAAACTTATTTGCCATGTGTGTTCTCAACTAACAGAGTTGAACCTTTGTTTTGATACGGCATTTTGGAAACACTCTTTTTGTAGAATCTGCAGGTGGATATTCGGATAGCTTTGAAGGTTTCGTTGGAAACGGGAATATCTTCATATAAAATCTAGACGGAAGCATTCTCAGAAAGTGCTTTGTGATGTTTGCATTCAAGTCACAGAGTTGAATATTCCCTTTTATAGAGCAGGTCTGAAACACTCTTTCTGCACTACCTGGAAGTGGACATTTGGAACGCTTTGAGGCCTATGTTGAAAAAGGAAATATCTTCCCATAAAAACTAGACAGAAGCATTCTCAGAAACTTGTTTGTGATGTGTGTATTCAACTAACAGAGATGAACCTTTCTTTTTACAGAGCAGTTTTGAAACACTCTTTTTGTGGAATCTGAAAGTGGATATTTGGATAGCTTTGAGGATTTCGTTGGAAACGGGATTACATATAAAACCTAGAGAGAAGCATTCTCAGGAACTTCTTTTTGATGTTTGCCTTCAAGTCACAGGACTGAACATTCCCTTTCATAGAGCAGGTTTGAAACACTCTTTCTGTAGTATCTGCAAGCTGACGTTTCAAGCGCTTTCAGGCCTATGGTGAGAAAGGAAATATCTTCAAGTAAAAACTAGACAGAAGCATTCTCCGAAACTTATTTGCCATGTGTGTTCTCAACTAACAGAGTTGAACCTTTGTTTTGATACGGCATTTTGGAAACACTCTTTTTGTAGAATCTGCAGGTGGATATTCGGATAGCTTTGAAGGTTTCGTTGGAAACGGGAATATCTTCATATAAAATCTAGACGGAAGCATTCTCAGAAACTGCTTTGTGATGTTTTCATTCAAGTCACAGAGTAGAATGTTCCCTGTTATATACCAGGTTTGAGACACTCTTTCTGCACTACCTGGAAGTGGACGTTTGGAGCGCTTTGAGGCCTATGTTGAAAAAGGAAATATCTTCCCATAAAAACTAGACAGAAGCATTCTCAGAAACTTGTTTGTGATGTGTGTATTCAACTAACAGAGATGAACCTTTCTTTTTACAGAGCAGTTTTGAAACACTCTTTTTGTGGAATCTGAAAGTGGATATTTGGATAGCTTTGAGGATTTCGTTGGAAACGGGATTACATATAAAACCTAGAGAGAAGCATTCTCAGGAACTTCTTTGTGATGTTTGCCTTCAAGTCACAGGACTGAACATTCCCTTTCATAGAGCAGGTTTGAAACACTCTTTCTGTAGTATCTGCAAGCTGACGTTTCAAGCGCTTTCAGGCCTATGGTGAGAAAGGAAATATCTTCAAGTAAAAACTAGACAGAAGCATTCTCAGAAACTTATTTGCGATGTGTGTTCTCAACTAACAGAGTTGAACCTTTGTTTTGATATGGCATTTTGGAAACACTCTTTTTGTAGAATCTGCAGGTGGATATTCGGATAGCTTTGAAGGTTTCGTTGGAAACGGGAATATCTTCATATAAAATCTAGACGGAAGCATTCTCAGAAACTGCTTTGTGATGTTTTCATTCAAGTCACAGAGTAGAATGTTCCCTTTTATATACCAGGTTTGAGACACTCTTTCTGCACTATCTGGAAGTGGACATTTGGAGCGCTTTGAGGCCTATGATGAAAAAGGAAATATCTTCCCATAAAAACTAGACAGAAGCATTCTCAGAAACTTGTTTGTGATGTGTGTATTCAACTAACAGAGATGAACCTTTCTTTTTACAGAGCCAGTTTTGAAACACTCTTTTTGTGGAATCTGAAAGTGGATATTTGGATAGCTTTGAGGATTTCGTTGGAAACGGGATTACATATAAAATCTAGAGAGAAGCATTCTCAGGAACTTCTTTGTGATGTTTGCATTCAAGTCACAGAACTGAACATTCCCTTTCATAGAGCAGGTTTGAAACACTCTTTCTGTAGTTTCTGCAAGTGGACGTTTCAAGCGCTTTCAGGCCTGTGGTGAAAAAGGAAATATCTTCAAATAAAAACTAGACAGAAGCATTCTCAGAAACTTATTTGCGATGTGTGTTCTCAGCTAACAGAGTTCAACCTTTGTTTTGATACAGCATTTTGGAAACACTCTTTTTGTAGGATCTGCAGGTGGATATTTGGATAGCTTTGAAGGTTTCTTTGGAAACGGGAATATCTTCATATAAAATCAAGACAGAAGCATTCTCAGAAACTTCTCTGTTCTGTTTGCATTCAACTCATAGAGTTGAACACTTCCTTTCATAGAGCTGGTTTGAAATACTCTTTTTGTAATATTTGGAAGTGGACATTTGCAGCGCTTTGAAGCCTATGGTGAAAAAGGAGATATCTTCTCCTAAAAACCAGACAGAAGCATTCTCAGAATCTTTCTTGTGATGTGTGTACTCAAGTAACAGAGTTGAATCTTCATTTTGACAGAGCAGTTTTGAAGCACTCTTTTTGTAGAATCTGCAAGTGGATATTTTGATACCTTTGGGGATTTCGTTAGACACGGGATATCTTCATATAAAATCTAGACAGAAGCATTCTCAGAAACTTCTTTGTGCTGTATGTCCTCAATTAACAGAGTTGAACCTTTGTGTGGATACAGCATTTTGGAAACATTCCTTTAGTAGAATCTGCAAGTTGATATTTAGATAGCTACGAAGATTTCCTTGGAAACGGGAATATCTTCATATAAAATCTAGACGGAAGCATTCTCAGAAACTGCTTTGTGATGTCTTCATTCAAGTCACAGAGTAGAATGTTCCCTTTTATAGAGCAGGTTTGAAACACTCTGTGCACTACCTGGAAGTGGACATTTGGAGCGCTTTGAGGCCTATGTTGAAAAAGGAAATATCTTCCCATAGAAACTAGACAGAAGCATTCTCAGAAACTTGTTTGTGATGTGTGTATTCAACTAACAGAGATGAACCTTTCTTTTTACAGAGCAGTTTTGAAACACTCTTTTTGTGGAATCTGAAAGTGGATATTTGGATAGCTTTGCGGATTTCGTTGGAAACGGGATTACATATAAAATCTAGGGAGAAGCATTCTCAGGAACTTCTTTGTGATGTTTGCATTCAAGTCACAGAACTGAACATTCCCTTTCATAGAGCAGGTTTGAAACACTCTTTCTGTAGTATCTGCAAGCGGACGTTTGAAGCGCTTTCAGGCCTGTGGTGAAAAAGGAAATATCTTGAAATAAAAACTAGACAGAAGCATTCTCAGAAACTTATTTGCGATGTGTGTTCTCAACTAACAGAGTTGAACCTTTGTTTTGATATGGCATTTTGGAAACACTCTTTTTGTAGAATCTGCAGGTGGATATTCGGATAGCTTTGAAGGTTTCGTTGGAAACGGGAATATCTTCATATAAAATCTAGACGGAAGCATTCTCAGAAACTGCTTTGTGATGTTTTCATTCAAGTCACAGAGTAGAATGTTCCCTGTTATATACCAGGTTTGAGACACTCTTTCTGCACTACCTGGAAGTGGACATTTGCAGCGCTTTGAGGCCTATGATGAAAAAGGAAATATCTTCCCATAAAAACTAGACAGAAGCATTCTCAGAAACTTGTTTGTGATGTGTGTATTCAACTAACAGAGATGAACCTTTGTTTTTACAGAGCAGTTTTGAAACACTCTTTTTGTGGAATCTGAAAGTGGATATTTGGATAGCTTTGAGGATTTCGTTGGAAACGGGATTACATATAAAATCTAGAGAGAAGCATTCTCAGGAACTTCTTTGTGATGTTTGCATTCACGTCACAGAACTGAACATTCCCTTTCATAGAGCATGTTTGAAACACTCTTTCTGTAGTATCTGCAAACGGACATTTCAAACGCTTTCAGGCCTATGGTGAGAAAGGAAATATCTTCAAATAAAAACTAGACAGAAACATTCTCAGTAACTTATTTGCGATGTGTGTCCTCAACTAACAGAGTTGAACCTTTCTTTTGATACAACATTTTGGAAACACTCTTTTTGTAGAATCTGCAAGTGGATATTTGAATAGCTTTGAAGGTTTCGTTGGAAACGGGAATATCTTCATATAAAATCAAGACAGAAGCATTCTCAGAAACTTCTCTGTGATGTTTGCATTCAACTCATAGAGTTGAACACTTCCCTTCATACAGCAGGTTTGAAACACTCTTTTTGTAATATTTGGAAGTGGACATTTGCAGCGCTTTGAGGCCTATGATGAAAAAGGTAATATCTTCCCATAAAAACTAGACAGAAGCATTCTCAGAAACTTGTTTGTGATGTGTGTATTCAACTAACAGAGATAAACCTTTCTTTTTACAGAGCAGTTTTGAAACACTCTTTTTGTGGAATCTGAAAGTGGATATTTGGATAGCTTTGAGGATTTCGTTGGAAACGGGATTACATATAAAACCTAGAGAGAAGCATTCTCAGGAACTTCTTTGTGATGTTTGCATTCAAGTCACAGGACTGAACGTTCCCTTTCATAGAGCAGGTTTGAAACACTCTTTCTGTAGTATCTGCAAGCTGACGTTTCATGCGTTTTCATGCCTATGGTGAGAAAGGAAATATCTTCAAGTAAAAACTAGACAGAAGCATTCTCAGAAACTTATTTGCCATGTGTGTTCTCAACTAACAGAGTTGAACCTTTGTTTTGATACGGCATTTTGGAAACCCTCTTTTTGTAGAATCTGCAGGTGGATATTCGGATAGCTTTGAAGGTTTCGTTGGAAACGGGAATATCTTCATATAAAATGTAGACGGAAGCATTCTCAGAAACTGCTTTGTGATGTTTTCATTCAAGTCACAGAGTAGAATGTTCCCTGTTATATACCAGGTTTGAGACACTCTTTCTGCACTACCTGGAAGTGGACGTTTGGAGCGCTTTGAGGCGTATGTTGAAAAAGGAAATATCTTCCCATAAAAACTAGACAGAAGCATTCTCAGAAACTTGTTTGTGATGTGTGTATTCAACTAACAGAGATGAACCTTTCTTTTTACAGAGCAGTTTTGAAACACTCTTTTTGTGGAATCTGAAAGTGGATATTTGGATAGCTTTGAGGATTTCGTTGGAAACGGGATTACATATAAAATCTAGAGAGAAGCATTCTCAGGAACTTCTTTGTGATGTTTGCATTCACGTCACGAAACTGAACATTCCCTTTCATAGAGCATGTTTGAAACACTCTTTCTGTAGTATCTGGAAACGGACATTTCAAACGCTTTCAGGCCTATGGTGAGAAAGGAAATATCTTCAAATAAAAACTAGACAGAAGCATTCTCAGAAACTTATTTGCGATGTGTGTCATCAACTAACAGAGTTGAACCTTTCTTTTGATACAACATTTTGGAAACACTCTTTTTGTAGAATCTGCAAGTGGATATTTGAATAGCTTTGAAGGTTTCGTTGGAAACGGGAATATCTTCATATAAAATCAAGACAGAAGCATTCTCAGAAACTTCTCTGTGATGTTTGCATTCAACTCATAGAGTTGAACACTTCCCTTCATACAGCAGGTTTGAAACACTCTTTTTGTAATATTTGGAAGTGGACATTTGCAGCGCTTTGAGGCCTATGATGAAAAAGGTAATATCTTCCCATAAAAACTAGACAGAATCATTCTCAGAAACTTGTTTGTGATGTGTGTATTCAACTAACAGAGATGAACCTTTCTTTTTACAGAGCAGTTTTGAAACACTCTTTTTGTGGAATCTGAAAGTGGATATTTGGATAGCTTTGAGGATTTCGTTGGAAACGGGATTACATATAAAATCTAGGGAGAAGCATTCTGAGGAACTTCTTTGTGATGTTTGCATTCAAGTCACAGAACTGAACATTCCCTTTCATAGAGCAGGTTTGAAACACTCTTTCTGTAGTATCTGCAAGCGGACGTTTCAAGCGCTTTCAGGCCTGTGGTGAAAAAGGAAATATCTTCAAATAAAAACTAGACAGAAGCATTCTCAGAAACTTATTTGCGATGTGTGTTCTCAACTAACAGAGTTGAACCTTTGTTTTGATACAGCATTTTGGAAAAACTCTTTTTGTAGAATCTGCAGGTGGATATTTGGATAGCTTTGAAGGTTTCGTTGGAAACGGGAATATCTTCATATAAAATCAAGACAGAAGCATTCTCAGAAACTTCTCTGTGATGTTTGCATTCAACTCATAGAGTTGAACACTTCCCTTCATACAGCAGGTTTGAAACACTCTTTTTGTAATATTTGGAAGTGGACTTTTGCAGCGCTTTGTGGCCTATGATGAAAAAGGTAATATCTTCCCATAAAAACTAGACAGAAGCATTCTCAGAAACTTGTTTGTGATGTGTGTATTCAACTAACAGAGATGAACCTTTCTTTTTACAGAGCAGTTTTGAAACACTCTTTTTGTGGAATCTGAAAGTGGATATTTGGATAGCTTTGCGGATTTCGTTGGAAACGGGATTACATATAAAATCTAGGGAGAAGCATTCTCAGGAACTTCTTTGTGATGTTTGCATTCAAGTCACAGAACTGAACATTCCCTTTCATAGAGCAGGTTTGAAACACTCTTTCTGTAGTATCTGCAAGCGGACGTTTTAAGCGCTTTCAGGCCTGTGGTGAGAAAGGAAATATCTTCAAATAAAAACTAGACAGAAGCATTCTCAGAAACTTATTTGCGATGTGTGTCCTCAACTAACAGAGTTGAACCTTTCTTTTGATACAACATTTTGGAAACACTCTTTTTGTAGAATCTGCAAGTGGATATTTGAATAGCTTTGAAGGTTTCGTTGGAAACGGGAATATCTTCATATAAAATCAAGACAGAAGCATTCTCAGAAACTTCTCTGTGATGTTTGCATTCAACTCATAGAGTTGAACACTTCCCTTCATACAGCAGGTTTGAAACACTCTTTTTGTAATATTTGGAAGTGGACATTTGCAGCGCTTTGAGGCCTATGATGAAAAAGGTAATATCTTCCCATAAAAACTAGACAGAAGCATTCTCAGAAACTTGTTTGTGATGTGTGTATTCAACTAACAGAGATGAACCTTTCTTTTTACAGAGCAGTTTTGAAACACTCTTTTTGTGGAATCTGAAAGTGGATATTTGGATAGCTTTGCGGATTTCGTTGGAAACGGGATTACATATAAAATCTAGGGAGAAGCATTCTCAGGAACTTCTTTGTGATGTTTGCATTCATGTCACAGAACTGAACATTCCCTTTCATAGAGCAGGTTTGAAACACTCTTTCTGTAGTATCTGCAAGCGGACGTTTTAAGCGCTTTCAGGCCTGTGGTGAGAAAGGAAATATCTTCAAATAAAAACTAGACAGAAGCATTCTCAGAAACTTATTTGCGATGTGTGTCCTCAACTAACAGAGTTGAACCTTTCTTTTGATACAACATTTTGGAAACACTCTTTTTGTAGAATCTGCAAGTGGATATTTGGATAGCTTTGAAGGTTTCGTTGGAAACGGGAATATCTTCATATGAAATCAAGACAGAAGCATTCTCAGAAACTTCTCTGTGATGTTTGCATTCAACTCATAGAGTTGAACACTTCCCTTCATACAGCAGGTTTGAAACACTCTTTTTGTAATATTTGGAAGTGGACATTTGCAGCGCTTTGAGGCCTATGTTGAAAAAGGAAATATCTTCTCCTAAAAACCAGACAGAAGCATTCTCAGAAACTTGTTTGTGATGTGTGTATTCAACTAACAGAGATGAACCTTTCTTTTTACAGAGCAGTTTTGAAACACTCTTTTTGTGGAATCTGAAAGTGGATATTTGGATAGCTTTGAGGATTTCGTTGGAAACGGGATTACATATAAAATCTAGAGAGAAGCATTCTCAGGAACTTCTTTGTGATGTTTGCATTCACGTCACAGAACTGAACATTCCCTTTCATAGAGCATGTTTGAAACACTCTTTCTGTAGTATCTGCAAACGGACATTTCAAACGCTTTCAGGCCTATGGTGAGAAAGGAAATATCTTCAAGTAAAAACTAGACAGAAGCATTCTCAGAAACTTATTTGCCATGTGTGTTCTCAACTAACAGAGTTGAACCTTTGTTTTTATACGGCATTTTGGAAACACTCTTTTTGTAGAATCTGCAGGTGGATATTCGGATAGCTTTGAAGGTTTCGTTGGAAACGGGAATATCTTCATATAAAATCTAGACGGAAGCATTCTCAGAAAGTGCTTTGTGATGTTTGCATTCAAGTCACAGAGTTGAATATTCCCTTTTATAGAGCAGGTTTGAAACACTCTTTCTGCACTACCTGGAAGTGGACATTTGGAGCGCTTTGAGGCCTATGTTGAAAAAGGAAATATCTTCCCATAAAAACTAGACAGAAGCATTCTCAGAAACTTGTTTGTGATGTGTGTATTCAACTAACAGAGATGAACCTTTCTTTTTACAGAGCAGTTTTGAAAAACTCTTTTTGTGGAATCTGAAAGTGGATATTTGGATAGCTTTGCGGATTTCGTTGGAAACGGGATTACATATAAAATCTAGGGAGAAGCATTCTCAGGAACTTCTTTGTGATGTTTGCATTCACGTCACAGAACTGAACATTCCCTTTCATAGAGCATGTTTGAAACACTCTTTCTGTAGTATCTGCAAACGGACATTTCAAACGCTTTCAGGCCTATGGTGAGAAAGGAAATATCTTCAAATAAAAACTAGACAGAAGCATTCTCAGAAACTTATTTGCGATGTGTGTCCTCAACTAACAGAGTTGAACCTTTCTTTTGATACAACATTTTGGAAACACTCTTTTTGTAGAATCTGCAAGTGGATATTTGGATAGCTTTGAAGGTTTCGTTGGAAACGGGAATATCTTCATATGAAATCAAGACAGAAGCATTCTCAGAAACTGCTTTGTGATGTTTTCATTCAAGTCACAGAGTAGAATGTTCCCTGTTATATACCAGGTTTGAGACACTCTTTCTGCACTACCCGGAAGTGGACGTTTGGAGCGCTTTGAGGCCTATGTTGAAAAAGGAAATATCTTCCCATAAAAACTAGACAGAAGCATTCTCAGAAACTTGTTTGTGATGTGTGTATTCAACTAACAGAGATGAACCTTTCTTTTTACAGAGCAGTTTTGAAACACTCTTTTTGTGGAATCTGAAAGTGGATATTTGGATAGCTTTGAGGATTTCGTTGGAAACGGGATTACATATAAAACCTAGAGAGAAGCATTCCCAGGAACTTCTTTGTGATGTTTGCCTTCAAGTCACAGGACTGAACATTCCCTTTCATAGAGCAGGTTTGAAACACTCTTTCTGTAGTATCTGCAAGCTGACGTTTCAAGCGCTTTCAGGCCTATGGTGAGAAAGGAAATATCTTCAAGTAAAAACTAGACAGAAGCATTCTCAGAAACTTATTTGCCATGTGTGTTCTCAACTAACAGAGTTGAACCTTTGTTTTGATACGGCATTTTGGAAACACTCTTTTTGTAGAATCTGCAGGTGGATATTCGGATAGCTTTGAAGGTTTCGTTGGAAACGGGAATATCTTCATATAAAATCTAGACGGAAGCATTCTCAGAAACTGCTTTGTGATGTTTTCATTCAAGTCACAGAGTAGAATGTTCCCTGTTATATACCAGGTTTGAGACACTCTTTCTGCACTACCTGGAAGTGGACATTTGGAGCGCTTTGAGGCCTATGATGAAAAAGGAAATATCTTCCCATAAAAACTAGACAGAAGCATTCTCAGAAACTTGTTTGTGATGTGTGTATTCAACTAACAGAGATGAACCTTTCTTTTTACAGAGCAGTTTTGAAACACTCTTTTTGTGGAATCTGAAAGTGGATATTTGGATAGCTTTGAGGATTTCGTTGGAAACGGGATTACATATAAAACCTAGAGAGAAGCATTCTCAGGAACTTCTTTGTGATGTTTGCATTCAAGTCACAGAACTGAACATTCCCTTTCATAGAGCAGGTTTGAAACACTCTTTCTGTAGTATCTGCAAGCTGACGTTTCAAGCGCTTTCAGGCCTATGGTGAGAAAGGAAATATCTTCAAGTAAAAACTAGACAGAAGCATTCTCAGAAACTTATTTGCCATGTGTGTTCTCAACTAACAGAGTTGAACCTTTGTTTTGATACGGCATTTTGGAAACACTCTTTTTGTAGAATCTGCAGGTGGATATTCGGATAGCTTTGAAGGTTTCGTTGGAAACGGGAATATCTTCATATAAAATCTAGACGGAAGCATTCTCAGAAACTGCTTTGTGATGTTTGCATTCAAGTCACAGAGTAGAATGTTCCCTGTTATATACCAGGTTTGAGACACTCTTTCTGCACTACCTGGAAGTGGACGTTTGGAGCGCTTTGAGGCCTATGTTGAAAAAGGAAATATCTTCCCATAAAAACTAGACAGAAGCATTCTCAGAAACTTGTTTGTGATGTGTGTATTCAACTAACAGAGATGAACCTTTCTTTTTACAGAGCAGTTTTGAAACACTCTTTTTGTGGAATCTGAAAGTGGATATTTGGATAGCTTTGCGGATTTCGTTGGAAACGGGATTACATATAAAATCTAGGGAGAAGCATTCTCAGGAAATTCTTTGTGATGTTTGCATTCAAGTCACAGAACTGAACATTCCCTTTCATAGATCAGGTTTGAAACACTCTTTCTGTAGTATCTGCAAGCGGACGTTTTAAGCGCTTTCAGGCCTGTGGTGAGAAAGGAAATATCTTCAAATAAAAACTAGACAGAAGCATTCTCAGAAACTTATTTGCGATGTGTGTCCTCAACTAACAGAGTTGAACCTTTCTTTTGATACAACATTTTGGAAACACTCTTTTTGTAGAATCTGCAAGTGGATATTTGGATAGCTTTGAAGGTTTCGTTGGAAACGGGAATATCTTCATATGAAATCAAGACAGAAGCATTCTCAGAAACTGCTTTGTGATGTTTTCATTCAAGTCACAGAGTAGAATGTTCCCTGTTATACACCAGGTTTGAGACACTCTTTCTGCACTACCTGGAAGTGGACGTTTGGAGCGCTTTGAGGCCTATGTTGAAAAAGGAAATATCTTCCCATAAAAACTAGACAGAAGCATTCTCAGAAACTTGTTTGTGATGTGTGTATTCAACTAACAGAGATGAACCTTTCTTTTTACAGAGCAGTTTTGAAACACTCTTTTTGTGGAATCTGAAAGTGGATATTTGGATAGCTTGGAGGATTTCGTTGGAAACGGGATTACATATAAAACCTAGAGAGAAGCATTCTCAGGAACTCCTTTGTGATGTTTGCCTTCAAGTCACAGGACTGAACATTCCCTTTCATAGAGCAGGTCTGAAACACTCTTTCTGTAGTATCTGCAAGCTGACGTTTCAAGCGCTTTCAGGCCTACGGTGAGAAAGGAAATATCTTCAAGTAAAAACTAGACAGAAGCATTCTCAGAAACTTATTTGCCATGTGTGTTCTCAACTAACAGAGTTGAACCTTTGTTTTGATACGGCATTTTGGAAACACTCTTTTTGTAGAATCAGCAAGTGGATATTTGGATAGCTTTGAAGGTTTCGTTGGAAACGGGAATATCTTCATATAAAATAAAGACAGAAGCATCCTCAGAAACTTCTCTGTGATGTTTGCATTCAACTCACAGAGTTGAACACTTCCCTTCATACTGCAGGTTTGAAACACTCTTTTTGTAATATTTGGAAGTGGACATTTGCAGCGCTTTGAGGCCTATGATGAAAAAGGAAATATCTTCCCATAAAAACTAGACAGAAGCATTCTCAGAAACTTGTTTGTGATGTGTGTATTCAGCTAACAGAGATGAACCTTTCTTTTTACAGAGCAGTTTTGAAACACTCTTTTTCTGGAATCTGAAAGTGGATATTTGGATAGCTTTGAGGATTTCGTTGGAAACGGGATTACATATAAAATCTAGAGAGAAGCATTCTCAGGAACTTCTTTGTGATGTTTGCATTAAAGTCACAGAACTGAACATTCCCTTTCATAGAGCATGTTTGAAACACTCTTTCTGTAGTATCTGCAAGCGGACGTTTGAAGCGCTTTCAGGCCTGTGGTGAAAAAGGAAATATCTTCAAATGAAAACTAGACAGAAGCATTCTCAGAAACTTATTTGCCATGTGTGTTCTCAACTAACAGAGTTGAACCTTTGTTTTGATACGGCATTTTGGAAACACTCTTTTTGTAGAATCTACAGGTGGATATTCGGATAGCTTTGAAGGTTTCGTTGGAAACGGGAATATCTTCATATAAAATCTAGACGGAAGCATTCTCAGAAAGTGCTTTGTGATGTTTGCATTCAAGTCACAGAGTTGAATATTCCCTTTTATAGAGCAGGTTTGAAACACTCTTTCTGCACTACCTGGAAGTGGACATTTGGAGCGCTTTGAGGCCTATGTTGAAAAAGGAAATATCTTCCCATAAAAACTAGACAGAAGCATTCTCAGAAACTTGTTTGTGATGTGTGTATTCAACTAACAGAGATGAACCTTTCTTTTTACAGAGCAGTTTTGAAACACTCTTTTTGTGGAATCTGAAAGTGGATATTTGGATAGCTTTGAGGATTTCGTTGGAAACGGGATTACATATAAAATCTAGAGAGAAGCATTCTCAGGAACTTCTTTGTGATGTTTGCATTCAAGTCACAGAACTGAACATTCCCTTTCATAGAGCAGGTTTGAAACACTCTTTCTGTAGTATCTGCAAGCGGACGTTTTAAGCGCTTTCAGGCCTGTGGTGAGAAAGGAAATATCTTCAAATAAAAACTAGACAGAAGCATTCTCAGAAACTTATTTGCGATGTGTGTCCTCAACTAACAGAGTTGAACCTTTCCTTTGATACAACATTTTGGAAACACTCTTTTTGTAGAATCTGCAAGTGGATATTTGGATAGCTTTGAAGGTTTCGTTGGAAACGGGAATATCTTCATATGAAATCAAGACAGAAGCATTCTCAGAAACTTCTCTGTGATGTTTGCATTCAACTCATAGAGTTGAACACTTCCCTTCATACAGCAGGTTTGAAACACTCTTTTTCTAATATTTGGAAGTGGACATTTGCAGCGCTTTGAGGCCTATGTTGAAAAAGGAAATATCTTCTCCTAAAAACCAGACAGAAGCATTCTCAGAAACTTGTTTGTGATGTGTGTATTCAACTAACAGAGATGAACCTTTCTTTTTACAGAGCAGTTTTGAAACACTCTTTTTGTGGAATCTGAAAGTGGATATTTGGATAGCTTTGAGGATTTCGTTGGAAACGGGATTACATATAAAACCTAGAGAGAAGCATTCTCAGGAACTTCTTTGTGATGTTTGCATTCAAGTCACAGGACTGAACATTCCCTTTCATAGAGCAGGTTTGAAACACTCTTTCTGTAGTATCTGCAAGCTGACGTTTCAAGCGCTTTCAGGCCTATGGTGAGAAAGGAAATATCTTCAAGTAAAAACTAGACAGAAGCATTCTCAGAAACTTATTTGCCATGTGTGTTCTCAACTAACAGAGTTGAACCTTTGTTTTGATACGGCATTTTGGAAACACTCTTTTTGTAGAATCTGCAGGTGGATATTCGGATAGCTTTGAAGGTTTCGTTGGAAACGGGAATATCTTCATATAAAATCTAGACGGAAGCATTCTCAGAAACTGCTTTGTGATGTTTTCATTCAAGTCACAGAGTAGAATGTTCCCTGTTATATACCAGGTTTGAGACACTCTTTCTGCACTACCTGGAAGTGGACGTTTGGAGCGCTTTGAGGCCTATGTTGAAAAAGGAAATATCTTCCCATAAAAACTAGACAGAAGCATTCTCAGAAACTTGTTTGTGATGTGTGTATTCAACTAACAGAGATGAACCTTTCTTTTTACAGAGCAGTTTTGAAACACTCTTTTTGTGGAATCTGAAAGTGGATATTTGGATAGCTTTGAGGATTTCGTTGGAAACGGGATTACATATAAAACCTAGAGAGAAGCATTCTCAGGAACTTCTTTGTGATGTTTGCCTTCAAGTCACAGGACTGAACATTCCGTTTCATAGAGCAGGTTTGAAACACTCTTTCTGTAGTATCTGCAAGCTGACGTTTCAAGCGCTTTCAGGCCTATGGTGACAAAGGAAATATCTTCAAGTAAAAACTAGACAGAAGCATTCTCAGAAACTTATTTGCGATGTGTGTTCTCAACTAACAGAGTTGAACCTTTGTTTTGATATGGCATTTTGGAAACACTCTTTTTGTAGAATCTGCAGGTGGATATTCGGATAGCTTTGAAGGTTTCGTTGGAAACGGGAATATCTTCATATAAAATCTAGACGGAAGCATTCTCAGAAACTGCTTTGTGATGTTTTCATTGAAGTCACAGAGTAGAATGTTCCCTTTTATATACCAGGTTTGAGACACTCTTTCTGCACTATCTGGAAGTGGACATTTGGAGCGCTTTGAGGCCTATGATGAAAAAGGAAATATCTTCCCATAAAAACTAGACAGAAGCATTCTCAGAAACTTGTTTGTGATGTGTGTATTCAACTAACAGAGATGAACCTTTCTTTTTACAGAGCAGTTTTGAAACACTCTTTTTGTGGAATCTGAAAGTGGATATTTGGATAGCTTTGAGGATTTCGTTGGAAACGGGATTACATATAAAATCTAGAGAGAAGCATTCTCAGGAACTTCTTTGTGATGTTTGCATTCAAGTCACAGAACTGAACATTCCCTTTCATAGAGCAGGTTTGAAACACTCTTTCTGTAGTATCTGCAAGCGGACGTTTCAAGCGCTTTCAGGCCTGTGGTGAAAAAGGAAATATCTTCAAATAAAAACTAGACAGAAGCATTCTCAGAAACTTCTTTGTGCTGTATGTCCTCAATTAACAGAGTTGAACCTTTGTTTCGATACAGCATTTTGGAAACATTCCTTTAGTAGAATCTACAAGTTGATATTTAGATAGCTAGGAAGATTTCCTTGGAAATGGGAATATCTTCAAATAAAATCTAGACGGAAGCATTCTCAGAAAGTGCTTTGTGATGTTTGCATTCAAGTCACAGAGTTGAATATTCCCTTTTATAGAGCAGGTTTGAAACACTCTTTCTGCACTACCTGGAAGTGGACATTTGGAGCGCTTTGAGGCCTATGTTGAAAAAGGAAATATCTTCCCATAAAAACTAGACAGAAGCATTCTCAGAAACTTGTTTGTGATGTGTGTATTCAACTAACAGAGATGAACCTTTCTTTTTACAGAGCAGTTTTGAAACACTCTTTTTGTGGAATCTGAAAGTGGATATTTGGATAGCTTTGAGGATTTCGTTGGAAACGGGATTACATATAAAATCTAGAGAGAAGCATTCTCAGGAACTTCTTTGTGATGTTTGCATTCAAGTCACAGAACTGAACATTCCCTTTCATAGAGCATGTTTGAAACACTCTTTCTGTAGTATCTGCAAGCGGACGTTTCAAGCGCTTTCAGGCCTATGGTGAGAAAGGGAATATCTTCAAGTAAACACTAGACAGAAGCATTCTCAGAAACTTATTTGCCATGTGTGTTCTCAACTAACAGAGTTGAACCTTTGTTTTGATACGGCATTTTGGAAACACTCTTTTTGTAGAATCTGCAGGTGGATATACGGATAGCTTTGAAGGTTTCGTTGGAAACGGGAATATCTTCATATAAAATCTAGACGGAAAGCATTCTCAGAAAGTGCTTTGTGATGTTTGCATTCAAGTCACAGAGTTGAATATTCCCTTTTATAGAGCAGGTTTGAAACACTCTTTCTGCACTACCTGGAAGTGGACATTTGGAGCGCTTTGAGGCCTATGTTGAAAAAGGAAATATCTTCCCATAAAAACTAGACAGAAGCATTCTCAGAAACTTGTTTGTGATGTGTGTATTCAACTAACAGAGATGAACCTTTCTTTTTACAGAGCAGTTTTGAAACACTCTTTTTGTGGAATCTGAAAGTGGATATTTGGATAGCTTTGAGGATTTCGTTGGAAACGGGATTACATATAAAACCTAGAGAGAAGCATTCTCAGGAACTTCTTTGTGATGTTTGCCTTCAAGTCACAGGACTGAACATTCCCTTTCATAGAGCAGGTTTGAAACACTCTTTCTGTAATATCTGCAAGCTGACGTTTCAAGCGCTTTCAGGCCTATGGTGAGAAAGGAAATATCTTCAAGTAAAAACTAGACAGAAGCATTCTCAGAAACTTATTTGCCATGTGTGTTCTCAACTAACAGAGTTGAACCTTTGTTTTGATACGGCATTTTGGAAACACTCTTTTTGTAGAATCTGCAGGTGGATATTCGGATAGCTTTGAAGGTTTCGTTGGAAACGGGAATATCTTCCTATAAAATCTAGACGGAAGCATTCTCAGAAAGTGCTTTGTGATGTTTGCATTCAAGTCACAGAGTTGAATATTCCCTTTTATAGAGCAGGTTTGAAACACTCTTTCTGCACTACCTGGAAGTGGACATTTGGAGCGCTTTGAGGCCTATGTTGAAAAAGGAAATATCTTCCCATAAAAACTAGACAGAAGCATTCTCAGAAACTTGTTTGTGATGTGTGTATTCAACTAACAGAGATGAACCTTTCTTTTTACAGAGCAGTTTTGAAACACTCTTTTTGTGGAATCTGAAAGTGGATATTTGGATAGCTTTGAGGATTTCGTTGGAAACGGGATTACATATAAAATCTAGAGAGAAGCATTCTCAGAAACTTCCTTGTGATGTGTGTACTCAAGTAACAGAGTTGAACTTTACTTTTGACAGAGCCGTTTTGAAACAGTCTTTTTGTAGAATCTGGAACTAGATATTTGGATACCTTTGAGGATTTCTTTGGAAACGGGGTATCTTCATATAAAATCTAGACAGAAGCATTCTCAGGAACTTCTTTGTGCTGTATGTCCTCAATTAACAGAGTTGAACCTTTGTGTGGATACAGCATTTTGGAAACATTCCTTTAGTAGAATCTGCAAGTTGATATTTAGATAGCTAATAAGATTTCCTTGGAAAAGGGAATATCTTCATTTAAAATCTAGACGGAAGCATTCTCAGAAACTGCTTTGTGATGTCTTCATTCAAGTCACAGAGTAGAATGTTCCCTTTTATAGAGCAGGTTTGAAACACTCTGTGCACTACCTGGAAGTGGACATTTGGAGCGCTTTGAGGCCTATGTTGAAAAAGGAAATATCTTCCCATAGAAACTAGACAGAAGCATTCTCAGAAACTTGTTTGTGATGTGTGTATTCAACTAACAGAGATGAACCTTTCTTTTTACAGAGCAGTTTTGAAACACTCTTTTTGTGGAATCTGAAAGTGGATATTTGGATAGCTTTGAGGATTTCGTTGGAAACGGGATTACATATAAAACCTAGAGAGAAGCATTCTCAGGAACTTCTTTGTGATGTTTGCCTTCAAGTCACAGGACTGAACATTCCCTTTCATAGAGCAGGTTTGAAACACTCTTTCTGTAGTATCTGCAAGCTGACGTTTCAAGCGCTTTCAGGCCTATGGTGAGAAAGGAAATATCTTCAAGTAAAAACTAGACAGAAGCATTCTCAGAAACTTATTTGCCATGTGTGTTCTCAACTAACAGAGTTGAACCTTTGTTTTGATACGGCATTTTGGAAACACTCTTTTTGTAGAATCTGCAGGTGGATATTCGGATAGCTTTGAAGGTTTCGTTGGAAACGGGAATATCTTCATATAAAATCTAGACGGAAGCATTCTCAGAAAGTGCTTTGTGATGTTTGCATTCAAGTCACAGAGTTGAATATTCCCTTTTATAGAGTAGGTTTGAAACACTCTTTCTGCACTACCTGGAAGTGGACATTTGGAGCGCTTTGAGGCCTATGTTGAAAAAGGAAATATCTTCCCATAAAAACTAGACAGAAGCATTCTCAGAAACTTGTTTGTGATGTGTGTATTCAACTAACAGAGATGAACCTTTCTTTTTACAGAGCAGTTTTGAAACACTCTTTTTGTGGAATCTGAAAGTGGATATTTGGATAGCTTTGAGGATTTCGTTGGAAACGGGATTACATATAAAATCTAGAGAGAAGCATTCTCAGGAACTTCTTTGTGATGTTTGCATTCAAGTCACAGAACTGAACATTCCCTTTCATAGAGCAGGTTTGAAACACTCTTTCTGTAGTATCTGCAAGCTGACGTTTCAAGCGCTTTCAGGCCTATGGTGAGAAAGGAAATATCTTCAAGTAAAAACTAGACAGAAGCATTCTCAGAAACTTATTTGCGATGTGTGTTCTCAACTAACAGAGTTGAACCTTTGTTTTGATATGGCATTTTGGAAACACTCTTTTTGTAGAATCTGCAGGTGGATATTCGGATAGCTTTGAAGGTTTCGTTGGAAACGGGAATATCTTCATATAAAATCTAGACGGAAGCATTCTCAGAAACTACTTTGTGATGTTTTCATTCAAGTCACAGAGTAGAATGTTCCCTGTTATATACCAGGTTTGAGACACTCTTTCTGCACTACCTGGAAGTGGACATTTGCAGCGCTTTGAGGCCTATGATGAAAAAGGAAATATCTTCCCATAAAAACTAGACAGAAGCATTCTCAGAAACTTGTTTGTGATGTGTGTATTCAACTAACAGAGATGAACCTTTCTTTTTACAGAGCAGTTTTGAAACACTCTTTTTGTGGAATCTGAAAGTGGATATTTGGATAGCTTTGAGGATTTCGTTGGAAACGGGATTACATATAAAACCTAGAGAGAAGCATTCTCAGGAACTTCTTTGTGATGTTTGCCTTGAAGTCACAGGACTGAACATTCCCTTTCATAGAGCAGGTTTGAAACACTCTTTCTGTAGTATCTGCAAGCTGACGTTTCAAGCGCTTTCAGGCCTATGGTGAGAAAGGAAATATCTTCAAGTAAAAACTAGACAGAAGCATTCTCAGAAACTTATTTGCGATGTGTGTCCTCAACTAACAGAGTTGAACCTTTCTTTTGATACAACATTTTGGAAACACTCTTTTTGTAGAATCTGCAAGTGGATATTTGAATAGCTTTGAAGGTTTCGTTGGAAACGGGAATATCTTCAAATAAAAACTAGACAGAAGCATTCTCAGAAACTGCTTTGTGATGTTTTCATTCAAGTCACAGAGTAGAATGTTCCCTGTTATATACCAGGTTTGAGACACTCTTTCTGCACTACCTGGAAGTGGACGTTTGGAGCGCTTTGAGGCCTATGTTGAAAAAGGAAATATCTTCCCATAAAAACTAGACAGAAGCATTCTCAGAAACTTGTTTGTGATGTGTGTATTCAACTAACAGAGATGAACCTTTCTTTTTACAGAGCAGTTTTGAAACACTCTTTTTGTGGAATCTGAAAGTGGATATTTGGATAGCTATGAGGATTTCGTTGGAAACGGGATTACATATAAAACCTAGAGAGAAGCATTCTCAGGAACTTCTTTGTGATGTTTGCATTCACGTCACAGAACTGAACATTCCATTTCATAGAGCATGTTTGAAACACTCTTTCTGTAGTATCTGCAAACGGACGTTTCAAACGCTTTCAGGCCTATGGTGAGAAAGGAAATATCTTCAAGTAAAAACTAGACAGAAGCATTCTCAGAAACTTATTTGCGATGTGTGTCCTCAACTAACAGAGTTGAACCTTTCTTTTGATACAACATTTTGGAAACACTCTTTTTGTAGAATCTGCAAGTGGATATTTGAATAGCTTTGAAGGTTTCGTTGGAAACGGGAATATCTTCATATAAAATCAAGACAGAAGCATTCTCAGAAACTTCTCTGTGATGTTTGCATTCAACTCATAGAGTTGAACACTTCCCTTCATACAGCAGGTTTGAAACACTCTTTTTGTAATATTTGGAAGTGGACATTTGCAGCGCTTTGAGGCCTATGATGAAAAAGGAAATATCTTCCCATAAAAACTAGACAGAAGCATTCTCAGAAACTTGTTTGTGATGTGTGTATTCAACTAACAGAGATGAACCTTTCTTTTTACAGAGCAGTTTTGAAACACTCTTTTTGTGGAATCTGAAAGTGGATATTTGGATAGCTTTGAGGATTTCGTTGGAAACGGGATTACATATAAAATCTAGAGAGAAGCATTCTCAGGAACTTCTTTGTGATGTTTACATTCAAGTCACAGAACTGAACATTCCCTTTCATAGAGCAGGTTTGAAACACTCTTTCTGTAGTTTCTGCAAGCGGACGTTTCAAGCGCTTTCAGGCCTATGGTGTGAAAGGAAATATCTTCAAGTAAAAACTAGACAGAAGCATTACTCAGAAACTTATTTGCGATGTGTGTCCTCAACTAACAGAGTTGAACCTTTCTTTTGATACAACATTTTGGAAACACTCTTTTTGTAGAATCTGCAAGTGGATATTTGAATAGCTTTGAAGGTTTCGTTGGAAACGGGAATATCTTCATATAAAATCAAGACGGAAGCATTCTCAGAAACTTCTCTGTGATGTTTGCATTCAACTCATAGAGTTGAACACTTCCCTTCATACAGCAGGTTTGAAACACTCTTTTTGTAATATTTGGAAGTGGACTTTTGCAGCGCTTTGTGGCCTATGATGAAAAAGGTAATATCTTCCCATAAAAACTAGACAGAAGCATTCTCAGAAACTTGTTTGTGATGTGTGTATTCAACTAACAGAGATGAACCTTTCTTTTTACAGAGCAGTTTTGAAACACTCTTTTTGTGGAATCTGAAAGTGGATATTTGGATAGCTTTGAGGATTTCGTTGGAAACGGGATTACATATAAAATCTAGAGAGAAGCATTCTCAGGAACTTCTTTGTGATGTTTGCATTCAAGTCACAGAACTGAACATTCCCTTTCATAGAGCATGTTTGAAACACTCTTTCTGTAGTATCTGCAAGCGGACGTTTTAAGCGCTTTCAGGCCTGTGGTGAGAAAGGAAATATCTTCAAATAAAAACTAGACAGAAGCATTCTCAGAAACTTATTTGCGATGTGTGTCCTCAACTAACAGAGTTGAACCTTTCTTTTGATACAACATTTTGGAAACACTCTTTTTGTAGAATCTGCAAGTGGATATTTGGATAGCTTTGAAGGTTTCGTTGGAAACGGGAATATCTTCATATGAAATCAAGACAGAAAGCATTCTCAGAAACTTCTCTGTGATGTTTGCATTCAACTCATAGAGTTGAACACTTCCCTTCATACAGCAGGTTTGAAACACTCTTTTTGTAATATTTGGAAGTGGACATTTGCAGCGCTTTGAGGCCTATGATGAAAAAGGAAATATCTTCCCATAAAAACTAGACAGGAAGCATTCTCAGAAACTTGTTTGTGATGTGTGTATTCAACTAACAGAGATGAACCTTTCTTTTTACAGAGCAGTTTTGAAACACTCTTTTTGTGGAATCTGAAAGTGGATATTTGGATAGCTTTGAGGATTTCGTTGGAAACGGGATTACATATAAAACCTAGAGAGAAGCATTCTCAGGAACTTCTTTGTGATGTTTGCATTCAAGTCACAGAACTGAACATTCCCTTTCATAGAGCAGGTTTGAAACACTCTTTCTGTAGTATCTGCAAGCTGACGTTTCATGCGTTTTCAGGCCTATGGTGAGAAAGGAAATATCTTCAAGTAAAAACTAGACAGAAGCATTCTCAGAAACTTATTTGCCATGTGTGTTCTCAACTAACAGAGTTGAACCTTTGTTTTGATACGGCATTTTGGAAACACTCTTTTTGTAGAATCTGCAGGTGGATATTCGGATAGCTTTGAAGGTTTCGTTGGAAACGGGAATATCTTCATATAAAATCTAGACGGAAGCATTCTCAGAAACTGCTTTGTGATGTTTTCATTCAAGTCACAGAGTAGAATGTTGCCTGTTATATACCAGGTTTGAGACACTCTTTCTGCACTACCTGGAAGTGGACGTTTGGAGCGCTTTGAGGCCTATGTTGAAAAAGGAAATATCTTCCCATAAAAACTAGACAGAAGCATTCTCAGAAACTTGTTTGTGATGTGTGTATTCAACTAACAGAGATGAACCTTTCTTTTTACAGAGCAGTTTTGAAACACTCTTTTTGTGGAATCTGAAAGTCGATATTTGGATAGCTTTGAGGATTTCGTTGGAAACGGGATTAAATATAAAATCTAGAGAGAAGCATTCTCAGGAACTTCTTTGTGATGTTTGCATTCAAGTCACAGAACTGAACATTCCCTTTCATAGAGCAGGTTTGAAACACTCTTTCTGTAGTATCTGCAAGCGGACGTTTTAAGCGCTTTCAGGCCTGTGGTGAGAAAGGAAATATCTTCAAATAAAAACTAGACAGAAGCATTCTCAGAAACTTATTTGCGATGTGTGTCCTCAACTAACAGAGTTGAACATTTCTTTTGATACAACATTTTGGAAACACTCTTTTTGTAGAATCTGCAAGTGGATATTTGGATAGCTTTGAAGGTTTCGTTGGAAACGGGAATATCTTCATATGAAATCAAGACAGAAGCATTCTCAGAAACTTCTCTGTGATGTTTGCATTCAACTCATAGAGTTGAACACTTCCCTTCATACAGCAGGTTTGAAACACTCTTTTTCTAATATTTGGAAGTGGACATTTGCAGCGCTTTGAGGCCTATGTTGAAAAAGGAAATATCTTCTCCTAAAAACCAGACAGAAGCATTCTCAGAAACTTGTTTGTGATGTGTGTATTCAACTAACAGGGATGAACCTTTCTTATTACAGAGCAGTTTTGAAACACTCTTTTTGTGGAATCTGAAAGTGGATATTTGGATAGCTTTGAGGATTTCGTTGGAAACGGGATTACATATAAAACCTAGAGAGAAGCATTCTCAGGAACTTCTTTGTGATGTTTGCATTCAAGTCACAGAACTGAACATTCCCTTTCATAGAGCATGTTTGAAACACTCTTTCTGTAGTATCTGCAAACGGACATTTCAAACGCTTTCAGGCCTATGGTGAGAAAGGAAATATCTTCAAATAAAAACTAGACAGAAGCATTCTCAGAAACTTCTTTGTGCTGTATGTCCTCAATTAACAGAGTTGAACCTTTGTTTCGATACAGCATTTTGGAAACACTCCTTTAGTAGAATCTGCAAGTTGATATTTAGATAGCTAGGAAGATTTCCTTGGAAACGGGAATATCTTCACATAAAATCTAGACGGAAGCATTCTCAGAAACTTCTCTGTGATGCTTGCATTCAACTCATAGAGTTGAATACTTCCTTTCATAGAGCAGGTTTGAAACACTCTGTGCACTACCTGGAAGTGGACATTTGGAGCGCTTTGAGGCGTATGTTGAAAAAGGAAATATCTTCCCATAAAAACTAGACAGAAGCATTCTCAGAAACTTGTTTGTGATGTGTGTATTCAACTAACAGAGATGAACCTTTCTTTTTACAGAGCAGTTTTGAAACACTCTTTTTGTGGAATCTGAAAGTGGATATTTGGATAGCTTTGAGCATTTCGTTGGAAACGGGATTACATATAAAATCTAGGGAGAAGCATTCTCAGGAACTTCTTTGTGATGTTTGCATTCAAGTCACAGAACTGAACATTCCCTTTCATAGAGCAGGTTTGAAACACTCTTTCTGTAGTATCTGCAAGCGGACGTTTCAAGCGCTTTCAGGCCTGTAGTGAAAAAGGAAATATCTTCAAATAAAAACTAGACAGAAGCATTCTCAGAAACTTCTTTGTGCTGTATGTCCTCAATTAACAGAGTTGAACCTTTGTGTGGATACAGCATTTTGGAAACATTCCTTTAGTAGAATCTGCAAGTTGATATTTAGATAGCTAGGAAGATTTCCTTGGAAACGGGAATATCTTCATATAAAATGTAGACGGAAGCATTCTCAGAAACTTCTCTGTGATGTTTGCATTCAACTCATAGAGTTGAACACTTCCCTTCATACAGCAGGTTTGAAACACTCTTTTTGTAATATTTGGAAGTGGACATTTGCAGCGCTTTGATGCCTATGATGAAAAAGGTAATATCTTCCCATAAAAACTAGACAGAAGCATTCTCAGAAACTTGTTTGTGATGTGTGTATTCAACTAACAGAGATGAACCTTTCTTTTTACAGAGCAGTTTTGAAACACTCTTTTTGTGGAATCTGAAAGTGGATATTTGGATAGCTTTGCGGATTTCGTTGGAAACGGGATTACATATAAAATCTAGGGAGAAGCATTCTCAGGAACTTCTTTGTGATGTTTGCATTCAAGTCACAGAACTGAACATTCCCTTTCATAGAGCAGGTTTGAAACACTCTTTCTGTAGTATCTGCAAGCGGACGTTTTAAGCGCTTTCAGGCCTGTGGTGAGAAAGGAAATATCTTCAAATAAAAACTAGACAGAAGCATTCTCAGAAACTTATTTGCGATGTGTGTCCTCAACTAACAGAGTTGAACCTTTCTTTTGATACAACATTTTGGAAACACTCTTTTTGTAGAATCTGCAAGTGGATATTTGGATCGCTTTGAAGGTTTCGTTGGAAACGGGAATATCTTCATATAAAATCAAGACAGAAGCATTCTCCGAAACTTCTCTGTGATGTTTGCATTCAACTCATAGAGTTGAACACTTCCCTTCATACAGCAGGTTTGAAACACTCTTTTTGTAATATTTGGAAGTGGACATTTGCAGCGCTTTGAGGCCTATGACGAAAAAGGTAATATCTTCCCATAAAAACTAGACAGAAGCATTCTCAGAAACTTGTTTGTGATGTGTGTATTCAACTAACAGAGATGAACCTTTCTTTTTACAGAGCAGTTTTGAAACACTCTTTTTGTGGAATCTGAAAGTGGATATTTGGATAGCTTTGAGGATTTCGTTGGAAACGGGATTACATATAAAATCTAGAGAGAAGCATTCTCAGGAACTTCTTTGTGATGTTTGCCTTCAAGTCACAGGACTGAACATTCCCTTTCATAGAGCAGGTTTGAAACACTCTTTCTGTAGTATCTGCAAGCTGACGTTTCAAGCGCTTTCAGGCCTATGGTGACAAAGGAAATATCTTCAAGTAAAAACTAGACAGAAGCATTCTCAGAAACTTATTTGCGATGTGTGTTCTCAACTAACAGAGTTGAACCTTTGTTTTGATATGGCATTTTGGAAACACTCTTTTTGAAGAATCTGCAGGTGGATATTCGGATAGCTTTGAAGGTTTCGTTGGAAACGGGAATATCTTCATATAAAATCTAGACGGAAGCATTCTCAGAAACTGCTTTGTGATGTTTTCATTCAAGTCACAGAGTAGAATGTTCCCTGTTATATACCAGGTTTGAGACACTCTTTCTGCACTACCCGGAAGTGGACGTTTGGAGCGCTTTGAGGCCTATGTTGAAAAAGGAAATATCTTCCCATAAAAACTAGACAGAAGCATTCTCAGAAACTTGTTTGTGATGTGTGTATTCAACTAACAGAGATGAACCTTTCTTTTTACAGAGCAGTTTTGAAACACTCTTTTTGTGGAATCTGAAAGTGGATATTTGGATAGCTTTGAGGATTTCGTTGGAAACGGGATTACATATAAAATCTAGAGAGAAGCATTCTCAGGAACTTCTTTGTGATGTTTGCATTCAAGTCACAGAACTGAACATTCCCTTTCATAGAGCATGTTTGAAACACTCTTTCTGTAGTATCTGCAAACGGACATTTCAAACGCTTTCAGGCCTATGGTGAGAAAGGAAATATCTTCAAATAAAAACTAGACAGAAGCATTCTCAGAAACTTATTTGCGATGTGTGTCCTCAACTAACAGAGTTGAACCTTTCTATTGATACAACATTTTGGAAACACTCTTTTTGTAGAATCTGCAAGTGGATATTTGAATAGCTTTGAAGGTTTCGTTGGAAACGGGAATATCTTCATATAAAATCAAGACAGAAGCATTCTCAGAAACTTCTCTGTGATGTTTGCATTCAACTCATAGAGTTGAACACTTCCCTTCATACAGCAGGTTTGAAACACTCTTTTTGTAATATTTGGAAGTGGACATTTGCAGCGCTTTGAGGCCTATGATGAAAAAGGAAATATCTTCCCATAAAAACTAGACAGAAGCATTCTCAGAAACTTGTTTGTGATGTGTGTATTCAACTAACAGAGATGAACCTTTCTTTTTACAGAGCAGTTTTGAAACACTCTTTTTGTGGAATCTGAAAGTGGATATTTGGATAGCTTTGCGGATTTCGTTGGAAACGGGATTACATATAAAATCTAGGGAGAAGCATTCTCAGGAACTTCTTTGTGATGTTTGCATTCAAGTCACAGAACTGAACATTCCCTTTCATAGAGCAGGTTTGAAACACTCTTTCTGTAGTATCTGCAAGCTGACGTTTCAAGCGCTTTCAGGCCTATGGTGAGAAAGGAAATATCTTCAAGTAAAAACTAGACAGAAGCATTCTCAGAAACTTATTTGCGATGTGTGTTCTCAACTAACAGGGTAGAACCTTTGTTTTGATATGGCATTTTGGAAACACTCTTTTTGTAGAATCTGCAGGTGGATATTCGGATAGCTTTGAAGGTTTCGTTGGAAACGGGAATATCTTCATATAAAATCTAGACGGAAGCATTCTCAGAAACTGCTTTGTGATGTTTTCATTCAAGTCACAGAGTAGAATGTTCCCTGTTATATACCAGGTTTGAGACACTCTTTCTGCACTACCTGGAAGTGGACATTTGCAGCGCTTTGAGGCCTATGATGAAAAAGGAAATATCTTCCCATAAAAACTAGACAGAAGCATTCTCAGAAACTTGTTTGTGATGTGTGTATTCAACTAACAGAGATGAACCTTTCTTTTTACAGAGCAGTTTTGAAACACTCTTTTTGTGGAATCTGAAAGTGGATATTTGGATAGCTTTGAGGATTTCGTTGGAAACGGGATTACATATAAAATCTAGAGAGAAGCATTCTCAGGAACTTCTTTGTGATGTTTGCATTCAAGTCACAGAACTGAACATTCCCTTTCATAGAGCAGGTTTGAAACAGTCTTTCTGTAGTATCTGCAAGCTGACGTTTCAAGCGCTTTCAGGCCTATGGTGAGAAAGGAAATATCTTCAAGTAAAAACTAGACAGAAGCATTCTCAGAAACTTATTTGCCATGTGTGTTCTCAACTAACAGAGTTGAACCTTTGTTTTGATACGGCATTTTGGAAACACTCTTTTTGTAGAATCTGCAGGTGGATATTCGGATAGCTTTGAAGGTTTCGTTGGAAACGGGAATATCTTCATATAAAATCTAGACGGAAGCATTCTCAGAAACTTCTCTGTGATGTTTGCATTCAACTCATAGAGTTGAACACTTCCCTTCATACAGCAGGTTTGAAACACTCTTTTTGTAATATTTGGAAGTGGACATTTGCAGCGCTTTGAGGCCTATGATGAAAAAGGTAATATCTTCCCATAAAAACTAGACAGAAGCATTCTCAGAAACTTGTTTGTGATGTGTGTATTCAACTAACAGAGATGAACCTTTCTTTTTACAGAGCAGTTTTGAAACACTCTTTTTGTGGAATCTGAAAGTGGATATTTGGATAGCTTTGAGGATTTCGTTGGAAACGGGATTACATATAAAACCTAGAGAGAAGCATTCTCAGGAACTTCTTTGTGATGTTTGCCTTCAAGTCACAGGACTGAACATTCCCTTTCATAGAGCAGGTTTGAAACACTCTTTCTGTAGTATCTGCAAGCTGACGTTTCAAGCGCTTTCAGGCCTATGGTGAGAAAGGAAATATCTTCAAGTAAAAACTAGACAGAAGCATTCTCAGAAACTTATTTGCGATGTGTGTCCTCAACTAACAGAGTTGAACCTTTGTTTTGATACGGCATTTTGGAAACACTCTTTTTGTAGAATCTGCAGGTGGATATTCGGATAGCTTTGAAGGTTTCGTTGGAAACGGGAATATCTTCATATAAAATCTAGACGGAAGCATTCTCAGAAACTGCTTTGTGATGTTTTCATTCAAGTCACAGAGTAGAATGTTCCCTGTTATATACCAGGTTTGAGACACTCTTTCTGCACTACCTGGAAGTGGACGTTTGGAGCGCTTTGAGGCCTATGTTGAAAAAGGAAATATCTTCCCATAAAAACTAGACAGAAGCATTCTCAGAAACTTGTTTGTGATGTGTGTATTCAACTAACAGAGATGAACCTTTCTTTTTACAGAGCAGTTTTGAAACACTCTTTTTGTGGAATCTGAAAGTGGATATTTGGATAGCTTTGCGGATTTCGTTGGAAACGGGATTACATATAAAATCTAGGGAGAAGCATTCTCAGGAACTTCTTTGTGATGTTTGCCTTCAAGTCACAGGACTGAACATTCCCTTTCATAGAGCAGGTTTGAAACACTCTTTCTGTAGTATCTGCAAGCTGACGTTTCAAGCGCTTTCAGGCCTATGGTGAGAAAGGAAATATCTTCAAGTAAAAACTAGACAGAAGCATTCTCAGAAACTTATTTGCCATGTGTGTTCTCAACTAACAGAGTTGAACCTTTGTTTTGATACGGCATTTTGGAAACACTCTTTTTGTAGAATCTGCAGGTGGATATTCGGATAGCTTTGAAGGTTTCGTTGGAAACGGGAATATCTTCATATAAAATCTAGACGGAAGCATTCTCAGAAACTTCTCTGTGATGCTTGCATTCAACCCATACAGTTGAACACTTCCTTTCATAGAGCAGGTTTGAAACACTCTGTGCACTACCTGGAAGTGGACATTTGGAGCGCTTTGAGGCCTATGTTGAAAAAGGAAATATCTTCCCATAAAAACTAGACAGAAGCATTCTCAGAAACTTGTTTGTGATGTGTGTATTCAACTAACAGAGATGAACCTTTCTTTTTACAGAGCAGTTTTGAAACACTCTTTTTGTGGAATCTGAAAGTGGATATTTGGATAGCTTTGCGGATTTCGTTGGAAACGGGATTACATATAAAATCTAGGGAGAAGCATTCTCAGGAACTTCTTTGTGATGTTTGCATTCAAGTCACAGAACTGAACATTCCCTTTCATAGAGCAGGTTTGAAACACTCTTTCTGTAGTATCTGCAAGCTGACGTTTCAAGCGCTTTCAGGCCTATGGTGAGAAAGGAAATATCTTCAAGTAAAAACTAGACAGAAGCATTCTCAGAAACTTATTTGCGATGTGTGTCCTCAACTAACAGAGTTGAACCTTTGTTTTGATACAACATTTTGGAAACACTCTTTTTGTAGAATCTGCAAGTGGATATTTGGATAGCTTTGAAGGTTTCGTTGGAAACGGGAATATCTTCATATAAAATCAAGACAGAAGCATTCTCAGAAACTTCTCTGTGATGTTTGCATTCAACTCATAGAGTTGAACACTTCCCTTCATACAGCAGGTTTGAAACACTCTTTTTGTAATATTTGGAAGTGGACATTTGCAGCGCTTTGAGGCCTATGATGAAAAAGGAAATATCTTCCCATAAAAACTAGACAGAAGCATTCTCAGAAACTTGTTTGTGATGTGTGTATTCAACTAACAGAGATGAACCTTTCTTTTTACAGAGCAGTTTTGAAACACTCTTTTTGTGGAATCTGAAAGTGGATATTTGGATAGCTTTGAGGATTTCGTTGGAAACGGGATTACATATAAAACCTAGAGAGAAGCATTCTCAGGAACTTCTTTGTGATGTTTGCATTCAAGTCACAGAACTGAACATTCCCTTTCATAGAGCAGGTTTGAAACACTCTTTCTGTGGTATCTGCAAGCTGACGTTTCAAGCGCTTTCAGGCCTATGGTGAGAAAGGAAATATCTTCAAGTAAAAACTAGACAGAAGCATTCTCAGAAACTTATTTGCCATGTGTGTTCTCAACTAACAGAGTTGAACCTTTGTTTTGATACGGCATTTTGGAAACACTCTTTTTGTAGAATCTGCAGGTGGATATTCGGATAGCTTTGAAGGTTTCGTTGGAAACGGGAATATCTTCATATAAAATCTAGACGGAAGCATTCTCAGAAAGTGCTTTGTGATGTTTGCATTCAAGTCACAGAGTTGAATATTCCCTTTTATAGAGCAGGTTTGAAACACTCTTTCTGCACTACCTGGAAGTGGACATTTGGAGCGCTTTGAGGCCTATGTTGAAAAAGGAAATATCTTCCCATAAAAACTAGACAGAAGCATTCTCAGAAACTTGTTTGTGATGTGTGTATTCAACCAACAGAGATGAACCTTTCTTTTTACAGAGCAGTTTTGAAACACTCTTTTTGTGGAATCTGAAAGTGGATATTTGGATAGATTTGCGGATTTCGTTGGAAACGGGATTACATATAAAATCTAGGGAGAAGCATTCTCAGGAACTTCTTTGTGATGTTTGCATTCAAGTCACAGAACTGAACATTCCCTTTTATAGAGCAGGTTTGAAACACTCTTTCTGTAGTATCTGCAAGCGGACGTTTTAAGCGCTTTCAGGCCTGTGGTGAGAAAGGAAATATCTTCAAATAAAAACTAGACAGAAGCATTCTCAGAAACTTATTTGCGATGTGTGTCCTCAACTAACAGAGTTGAACCTTTCTTTTGATACAACATTTTGGAAACACTCTTTTTGTAGAATCTCCAAGTGGATATTTGGATAGCTTAGAAGGTTTCGTTGGAAACGGGAATATCTTCATATAAAATCAAGACAGCAGCATTCTCAGAAAGTGCTTTGTGATGTTTGCATTCAAGTCACACAGTTGAATATTCCCTTTTATAGAGTAGGTTTGAAACACTCTTTCTGCACTACCTGGAAGTGGACATTTGGAGCGCTTTGAGGCCTATGTTGAAAAAGGAAATATCTTCCCATAAAAACTAGACAGAAGCATTCTCAGAAACTTGTTTGTGATGTGTGTATTCAACTAACAGAGATGAACCTTTCTTTTTACAGAGCAGTTTTGAAACACTCTTTTTGTGGAATCTGAAAGTGGATATTTGGATAGCTTTGAGGATTTCGTTGGAAACGGGATTACATATAAAACCTAGAGAGAAGCATTCTCAGGAACTTCTTTGTGATGTTTGCATTCAAGTCACAGAACTGAACATTCCCTTTCATAGAGCAGGTTTGAAACACTCTTTCTGTAGTATCTGCAAACGGACATTTCAAGCGCTTTCAGGCCTATGGTGAGAAAGGAAATATCTTCAAGTAAAAACTAGACAGAAGCATTCTCAGAAACTTATTTGCCATGTGTGTTCTCAACTAACAGAGTTGAACCTTTGTTTTGATACGGCATTTTGGAAACACTCTTTTTGTAGAATCTGCAGGTGGATATTCGGATAGCTTTGAAGGTTTCGTTGGAAACGGGAATATCTTCATATAAAATCTTGACGGAAGCATTCGCAGAAAGTGCTTTGTGATGTTTGCATTCAAGTCACAGAGTTGAATATTCCCTTTTATAGAGCAGGTTTGAAACACTCTTTCTGCACTACCTGGAAGTGGACATTTGGAGCGCTTTGAGGCCTATGTTGAAAAAGGAAATATCTTCCCATAAAAACTAGACAGAAGCATTCTCAGAAACTTGTTTGTGATGTGTGTATTCAACTAACAGAGATGAACCTTTCTTTTTACAGAGCAGTTTTGAAACACTCTTTTTGTGGAATCTGAAAGTGGATATTTGGATAGCTTTGAGGATTTCGTTGGAAACGGGATTACATATAAAATCTAGAGAGAAGCATTCTCAGGAACTTCTTTGTGATGTTTGCATTCAAGTCACAGAACTGAACATTCCCTTTCATAGAGCAGGTTTGAAACACTCTTTCTGTAGTATCTGCAAGCGGACGTTTTAAGCGCTTTCAGGCCTGTGGTGAGAAAGGAAATATCTTCAAATAAAAACTAGACAGAAGCATTCTCAGAAACTTATTTGCGATGTGTGTCCTCAACTAACAGAGTTGAACCTTTCTTTTGATACAACATTTTGGAAACACTCTTTTTGTAGAATCTGCAAGTGGATATTTGGATAGCTTTGAAGGTTTCGTTGGAAACGGGAATATCTTCATATAAAATCAAGACAGAAGCATTCTCAGAAACTGCTTTGTGATGTTTTCATTCAAGTCACAGAGTAGAATGTTCCCTGTTATATACCAGGTTTGAGACACTCTTTCTGCACTACCTGGAAGTGGACGTTTGGAGCGCTTTGAGGCCTATGTTAAAAAGGAAATATCTTCCCATAAAAACTAGACAGACGCATTCTCAGAAACTTGTTTTTGATGTGTGTATTCAACTAACAGAGATGAACCTTTCTTTTTACAGAGCAGTTTTGAAACACTCTTTTTGTGGAATCTGAAAGTGGATATTTGGATAGCTTTGAGGATTTCGTTGGAAACGGGATTACATATAAAATCTAGAGAGAAGCATTCTCAGGAACTTCTTTGTGATGTTTGCATTCACGTCACAGAACTGAACATTCCCTTTCATAGAGCATGTTTGAAACACTCTTTCTGTAGTATCTGCAAACGGACATTTCAAACGCTTTCAGGCCTATGGTGAGAAAGGAAATATCTTCAAATAAAAACTAGACAGAAGCATTCTCAGAAACTTATTTGCGATGTGTGTCCTCAACTATCAGAGTTGAACCTTTCTTTTGATACAACATTTTGGAACCACTCTTTTTGTAGAATCTGCAAGTGGATATTTGAATAGCTTTGAAGGTTTCGTTGGAAACGGGAATATCTTCATATAAAATCAAGACAGAAGCATTCTCAGAAACTGCTTTGTGATGTTTTCATTCAAGTCACAGAGTAGAATCTTCCCTGTTATATACCAGGTTTGAGACACTCTTTCTGCACTACCTGGAAGTGGACGTTTGGAGCGCTTTGAGGCCTATGTTGAAAAAGGAAATATCTTCCCATAAAAACTAGACAGAAGCATTCTCAGAAACTTGTTTGTGATGTGTGTATTCAACTAACAGAGATGAACCTTTCTTTTTACAGAGCAGTTTTGAAACACTCTTTTTGTGGAATCTGAAAGTGGATATTTGGATAGCTTTGCGGATTTCGTTGGAAACGGGATTACATATAAAATCTAGGGAGAAGCATTCTCAGGAACTTCTTTGTGATGTTTGCCTTCAAGTCACAGGACTGAACATTCCCTTTCATAGAGCAGGTTTGAAACACTCTTTCTGTAGTATCTGCAAGCTGACGTTTCATGCGCTTTCAGGCCTTTGGTGAGAAAGGAAATATCTTCAAGTAAAAACTAGACAGAAGCATTCTCAGAAACTTCTTTGTGCTGTATGTCCTCAATTAACAGAGTTGAACCTTTGTGTGGATACAGCATTTTGGAAACATTCCTTTAGTAGAATCTGCAAGTTGATATTTAGATAGCTAGGAAGATTTCTTGGAAACGGGAATATCTTCATATAAAATCTAGACGGAAGCATTCTCAGAAAGTGCTTTGTGATGTTTGCATTCAAGTCACAGAGTTGAATATTCCCTTTTATAGAGCAGGTTTGAAACACTCTTTCTGCACTACCTGGAAGTGGACATTTGGAGCGCTTTGAGGCCTATGTTGAAAAAGGAAATATCTTCCCATAAAAACTAGACAGAAGCATTCTCAGAAACTTGTTTGTGATGTGTGTATTCAACTAACAGAGATGAACCTTTCTTTTTACAGAGCAGTTTTGAAACACTCTTTTTGTGGAATCTGAAAGTGGATATTTGGATAGCTTTGAGGATTTCGTTGGAAACGGGATTACATATAAAACCTAGAGAGAAGCATTCTCAGGAACTTCTTTGTGATGTTTGCATTCAAGTCACAGAACTGAACATTCCCTTTCATAGAGCAGGTTTGAAACACTCTTTCTGTAGTATCTGCAAGCTGACGTTTCAAGCGCTTTCAGGCCTATGGTGAGAAAGGAAATATCTTCAAGTAAAAACTAGACAGAAGCATTCTCAGAAACATATTTGCCATGTGTGTTCTCAACTAACAGAGTTGAACCTTTGTTTTGATATGGCATTTTGGAAACACTCTTTTTGTAGAATCTGCAGGTGGATATTCGGATAGCTTTGAAGGTTTCGTTGGAAACGGGAATATCTTCATATAAAATCTAGACGGAAGCATTCTCAGAAACTGCTTTGTGATGTTTTCATTCAAGTCACAGAGTAGAATGTTCCCTTTTATATACCAGGTTTGAGACACCCTTTCTGCACTATCTGGAAGTGGACATTTGGAGCGCTTTGAGGCCTATGATGAAAAAGGAAATATCTTCCCATAAAAACTAGACAGAAGCATTCTCAGAAACTTGTTTGTGATGTGTGTATTCAACTAACAGAGATGAACCTTTCTTTTTACAGAGCAGTTTTGAAACACTCTTTTTGTGGAATCTGCAAGTGGATATTTGGATAGCTTTGAGGATTTCGTTGGAAACGGGATTACATATAAAATCTAGAGAGAAGCATTCTCAGAAACTTGTTTGTGATGTGTGTATTCAACTAACAGAGATGAACCTTTCTTTTTACAGACCAGTTTTGAAACAGTCTTTTTGTGGAATCTGGAAGTAGATATTTGGATACCTTTGAGGATTTCTTTGGAAACGGGATATCTTCATATAAAATCTAGACAGAAGCATTCTCAGAAACTTCTTTGTGCTGTATGTCCTCAATTAACAGAGTTGAACCTTTGTGTGGATACGGCATTTTGGAAACATTCCTTTAGTAGAATCTGCAAGTTGATATTTAGATAGCTAGGAAGATTTCCTTGGAAACGGGAATATCTTCATATAAAATCTAGACGGAAGCATTCTCAGAAAGTGCTTTGTGATGTTTGCATTCAAGTCACAGAGTTGAATATTCCCTTTTATAGAGCAGGTTTGAAACACTCTTTCTGCACTACCTGGAAGTGGACATTTGGAGCGCTTTGAGGCCTATGTTGAAAAAGGAAATATCTTCCCATAAAAACTAGACAGAAGCATTCTCAGAAACTTGTTTGTGATGTGTGTATTCAACTAACAGAGATGAACCTTTCTTTTTACAGAGCAGTTTTGAAACACTCTTTTTGTGGAATCTGAAAGTGGATATTTGGATAGCTTTGAGGATTTCGTTGGAAACGGGATTACATATAAAATCTAGAGAGAAGCATTCTCAGGAACTTCTTTGTGATGTTTGCATTCACGTCACAGAACTGAACATTCCCTTTCATAGAGCATGTTTGAAACACTCTTTCTGTAGTATCTGCAAACGGACATTTCAAACGCTTTCAGGCCTATGGTGAGAAAGGAAATATCTTCAAATAAAAACTAGACAGAAGCATTCTCAGAAACTTATTTGCGATGTGTGTCCTCAACTAACAGAGTTGAACCTTTCTTTTGATACAACATTTTGGAAACACTCTTTTTGTAGAATCTGCAAGTGGATATTTGAATAGCTTTGAAGGTTTCGTTGGAAACGGGAATATCTTCATATAAAATCAAGGCAGAAGCATTCTCAGAAACTTCTCTGTGATGTTTGCATTCAACTCATAGAGTTGAACACTTCCCTTCATACAGCAGGTTTGAAACACTCTTTTTGTAATATTTGGAAGTGGACATTTGCAGCGCTTTGAGGCCTATGATGAAAAAGGTAATATCTTCCCATAAAAACTAGACAGAAGCATTCTCAGAAACTTGTTTGTGATGGGTGTATTCAACTAACAGAGATGAACCTTTCTTTTTACAGAGCAGTTTTGAAACACTCTTTTTGTGGAATCTGAAAGTGGATATTTGGATAGATTTGCGGATTTCGTTGGAAACGGGATTACATATAAAATACTAGGGAGAAGCATTCTCAGGAACTTCTTTGTGATGTTTGCATTCAAGTCACAGAACTGAACATTCCCTTTCATAGAGCAGGTTTGAAACACTCTTTCTGTAGTATCTGCAAGCGGACGTTTTAAGCGCTTTCAGGCCTGTGGTGAGAAAGGAAATATCTTCAAATAAAAACTAGACAGAAGCATTCTCAGAATCTTATTTGCGATGTGTGTCCTCAACTAACAGAGTTGAACCTTTCTTTTGATACAACATTTTGGAAACACTCTTTTTGTAGAATCTGCAAGTGGATATTTGGATAGCTTTGAAGGTTTCGTTGGAAACGGGAATATCTTCATATGAAATCAAGACAGAAGCATTCTCAGAAACTTCTCTGTGATGTTTGCATTCAACTCATAGAGTTGAACACTTCCCTTCATACAGCAGGTTTGAAACACTCTTTTTGTAATATTTGGAAGTGGACATTTGCAGCGCTTTGAGGCCTATGTTGAAAAAGGAAATATCTTCTCCTAAAAACCAGACAGAAGCATTCTCAGAAACTTGTTTGTGATGTGTGTATTCAACTAACAGAGATGAACCTTTCTTTTTACAGAGCAGTTTTGAAACACTCTTTTTGTGGAATCTGAAAGTGGATATTTGGATAGCTTTGAGGATTTCGTTGGAAACGGGATTACATATAAAACCTAGAGAGAAGCATTCTCAGGAACTTCTTTGTGATGTTTGCCTTCAAGTCACAGGACTGAACATTCCCTTTCATAGAGCAGGTTTGAAACACTCTTTCTGTAGTATCTGCAAGCTGACCGTTTCATGCGCTTTCAGGCCTATGGTGAGAAAGGAAATATCTTCAAGTAAAAACTAGACAGAAGCATTCTCAGAAACTTATTTGCCATGTGTGTTCTCAACTAACAGAGTTGAACCTTTGTTTTGATACGGCATTTTGGAAACACTCTTTTTGTAGAATCTGCAGGTGGATATTCGGATAGCTTTGAAGGTTTCGTTGGAAACGGGAATATCTTCATATAAAATCTAGACGGAAGCATTCTCAGAAGCTTCTCTGTGATGTTTGCATTCAACTCATAGAGTTGAACACTTCCCTTCATACAGCAGGTTTGAAACACTCTTTTTGTAATATTTGGAAGTGGACATTTGCAGCGCTTTGAGGCCTATGATGAAAAAGGAAATATCTTCCCATAAAAACTAGACAGAAGCATTCTCAGAAACTTGTTTGTGATGTGTGTATTCAACTAACAGAGATGAACCTTTCTTTTTACAGAGTAGTTTTGAAACACTCTTTTTGTGGAATCCGAAAGTGGATATTTGGATAGCTTTGAGGAATTCTTTGGAAACGGGATTACATATAAAAAGTAGGGAGAAGCATTCTCAGGAACTTCTTTGTGATGTTTGCATTCACGTCACAGAACTGAACATTCCCTTTCATAGAGCATGTTTGAAACACTCTTTCTGTAGTATCTGCAAACGGACATTTCAAACGCTTTCAGGCCTATGGTGAGAAAGGAAATATCTTCAAGTAAAAACTAGACAGAAACATTCTCAGAAACTTATTAGTGATGTGTGTCCCCAACTAACAGAGTTGAACCTTTGTTTTGATACAGCATTTTGGAAACACTGTTTTTGTAGAATCTGCGGGTGGATATTTGGATAGCTTTGAAGATTTTGTTGGAAACGGAAATATCTTCATATAAAATCAAGAAAGAAGCATTCTCAGAAGCTTGTTTGTGATGTGTGTATTCAACTAACAGAGATGAACCTTTCTTTTTACAGAGCAGTTTTAAAACACTCTTTTTGTGGAATCTGAAAGTGGATATTTGGATACCTTTGAGGATTTCGTTGGAAACGGGATTACATACAAAATCTAGAGAGAAGCATTCTCAGGAACTTCTTTGTGATGTTTGCATTCAAGTCACAGAACTGAACATTCCCTTTCATAGAGCATGTTTGAAACACTCTTTCTGTAGTATCTGCAACCGGACATTTCAAGCGCTTTCAGGCCTGTGGTGAGAAAGGAAATATCTTCAAATAAAAACTAGACAGAAGCATTCTCAGAAACTTCTTTGTGCTGTATGTCCTCAATTAACAGAGTTGAACCTTTGTGTGGATACAGCATTTTGGAAACATTCCTTTAGTAGAATCTGCAAGTTGATATTTAGATAGCTAGGAAGATTTCCTTGGAAACGGGAATATCTTCATATAAAATCTAGACGGAAGCATTCTCAGAAAGTGCTTTGTGATGTTTGCATTCAAGTCACAGAGTTGAATGTTCCCTTTTATAGAGCAGGTTTGAAACACTCTTTCTGCACTACCTGGAAGTGGACATTTGGAGCGCTTTGAGGCCTATGTTGAAAAAGGAAATATCTTCCCATAAAAACTAGACAGAAGCATTCTCAGAAACTTGTTTGTGATGTGTGTATTCAACTAACAGAGATGAACCTTTCTTTTTACAGAGCAGTTTTGAAACACTCTTTTTGTGGAATCTGAAAGTGGATATTTGGATAGCTTTGAGGATTTCGTTGGAAACGGGATTACATATAAAATGTAGAGAGAAGCATTCTCAGGAACTTCTTTGTGATGTTTGCATTCAAGTCACAGAACTGAACATTCCCTTTCATAGAGCATGTTTGAAACACTCTTTCTGTAGTATCTGCAAGCGGACGTTTCAAGCGCTTTCAGGCCTATGGTGAGAAAGGAAATATCTTCAAGTAAAAACTAGACAGAAGCATTCTCAGAAACTTATTTGCGATGTGTGTCCTCAACTAACAGAGTTGAACCTTTCTTTTGATACAACATTTTGGAAACACTCTTTTTGTAGAATCTGCAAGTGGATATTTGAATAGCTTTGAAGGTTTCGTTGGAAACGGGAATATCTTCATATAAAATCAAGACAGAAGCATTCTCAGAAACTTCTCTGTGATGTTTGCATTCAACTCATAGAGTTGAACACTTCCCTTCATACAGCAGGTTTGAAACACTCTTTTTGTAATATTTGGAAGTGGACATTTGCAGCGCTTTGAGGCCTATGATGAAAAAGGTAATATCTTCCCATAAAAACTAGACAGAAGCATTCTCAGAAACTTGTTTGTGATGTGTGTATTCAACTAACAGAGATGAACCTTTCTTTTTACAGAGCAGTTTTGAAACACTCTTTTTGTGGAATCTGAAAGTGGATATTTGGATAGCTTTGCGGATTTCGTTGGAAACGGGATTACATATAAAATCCTAGGGAGAAGCATTCTCAGGAACTTCTTTGTGATGTTTGCATTCAAGTCACAGAACTGAACATTCCCTTTCATAGAGCATGTTTGAAACACTCTTTCTGTAGTATCTGCAAGCGGACGTTTCAAGCGCTTTCAGGCCTATGGTGAGAAAGGAAATACCTTCAAGTAAAAACTAGACAGAAGCATTCTCAGAAACTTATTTGCCATGTGTGTTCTCAACTAACAGAGTTGAAGCTTTGTTTTGATACGGCATTTTGGAAACACTCTTTTTGTAGAATCTGCTGGTGGATATTCGGATAGCTTTGAAGGTGTCGTTGGAAACGGGAATATCTTCATATAAAATCTAGACGGAAGCATTCTCAGAAACTGCTTTGTGATGTTTTCATTCAAGTCACAGAGTAGAATGTTCCCTGTTATATACCAGGTTTGAGACACTCTTTCTGCACTACCTGGAAGTGGACATTTGCAGCGCTTTGAGGCCTATGATGAAAAAGGAAATATCTTCCCATAAAAACTAGACAGAAGCATTCTCAGAAACTTGTTTGTGATGTGTGTATTCAACTAACAGAGATGAACCTTTCTTTTTACAGAGCAGTTTTGAAACACTCTTTTTGTGGAATCTGAAAGTGGATATTTGGATAGCTTTGAGGATTTCGTTGGAAACGGGATTACATATAAAATCTAGGGAGAAGCATTCTCAGGAACTTCTTTGTGATGTTGACATTCAAGTCACAGAACTGAACATTCCCTTTCATAGAGCAGGTTTGAAACACTGTTTCTGTAGTATCTGCAAGCGGAAGTTTCAAGCGCTTTCAGGCCTGTGGTGAAAAAGGAAATATCTTCAAATAAAAACTAGACAGAAGCATTCTCAGAAACTTATTTGCGATGTGTGTTCTCAACTAACAGAGTTGAACCTTTGTTTTGATATGGCATTTTGGAAACACTCTTTTTGTAGAATCTGCAGGTGGATATTCGGATAGCTTTGAAGGTTTCGTTGGAAACGGGAATATCTTCATATAAAATCTAGACGGAAGCATTCTCAGAAACTGCTTTGTGATGTTTTCATTCAAGTCACAGAGTAGAATGTTCCCTGTTATATACCAGGTTTGAGACACTCTTTCTGCACTACCTGGAAGTGGACATTTGCAGCGCTTTGAGGCCTATGATGAAAAAGGAAATATCTTCCCATAAAAACTAGACAGAAGCATTCTCAGAAACTTGTTTGTGATGTGTGTATTCAACTAACAGAGATGAACCTTTCTTTTTACGGAGCAGTTTTGAAACACTCTTTTTGTGGAATCTGAAAGTGGATATTTGGATAGCTTTGAGGATTTCGTTGGAAACGGGATTACATATAAAACCTAGAGAGAAGCATTCTCAGGAACTGCTTTGTGATGTTTGCATTCAAGTCACAGAACTGAACATTCCCTTTCATAGAGCAGGTTTGAAACACTCTTTCTGTAGTATCTGCAAGCTGACGTTTCAAGCGCTTTCAGGCCTATGGTGAGAAAGGAAATATCTTCAAGTAAAAACTAGACAGAAGCATTCTCAGAAACTTATTTGCGATGTGTGTTCTCAACTAACAGAGTTGAACATTTGTTTTGATATGGCATTTTGGAAACACTCTTTTTGTAGAATCTGCAGGTGGATATACGGATAGCTTTGAAGGTTTCGTTGGAAACGGGAATATCTTCATATAAAATCTAAACGGAAGCATTCTCAGAAACTGCTTTGTGATGTTTTCATTCAAGTCACAGAGTAGAATATTCCCTGTTATATACCAGGTTTGAGACACTCTTTCTGCACTACCTGGAAGTGGACATTTGCAGCGCTTTGAGGCCTATGTTGAAAAAGGAAATATCTTCTCATAAAAACCAGACAGAAGCATTCTCAGAAACTTCCTTGTGATGTGTGTACTCAAGTAACAGAGTTGAACCTTCCTTTTGACAGAGCAGTTTTGAAGCACTCTTTTTGTAGAATCTGCAAGTGGATATTTTGATACCTTTGAGGATTTCGTCGGACACGGGATATCTTCATATAAAATCTAGACAGAAGCATTCTCAGAAACTTCTTTGTGCTGTATGTCCTCAATTAACAGAGTTGAACCTTTGTGTGGATACAGCATTTTGGAAACATTCCTTTAGTAGAATCTGCAAGTTGATATTTAGATAGCTAGGAAGATTTCCTTGGAAACGGGAATATCTTCATATAAAATCTAGACGGAAGCATTCTCAGAAACTGCTTTGTGATGTTTGCATTCAAGTCACAGAGTTGAATATTCCCTTTTATAGAGCAGGTTTGAAACACTCTTTCTGCACTACCTGGAAGTGGACATTTGGAGCTCTTTGAGGCCTATGTTGAAAAAGGAAATATCTTCCCATAAAAACTAGACAGAAGCATTCTCAGAAACTTGTTTGTGATGTGTGTATTCAACTAACGGAGATGAACCTTTCTTTTTACAGAGGAGTTTTGAAACACTCTTTTTGTGGAATCTGAAAGTGGATATTTGGATTGCTTTGAGGATTTCGTTGGAAACGGGATTACATATAAAACCTAGAGAGAAGCATTCTCAGGAACTTCTTTGTGATGTTTGCATTCAAGTCACAGAACTGAACATTCCCTTTCATAGAGCAGGTTTGAAACACTCTTTCTGTAGTATCTGCAAGCTGACGTTTCAAGCGCTTTCAGGCCTATGGTGAGAAAGGAAATATCTTCAAGTAAAAACTAGACAGAAGCATTCTCAGAAACTTATTTGCCATGTGTGTTCTCAACTAACAGAGTTGAACCTTTGTTTTGATACGGCATTTTGGAAACACTCTTTTTGTAGAATCTGCAGGTGGATATTCGGATAGCTTTGAAGGTTTCGTTGGAAACGGGAATATCTTCATATAAAATCTAGACGGAAGCATTCTCAGAAACTGCTTTGTGATGTTTTCATTCAAGTCACAGAGTAGAATCTTCGCTTTTATACACCAGGTTTGAGACACTCTTTATGCACTATCTGGAAGTGGACATTTGGAGCGCTTTGAGGCCTATGATGATAAAGGAAATATCTTCCCATAAAAACTAGACAGAAGCATTCTCAGAAACTTGTTTGTGATGTGTGTATTCAACTAACAGAGATGAACCTTTCTTTTTACAGAGCAGTTTTGAAACACTCTTTTTGTGGAATCTGAAAGTGGATATTTGGATAGCTTTGAGGATTTCGTTGGAAACGGGATTACATATAAAATCTAGAGAGAAGCATTCTCAGGAACTTCTTTGTGATGTTTGCATTCAAGTCACAGAACTGAACATTCCCTTTCATAGAGCAGGTTTGAAACACTCTTTCTGTAGTATCTGCAAGCTGACGTTTCAAGCGCTTTCAGGCCTATGGTGAGAAAGGAAATATCTTCAAGTAAAAACTAGACAGAAGCATTCTCAGAAACTTATTTGCGATGTGTGTTCTCAACTAACAGAGTTGAACCTTTGTTTTGATATTGCATTTTGGAAACACTCTTTTTGTAGAATCTGCAGGTGGATATTCGGATAGCTTTGAAGGTTTCGTTGGAAACGGGAATATCTTCATATAAAATCTAGACGGAAGCATTCTCAGAAACTGCTTTGTGATGTTTTCATTCAAGTCACAGAGTAGAATGTTCCCTGTTATATACCAGGTTTGAGACACTCTTTCTGCACTACCTGGAAGTGGACATTTGCAGCGCTTTGAGGCCTATGATGAAAAAGGAAATATCTTCCCATAAAAACTAGACAGAAGCATTCTCAGAAACTTATTTGCGATGTGTGTTCTCAACTAACAGAGTTGAACCTTTGTTTTGATATGGCATTTTGGAAACACTCTTTTTATAGAATCTGCAGGTGGATATTCGGATAGCTTTGAAGGTTTCGTTGGAAACGGGAATATCTTCATATAAAATCTAGACGGAAGCATTCTCAGAAACTTCTCTGTGATGTTTGCATTCAACTCATAGAGTTGAACACTTCCCTTCATACAGCAGGTTTGAAACACTCTTTTTGTAATATTTGGAAGTGGACATTTGCAGCGCTTTGAGGCCTGTGATGAAAAAGGTAATATCTTCCCATAAAAACTAGACAGAAGCATTCTCAGAAACTTCTTTGTGCTGTATGTCCTCAATTAACAGAGTTGAACCTTTGTGTGGATACAGCATTTTGGAAACATTCCTTTAGTAGAATCTGCAAGTTGATATTTAGATAGCTAGGAAGATTTCCTTGGAAACGGGAATATCTTCATATAAAATCTAGACGGAAGCATTCTCAGAAAGTGCTTTGTGATGTTTGCATTCAAGTCACAGAGTTGAATATTCCCTTTTATAGAGCAGGTTTGAAACACTCTTTCTGCACTACCTGGAAGTGGACATTTGGAGCGCTTTGAGGCCTATGTTGAAAAATGAAATATCTTCCCATAAAAACTAGACAGAAGCATTCTCAGAAACTTGTTTGTGATGTGTGTATTCAACTAACAGAGATGAACCTTTCTTTTTACAGAGCAGTTTTGAAACACTCTTTTTGTGGAATCTGAAAGTGGATATTTGGATAGCTTTGAGGATTTCGTTGGAAACGGGATTACATATAAAACCTAGAGAGAAGCATTCTCAGGAACTTCTTTGTGATGTTTGCATTCAAGTCACAGAACTGAACATTCCCTTTCATAGAGCAGGTTTGAAACACTCTTTCTGTAGTATCTGCAAGCTGACGTTTCAAGCGCTTTCAGGCCTATGGTGAGAAAGGAAATATCTTCAAGTAAAAACTAGACAGAAGCATTCTCAGAAACTTATTTGCCATGTGTGTTCTCAACTAACAGAGTTGAAGCTTTGTTTTGATACGGCATTTTGGAAACACTCTTTTTGTAGAATCTGCAGGTGGATATTCGGATAGCTTTGAAGGTTTCGTTGGAAACGGGAATATCTTCATATAAAATCTAGACGGAAGCATTCTCAGAAACTTCTCTGTGATGTTTGCATTCAACTCATAGAGTTGAACACTTCCCTTCATACAGCAGGTTTGAAACACTCTTTTTGTAATATTTGGAAGTGGACATTTGCAGCGCTTTGAGGCCTATGTTGAAAAAGGAAATATCTTCTCCTAAAAACCAGACAGAAGCATTCTCAGAAACTTGTTTGTGATGTGTGTATTCAACTAACAGAGATGAACCTTTCTTTTTACAGAGCAGTTTTGAAACACTCTTTTTGTGGAATCTGAAAGTGGTTATTTGGATAGCTTTGAGGATTTCGTTTGAAAAGGGATTACATATAAAATCTAGAGAAAAGCATTCTCAGGAACTTCTTTGTGATGTTTGCATTCAAGTCACAGAACTGAACATTCCCTTTCATAGAGCAGGTTTGAAACACTCTTTCTGTAGTATCTGCAAGCGGACGTTTTAAGCGCTTTCAGGCCTGTGGTGAGAAAGGAAATATCTTCAAATAAAAACTAGACAGAAGCATTCTCAGAAACTTATTTGCCATGTGTGTTCTCAACTAACAGAGTTGAACCTTTGTTTTGATACGGCATTTTGGAAACACTCTTTTTGTAGAATCTGCAGGTGGATATTCGGATAGCTTTGAAGGTTTCGTTGGAAACGGGAATATCTTCATATAAAATCTAGACGGAAGCATTCTCAGAAACTTCTCTGTGATGCTTGCATTCAACTCATAGAGTTGAACACTTCCTTTCATAGAGCAGGTTTGAAACACTCTGTGCACTACCTGGAAGTGGACATTTGGAGCGCTTTGAGGCGTATGTTGAAAAAGGAAATATCTTCCCATAAAAACTAGACAGAAGCATTCTCAGAAACTTGTTTGTGATGTGTGTATTCAACTAACAGAGATGAACCTTTCTTTTTACAGAGCAGTTTTGAAACACTCTTTTTGTGGAATCTGAAAGTGGATATTTGGATAGCTTTGAGGATTTCGTTGGAAACGGGATTACATATAAAATCTAGGGAGAAGCATTCTCAGGAACTTCTTTGTGATGTTTGCATTCAAGTCACAGAACTGAACATTCCCTTTCATAGAGCATGTTTGAAACACTCTTTCTGTAGTATCTGCAAGCGGACGTTTCAAGCGCTTTCAGGCGTATGGTGAGAAAGGAAATATCTTCAAGAAAAAACTAGACAGAAGCATTCTCAGAAACTTATTTGCGATGTGTGTCCTCAACTAACAGAGTTGAACCTTTCTTTTGATACAACATTTTGGAAACACTCTTTTTGTAGAATCTGCAAGTGGATATTTGGATAGCTTTGAAGGTTTCGTTGGAAACGGGAATATCTTCATATAAAATGAAGACAGAAGCATTCTCAGAAACTTCTCTGTGATGTTTGCATTCAACTCATAGAGTTGAACACTTCCCTTCATACAGCAGGTTTGAAACACTCTTTTTGTAATATTTGGAAGTGGACATTTGCAGCGCTTTGAGGCCTATGATGAAAAAGGTAATATCTTCCCATAAAAACTAGACAGAAGCATTCTCAGAAACTTGTTTGTGATGTGTGTATTCAACTAACAGAGATGAACCTTTCTTTTTACAGAGCAGTTTTGAAACACTCTTTTTGTGGAATCTGAAAGTGGATATTTGGATAGCTTTGAGGATTTCGTTGGAAACGGGATTACATATAAAATCTAGAGAGAAGCATTCTCAGGTAACTTCTTTGTGATGTTTGCATTCACGTCACAGAACTGAACATTCCCTTTCATAGAGCAGGTTTGAAACACTCTTTCTGTAGTATCTGCAAGCTGACGTTTCAAGCGCTTTCAGGCCTATGGTGAGAAAGGAAATATCTTCAAGTAAAAACTAGACAGAAGCATTCTCAGAAACTTCTTTGTGCTGTATGTCCTCAATTAACAGAGTTGAACCTTTGTGTGGATACAGCATTTTGGAAACATTCCTTTAGTAGAATCTGCAAGTTGATATTTAGATAGCTAGGAAGATTTCCTTGGAAACGGGAATATCTTCATATAAAATCTAGACGGAAGCATTCTCAGAAAGTGCTTTGTGAAGTTTGCATTCAAGTCACAGAGTTGAATATTCCCTTTTATAGAGCAGGTTTGAAACACTCTTTCTGCACTACCTGGAAGTGGACATTTGGAGCGCTTTGAGGCCTATGTTGAAAAAGGAAATATCTTCCCATAAAAACTAGACAGAAGCATTCTCAGAAACTTGTTTGTGATGTGTGTATTCAACTAACAGAGATGAACCTTTCTTTTTACAGAGCAGTTTTGAAACACTCTTTTTGTGGAATCTGAAAGTGGATATTTGGATAGCTTTGAGGATTTCGTTGGAAACGGGATTACAGATAAAACCTAGAGAGAAGCATTCTCAGGAACTTCTTTGTGATGTTTGCATTCAAGTCACAGAACTGAACATTCCCTTTCATAGAGCAGGTTTGAAACACTCTTTCTGTAGTATCTGCAAGCGGACGTTTTAAGCGCTTTCAGGCCTGTGGTGAGAAAGGAAATATCTTCAAATAAAAACTAGACAGAAGCATTCTCAGAAACTTATTTGCCATGTGTGTTCTCAACTAACAGAGTTGAACCTTTGTTTTGATACGGCATTTTGGAAACACTCTTTTTGTAGAATCTGCAGGTGGATATTCGGATAGCTTTGAAGGTTTCGTTGGAAACGGGAATATCTTCATATAAAATCTAGACGGAAGCATTCTCAGAAAGTGCTTTGTGATGTTTGCATTCAAGTCACAGAGTTGAATGTTCCCTTTTATAGAGCAGGTTTGAAACACTCTTTCTGCACTACCTGGAAGTGGACATTTGGAGCGCTTTGAGGCCTATGTTGAAAAAGGAAATATCTTCCCATAAAAACTAGACAGAAAGCATTCTCAGGAAACTTGTTTGTGATGTGTGTATTCAACTAACAGAGCATGAACCTTTCTTTTTACAGAGCAGTTTTGAAACACTCTTTTTGTGGAATCTGAAAGTGGATATTTGGATAGCTTTGCGGATTTCGTTGGAAACGGGATTACATATAAAATCTAGGGAGAAGCATTCTCAGGAACTTCTTTGTGATGTTTGCATTCAAGTCACAGAACTGAACATTCCCTTTCATAGAGCAGGTTTGAAACACTCTTTCTGTAGTATCTGCCAGCGGACGTTTTAAGCGCTTTCAGGCCTATGGTGAGAAAGGAAATATCTTCCCATAAAAACTAGACAGAAGCATTCTCAGAAACTTATTTGCGATGTGTGTTCTCAACTAACAGAGTTGAACCTTTGTTTTGATACAGCATTTTGGAAACACTCTTTTTGTAGGATCTGCAGGTGGATATTTGGATAGCTTTGAAGGTTTCGTTGGAAACGGGAATATCTTCATATAAAATCAAGACAGAAGCATTCTCAGAAAGTGCTTTGTGATGTTTGCATTCAAGTCACAGAGTTGAATATTCCCTTTTATAGAGCAGGTTTGAAACACTCTTTCTGCACTACCTGGAAGTGGACATTTGGAGCGCTTTGAGGCCTATGTTGAAAAAGGAAATATCTTCCCATAAAAACTAGACAGAAGCATTCTCAGAAACTTGTTTGTGATGTGTGTATTCAACTAACAGAGATGAACCTTTCTTTTTACAGAGCAGTTTTGAAACACTCTTTTTGTGGAATCTGAAAGTGGATATTTGGATAGCTTTGCGGATTTCGTTGGAAACGGGATTACATATAAAATCTAGGGAGAAGCATTCTCAGGAACTTCTTTGTGATGTTTGCATTCAAGTCACAGAACTGAACATTCCCTTTCATAGAGCAGGTTTGAAACAGTCTTTCTGTAGTATCTGCAAGCTGACGTTTCAAGCGCTTTCAGGCCTATGGTGAGAAAGGAAATATCTTCAAGTAAAAACTAGACAGAAGCATTCTCAGAAACTTATTTGCGATGTGTGTTCTCAACTAACAGAGTTGAACCTTTGTTTTGATATGGCATTTTGGAAACACTCTTTTTGTAGAATCTGCAGGTGGATATTCGGATAGCTTTGAAGGTTTCGTTGGAAACGGGAATATCTTCATATAAAATCTAGACGGAAGCATTCTCAGAAACTGCTTTGTGATGTTTTCATTCAAGTCACAGAGTAGAATGTTCCCCGTTATATACCAGGTTTGAGACACTCTTTCTGCACTACCTGGAAGTGGACATTTGGAGCGCTTTGAGGCCTATGATGAAGAAGGAAATATCTTCCCATAAAAACTAGACAGAAGCATTCTCAGAAACTTGTTTGTGATGTGTGTATTCAACTAACAGAGATGAACCTTTCTTTTTACAGAGCAGTTTTGAAACACTCTTTTTGTGGAATCTGAAAGTGGATATTTGGATAGCTTTGAGGATTTCGTTGGAAACGGGATTACATATAAAACCTAGAGAGAAGCATTCTCAGGAACTTCTTTGTGATGTTTGCATTCAAGTCACAGAACTGAACATTCCCTTTCATAGAGCAGGTTTGAAACAGTCTTTCTGTAGTATCTGCAAGCTGACGTTTCAAGCGCTTTCAGGCCTATGGTGAGAAAGGAAATATCTTCAAGTAAAAACTAGACAGAAGCATTCTCAGAAACTTATTTGCGATGTGTGTTCTCAACTAACAGAGTTGAACCTTTGTTTTGATATGGCATTTTGGAAACACTCTTTTTGTAGAATCTGCAGGTGGATATTCGGATAGCTTTGAAGGTTTCGTTGGAAACGGGAATATCTTCATATAAAATCTAGACGGAAGCATTCTCAGAAACTGCTTTGTGATGTTTTCATTCAAGTCACAGAGTAGAATGTTCCCTGTTATATACCAGGTTTGAGACACTCTTTCTGCACTACCTGGAAGTGGACGTTTGGAGCGCTTTGAGGCCTATGTTGAAAAAGGAAATATCTTCCCATAAAAACTAGACAGAAGCATTCTCAGAAACTTGTTTGTGATGTGTGTATTCAACTAACAGAGATGAACCTTTCTTTTTACAGAGCAGTTTTGAAACACTCTTTTTGTGGAATCTGAAAGTGGATATTTGGATAGCTTTGAGGATTTCGTTGGAAACGGGATTACATATAAAATCTAGAGAGAAGCATTCTCAGGAACTTCTTTGTGATGTTTGCATTCAAGTCACAGAACTGAACATTCCCTTTCATAGAGCATGTTTGAAACACTCCTTCTGTAGTATCTGCAAGCGGACGTTTCAAGCGCTTTCAGGCCTATGGTGAGAAAGGAAATATCTTCAAGTAAAAACTAGACAGAAGCATTCTCAGAAACTTATTTGCCATGTGTGTTCTCAACTAACAGAGTTGAACCTTTGTTTTGATACGGCATTTTGGAAACACTCTTTTTGTAGAATCTGCAGGTGGATATTCGGATAGCTTTGAAGGTTTCGTTGGAAACGGGAATATCTTCATATAAAATCTAGACGGAAGCATTCTCAGAAAGTGCTTTGTGATGTCTTCATTCAAGTCACAGAGTAGAATGTTCCCTTTTATAGAGCAGGTTTGAAACACTCTTTCTGCACTACCTGGAAGTGGACATTTGGAGCGCTTTGAGGCCTATGTTGAAAAAGGAAATATCTTCCCATAAAAACTAGACAGAAGCATTCTCAGAAACTTGTTTGTGATGTGTGTATTCAACTAACAGAGATGAACCTTTCTTTTTACAGAGCAGTTTTGAAACACTCTTTTTGTGGAATCTGAAAGTGGATATTTGGATAGCTTTGAGGATTTCGTTGGAAACGGGATTACATATAAAACCTAGAGAGAAGCATTCTCAGGAACTTCTTTGTGATGTTTGCATTCAAGTCACAGAACTGAACATTCCCTTTCATAGAGCAGGTTTGAAACAGTCTTTCTGTAGTATCTGCAAGCTGACGTTTCAAGCGCTTTCAGGCCTATGGTGAGAAAGGAAATATCTTCAAGTAAAAACTAGACAGAAGCATTGTCAGAAACTTATTTGCCATGTGTGTTCTCAACTAACAGAGTTGAACCTTTGTTTTGATACGGCATTTTGGAAACACTCTTTTTGTAGAATCTGCAGGTGGATATTCGGATAGCTTTGAAGGTTTCGTTGGAAACGGGAATATCTTCATATAAAATCTAGACGGAAGCATTCTCAGAAACTTCTCTGTGATGTTTGCATTCAACTCATAGAGTTGAACACTTCCTTTCATAGAGCTGGTTTGAAATTCTCTTTTTGTAATATTTGGAAGTGGACATTGGCAGCGCTTTGAAGCCTATGGTGAAAAAGGTGATATCTTCTCCTAAAAACCAGACAGAAGCATTCTCAGAATCTTTCTTGTGATGTGTGTACTCAAGTAACAGAGGTGAACCTTCATTTTGACAGAGCAGTTTTGAAGCACTCTTTTTGTAGAATCTGCAAGTGGATATTTTGATACCTTTGAGTATTTCGTTAGACACGGGATATCTTAATATAAAATCTAGACAGAAGCATTCTCAGAAACTTCTTTGTGCTGTATGTCCTCAATTAACAGAGTTGAACCTTTGTGTGGATACAGCATTTTGGAAAAATTCCTTTAGTAGAATCTGCAAGTTGATATTTAGATAGCTAGGAAGATTTCCTTGGAAACGGGAATATCTTCATATAAAATCTAGACGGAAGCATTCTCAGAAACTTCTTTGCGATGTGTGTTCTCAACTAACAGAGTTGAACCTTTGTTTTGATATGGCATTTTGGAAACACTCTTTTTGTAGAATCTGCAGGTGGATATTCGGATAGCTTTGAAGGTTTCGTTGGAAACGGGAATATGTTCATATAAAATCTAGACGGAAGCATTCTCAGAAAGTGCTTTGTGATGTTTGCATTCAAGTCACAGAGTTGAATATTCCCTTTTATAGAGCAGGTTTGAAACACTCTTTCTGCACTACCTGGAAGTGGACATTTGGAGCGCTTTGAGGCCTATGTTGAAAAACGAAATATCTTCCCATAAAAACTAGACAGAAGCATTCTCAGAAACTTGTTTGTGATGTGTGTATTCAACTAACAGAGATGAACCTTTCTTTTTACAGAGCAGTTTTGAAACACTCTTTTTGTGGAATCTGAAAGTGGATATTTGGATAGCTTTGAGGATTTCGTTGGAAACGGGATTACATATAAAACCTAGAGAGAAGCATTCTCAGGAACTTCTTTGTGATGTTTGCATTCAAGTCACAGGACTGAACATTCCCTTTCATAGAGCAGGTTTGAAACACTCTTTCTGTAGTATCTGCAAGCTGACGTTTCAAGCGCTTTCAGGCCTATGGTGACAAAGGAAATATCTTCAAGTAAAAACTAGACAGAAGCATTCTCAGAAACTTATATGCCATGTGTGTTCTGAACTAACAGAGTTGAACCTTTGTTTGGATACGGCATTTTGGAAACACTCTTTTTGTAGAATCTGCAGGTGGATATTCGGATAGCTTTGAAGGTTTCGTTGGAAACGGGAATATCTTCATAGAAAATCTAGACGGAAGCATTCTCAGAAACTGCTTTGTGATGTTTTCATTCAAGTCACAGAGTAGAATGTTCCCTTTTATATACCAGGTTTGAGACACTCTTTCTGCACTATCTGGAAGTGGACATTTGGAGCGCTTTGAGGCCTATGATGAAAAAGGAAATATCTTCCCATAAAAACTAGACAGAAGCATTCTCAGAAACTTGGTTGTGATGTGTGTATTCAACTAACAGAGATGAACCTTTCTTTTTACAGAGCAGTTTTGAAACACTCTTTTTGTAGAATCTGAAAGTGCATATTTGGATAGCTTTGAGGATTTCGTTGGAAACGGGATTACATATAAAATCTAGAGAGAAGCATTCTCAGGAACTTCTTTGTGATGTTTGCATTCACGTCACAGAACTGAACATTCCCTTTCATAGAGCATGTTTGAAACACTCTTTCTGTAGTATCTGCAAACGGACATTTCAAGCGCTTTCAGGCCTATGGTAAGAAAGGAAATATCTTCAAATCAAAACTAGACAGAAGCATTCTCAGAAACTTATTTGCGATGTGTGTCCTCAACTAACAGAGTTGAACCTTTCTTTTGATACAACATTTTGGAAACACTCTTTTTGTAGAATCAGCAAGTGGATATTTGAATAGCTTTGAAGGTTTCGTTGGAAACGGGAATATCTTCATATAAAATCAAGACAGAAGCATTCTCAGAAACTTCTCTGTGATGTTTGCATTCAACTCATAGAGTTGAACACTTCCCTTCATACAGCAGGTTTGAAACACTCTTTTTGTAATATTTGGAAGTGGACATTTGCAGCGCTTTGAGGCCTATGATGAAAAAGGTAATATCTTCCCATAAAAACTAGACAGAAGCATTCTCAGAAACTTGTTTGTGATGTGTGTATTCAACTAACAGAGATGAACCTTTCTTTTTACAGAGCAGTTTTGAAACACTCTTTTTGTGGAATCTGAAAGTGGATATTTGGATAGCTTTGAGGATTTCGTTGGAAACGGGATTACATATAAAATCTAGAGAGAAGCATTCTCAGGAACTTCTTTGTGATGTTTGCATTCAAGTCACAGAACTGAACATTCCCTTTCATAGAGCAGGTTTGAAACACTCTTTCTGTAGTATCTGCAAGCGGACGTTTTAAGCGCTTTCAGGCCTGTGGTGAGAAAGGAAATATCTTCAAATAAAAACTAGACAGAAGCATTCTCAGAAACTTATTTGCGATGTGTGTCCTCAACTAACAGAGTTAAACCTTTCTTTTGATACAACATTTTGGAAACACTCTTTTTGTAGAATCTGCAAGTGGATATTTGGATAGCTTTGAAGGTTTCGTTGGAAACGGGAATATCTTCATATGAAATCAAGACAGAAGCATTCTCAGAAACTGCTTTGTGATGTTTTCATTCAAGTCACAGAGTAGAATGTTCGCTGTTATATACCAGGTTTGAGACACTCTTTCTGCACTACCTGGAAGTGGACGTTTGGAGCGCTTTGAGCCCTATGTTGAAAAAGGAAATATCTTCCCATAAAAACTAGACAGAAGCATTCTCAGAAACTTGTTTGTGATGTGTGTATTCAACTAACAGAGATGAACCTTTCTTTTTACAGAGCAGTTTTGAAACACTCTTTTTGTGGAATCTGAAAGTGGATATTTGGATAGCTTTGCGGATTTCGTTGGAAACGGGATTACATATAAAATCTAGGGAGAAGCATTCTCAGGAACTTCTTTGTGATGTTTGCATTCAAGTCACAGAACTGAACATTCCCTTTCATAGAGCAGGTTTGAAACACTCTTTCTGTAGTATCTGCAAGCGGAAGTTTCAAGCGCTTTCAGGCCTGTGGTGAAAAAGGAAATATCTTCAAATAAAAACTAGACAGAAAGCATTCTCAGAAACTTCTTTGTGCTGTATGTCCTCAATTAACAGAGTTGAACCTTTGTGTGGATACAGCATTTTGGAAACATTCCTTTAGTAGAATCTGCAAGTTGATATTTAGATAGCTAGGAAGATTTCCTTGGAAACGGGAATATCTTCATATAAAATCTAGACGGAAGGCATTCTCAGAAAGTGCTTTGTGATGTTTGCATTCAAGTCACAGAGTTGAATATTCCCTTTTATAGAGCAGGTTTGAAACACTCTTTCTGCACTACCTGGAAGTGGACATTTGGAGCGCTTTGAGGCCTATGTTGAAAAAGGAAATATGTTCCCATAAAAACTGGACAGAAGCATTCTCAGAAACTTGTTTGTGATGTGTGTATTCAACTAACAGAGATGAACCTTTCTTTTTACAGAGCAGTTTTGAAACACTCTTTTTGTGGAATCTGAAAGTGGATATTTGGATAGCTTTGAGGATTTCGTTGGAAACGGGATTACATATAAAACCTAGAGAGAAGCATTCTCAGGAACTTCTTTGTGATGTTTGCATTCAAGTCACAGAACTGAACATTCCCTTTCATAGAGCAGGTTTGAAACAGTCTTTCTGTAGTATCTGCAAGCTGACGTTTCAAGCGCTTTCAGGCCTATGGTGAGAAAGGAAATATCTTCAAGTAAAAACTAGACAGAAGCATTCTCAGAAACTTATTTGCGATGTGTGTTCTCAACTAACAGAGTTGAACCTTTGTTTTGATATGGCATTTTGGAAACACTCTTTTTGTAGAATCTGCAGGTGGATATTCGGATAGCTTTGAAGGTTTCGTTGGAAACGGGAATATCTTCATATAAAATCTAGACGGAAGCATTCTCAGAAACTGCTTTGTGATGTTTTCATTCAAGTCACAGAGTAGAATGTTCCCTGTTATATACCAGGTTTGAGACACTCTTTCTGCACTACCTGGAAGTGGACATTTGCAGCGCTTTGAGGCCTATGATGAAAAAGGAAATATCTTCCCATAAAAACTAGACAGAAGCATTCTCAGAAACTTGTTTGTGATGTGTGTATTCAACTAACAGAGATGAACCTTTCTTTTTACAGAGCAGTTTTGAAACACTCTTTTTGTGGAATCTGAAAGTGGATATTTGGATAGCTTTGCGGATTTCGTTGGAAACGGGATTACATATAAAATCTAGGGAGAAGCATTCTCAGGAACTTCTTTGTGATGTTTGCATTCACGTCACAGAACTGAACATTCCCTTTCATAGAGCATGTTTGAAACACTCTTTCTGTAGTATCTGCAAACGGACATTTCAAACGCTTTCAGGCCTATGGTGAGAAAGGAAATATCTTCAAATAAAAACTAGACAGAAGCATTCTCAGAAACTTCTTTGTGCTGTATGTCCTCAATTAACAGAGTTGAACCTTTGTGTGGATACAGCATTTTGGAAACATTCCTTTAGTAGAATCTGCAAGTTGATATTTAGATAGCTAGGAAGAGTTCCTTGGAAACGGGAATATCTTCATATAAAATCTAGACGGAAGCATTCTCAGAAACTTCTCTGTGATGTTTGCATTCAACTCATAGAGTTGAACACTTCCCTTCATACAGCAGGTTTGAAACACTCTTTTTGTAATATTTGGAAGTGGACATTTGCAGCGCTTTGAGGCCTATGATGAAAAAGGTAATATCTTCCCATAAAAACTAGACAGAAGCATTCTCAGAAACTTGTTTGTGATGTGTGTATTCAACTAACAGAGATGAACCTTTCTTTTTACAGAGCAGTTTTGAAACACTCTTTTTGTGGAATCTGAAAGTGGATATTTGGATAGCTTTGAGGATTTCGTTGGAAACGGGATTACATATAAAACCTAGAGAGAAGCATTCTCAGGAACTTCTTTGTGATGTTTGCATTCAAGTCACAGAACTGAACATTCCCTTTCATAGAGCATGTTTGAAACACTCTTTCTGTAGTATCTGCAAGCGGACGTTTTAAGCGCTTTCAGGCCTGTGGTGAGAAAGGAAATATCTTCAAATAAAAACTAGACAGAAGCATTCTCAGAAACTTATTTGCGATGTGTGTTCTCAACTAACAGAGTTGAACCTTTGTTTTGATATGGCATTTTGGAAACACTCTTTTTGTAGAATCTGCAGGTGGATATTCGGATAGCTTTGAAGGTTTCGTTGGAAACGGGAATATCTTCATATAAAATCTAGACGGAAGCATTCTGAGAAACTGCTTTGTGATGTTTTCATTCAAGTCACAGAGTAGAATGTTCCCTGTTATATACCAGGTTTGAGACACTCTTTCTGCACTACCTGGAAGTGGACATTTGCAGCGCTTTGAGGCCTATGATGAAAAAGGAAATATCTTCCCATAAAAACTAGACAGAAGCATTCTCAGAAACTTGTTTGTGATGTGTGTATTCAACTAACAGAGATGAACCTTTCTTTTTACAGAGCAGTTTTGAAACACTCTTTTTGTGGAATCTGAAAGTGGATATTTGGATAGCTTTGAGGATTTCGTTGGAAACGGGATTACATATAAAATCTAGAGAGAAGCATTCTCAGGAACTTCTTTGTGATGTTTGCATTCAAGTCACAGAACTGAACATTCCCTTTCATAGAGCAGGTTTGAAACACTCTTTCTGTAGTATCTGCAAGCTGACGTTTCAAGCGCTTTCAGGCCTATGGTGAGAAAGGAAATATCTTCAAGTAAAAACTAGACAGAAGCATTCTCAGAAACTTATTTGCCATGTGTGTTCTCAACTAACAGAGTTGAACCTTTGTTTTGATATGGCATTTTGGAAACACTCTTTTTGTAGAATCTGCAGGTGGATATTCGGATAGCTTTGAAGGTTTCGTTGGAAACGGGAATATCTTCATATAAAATCTAGACGGAAGCATTCTCAGAAACTGCTTTGTGATGTTTTCATTCAAGTCACAGAGTAGAATGTTCCCTGTTATATACCAGGTTTGAGACACTCTTTCTGCACTACCTGGAAGTGGACGTTTGGAGCGCTTTGAGGCGTATGTTGAAAAAGGAAATATCTTCCCATAAAAATTAGACAGAAGCATTCTCAGCAAACTTGTTTGTGATGTGTGTATTCAACTAACAGAGATGAACCTTTCTTTTTACAGAGCAGTTTTGAAACACTCTTTTTGTGGAATCTGAAAGTGGATATTTGGATAGCTTTGAGGATTTCGTTGGAAACGGGATTACATATAAAATCTAGAGAGAAGCATTCTCAGGAACTTCTTTGTGATGTTTGCATTCACGTCACAGAACTGAACATTCCCTTTCATAGAGCATGTTTGAAACACTCTTTCTGTAGTATCTGCAAACGGACATTTCAAACGCTTTCAGGCCTATGGTGAGAAAGGAAATATCTTCAAATAAAAACTAGACAGAAGCATTCTCAGAAACTTCTTTGTGCTGTATGTCCTCAATTAACAGAGTTGAACCTTTGTGTGGATACAGCATTTTGGAAACACTCCTTTAGTAGGATATGCAAGTTGATATTTAGATAGCTAGGAAGATTTCCTTGGAAACGGGAATATCTTCATATAAAATCTAGACGGAAGCATTCTCAGAAAGTGCTTTGTGATGTTTGCATTCAAGTCACAGAGTTGAATATTCCCTTTTATAGAGCAGGTTTGAAACACTCTTTCTGCACTACCTGGAAGTGGACATTTGGAGCGCTTTGAGGCCTATGTTGAAAAAGGAAATATCTTCCCATAAAAACTAGACAGAAGCATTCTCAGAAACTTGTTTGTGATGTGTGTATTCAACTAACAGAGATGAACCTTTCTTTTTACAGAGCAGTTTTGAAACACTCTTTTTGTGGAATCTGAAAGTGGATATTTGGATAGCTTTGAGGATTTCGTTGGAAACGGGATTACATATAAAACCTAGAGAGAAGCATTCTCAGGAACTTCTTTGTGATGTTTGCATTCAAGTCACAGAACTGAACATTCCCTTTCATAGAGCATGTTTGAAACACTCTTTCTGTAGTATGTGCAAACGGACATTTCAAACGCTTTCAGGCCTATGGTGAGAAAGGAAATATCTTCAAATAAAAACTAGACAGACAAGCATTCTCAGAAACTTCTTTGTGCTGTATGTCCTCAATTAACAGAGTTGAACCTTTGTGTGGATACAGCATTTTGGAAACATTCCTTTAGTAGAATCTGCAAGTAGATATTTAGATAGCTAGGAAGATTTCCTTGGAAACGGGAATATCTTCATATAAAATCTAGACGGAAGCATTCTCAGAAACTTCTCTGTGATGTTTGCATTCAACTCATAGAGTTGAACACTTCCCTTCATACAGCAGGTTTGAAACACTCTTTTTGTAATATTTGGAAGTGGACATTTGCAGCGCTTTGAGGCCTATGATGAAAAAGGAAATATCTTCCCATAAAAACTAGACAGAAGCATTCTCAGAAACTTGTTTGTGATCTGTGTATTCAACTAACAGAGATGAACCTTTCTTTTTACAGAGCAGTTTTGAAACACTCTTTTTGTGGAATCTGAAAGTGGATATTTGGATAGCTTTGAGGATTTCGTTGGAAACGGGATTACATATAAAATCTAGAGAGAAGCATTCTCAGGAACTTCTTTGTGATGTTTGCATTCAAGTCACAGAACTGAACATTCCCTTTCATAGAGCAGGTTTGAAACACTCTTTCTGTAGTATCTGCAAGCGGACGTTTTAAGCACTTTCAGGCCTGTGGTGAGAAAGGAAATATCTTCAAATAAAAACTAGACAGAAGCATTCTCAGAAACTTATTTGCGATGTGTGTCCTCAACTAACAGAGTTGAACCTTTCTTTTGATACAACATTTTGGAAACACTCTTTTTGTAGAATCTGCAAGTGGATATTTGGATAGCTTTGAAGGTTTCGTTGGAAACGGGAATATCTTCATATGAAATCAAGACAGAAGCATTCTCAGAAACTTCTCTGTGATGTTTGCATTCAACTCATAGAGTTGAACACTTCCCTTCATACAGCAGGTTTGAAACACTCTTTTTGTAATATTTGGAAGTGGACATTTGCAGCGCTTTGAGGCCTATGATGAAAAAGGTAATATCTTCCCATAAAAACTAGACAGAAGCATTCTCAGAAACTTGTTTGTGATGTGTGTATTCAACTAACAGAGATGAACCTTTCTTTTTACAGAGCAGTTTTGAAACACTCTTTTTGTGGAATCTGAAAGTGGATATTTGGATAGCTTTGAGGATTTCGTTGGAAACGGGATTACATATAAAATCTAGAGAGAAGCATTCTCAGGAACTTCTTTGTGATGTTTGCATTCAAGTCACAGAACTGAACATTCCCTTTCATAGAGCAGGTTTGAAACACTCTTTCTGTAGTATCTGCAAGCGGACGTTTCAAGCGCTTTCAGGCATGTGGTGAAAAAGGAAATATCTTCAAATAAGAACTAGACAGAAGCATTCTCAGAAACTTATTTGCGATGTGTGTCCTCAGCTAACAGAGTTGAACCTTTCTTTTGATACAACATTTTGGAACCACTCTTTTTGTAGAATCTGCAAGTGGATATTTGGATAGCTTTGAAGGTTTCGTTGGAAACGGGAATATCTTCATATAAATTCAAGACAGAAGCATTCTCAGCAAACTTCTCTGTGATGTTTGCATTCAACTCATAGAGTTGAACACTTCCCTTCATACAGCAGGTTTGAAACACTCTTTTTGTAATATTTGGAAGTGGACATTTGCAGCGCTTTGAGGCCTATGATGAAAAAGGAAATATCTTCCCATAAAAACTAGACAGAAGCATTCTCAGAAACTTGTTTGTGATGTGTGTATTCAACTAACAGAGATGAACCTTTCTTTTTACAGAGCAGTTTTGAAACACTCTTTTTGTGGAATCTGAAAGTGGATATTTGGATAGCTTTGCGGATTTCGTTGGAAACGGGATTACATATAAAATCTAGGGAGAAGCATTCTCAGGAACTTCTTTGTGATGTTTGCATTCAAGTCACAGGACTGAACATTCCCTTTCATAGAGCAGGTTTGAAACACTCTTTCTGTAGTATCTGCAAGCTGACGTTTCAAGCGCTTTCAGGCCTATGGTGAGAAAGGAAATATCTTCAAGTAAAAACTAGACAGAAGCATTCTCAGAAACTTATTTGCCATGTGTGTTCTCAACTAACAGAGTTGAACCTTTGTTTTGATACGGCATTTTGGAAACACTCTTTTTGTAGAATCTGCAGGTGGATATTCGGATAGCTTTGAAGGTTTCGTTGGAAACGGGAATATCTTCATATAAAATCTAGACGGAAGCATTCTCAGAAACTGCTTTGTGATGTTTTCATTCAAGTCACAGAGTAGAATCTTCCCTGTTATATACCAGGTTTGAGACACTGTTTCTGCACTACCTGGAAGTGGACATTTGCAGCGCTTTGAGGCCTATGTTGAAAAAGGAAATATCTTCCCATAAAAACTAGACAGAAGCATTCTCAGAAACTTGTTTGTGATGTGTGTATTCAACTAACAGAGATGAACCTTTCTTTTTACAGAGCAGTTTTGAAACACTCTTTTTGTGGAATCTGAAAGTGGATATTTGGATAGCTTTGAGGATTTCGTTGGAAACGGGATTACATATAAAACCTAGAGAGAAGCATTCTCAGGAACTTCTTTGTGATGTTTGCATTCAAGTCACAGAACTGAACATTCCCTTTCATAGAGCAGGTTTGAAACTCTCTTTCTGTAGTATCTGCAAGCTGATGTTTCAAGCGCTTTCAGGCCTATGGTGAGAAAGGAAATATCTTCAAGTAAAAACTAGACAGAAGCATTCTCAGAAACTTATTTGCCATGTGTGTTCTCAACTAACAGAGTTGAACCTTTGTTTTGATACGGCATTTTGGAAACACTCTTTTTGTAGAATCTGCAGGTGGATATTCGGATAGCTTTGAAGGTTTCGTTGGAAACGGGAATATCTTCATATAAAATCTAGACGGAAGCATTCTCAGAAACTGCTTTGTGATGTTTTCATTCAAGTCACAGAGTAGAATGTTCCCTGTTATATACCAGGTTTGAGACACTCTTTCTGCACTACCTGGAAGTGGACGTTTGGAGCGCTTTGAGGCGTATGTTGAAAAAGGAAATATCTTCCCATAAAAATTAGACAGAAGCATTCTCAGAAACTTGTTTGTGATGTGTGTATTCAACTAACAGAGATGAACCTTTCTTTTTACAGAGCAGTTTTGAAACACTCTTTTTGTGGAATCTGAAAGTGGATATTTGGATAGCTTTGAGGATTTCGTTGGAAACGGGATTACATATAAAATCTAGGGAGAAGCATTCTCAGGAACTTCTTTGTGATGTTTGCATTCAAGTCACAGAACTGAACATTCCCTTTCATAGAGCAGCTTTGAAACACTCTTTCTGTAGCATCTGCAAGCGGAAGTTTCAAGCGCTTTCAGGCCTGTGGTGAAAAAGGAAATATCTTCAAATAAAAACTAGACAGAAGCATTCTCAGAAACTTATTTGCGATGTGTGTTCTCAACTAACAGAGTTGAACCTTTGTTTTGATATGGCATTTTGGAAACACTCTTTTTGTAGAATCTGCAGGTGGATATTCGGATAGCTTTGAAGGTTTCGTTGGAAACGGGAATATCTTCATATAAAATCTAGACGGAAGCATTCTCAGAAACTGCTTTGTGATGTTTTCATTCAAGTCACAGAGTAGAATGTTCCCTGTTATATACCAGGTTTGAGACACTATTTCTGCACTACCTGGAAGTGGACATTTGGAGCGCTTTGAGGCCTATGATGAAAAAGGAAATATCTTCCCATAAAAACTAGACAGAAGCATTCTCAGAAACTTATTTGTGATGTGTATATTCAACTAACAGAGATGAACCTTTGTTTTTACAGAGCAGTTTTGAAACACTCTTTTTGTGGAATCTGAAAGTGGATATTTGGATAGCTTTGAGGATTTCGTTGGAAACGGGATTACATATAAAATCTAGGGAGAAGCATTCTCAGGAACTTCTTTGTGATGTTTGCATTCAAGTCACAGAACTGAACATTCCCTTTCATAGAGCATGTTTGAAACACTCTTTCTGTAGTATCTGCAAACGGACATTTCAAGCGCTTTCAGGACTATGGTAAGAAAGGAAATATCTTCAAATAAAAACTAGACAGGAAGCATTCTCAGAAACTTATTTGCGATGTGTGTCCTCAACTAACAGAGTTGAACCTTTCTTTTGATACAACATTTTGGAAACACTCTTTTTGTGGAATCTGCAAGTGGATATTTGGATAGCTTTGAAGGTTTCGTTGGAAACGGGAATATCTTCATATAAAATCAAGACAGAAGCATTCTCAGAAACTTCTCTGTGATGTTTGCATTCAACTCATAGAGTTGAACACTTCCCTTCATACAGCAGGTTTGAAACACTCTTTTTCTAATATTTGGAAGTGGACTTTTGCAGCGCTTTGAAGCCTATGATGAAAAAGGTAATATCTTCCCATAAAAACTAGAAAGAAGCATTCTCAGAAACTTGTTTGTGATGTGTGTATTCAACTAACAGAGATGAACCTTTCTTTTTACAGAGCAGTTTTGAAACACTCTTTTTGTGGAATCTGAAAGTGGATATTTGGATAGCTTTGAGGATTTCGTTGGAAACGGGATTACATATAAAACCTAGAGAGAAGCATTCTCAGGAACTTCTTTGTGATGTTTGCAGTCAAGTCACAGAACTGAACATTCCCTTTCATAGAGCAGGTTTGAAACACTCTTTCTGTAGTATCTGCAAGCTGACGTTTCATGCGCTTTCAGGCCTATGGTGAGAAAGGAAATATCTTCAAGTAAAAACTAGACAGAAGCATTCTCAGAAACTTATTTGCCATGTGTGTTCTCAACTAACAGAGTTGAACCTTTGTTTTGATACGGCATTTTGGAAACACTCTTTTTGAAGAATCTGCAGGTGGATATTCGGATAGCTTTGAAGGTTTCGTTGGAAACGGGAATATCTTCATATAAAATCTAGACGGAAGCATTCTCAGAAACTGCTTTGTGATGTTTTCATTCAAGTCACAGAGTAGAATGTTCCCTGTTATATACCAGGTTTGAGACACTCTTTCTGCACTACCTGGAAGTGGACGTTTGGAGCGCTTTGAGGCCTATGTTGAGAAAGGAAATATCTTCCCATAAAAACTAGACAGAAGCATTCTCAGAAACTTGTTTGTGATGTGTGTATTCAACTAACAGAGATGAACCTTTCTTTTTACAGAGCAGTTTTGAAACACTCTTTTTGTGGAATCTGAAAGTGGATATTTGGATAGCTTTGCGGATTTCGTTGGAAACGGGATTACATATAAAATCTAGGGAGAAGCATTCTCAGGAACTTCTTTGTGATGTTTGCATTCAAGTCACAGAACTGAACATTCCCTTTCATAGAGCAGGTTTGAAACACTCTTTCTGTAGTATCTGCAAGCGGACGTTTTAAGCGCTTTCAGGCCTGTGGTGAGAAAGGAAATATCTTCAAATAAAAACTAGACAGAAGCATTCTCAGAGACTTATTTGCGATGTGTGTCCTCAACTAACAGAGTTGAACCTTTCTTTTGATACAACATTTTGGAAACACTCTTTTTGTAGAATCTGCAAGTGGATATTTGGATAACTTTGAAGGTTTCGTTGGAAACGGGAATATCTTCATATGAAATCAAGACAGAAGCATTCTCAGAAACTGCTTTGTGATGTTTTCATTCAAGTCACAGAGTAGAATGTTCCCTGTTATATACCAGGTTTGAGACACTCTTTCTGCACTACCTGGAAGTGGACGTTTGGAGCGCTTTGAGGCCTATGTTGAAAAAGGAAATATCTTCCCATAAAAACTAGACAGAAGCATTCTCAGAAACTTGTTTGTGATGTGTGTATTCAACTAACAGGGATGAACCTTTCTTATTACAGAGCAGTTTTGAAACACTCTTTTTGTGGAATCTGAAAGTGGATATTTGGATAGCTTTGAGGATTTCGTTGGAAACGGGATTACATATAAAACCTAGAGAGAAGCATTCTCAGGAACTTCTTTGTGATGTTTGCATTCAAGTCACAGAACTTAACATTCCCTGTCATAGAGCATGTTTGAAACACTCTTTCTGTAGTATCTGCAAGCGGACGTTTCAAGCGCTTTCAGGCCTATGGTGAGAAAGGAAGTATCTTCAAGTAAAAACTAGACAGAAGCATTCTCAGAGACTTATTTGCGATGTGTGTCCTCAACTAACAGAGTTGAACCTTTCTTTTGATACAACATTTTGGAAACACTCTTTTTGTAGAACCTGCAAGTGGATATTTGGATAACTTTGAAGGTTTCGTTGGAAACGGGAATATCTTCATATGAAATCAAGACAGAAGCATTCTCAGAAACTTCTCTGTGATGTTTGCATTCAACTCATAGAGTTGAACACTTCCCTTCATACAGCAGGTTTGAAACACTCTTTTTCTAATATTTGGAAGTGGACATTTGCAGCGCTTTGAGGCCTATGTTGAAAAAGGAAATATCTTCTCCTAAAAACCAGACAGAAGCATTCTCAGAAACTTGTTTGTGATGTGTGTATTCAACTAACAGAGATGAACCTTTCTTTTTACAGAGCAGTTTTGAAACACTCTTTTTGTGGAATCTGAAAGTGGATATTTGGATAGCTTTGCGGATTTCGTTGGAAACGGGATTACATATAAAATCTAGGGAGAAGCATTCTCAGGAACTTCTTTGTGATGTTTGCATTCAAGTCACAGAACTGAACATTCCCTTTCATAGAGCAGGTTTGAAACACTCTTTCTGTATTGTCTGCAAGCTGACGTTTCAAGCGCTTTCAGGCCTATGGTGAGAAAAGAAATATCTTCAAGTAAAAACTAGACAGAAGCATTCTCAGAAACTTATTTGCGATGTGTGTTCTCAACTAACAGAGTTGAACCTTTGTTTTGATATGGCATTTTGGAAACATTCTTTTTGTAGAATCTGCAGGTGGATATTCGGATAGCTTTGAAGGTTTCGTTGGAAACGGGAATATCTTCATATAAAATCTAGACGGAAGCATTCTCAGAAACTTCTCTGTGATGTTTGCATTCAACTCATAGAGTTGAACACTTCCCTTCATACAGCAGGTTTGAAACACTCTTTTTCTAATATTTGGAAGTGGACATTTGCAGCGCTTTGAGGCCTATGTTGAAAAAGGAAATATCTTCTCCTAAAAACCAGACAGAAGCATTCTCAGAAACTTGTTTGAGATGTGTGTATTCAACGAACAGAGATGAACCTTTCTTTTTACAGAGCAGTTTTGAAACACTCTTTTTGTGGAATCTGAAAGTGGATATTTGGATAGCTTTGAGGATTTCGTTGGAAACGGGATTACATATAAAATCTAGAGAGAAGCATTCTCAGGCAACTTCTTTGTGATGTTTGCATTCACGTCACAGAACTGAACATTCCCTTTCATAGAGCATGTTTGAAACACTCTTTCTGTAGTATCTGCAAACGGACATTTCAAACGCTTTCAGGCCTATGGTGAGAAAGGAAATATCTTCAAATAAAAACTAGACAGAAGCATTCTCAGAAACTTATTTGCCATGTGTGTTCTCAACTAACAGAGTTGAACCTTTGTTTTGATACGGCATTTTGGAAACACTCTTTTTGTAGAATCTGCAGGTGGATATTCGGATAGCTTTGAAGGTTTCGTTGGAAACGGGAATATCTTCATATAAAATCTAGACGGAAGCATTCTCAGAAAGTGCTTTGTGATGTTTGCATTCAAGTCACAGAGTTGAATATTCCCTTTTATAGAGCAGGTTTGAAACACTCTTTCTGCACTACCTGGAAGTGGACATTTGGAGCGCTTTGAGGCCTATGTTGAAAAAGGAAATATCTTCCCATAAAAACTAGACAGAAGCATTCTCAGAAACTTGTTTGTGATGTGTGTATTCAACTAACAGAGATGAACCTTTCTTTTTACAGAGCAGTTTTGAAACACTCTTTTTGTGGAATCTGAAAGTGGATATTTGGATAGCTTTGAGGATTTCGTTGGAAACGGGATTACATATAAAATCTAGAGAGAAGCATTCTCAGGAACTTCTTTGTGATGTTTGCATTCAAGTCACAGACCTGAACATTCCCTTACATAGAGCATGTTTGAAACACTCTTTCTGTAGTATCTGCAAGCTGACGTTTCAAGCGCTTTCAGGCCTGTGGTGAGAAAGGAAATATCTTCAAGTAAAAAATAGACAGAAGCATTCTCAGAAACTTATTTGCCATGTGTGTTCTCAACTAACAGAGTTGAACCTTTGTTTTGATACGGCATTTTGGAAACACTCTTTTTGTAGAATCTGCAAGTGGATATTCGGATAGCTTTGAAGGTTTCGTTGGAAACGGGAATATCTTCATATAAAATCTAGACGGAAGCATTCTCAGAAACTGCTTTGTGATGTTTCATTCAAGTCACAGAGTAGAATGTTCCCTTTTATAGAGCAGGTTTGAGACACTCTTTCTGCACTACCTGGAAGTGGACATTTGGAGCGCTTTGAGGCCTATGTTGAAAAAGGAAATATCTTCCCATAAACACTAGACAGAATCATTCTCAGAAACTTGTTTGTGATGTGTGTATTCAACTAACAGAGATGAACCTTTCTTTTTACAGAGCAGTTTTGAAACACTCTTTTTGTGGAATCTGAAAGTGGATATTTGGATAGCTTTGAGGATTTCGTTGGAAACGGGATTACATATAAAATCTAGGGAGAAGCATTCTCAGGAACTTCTTTGTGATGTTTGCATTCAAGTCACAGAACTGAACATTCCCTTTCATAGAGCAGGTTTGAAACACTCTTTCTGTAGTATCTGCAAGTGGACGTTTCAAGCGCTTTCAGGCCTGTGGTGAAAAAGGAAATATCTTCAAATAAAAACTAGACAGAAGCATTCTCAGAAACTTATTTGCGATGTGTGTTCTCAGCTAACAGAGTTGAACCTTTGTTTTGATACAGCATTTTGGAAACACTCTTTTTGTAGGATCTGCAGGTGGATGTTTGGATAGCTTTGAAGGTTTCTTTGGAAACGGGAATATCTTCATATAAAATCAAGACAGAAGCATTCTCAGAAACTGCTTTGTGATGTTTTCATTCAAGTCACAGAGTAGAATGTTCGCTGTTATATACCAGGTTTGAGACACTCTTTCTGCACTACCTGGAAGTGGACGTTTGGAGCGCTTTGAGCCCTATGTTGAAAAAGGAAATATCTTCCCATAAAAAGTAGACAGAAGCATTCTCAGAAACTTGTTTGTGATGTGTGTATTCAACTAACAGAGATGAACCTTTCTTTTTACAGAGCAGTTTTGAAACACTCTTTTTGTGGAATCTGAAAGTGGATATTTGGATAGCTTTGAGGATTTCGTTGGAAACGGGATTACATATAAAATCTAGAGAGAAGCATTCTGAGGAACTTCTTTGTGATGTTTGCATTCAAGTCACAGAACTGAACATTCCCTTTCATAGAGCATGTTTGAAACACTCTTTCTGTAGTATCTGCAAGCGGACGTTTCAAGCGCTTTCAGGCCTATGGAGAGAAAGGAAATATCTTCAAGTAAAAACTAGACAGAAGCATTCTCAGAAACTTATTTGCCATGTGTGTTCTCAACTAACAGAGTTGAACCTTTGTTTTGATACGGCATTTTGGAAACACTCTTTTTGTAGAATCTGCAGGTGGATATTCGGATAGCTTTGAAGGTTTCGTTGGAAACGGGAATATCTTCATAGAAAATCTAGACGGAAGCATTCTCAGAAACTGCTTTGTGATGTTTTCATTCAAGTCACAGAGTAGAATGTTCCCTGTTATATACCAGGTTTGAGACACTCTTTCTGCACTACCTGGAAGTGGACATTTGCAGCGCTTTGAGGCCTATGATGAAAAAGGAAATATCTTCCCATAAAAACTAGACAGAAGCATTCTCAGAAACTTGTTTGTGATGTGTGTATTCAACTAACAGAGATGAACCTTTCTTTTTACAGAGCAGTTTTGAAACAGTCTTTTTGTGGAATCTGAAAGTGGATATTTGGATAGCTTTGAGGATTTCGTTGGAAACGGGATTACATATAAAATCTAGGGAGAAGCATTCTCAGGAACTTCTTTGTGATGTTTGCATTCAAGTCACAGAACTGAACATTCCCTTTCATAGAGCAGGTTTGAAACACTCTTTCTGTAGTATCTGCAAGCGGACGTTTTAAGCGCTTTCAGGCCTGTGGTGAGAAAGGAAATATCTTCAAATAAAAACTAGACAGAAGCATTCTCAGAAACTTATTTGCGATGTGTGTCCTCAACTAACAGAGTTGAACCTTTGTTTTGATACAGCATTTTGGAAACACTCTTTTTGTAGGATCTGCAGGTGGATATTTGGATAGCTTTTAAGGTTTCGTTGGAAACGGGAATATCTTCATATAAAATCAAGACAGAAGCATTCTCAGAAACTTCTCTGTGATGTTTGCATTCAACTCATAGAGGTGAACACTTCCCTTCATAGAGCAGGTTTGAAACACTCTTTTTGTAATATTTGGAAGTGGACATTTGCAGCGCTTTGAGGCCTATGTTGAAAAAGGAAATATCTTCTCCTAAAAACCAGACAGAAGCATTCTCAGAAACTTCCTTGTGATGTGTGTACTCAAGTAACAGAGTTGAACCTTCCTTTTGACAGAGCAGTTTTGAAGCACTCTTTTTGTAGAATCTGCAAGTGGATATTTTGATACCTTTGAGGATTTCGTTGGACACGGGATATCTTCATATAAAATCTAGACAGAAGCATTCTCAGGAACTTCTTTGTGATGTTTGCATTCAAGTCACAGAACTGAACATTCCCTTTCATAGAGCAGGTTTGAAACACTCTTTCTGTAGTATCTGCAAGCGGACGTTTTAAGCGCTTTCAGGCCTGTGGTGAGAAAGGAAATATCTTCAAATAAAAACTAGACAGAAGCATTCTCAGAAACTTATTTGCGATGTGTGTTCTCAACTAACAGAGTTGAACCTTTGTTTTGATATGGCATTTTGGAAACACTCTTTTTGTAGAATCTGCAGGTGGATATTCGGATAGCTTTGAAGGTTTCGTTGGAAACGGGAATATCTTCATATAAAATCTAGACGGAAGCATTCTCAGAAACTGCTTTGTGATGTTTTCATTGAAGTCACAGAGTAGAATGTTCCCTTTTATATACCAGGTTTGAGACACTCTTTCTGCACTATCTGGAAGTGGACATTTGGAGCGCTTTGAGGCCTATGATGAAAAAGGAAATATCTTCCCATAAAAACTAGACAGAAGCATTCTCAGAAACTTGTTTGTGATGTGTGTATTCAACTAACAGAGATGAACCTTTCTTTTTAGAGACCAGTTTTGAAACAGTCTTTTTGTGGAATCTGGAAGTAGATATTTGGATACCTTTGAGGATTTCTTTGGAAACGGGATATCTTCATATAAAATCTAGACAGAAGCATTCTCAGGAACTTCTTTGTGATGTTTGCATTCAAGTCACAGAACTGAACATTCCCTTTCATAGAGCAGGTGTGAAACACTCTTTCTGTAGTATCTGCAAGCTGACGTTTCAAGCGCTTTCAGGCCTATGGTGAGAAAGGAAATATCTTCAAGTAAAAACTAGACAGAAACATTCTCAGAAACTTATTTGCCATGTGTGTTCTCAACTAACAGAGTTGAACCTTTGTTTTGATACGGCATTTTGGAAACACTCTTTTTGTAGAATCTGCAGGTGGATATTCGAATAGCTTTGAAGGTTTCGTTGGAAACGGGAATATCTTCATATAAAATCTAGACGGAAGCATTCTCAGAAACTGCTTTGTGATGTTTTCATTCAAGTCACAGAGTAGAATGTTCCCTGTTATATACCAGGTTTGAGACACTCTTTCTGCACTACCTGGAAGTGGACATTTGCAGCGCTTTGAGGCCTATGATGAAAAAGGAAATATCTTCCCATAAAAACTAGACAGAAGCATTCTCAGAAACTTGTTTGTGATGTGTGTATTCAACTAACAGAGATGAACCTTTCTTTTTACAGAGCAGTTTTGAAACACTCTTTTTGTGGAATCTGAAAGTGGATATTTGGATAGCTTTGAGGATTTCGTTGGAAACGGGATTACATATAAAACCTAGAGAGAAGCATTCTCAGGCAACTTCTTTGTGATGTTGGCCTTCAAGTCACAGGACTGAACATTCCCTTTCATAGAGCAGGTTTGAAACACTCTTTCTGTAGTATCTGCAAGCTGACGTTTCAAGCGCTTTCAGGCCTATGGTGAGAAAGGAAATATCTTCAAGTAAAAACTAGACAGAAGCATTCTCAGAAACTTATTTGCCATGTGTGTTCTCAACTAACAGAGTTGAACCTTTGTTTTGATACGGCATTTTGGAAACACTCTTTTTGTAGAATCTGCAGGTGGATATTCGGATAGCTTTGAAGGTTTCGTTGGAAACGGGAATATCTTCATATAAAATCTAGACGGAAGCATTCTCAGAAAGTGCTTTGTGATGTTTGCATTCAAGTCACAGAGTTGAATATTCCCTTTTATAGAGCAGGTTTGAAACACTCTTTCTGCACTACCTGGAAGTGGACATTTGGAGCGCTTTGAGGCCTATGTTGAAAAAGGAAATATCTTCCCATAAAAACTAGACAGAAGCATTCTCAGAAACTTGTTTGTGATGTGTGTATTCAACTAACAGAGATGAACCTTTCTTTTTACAGAGCAGTTTTGAAGCACTCTTTTTGTAGAATCTGCAAGTGGATATTTTGATACCATTGAGGATTTCGTTGGACACGGGATATCTTCATATAAAATCTAGACAGAAGCATTCTCAGGAACTTCTTTGTGATGTTTGCATTCAAGTCACAGAACTGAACATTCCCTTTCATAGAGCAGGTTTGAAACACTCTTTCTGTAGTATCTGCAAGCTGACGTTTCAAGCGCTTTCAGGCCTATGGTGAGAAAGGAAATATCTTCAAGTAAAAACTAGACAGAAGCATTCTCAGAAACTTATTTGCCATGTGTGTTCTCAACTAACAGAGTTGAACCTTTGTTTTGATATGGCATTTTGGAAACACTCTTTTTGTAGAATCTACAGGTGGATATTCGGATAGCTTTGAAGGTTTCGTTGGAAACGGGAATATCTTCATATAAAATCTAGACGGAAGCATTCTCAGAAACTGCTTTGTGATGTTTTCATTCAAGTCACAGAGTAGAATGTTCCCTGTTATATACCAGGTTTGAGACACTCTTTCTGCACTACCTGGAAGTGGACATTTGCAGCGCTTTGAGGCCTATGATGAAAAAGGAAATATCTTCCCAGAAAAACTAGACAGAAGCATTCTCAGAAACTTGTTTGTGATGTGTGTATTCAACTAACAGAGATGAACCTTTCTTTTTACAGAGCAGTTTTGAAACACTCTTTTTGTGGAATCTGAAAGTGGATATTTGGATAGCTTTGAGGATTTCGTTGGAAACGGGATTACATATAAAATCTAGAGAGAAGCATTCTCAGGAACTTCTTTGTGATGTTTGCATTCACGTCACAGAACTGAACATTCCCTTTCATAGAGCATGTTTGAAACACTCTTTCTGTAGTATCTGCAAACGGACATTTCAAACGCTTTCAGGCCTATGGTGAGAAAGGAAATATCTTCAAATAAAAACTAGACAGAAGCATTCTCAGAAACTTATTTGCGATGTGTGTCCTCAACTAACAGAGTTGAACCTTTGTTTTGATACAACATTTTGGAAACACTCTTTTTGTAGAATCTGCAAGTGGATATTTGGATAGCTTTGAAGGTTTCGTTGGAAACGGGAATATCTTCATATAAAATCAAGACAGAAGCATTTTCAGAAACTTATCTGTGATGTTTGCATTCAACTCATAGAGTTGAACACTTCCCTTCATACAGCAGGTTTGAAGCACTCTTTTTGTAATATTTGGAAGTGGACATTTGCAGCGCTTTGAGGCCTATGTTGAAAAAGGAAATATCTTCTCCTAAAAACCAGTCAGAAGCATTCTCAGAAGCTTCCGTGTGATGTGTGTACTCAAGTAACAGAGTTGAACCTTACTTTTGACAGAGCCGTTTTGAAACAGTGTTTTTGTAGAATCTGGAAGTAGATATTTGGATACATTTGAGAATTTCTTTGGAAACGGGATATCTTCATATAAAACCTAGACAGAAGCATTCTCAGGAACTTCTTTGTGATGTTTGCCTTCAAGTCACAGGACTGAACATTCCCTTTCATAGAGCAGGTTTGAAACACTCTTTCTGTAGTATCTGCAAGCTGACGTTTCAAGCGCTTTCAGGCCTATGGTGAGAAAGGAAATATCTTCAAGTAAAAACTAGACAGAAGCATTCTCAGAAACTTATTTGCGATGTGTGTTCTCAACTAACAGAGTTGAACCTTTGTTTTGATACAGCATTTTGGAAACACGCTTTTTGTAGGATCTGCAGGTGGATATTTGGATAGCTTTGATGGTTTCGTTGGAAACGGGAATATCCTCATATAAAATCAAGACAGAAGCATTCTCAGAAACTTCTCTGTGATGTTTGCCTTCAACTCATAGAGTTGAACACTTCGTTTCATAGAGCAGGTTTGAAACACTCTGTGCACTACCTGGAAGTGGACGTTTGGAGCGCTTTGAGGCCTATGTTGAAAAAGGAAATATCTTCCCATAAAAACTAGACAGAAGCATTCTCAGAAACTTGTTTGTGATGTGTGTATTCAACTAACAGAGATGAACCTTTCTTTTTACAGAGCAGTTTTGAAACACTCTTTTTGTGGAATCTGAAAGTGGATATTTGGATAGCTTTGAGGATTTCGTTGGAAACGGGATTACATATAAAATCTAGGGATAAGCATTCTCAGGAACTCCTCTGTGATGTTTGCATTCAAGTCACAGAACTGAACATTCCCTTTCATAGAGCAGGTTTGAAACACTCTTTCTGTAGTATCTGCAAGCGGACGTTTCTAGCGCTTTCAGGCCTGTGGTGAAAGAGGAAATATCTTCAAATAAAAACTAGACAGAAGCATTCTCAGAAACTTATTTGCCATGTGTGTTCTCAACTAACAGAGTTGAACCTTTGTTTTGATACGGCATTTTGGAAACACTCTTTTTGTAGAATCTGCAGGTGGATATTCGGATAGCTTTGAAGGTTTCGTTGGAAACGGGAATATCTTCATATAAAATCTAGACGGAAGCATTCTCAGAAACTGCTTTGTGATGTCTTCATTCAAGTCACAGAGTAGAATGTTCCCTTTTATAGAGCAGGTTTGAAACACTCAGTGCACTACCTGGAAGTGGACATTTGGAGCGCTTTGAGGCCTATGTTGAAAAAGGAAGTATCTTCCCATAGAAACTAGACAGAAGCATTCTCAGAAACTTGTTTGTGATGTGTGTATTCAACTAACAGAGATGAACCTTTCTTTTTACAGAGCAGTTTTGAAACACTCTTTTTGTAGAATCTGAAAGTGGATATTTGGATAGCTTTGAGGATTTCGTTGGAAACGGGATTACATATAAAAGCTAGGGAGAAGCATTCTCAGGAACTTCTTTGTGATGTTTGCATTCAAGTCACAGAACTGAACATTCCCTTTCATAGAGCAGGTTTGAAACACTCTTTCTGTAGTATCTGCAAGTGGACGTTTCAAGCGCTTTCAGGCCTGTGGTGAAAAAGGAAATATCTTCAAATAAAAACTAGACAGAAGCATTCTCAGAAACTTATTTGCGATGTGTGTTCTCAGCTAACAGAGTTGAACCTTTGTTTTGATACAGCATTTTGGAAACACTCTTTTTGTAGGATCTGCAGGTGGATATTTGGATAGCTTTGAAGGTTTCTTTGGAAACGGGAATATCTTCATATAAAATCAAGACAGAAGCATTCTCAGAAACTGCTTTGTGATGTTTTCATTCAAGTCACAGAGTAGAATGTTCCCTGTTATATACCAGGTTTGAGACACTCTTTCTGCACTACCTGGAAGTGGACATTTGGAGCGCTTTGAGGCCTATGATGAAAAAGGAAATATCTTCCCATAAAAACTAGACAGAAGCATTCTCAGAAACTTGTTTGTGATGTGTGTATTCAACTAACAGAGATGAACCTTTCTTTTTACAGAGCAGTTTTGAAACACTCTTTTTGTGGAATCTGAAAGTGGATATTTGGATAGCTTTGAGGATTTCGTTGGAAACGGGATTACATATAAAATCTAGAGAGAAGCATTCTCAGGAACTTCTTTGTGATGTTTGCATTCAAGTCACAGAACTGAACATTCCCTTTCATAGAGCAGGTTTGAAACACTCTTTCTGTAGTATCTGCAAGCTGACGTTTCAAGCGCTTTCAGGCCTATGGTGAGAAAGGAAATATCTTCAAGTAAAAACTAGACAGAAGCATTCTCAGAAACTTATTTGCCATGTGTGTTCTCAACTAACAGAGTTGAAGCTTTGTTTTCATACGGCATTTTGGAAACACTCTTTTTGTAGAATCTGCAGGTGGATATTCGGATAGCTTTAAAGGTTTCGTTGGAAACGGGAATATCTTCATATAAAATCTAGACGGAAGCATTCTCAGAAACTTCTCTGTGATGTTTGCATTCAACTCATAGAGTTGAACACTTCCCTTCATACAGCAGGTTTGAAACACTCTTTTTGTAATATTTGGAAGTGGACATTTGCAGCGCTTTGAGGCCTATGATGAAAAAGGTAATATCTTCCCATAAAAACTAGACAGAAGCATTCTCAGAAACTTGTTTGTGATGTGTGTATTCAACTAACAGAGATGAACCTTTCTTTTTACAGAGCAGTTTTGAAACACTCTTTTTGTGGAATCTGAAAGTGGATATTTGGATAGCTTTGAGGATTTCGTTGGAAACGGGATTACATATAAAACCTAGAGAGAAGCATTCTCAGGAACTTCTTTGTGATGTTTGCCTTCAAGTCACAGGACTGAACATTCCCTTTCATAGAGCAGGTTTGAAACACTCTTTCTGTAGTATCTGCAAGCTGACGTTTCAAGGGCTTTCAGGCCTATGGTGAGAAAGGAAATATCTTCAAGTAAAAACTAGACAGAAGCATTCTCAGAAACTTATTTGCCATGTGTGTTCTCAACTAACAGAGTTGAACCTTTGTTTTGATACGGCATTTTGGAAACACTCTTTTTGTAGAATCTGCAGGTGGATATTCGGATAGCTTTGAAGGTTTCGTTGGAAACGGGAATATCTTCATATAAAATCTTGACGGAAGCATTCTCAGAAAGTGCTTTGTGATGTTTGCATTCAAGTCACAGAGTTGAATATTCCCTTTTATAGAGCAGGTCTGAAACACTCTTTCTGCACTACCTGGAAGTGGACATTTGGAACGCTTTGAGGCCTATGTTGAAAAAGGAAATATCTTCCCATAAAAACTAGACAGAAGCATTCTCAGAAACTTGTTTGTGATGTGTGTATTCAACTAACAGAGATGAACCTTTCTTTTTACAGAGCAGTTTTGAAACACTCTTTTTGTGGAATCTGAAAGTGGATATTTGGATAGCTTTGAGGATTTCGTTGGAAACGGGATTACATATAAAATCTAGAGAGAAGCATTCTCAGGAACTTCTTTGTGATGTTTGCATTCAAGTCACAGAACTGAACATTCCCTTTCATAGAGCATGTTTGAAACACTCTTTCTGTAGTATCTGCAAGCGGACGTTTTAAGCGCTTTCAGGCCTGTGGTGAGAAAGGAAATATCTTCAAATAAAAACTAGACAGAAGCATTCTCAGAAACTTATTTGCGATGTGTGTCCTCAACTAACAGAGTTGAACCTTTGTTTTGATACAACATTTTGGAAACACTCTTTTAGTAGAATCTGCAAGTGCATATTTGGATAGCTTTGAAGGTTTCGTTGGAAACGGGAATATCTTCATATAAAATCAAGACAGAAGCATTCTCAGAAACTTCTCTGTGATGTTTGCATTCAACTCATAGAGTTGAACACTTCCCTTCATACAGCAGGTTTGAAACACTCTTTTTGTAATATTTGGAAGTGGACATTTGCAGCGCTTTGAGGCCTATGTTGAAAAAGGAAATATCTTCTCCTAAAAACCAGACAGAAGCATTCTCAGAAACTTGTTTGTGATGTGTGTATTCAACTAACAGAGATGAACCTTTCTTTTTACAGAGCAGTTTTGAAACACTCTTTTTGTGGAATCTGAAAGTGGATATTTGGATAGCTTTGAGGATTTCGTTGGAAACGGGATTACATATAAAACCTAGAGAGAAGCATTCTCAGGAACTTCTTTGTGATGTTTGCCTTGAAGTCACAGGACTGAACATTCCCTTTCATAGAGCAGGTTTGAAACACTCTTTCTGTAGTATCTGCAAGCTGACGTTTCAAGCGCTTTCAGGCCTATGGTGAGAAAGGAAATATCTTCAAGTAAAAACTAGACAGAAGCATTCTCAGAAACTTATTTGCCATGTGTGTTCTCAACTAACAGAGTTGAACCTTTGTTTTGATACGGCATTTTGGAAACACTCTTTTTGTAGAATCTGCAGGTGGATATACGGATAGCTTTGAAGGTTTCGTTGGAAACGGGAATATCTTCATATAAAGTCTAGACGGAAGCATTCTCAGAAACTGCTTTGTGATGTTTTCATTCAAGTCACAGAGTAGAATGTTCCCTGTTATATACCAGGTTAGAGACACTCTTTCTGCACTACCTGGAAGTGGACATTTGCAGCGCTTTGAGGCCTATGATGAAAAAGGAAATATCTTCCCATAAAAACTAGACAGAAGCATTCTCAGAAACTTGTTTGTGATGTGTGTATTCAACTAACAGAGATGAACCTTTCTTTTTACAGAGCAGTTTTGAAACACTCTTTTTGTGGAATCTGAAAGTGGATATTTGGATAGCTTTGAGGATTTCGTTGGAAACGGGATTACATATAAAATCTAGAGAGAAGCATTCTCAGGAACTTCTTTGTGATGTTTGCATTCACGTCACAGAACTGAACATTCCCTTTCATAGAGCATGTTTGAAACACTCTTTCTGTAGTATCTGCAAACGGACATTTCAAATGCTTTCAGGCCTATGGTGAGAAAGGAAATATCTTCAAATAAAAACTAGACAGCAGCATTCTCAGAAACTTGTTTGCGATGTGTTTCCTCAACTAACAGAGTTGAACCTTTCTTTTGATACAACATTTTGGAAACACTCTTTTTGTAGAATCTGCAAGTGGATATTTGGATAGCTTTGAAGGTTTCTTTGGAAACGGGAATATCTTCATATAAAATCAAGACAGAAGCATTCTCAGAAACTTCTCTGTGATGTTTGCATTCAACTCATAGAGTTGAACACTTCCCTTCATACAGCAGGTTTGAAACACTCTTTTTGTAATATTTGGAAGTGGACATTTGCAGCGCTTTGAGGCCTATGATGAAAAAGGTAATATCTTCCCATAAAAACTAGACAGAAGCATTCTCAGAAACTTGTTTGTGATGTGTGTATTCAACTAACAGAGATGAACCTTTCTTTTTACAGAGCAGTTTTGAAACACTCTTTTTGTGGAATCTGAAAGTGGATATTTGGATAGCTTTGAGGATTTCGTTGGAAACGGTATTACATATAAAATCTAGGGAGAAGCATTCTCAGGAACTTCTTTGTGATGTTTGCATTCAAGTCACAGAACTGAACATTCCCTTTCATAGTGCAGGTTTGAAACACTCTTTCTGTAGTATCTGCAAGCTGACGTTTCAAGCGCTTTCAGGCCTGTGGTGAAAAAGGAAATATCTTCAAATAAAAACTAGACAGAAGCATTCTCAGAAACTTATTTGCGATGTGTGTTCTCAACTAACAGAGTTGAACCTTTGTTTTGATATGGCATTTTGGAAACATTCTTTTTGTAGAATCTGCAGGTGGATATTTGAATAGCTTTGAAGGTTTCGTTGGAAACGGGAATATCTTCATATAAAATCAAGACAGAAGCATTCTCAGAAACTTCTCTGTGATGTTTGCATTCAACTCATAGAGTTGAACACTTCCCTTCATACAGCAGGTTTGAAACACTCTTTTTGTAATATTTGGAAGTGGACATTTGCAGCGCTTTGAGGCCTATGATGAAAAAGGAAATATCTTCCCATAAAAACTAGACAGAAGCATTCTCAGAAACTTGTTTGTGATGTGTGTATTCAACTAACAGAGATGAACCTTTCTTTTTACAGAGCAGTTTTGAAACACTCTTTTTGTGGAATCTGAAAGTGGATATTTGGATAGCTTTGCGGATTTCGTTGGAAACGGGATTACATATAAAATCTAGGGAGAAGCATTCTCAGGAACTTCTTTGTGATGTTTGCATTCAAGTCACAGAACTGAACATTCCCTTTCATAGAGCAGGTTTGAAACACTCTTTCTGTAGTATCTGCAAGCTGACGTTTCAAGCGCTTTCAGGCCTATGGTGAGAAAGGAAATATCTTCAAGTAAAAACTAGACAGAAGCATTCTCAGAAACTTATTTGCCATGTGTGTTCTCAACTAACAGAGTTGAACCTTTGTTTTGATACGGCATTTTGGAAACACTCTTTTTGTAGAATCTGCAGGTGGATATTCGGATAGCTTTGAAGGTTTCGTTGGAAACGGGAATATCTTCATATAAAATCTAGACGGAAGCATTCTCAGAAAGTGCTTTGTGATGTTTGCATTCAAGTCACAGAGTTGAATATTCCCTTTTATAGAGCAGGTTTGAAACACTCTTTCTGCACTACCTGGAAGTGGACATTTGGAGCGCTTTGAGGCCTATGTTGAAAAAGGAAATATGTTCCCATAAAAACTGGACAGAAGCATTCTCAGAAACTTGTTTGTGATGTGTGTATTCAACTAACAGAGATGAACCTTTCTTTTTACAGAGCAGTTTTGAAACACTCTTTTTGTGGAATCTGAAAGTGGATATTTGGATAGCTTTGAGGATTTCGTTGGAAACGGGATTACATATAAAACCTAGAGAGAAGCATTCTCAGGAACTTCTTTGTGATGTTTTCATTCACGTCACAGAACTGAACATTCCCTTTCATAGAGCATGTTTGAAACACTCTTTCTGTAGTATCTGCAAACGGACATTTCAAACGCTTTCAGGCCTATGGTGAGAAAGGAAATATCTTCAAATAAAAACTAGACAGAAGCATTCTCAGAAACTTATTTGCGATGTGTGTCCTCAACTAACAGAGTTGAACCTTTCTTTTGATACAACATTTTGGAAACACTCTTTTTGTAGAATCTGCAAGTGGATATTTGGATAGCTTTGAAGGTTTCGTTGGAAACGGGAATATCTTCATATGAAATCAAGACAGAAGCATTCTCAGAAACTGCTTTGTGATGTTTTCATTCAAGTCACAGAGTAGAATGTTCCCTGTTATATACCAGGTTTGAGACACTCTTTCTGCACTACCCGGAAGTGGACGTTTGGAGCGCTTTGAGGCCTATGTTGAAAAACGAAATATCTTCCCATAAAAACTAGACAGAAGCATTCTCAGAAACTTGTTTGTGATGTGTGTATTCAACTAACAGAGATGAACCTTTCTTTTTACAGAGCAGTTTTGAAACACTCTTTTTGTGGAATCTGAAAGTGGATATTTGGATAGCTTTGAGGATTTCGTTGGAAACGGGATTACATATAAAATCTAGAGAGAAGCATTCTCAGGAACTTCTTTGTGATGTTTGCATTCAAGTCACAGAACTGAACATTCCCTTTCATAGAGCAGGTTTGAAACACTCTTTCTGTAGTATCTGCAAGTGTACGTTTCAAGCGCTTTCAGGCCTGTGGTGAAAAAGGAAATATCTTCAAATAAAAACTAGACAGAAGCATTCTCAGAAACTTATTTGCGATGTGTGTTCTCAGCTAACAGAGTTGAACCTTTGTTTTGATACAGCATTTTGGAAACACCCTTTTTGTAGGATCTGCAGGTGGATATTTGGATAGCTTTGAAGGTTTCTTTGGAAACGGGAATATCTTCATATAAAATCAACACAGAAGCATTCTCAGAAACTTCTCTGTGATGTTTGCATTCAACTCATAGAGTTGAACACTTCCTTTCATAGAGCTGGTTTGAAATACTCTTTTTGTAATATTTGGAAGTGGACATTGGCAGCGCTTTGAAGCCTATGGTGAAAAAGGAGATATCTTCTCCTAAAAACCAGACAGAAGCATTCTCAGAATCTTTCTTGTGATGTGTGTACTCAAGTAACAGAGTTGAACCTTCATTTTGACAGAGCAGTTTTGAAGCACTCTTTTTGTAGAATCTGCAAGTGGATATTTTGATACCTTTGAGGATTTCGTTAGATACGGGATATCTTCAAATAAAATCTAGACAAAAGCATTCTCAGGAACTTCTTTGTGATGTTTGCATTCAAGTCACAGAACTGAACATTCCCTTTCATAGAGCAGGTTTGAAACACTCTTTCTGTAGTATCTGCAAGCGGACGTTTTAAGCGCTTTCAGGCCTGTGGTGAGAAAGGAAATATCTTCAAATAAAAACTAGACAGAAGCATTCTCAGAAACTTATTTGCGATGTGTGTCCTCAACTAACAGAGTTGAACCTTTCTTTTGATACAACATTTTGGAAACACTCTTTTTGTGGAATCTGCAAGTGGATATTTGGATAGCTTTGAAGGTTTCGTTGGAAACGGGAATATCTTCATATAAAATCAAGACAGAAGCATTCTCAGAAACTTCTCTGTGATGTTTGCATTCAACTCATAGAGTTGAACACTTCCCTTCATACAGCAGGTTTGAAACACTCTTTTTGTAATATTTGGAAGTGGACATTTGCAGCGCTTTGAGGCGTATGATGAAAAAGGTAATATCTTCCAATAAAAACTAGACAGAAGCATTCTCAGAAACTTATTTGCCATGTGTGTTCTCAACTAACAGAGTTGAACCTTTGTGTGGATACGGCATTTTGGAAACACTCTTTTTGTAGAATCTGCAGGTGGATATTCGGATACCTTTGAAGGTTTCGTTGGAAACGGGAATATCTTCATATAAAATCTAGACGGAAGCATTCTCAGAAACTGCTTTGTGATGTTTTCATTCAAGTCACAGAGTAGAATGTTCCCTTTTATATACCAGGTTTGAGACACTCTTTCTGCACTATCTGGAAGTGGACATTTGGAGCGCTTTGAGGCCTATGATGAAAAAGGAAATATCTTCCCATAAAAACTAGACAGAAGCATTCTCAGAAACTTGTTTGTGATGTGTGTATTCAACTAACAGAGATGAACCTTTCTTTTTACAGAGCAGTTTTGAAACACTCTTTTTGTGGAATCTGAAAGTGGATATTTGGACAGCTTTGAGGATTTCGTTGGAAACGGGATTACATATAAAATCTAGAGAGAAGCATTCTCAGGAACTTCTTTGTGATGTTTGCATTCACGTCACAGAACTGAACATTCCCTTTCATAGAGCATGTTTGAAACACTCTTTCTGTAGTATCTGCAAACGGACATTTCAAACGCTTTCAGGCCTATGGTGAGAAAGGAAATATCTTCAAATAAAAACTAGACAGAAGCATTCTCAGAAACTTCTTTGTGCTGTATGTCCTCAATTAACAGAGTTGAACCTTTGTGTGGATACAGCATTTTGGAAACATTCCTTTAGTAGAATCTGCAAGTTGATATTTAGATAGCTAGGAAGATTTCCTTGGAAACGGGAATATCTTCATATAAAATCTAGACGGAAGCATTCTCAGAAAGTGCTTTGTGATGTTTGCATTCAAGTCACAGAGTTGAATATTCCCTTTTATAGAGCAGGTTTGAAACACTCTTTCTGCACTACCTGGAAGTGGACATTTGGAGCCGCTTTGAGGCCTATGTTGAAAAAGGAAATATCTTCCCATAAAAACTAGACGGAAGCATTCTCAGAAACTTGTTTGTGATGTGTGTATTCAACTAACAGAGATGAACCTTTCTTTTTACAGAGCAGTTTTGAAACACTCTTTTTGTGGAATCTGAAAGTGGATATTTGGATAGCTTTGAGGATTTCGTTGGAAACGGGATTACATATAAAACCTAGAGAGAAGCATTCTCAGGAACTTCTTTGTGATGTTTGCATTCAAGTCACAGAACTGAACATTCCCTTTCATAGAGCAGGTTTGAAACACTCTTTCTGTAGTATCTGCAAGCGGACAGTTTCAAGCGCTTTCAGGCCTATGGTGAGAAAGGAAATATCTTCAAGTAAAAACTAGACAGAAGCATTCTCAGAAACTTATTTGCCATGTGTGTTCTCAACTAACAGAGTTGAACCTTTGTTTTGATATGGCATTTTGGAAACACTCTTTTTGTAGAATCTACAGGTGGATATTCGGATAGCTTTGAAGGTTTCGTTGGAAACGGGAATATCTTCATATAAAATCTAGACGGAAGCATTCTCAGAAACTGCTTTGTGATGTTTTCATTCAAGTCACAGAGTAGAATGTTCCCTGTTATATACCAGGTTTGAGACACTCTTTCCGCACTACCTGGAAGTGGACATTTGGAGCGCTTTGAGGCCCATGATGAAAAAGGAAATATCTTCCCATAAAAACTAGACAGAAGCATTCTCAGAAACTTGTTTGTGATGTGTGTATTCCACTAACAGAGATGAACCTTTCTTTTTACAGAGCAGTTTTGAAACACTCTTTTTGTGGAATCTGGAAGTGGATATTTGGATAGCTTTGAGGATTTCGTTGGAAACGGGATTACATATAAAATCTAGAGAGAAGCATTCTCAGGAACTTCTTTGTGATGTTTGCCTTCAAGTCACAGGACTGAACATTCCCTTTCATAGAGCAGGTTTGAAACACTCTTTCTGTAGTATCTGCAAGCTGACGTTTCAAGCGCTTTCAGGCCTATGGTGAGAAAGGAAATATCTTCAAGTAAAAACTAGACAGAAGCATTCTCAGAAACTTCTTTGTGCTGTATGTCCTCAATTAACAGAGTTGAACCTTTGTGTGGATACAGCATTTTGGAAACATTCCTTTAGTAGAATCTGCAAGTTGATATTTAGATAGCTAGGAAGATTTCCTTGGAAACGGGAATATCTTCATATAAAATCTAGACGGAAGCATTCTCAGAAAGTGCTTTGTGATGTTTGCATTCAAGTCACAGAGTTGAATATTCCCTTTTATAGAGCAGGTTTGAAACACTCTTTCTGCACTACCTGGAAGTGGACATTTGGAGCGCTGTGAGGCCTATGTTGAAAAAGGAAATATCTTCCCATAAAAACTAGACAGAAGCATTCTCAGAAACTTGTTTGTGATGTGTGTATTCAACTAACAGAGATGAACCTCTCTTTTTACAGAGCAGTTTTGAAACACTCTTTTTGTGGAATCTGAAAGTGGATATTTGGAGAGCTTTGCGGATTTCGTTGGAAACGGGATTACATATAAAATCTAGGGAGAAGCATTCTCAGGAACTTCTTTGTGATGTTTGCCTTCAAGTCACAGGACTGAACATTCCCTTTCATAGAGCAGGTTTGAAACACTCTTTCTGTAGTATCTGCAAGCTGACGTTTCAAGCGCTTTCAGGCCTATGGTGAGAAAGGAAATATCTTCAAGTAAAAACTAGACAGAAGCATTCTCAGAAACTTATTTGCCATGTGTGTCCTCAACTAACAGAGTTGAAACTTTCTTTTGATACAACATTTTGGAAACACTCTTTTTGTAGAATCTGCAAGTGGATATTTGAATAGCTTTGAAGGTTTCGTTGGAAACGGGAATATCTTCATATAAAATCAAGACAGAAGCATTCTCATAAACTGCTTTGTGATGTTTTCATTCAAGTCACAGAGTAGAATGTTCCCTGTTATATACCAGGTTTGAGACACTCTTTCTGCACTACCTGGAAGTGGACATTTGGAGCGCTTTGAGGCCTATGATGAAAAAGGAAATATCTTCCCATAAAAACTAGACAGAAGCATTCTCAGAAACTTGTTTGTGATGTGTGTATTCAACTAACAGAGATGAACCTTTCTTTTTACAGAGCAGTTTTGAAACACTCTTTTTGTGGAATCTGAAAGTGGATATTTGGATAGCTTTGAGGATTTCGTTGGAAACGGGATTACATATAAAACCTAGAGAGAAGCATTCTCAGGAACTTCTTTGTGATGTTTGCATTCAAGTCACAGAACTGAACATTCCCTTTCATAGAGCAGGTTTGAAACACTCTTTCTGTAGTATCTGCAAGCTGACGTTTCAAGCGCTTTCAGGCCTATGGTGAGAAAGGAAATATCTTCAAGTAAAAACTAGACAGAAGCATTCTCAGAAACTTATTTGCGATGTGTGTTCTCAACTAACAGGGTAGAACCTTTGTTTTGATATGGCATTTTGGAAACACTCTTTTTGTAGAATCTGCAGGTGGATATTCGGATAGCTTTGAAGGTTTCGTTGGAAACGGGAATATCTTCATATAAAATCTAGACGGAAGCATTCTCAGAAACTTCTCTGTGATGTTTGCATTCAACTCATAGAGTTGAACACCTCCTTTCATAGAGCCGGTTTGAAACACTCTGTGCACTACCTGGAAGTGGACATTTGGAGCGCTTTGAGGTCTATGTTGAAAAAGGAAATATCTTCCCATAAAAACTAGACAGAAGCATTCTCAGAAACTTGTTTGTGATGTGTGTATTCAACTAACAGAGATGAACCTTTCTTTTTACAGAGCAGTTTTGAAACACTCTTTTTGTGGAATCTGAAAGTGGATATTTGGATAGCTTTGCGGATTTCGTTGGAAACGGGATTACATATAAAATCTAGGGAGAAGCATTCTCAGGAACTTCTTTGTGATGTTTGCATTCAAGTCACAGAACTGAACATTCCCTTTCATAGAGCAGGTTTGAAACACTCTTTCTGTAGTATCTGCAAGCGGACGTTTTAAGCGCTTTCAGGCCTGTGGTGAGAAAGGAAATATCTTCAAATAAAAACTAGACAGAAGCATTCTCAGAAACTTATTTGCGATGTGTGTTCTCAACTAACAGAGTTGAACCTTTGTTTTGATATGGCATTTTGGAAACACTCTTTTTGTAGAATCTGCAGGTGGATATTCGGATAGCTTTGAAGGTTTCGTTGGAAACGGGAATATCTTCATATAAAATCTAGACGGAAGCATTCTCAGAAACTGCTTTGTGATGTTTTCATTCAAGTCACAGAGTAGAATGTTCCCTGTTATATACCAGGTTTGAGACACTCTTTCTGCACTACCTGGAAGTGGACGTTTGGAGCGCTTTGAGGCCTATGTTGAAAAAGGAAATATCTTCCCATAAAAACTAGACAGAAGCATTCTCAGAAACTTGTTTGTGATGTGTGTATTCAACTAACAGAGATGAACCTTTCTTTTTACAGAGCAGTTTTGAAACACTCTTTTTGTGGAATCTGAAAGTGGATATTTGGATAGCTTTGCGGATTTCGTTGGAAACGGGATTACATATAAAATCTAGGGAGAAGCATTCTCAGGAACTTCTTTGTGATGTTTGCATTCACGTCACAGAACTGAACATTCCCTTTCATAGAGCATGTTTGAAACACTCTTTCTGTAGTATCTGCAAACGGACATTTCAAACGCTTTCAGGCCTATGGTGAGAAAGGAAATATCTTCAAATAAAAACTAGACAGAAGCATTCTCAGAAACTTATTTGCGATGTGTGTCCTCAACTAACAGAGTTGAACCTTTCTTTTGATACAACATTTTGGAAACACTCTTTTTGTAGAATCTGCAAGTGGATATTTGAATAGCTTTGAAGGTTTCGTTGGAAACGGGAATATCTTCATATAAAATCAAGACAGAAGCATTCTCAGAAACTTCTCTTTGATGTTTGCATTCAACTCATAGAGTTGAACACTTCCCTTCATACAGCAGGTTTGAAACACTCTTTTTGTAATATTTGGAAGTGGACATTTGCAGCGCTTTGAGGCCTATGATGAAAAAGGTAATATCTTCCCATAAAAACTAGACAGAAGCATTCTCAGAAACTTGTTTGTGATGTGTGTATTCAACTAACAGAGATGAACCTTTCTTTTTACAGAGCAGTTTTGAAACACTCTTTTTGTGGAATCTGAAAGTGGATATTTGGATAGCTTTGTGGATTTCGTTGGAAACGGGATTACATATAAAATCTAGGGAGAAGCATTCTCAGGAACTTCTTTGTGATGTTTGCATTCAAGTCACAGAACTGAACATTCCCTTTCATAGAGCAGGTTTGAAACACTCTTTCTGTAGTATCTGCAAGCGGACGTTTTAAGCGCTTTCAGGCCTGTGGTGAGAAAGGAAATATCTTCAAATAAAAACTAGACAGAAGCATTCTCAGAAACTTCTTTGTGCTGTATGTCCTCAATTAACAGAGTTGAACCTTTGTGTGGATACAGCATTTTGGAAACATTCCTTTAGTAGAATCTGCAAGTTGATATTTAGATAGCTAGGAAGATTTCCTTGGAAACGGGAATATCTTCATATAAAATCTAGACGGAAGCATTCTCAGAAACTGCTTTGTGATGTTTGCATTCAAGTCACAGAGTTGAATATTCCCTTTTATAGAGCAGGTTTGAAACACTCTTTCTGCACTACCTGGAAGTGGACATTTGGAGCGCTTTGAGGCCTATGTTGAAAAAGGAAATATCTTCCCATAAAAACTAGACAGAAGCATTCTCAGAAACTTGTTTGTGATGTGTGTATTCAACTAACAGAGATGAACCTTTGCTTTTTACAGAGCAGTTTTGAAACACTCTTTTTGTGGAATCTGAAAGTGGATATTTGGATAGCTTTGCGGATTTCGTTGGAAACGGGATTACATATAAAATCTAGGGAGAAGCATTCTCAGGAACTTCTTTGTGATGTTTGCATTCAAGTCACAGAACTGAACATTCCCTTTCATAGAGCAGGTTTGAAACACTCTTTCTGTAGTATCTGCAAGCTGACGTTTCAAGCGCTTTCAGGCCTATGGTGAGAAAGGAAATATCTTCAAGTAAAAACTAGACAGAAGCATTCTCAGAAACTTATTTGCGATGTGTGTTCTCAACTAACAGAGTTGAACCTTTGTTTTGATATGGCATTTTGGAAACACTCTTTTTGTAGAATCTGCAGGTGGATATTCGGATAGCTTTGAAGGTTTCGTTGGAAACGGGAATATCTTCATATAAAATCTAGACGGAAGCATTCTCAGAAACTGCTTTGTGATGTTTTCATTCAAGTCACAGAGTAGAATGTTCCCTGTTATACACCAGGTTTGAGACACTCTTTCTGCACTACCTGGAAGTGGACGTTTGGAGCGCTTTGAGGCCTATGTTGAAAAAGGAAATATCTTCCCATAAAAACTAGACAGAAGCATTCTCAGAAACTTGTTTGTGATGTGTGTATTCAACTAACAGAGATGAACCTTTCTTTTTACAGAGCAGTTTTGAAACACTCTTTTTGTGGAATCTGAAAGTGGATATTTGGATAGCTTTGAGGATTTCGTTGGAAACGGGATTACATATAAAACCTAGAGAGAAGCATTCTCAGGAACTTCTTTGTGATATTTGCATTCAAGTCACAGAACTGAACATTCCCTTTCATAGAGCAGGGTTGAAACACTCTTTCTGTAGTATCTGCAAGCTGACGTTTCAAGCGCTTTCATGCCTATGGTGAGAAAGGAAATATCTTCAAGTAAAAACTAGACAGAAGCATTCTCAGAAACTTATTTGCCATGTGTGTTCTCAACTAACAGAGTTGAACCTTTGTTTTGATACGGCATTTTGGAAACACTCTTTTTGTAGAATCTGCAGGTGGATATTCGGATAGCTTTGAAGGTTTCGTTGGAAACGGGAATATCTTCATATAAAATCTAGACGGAAGCATTCTCATAAACTGCTTTGTGATGTTTTCATTCAAGTCACAGAGTAGAATGTTCCCTGTTATATACCAGGTTTGAGACACTCTTTCTGCACTACCTGGAAGTGGACGTTTGGAGCGCTTTGAGGCCTATGTTGAAAAAGGAAATATCTTTCCATAAAAACTAGACAGAAGCATTCTCAGAAACTTGTTTGTGATGTGTGTATTCAACTAACAGAGATGAACCTTTCTTTTTACAGAGCAGTTTTGAAACACTCTTTTTGTGGAATCTGAAAGTGGATATTTGGATAGCTTTGCGGATTTCGTTGGAAACGGGATTACATATAAAATCTAGGGAGAAGCATTCTCAGGAACTTCTTTGTGATGTTTGCCTTCAAGTCACAGGACTGAACATTCCCTTTCATAGAGCAGGTTTGAAACACTCTTTCTGTAGTATCTGCAAGCTGACGTTTCAAGCGCTTTCAGGCCTATGGTGAGAAAGGAAATATCTTCAAGTAAAAACTAGACAGAAGCATTCTCAGAAACTTATTTGCGATGTGTGTTCTCAACTAACAGAGTTGAACCTTTGTTTTGATACAGCATTTTGGAAACACTCTTTTTGTAGGATCTGCAGGTGGATATTTGGATAGCTTTGAAGGTTTCGTTGGAAACGGGAATATCTTCATATAAAATCAACAGAGAAGCATTCTCAGAAACTGCTTTGTGATGTTTTCATTCAAGTCACAGAGTAGAATGTTCCCTGTTATATACCAGGTTTGAGACACTCTTTCTGCACTACCCGGAAGTGGACGTTTGGAGCGCTTTGAGGCCTATGTTGAAAAAGGAAATATCTTCCCATAAAAACTAGACAGAAGCATTCTCAGAAACTTGTTTGTGATGTGTGTATTCAACTAACAGAGATGAACCTTTCTTTTTACAGAGCAGTTTTGAAACACTCTTTTTGTGGAATCTGAAAGTGGATATTTGGATAGCTTTGAGGATTTCGTTGGAAACGGGATTACATATAAAACCTAGAGAGAAGCATTCTCAGGAACTTCTTTGTGATGTTTGCATTCAAGTCACAGAACTGAACATTCCCTTTCATAGAGCAGGTTTGAAACACTCTTTCTGTAGTATCTGCAAGCGGACGTTTTAAGCGCTTTCAGGCCTGTGGTGAGAAAGGAAATATCTTCAAATAAAAACTAGACAGAAGCATTCTCAGAAACTTATTTGCGATGTGTGTCCTCAACTAACAGAGTTGAACCTTTCTTTTGATACAACATTTTGGAAACACTCTTTTTGTAGAATCTGCAAGTGGATATTTGGATAGCTTTGAAGGTTTCGTTGGAAACGGGAATATCTTCATATGAAATCAAGACAGAAGCATTCTCAGAAAGTGCTTTGTGATGTTTGCATTCAAGTCACAGAGTTGAATATTCCCTTTTATAGAGCAGGTTTGAAACACTCTTTCTGCACTACCTGGAAGTGGACATTTGGAGCGCTTTGAGGCCTATGTTGAAAAAGGAAATATCTTCCCATAAAAACTAGACAGAAGCATTCTCAGAAACTTGTTTGTGATGTGTGTATTCAACTAACAGAGATGAACCTTTCTTTTTACAGAGCAGTTTTGAAACACTCTTTTTGTGGAATCTGAAAGTGGATATTTGGATAGCTTTGCGGATTTCGTTGGAAACGGGATTACATATAAAATCTAGGGAGAAGCATTCTCAGGAACTTCTTTGTGATGTTTGCATTCACGTCACAGAACTGAACATTCCCTTTCATAGAGCATGTTTGAAACACTCTTTCTGTAGTATCTGCAAACGGACATTTCAAGCGCTTTCAGGCCTATGGTAAGAAAGGAAATATCTTCAAATAAAAACTCGACAGAAGCATTCTCAGAAACTTATTTGCGATGTGTGTCCTCAACTAACAGAGTTGAACCTTTGTTTTGATACAACATTTTGGAAACACTCTTTTAGTAGAATCTGCAAGTGGAGATTTGGATAGCTTTGAAGGTTTCGTTGGAAACGGGAATATCTTCATATAAAATCAAGACAGAAGCATTCTCAGAAACTGCTTTGTGATGTTTTCATTCAAGTCACAGAGTAGAATGTTCCCTTTTATATACCAGGTTTGAGACACTCTTTCTGCACTATCTGGAAGTGGACATTTGGAGCGCTTTGAGGCCTATGATGAAAAAGGAAATATCTTCCCATAAAAACTAGACAGAAGCATTCTCAGAAACTTGTTTGTGATGTGTGTATTCAACTAACAGAGATGAACCTTTCTTTTTACAGAGCAGTTTTGAAACACTCTTTTTGTGGAATCTGAAAGTGGATATTTGGATAGCTTTGAGGATTTCGTTGGAAACGGGATTACATATAAAATCTAGAGAGAAGCATTCTCAGGAACTTCTTTGTGATGTTTGCATTCAAGTCACAGAACTGAACATTCCCTTTCATAGAGCATGTTTGAAACACTCTTTCTGTAGTATCTGCAAGCGGACGTTTTAAGCGCTTTCAGGCCTGTGGTGAGAAAGGAAATATCTTCAAATAAAAACTAGACAGAAGCATTCTCAGAAACTTATTTGCGATGTGTGTCCTCAACTAACAGAGTTGAACCTTTCTTTTGATACAACATTTTGGAAACACTCTTTTTGTAGAATCTGCAAGTGGATATTTGAATAGCTTTGAAGGTTTCGTTGGAAACGGGAATATCTTCATATAAAATCAAGACAGAAGCATTCTCAGAAACTTCTCTGTGATGTTTGCATTCAACTCATAGAGTTGAACACTTCCCTTCATACAGCAGGTTTGAAACACTCTTTTTGTAATATTTGGAAGTGGACATTTGCAGCGCTTTGAGGCCTATGATGAAAAAGGAAATATCTTCCCACAAAAACTAGACAGAAGCATTCTCAGAATCTTTCTTGTGATGTGTGTACTCAAGTAACAGAGGTGAACCTTCATTTTGACAGAGCAGTTTTGAAGCACTCTTTTTGTAGAATCTGCAAGTGGATATTTTGATACCTTTGAGGATTTCGTTAGACACGGGATATCTTCATATAAAATCTAGACAGAAGCATTCTCAGGAACTTCTTTGTGATGTTTGCCTTCAAGTCACAGGACTGAACATTCCCTTTCATAGAGCAGGTTTGAAACACTCTTTCTGTAGTATCTGCAAGCTGACGTTTCAAGCGCTTTCAGGCCTATGGTGAGAAAGGAAATATCTTCAAGTAAAAACTAGACAGAAGCATTCTCAGAAACTTATTTGCGATGTGTGTTCTCAACTAACAGAGTTGAACCTTTGTTTTGATACAGCATTTTGGAAACACTCTTTTTGTAGGATCTGCAGGTGGATATTTGGATAGCTTTGAAGGTTTCGTTGGAAACGGGAATATCTTCATATAAAATCAAGACAGAAGCATTCTCAGAAAGTGCTTTGTGATGTTTGCATTCAAGTCACAGAGTTGAATATTCCCTTTTATAGAGCAGGTTTGAAACACTCTTTCTGCACTACCTGGAAGTGGACATTTGGAGCGCTTTGAGGCCTATGTTGAAAAACGAAATATCTTCCCATAAAAACTAGACAGAAGCATTCTCAGAAACTTGTTTGTGATGTGTGTATTCAACTAACAGAGATGAACCTTTCTTTTTACAGAGCAGTTTTGAAACACTCTTTTTGTGGAATCTGAAAGTGGATATTTGGATAGCTTTGCGGATTTCGTTGGAAACGGGATTACATATAAAATCTAGGGAGAAGCATTCTCAGGAACTTCTTTGTGATGTTTGCATTCACGTCACAGAACTGAACATTCCCTTTCATAGAGCATGTTTGAAACACTCTTTCTGTAGTATCTACAAACGGACATTTCAAACGCTTTCAGGCCTATGGTGAGAAAGGAAATATCTTCAAATAAAAACTAGACAGAAGCATTCTCAGAAACTTATTTGCCATGTGTGTTCTCAACTAACAGAGTTGAACCTTTGTTTTGATACGGCATTTTGGAAACACTCTTTTTGTAGAATCTGCAGGTGGATATTCGGATAGCTTTGAAGGTTTCGTTGGAAACGGGAATATCTTCATATAAAATCTAGACGGAAGCATTCTCAGAAAGTGCTTTGTGATGTTTGCATTCAAGTCACAGAGTTGAATATTCCCTTTTATAGAGCAGGTTTGAAACACTCTTTCTGCACTACCTGGAAGTGGACATTTGGAGCGCTTTGAGGCCTATGTTGAAAAACGAAATATCTTCCCATAAAAACTAGACAGAAGCATTCTCAGAAACTTGTTTGTGATGTGTGTATTCAACTAACAGAGATGAACCTTTCTTTTTACAGAGCAGTTTTGAAACACTCTTTTTGTGGAATCTGAAAGTGGATATTTGGATAGCTTTGAGGATTTCGTTGGAAACGGGATTACATATAAAATCTAGAGAGAAGCATTCTCAGGAACTTCTTTGTGATGTTTGCATTCAAGTCACAGAACTGAACATTCCCTTTCATAGAGCAGGTTTGAAACACTCTTTCTGTAGTATCTGCAAGCGGACGTTTTAAGCGCTTTCAGGCCTGTGGTGAGAAAGGAAATATCTTCAAATAAAAACTAGACAGAAGCATTCTCAGAAACTTATTTGCCATGTGTGTTCTCAACTAACAGAGTTGAACCTTTGTTTTGATACGGCATTTTGGAAACACTCTTTTTGTAGAATCTGCAGGTGGATATTCGGATAGCTTTGAAGGTTTCGTTGGAAACGGGAATATCTTCATATAAAATCTAGACGGAAGCATTCTCAGAAACTGCTTTGTGATGTTTTCATTCAAGTCACAGAGGAGAATGTTCCCTTTTATATACCAGGTTTGAGACACTCTTTCTGCACTATCTGGAAGTGGACATTTGGAGCGCTTTGAGGCCTATGATGAAAAAGGAAATATCTTCCCATAAAAACTAGACAGAAGCATTCTCAGAAACTTGTTTGTGATGTGTGTATTCAACTAACAGAGATGAACCTTTCTTTTTACAGAGCAGTTTTGAAACACTCTTTTTGTGGAATCTGAAAGTGGATATTTGGATAGCTTTGAGGATTTCGTTGGAAACGGGATTACATATAAAACCTAGAGAGAAGCATTCTCAGGAACTTCTTTGTGATGTTTGCATTCACGCCACAGAACTGAACATTCCCTTTCATAGTGCATGTTTGAAACACTCTTTCTGTAGTATCTGCAAACGGACATTTCAAGCGCTTTCAGGCCTATGGTAAGAAAGGAAATATCTTCAAATAAAAACTAGACAGAAAGCATTCTCAGAAACTTATTTGCGATGTGTGTTCTCAACTAACAGAGTTGAACCTTTGTTTTGATATGGCATTTTGGAAACACTCTTTTTGTAGAATCTGCAGGTGGATATTCGGATAGCTTTGAAGGTTTCGTTGGAAACGGGAATATCTTCATATAAAATCTTGACGGAGCATTCTCAGAAACTTCTCTGTGATGTTTGCATTCAACTCATAGAGTTGAACACTTCCCTTCATAGAGCAGGTTTGAAACACTCTTTTTGTAATATTTGGAAGTGGACATTTGCAGCGCTTTGAGGCCTATGTTGAAAAAGGAAATATCTTCTCCTAAAAACCAGACAGAAGCATTCTCAGAAACTTGTTTGTGATGTGTGTATTCAACTAACAGAGATGAACCTTTCTTTTTACAGAGCAGTTTTGAAACACTCTTTTTGTGGAATCTGAAAGTGGATATTTGGATAGCTTTGAGGATTTCGTTGGAAACGGGATTACATATAAAATCTAGAGAGAAGCATTCTCAGGAACTTCTTTGTGATGTTTGCATTCAAGTCACAGAACTGAACATTCCCTTTCATAGAGCAGGTTTGAAACACTCTTTCTGTAGTATCTGCAAGCGGACGTTTTAAGCGCTTTCAGGCCTGTGGTGAGAAAGGAAATATCTTCAAATAAAAACTAGACAGAAGCATTCTCAGAAACTTATTTGCGATGTGTGTTCTCAACTAACAGAGTTGAACCTTTGTTTTGATATGGCATTTTGGAAACACTCTTTTTGTAGAATCTGCAGGTGGATATTCGGATAGCTTTGAAGGTTTCGTTGGAAACGGGAATATCTTCATATAAAATCTTGACGGAAGCATTCTCAGAAACTGCTTTGTGATGTTTTCATTCAAGTCACAGAGTAGAATGTTCCCTGTTATATACCAGGTTTGAGACACTCTTTCTGCACTACCTGGAAGTGGACATTTGCAGCGCTTTGAGGCCTATGATGAAAAAGGAAATATCTTCCCATAAAAACTAGACAGAAGCATTCTCAGAAACTTGTTTCTGATGTGTGTATTCAACTAACAGAGATGAACCTTTCTTTTTACAGAGCAGTTTTGAAACACTCTTTTTGTGGAATCTGAAAGTGGATATTTGGATAGCTTTGAGGATTTCGTTGGAAACGGGATTACATATAAAATCTAGAGAGAAGCATTCTCAGGAACTTCTTTGTGATGTTTGCATTCAAGTCACAGAACTGAACATTCCCTTTCATAGAGCATGTTTGAAACACTCTTTCTGTAGTATCTGCAAGCGGACGTTTTAAGCGCTTTCAGGCCTGTGGTGAGAAAGGAAATATCTTCAAATAAAAACTAGACAGAAGCATTCTCAGAAACTTATTTGCGATGTGTGTCCTCAACTAACAGAGTTGAACCTTTCTTTTGATACAACATTTTGTAACCACTCTTTTTGTAGAATCTGCAAGTGGATATTTGGATAGCTTTGAAGGTTTCGTTGGAAACGGGAATATCTTCATATAAAATCAAGACAGAAGCATTCTCAGAAACTTCTCTGTGATGTTTGCATTCAACTCATAGAGTTGAACACTTCCCTTCATACAGCAGGTTTGAAACACTCTTTTTGTAATATTTGGAAGTGGACATTTGCAGCGCTTTGAGGCCTATGATGAAAAAGGTAATATCTTCCCATAAAAACTAGACAGAAGCATTCTCAGAAACTTGTTTGTGATGTGTGTATTCAACTAACAGAGATGAACCTTTCTTTTTACAGAGCAGTTTTGAAACACTCTTTTTGTGGAGTCTGAAAGTAGATATTTGGATGGCTTTGAGGATTTCGTTGGAAACGGGATTACATATAAAACCTAGAGAGAAGCATTCTCAGGAACTTCTTTGTGATGTTTGCATTCAAGTCACAGAACTGAACATTCCCTTTCATAGAGCATGTTTGAAACACTCTTTCTGTAGTATCTGCAAGCGGACGTTTTAAGCGCTTTCAGGCCTGTGGTGAGAAAGGAAATATCTTCAAATAAAAACTAGACAGAAGCATTCTCAGAAACTTATTTGCCATGTGTGTTCTCAACTAACAGAGTTGAACCTTTGTTTTGATATGGCATTTTGGAAACACTCTTTTTGTAGAATCTGCAGGTGGATATTCGGATAGCTTTGAAGGTTTCGTTGGAAACGGGAATATCTTCATATAAAATCTAGACGGAAGCATTCTCAGAAACTGCTTTGTGATGTTTTCATTCAAGTCACAGAGTAGAATGTTCCCTGTTATATACCAGGTTTGAGACACTCTTTCTGCACTACCCGGAAGTGGACGTTTGGAGCGCTTTGAGGCCTATGTTGAAAAAGGAAATATCTTCCCATAAAAACTAGACAGAAGCATTCTCAGAAACTTGTTTGTGATGTGTGTATTCAACTAACAGAGATGAACCTTTCTTTTTACAGAGCAGTTTTGAAACACTCTTTTTGTGGAATCTGAAAGTGGATATTTGGATAGCTTTGAGGATTTCGTTGGAAACGGGATTACATATAAAACCTAGAGAGAAGCATTCTCAGGAACTTCTTTGTGATGTTTGCATTCACGTCACAGAACTGAACATTCCCTTTCATAGAGCATGTTTGAAACACTCTTTCTGTAGTATCTACAAACGGACATTTCAAACGCTTTCAGGCCTATGGTGAGAAAGGAAATATCTTCAAATAAAAACTAGACAGAAGCATTCTCAGAAACTTATTTGCGATGTGTGTTCTCAACTAACAGAGTTGAACCTTTGTTTTGATATGGCATTTTGGAAACACTCTTTTTGTAGAATCTGCAGGTGGATATTCGGATAGCTTTGAAGGTTTCGTTGGAAACGGGAATATCTTCATATAAAATCTAGACGGAAGCATTCTCAGAAACTGCTTTGTGATGTTTTCATTCAAGTCACAGAGTAGAATGTTCCCTGTTATATACCAGGTTTGAGACACTCTTTCTGCACTACCTGGAAGTGGACATTTGCAGCGCTTTGAGGCCTATGATGAAAAAGGAAATATCTTCCCATAAAAACTAGACAGAAGCATTCTCAGAAACTTGTTTGTGATGTGTGTATTCAACTAACAGAGATGAACCTTTCTTTTTACAGAGCAGTTTTGAAACACTCTTTTTGTGGAATCTGAAAGTGGATATTTGGATAGCTTTGAGGATTTCGTTGGAAACGGGATTACATATAAAACCTAGAGAGAAGCATTCTCAGGAACTTCTTTGTGATGTTTGCATTCAAGTCACAGAACTGAACATTCCCTTTCATAGAGCAGGTTTGAAACAGTCTTTCTGTAGTATCTGCAAGCTGACGTTTCAAGCGCTTTCAGGCCTATGGTGAGAAAGGAAATATCTTCAAGTAAAAACTAGACAGAAGCATTCTCAGAAACTTATTTGCCATGTGTGTTTTCAACTAACAGAGTTGAACCTTTGTTTTGATATGGCATTTTGGAAACACTCTTTTTGTAGAATCTGCAGGTGGATATTCGGATAGGTTTGAAGATTTCGTTGGAAACGGGAATATCTTCATATAAAATCTAGACGGAAGCATTCTCAGAAAGTGCTTTGTGATGTTTGCATTCAAGTCACAGAGTTGAATATTCCCTTTTATAGAGCAGGTTTGAAACACTCTTTCTGCACTACCTGGAAGTGGACATTTGGAGCGCTTTGAGGCCTATGTTGAAAAAGGAAATATCTTCCCATAAAAACTAGACAGAAGCATTCTCAGAAATTTGTTTGTGATGTGTGTATTCAACTAACAGAGATGAACCTTTCTTTTTACAGAGCAGTTTTGAAACACTCTTTTTGTGGATTCTGAAAGTGGATATTTGGATGGCTTTGAGGATTTTGTTGGAAACGGGATTACATATAAAACCTAGAGAGAAGCATTCTCAGGAACTTCTTTGTGATGTTTGCATTCAAGTCACAGAACTGAACATTCCCTTTCATAGAGCAGGTTTGAAACACTCTTTCTGTAGTATCTGCAAGCTGACGTTTCAAGCGCTTTCAGGCCTATGGTGAGAAAGGAAATATCTTCAAGTAAAAACTAGACAGAAGCATTCTCAGAAACTTATTTGCGATGTGTGTTCTCAACTAACAGAGTTGAACCTTTGTTTTGATATGGCATTTTGGAAACACTCTTTTTGTAGAATCTGCAGGTGGATATTCGGATAGCTTTGAACGTTTCGTTGGAAACGGGAATATCTTCATATAAAATCTAGACGGAAGCATTCTCAGAAACTGCTTTGTGATGTTTTCATTCAAGTCACAGAGTAGAATGTTCCCTGTTATATACCAGGTTTGAGACACTCTTTCTGCACTACCTGGAAGTGGACATTTGCAGCGCTTTGAGGCCTATGATGAAAAAGGAAATATCTTCCCATAAAAACTAGACAGAAGCATTCTCAGAAACTTGTTTGTGATGTGTGTATTCAACTAACAGAGATGAACCTTTCTTTTTACAGAGCAGTTTTGAAACACTCTTTTTGTGGAATCTGAAAGTGGATATTTGGATAGCTTTGAGGATTTCGTTGGAAACGGGATTACATATAAAACCTAGAGAGAAGCATTCTCAGGAACTTCTTTGTGATGTTTGCCTTCAAGTCACAGGACTGAACATTCCCTTTCATAGAGCAGGTTTGAAACACTCTTTCTGTAGTATCTGCAAGCTGACGTTTCAAGCGCTTTCAGGCCTATGGTGAGAAAGGAAATATCTTCAAGTAAAAACTAGACAGAAGCATTCTCAGAAACTTATTTGCGATGTGTGTTCTCAACTAACAGAGTTGAACCTTTGTTTTGATATGGCATTTTGGAAACACTCTTTTTGTAGAATCTGCAGGTGGATATTCGGATAGCTTTGAAGGTTTCGTTGGAAACGGGAATATCTTCATATAAAATCTAGACGGAAGCATTCTCAGAAACTGCTTTGTGATGTTTTCATTCAAGTCACAGAGTAGAATCTTCCCTGTTATATACCAGGTTTCAGACACTCTTTCTGCACTACCTGGAAGTGGACATTTGCAGCGCTTTGAGGCCTATGATGAAAAAGGAAATATCTTCCCATAAAAACTAGACAGAAGCATTCTCAGAAACTTGTTTGTGATGTGTGTATTCAACTAACAGAGATGAACCTTTCTTTTTACAGAGCAGTTTTGAAACACTCTTTTTGTGGAATCTGAAAGTGGATATTTGGATAGCTTTGAGGATTTCGTTGGAAACGGGATTACATATAAAATCTAGAGGGAAGCATTCTCAGGAACTTCTTTGTGATGTTTGCATTCAAGTCACAGAACTGAACATTCCCTTTCATAGAGCAGGTTTGAAACACTCTTTCTGTAGTATCTGCAAGCTGACGTTTCAAGCGCTTTCAGGCCTATGGTGAGAAAGGATATATCTTCAAGTAAAAACTAGACAGAAGCATTCTCAGAAACTTATTTGCGATGTGTGTTCTCAACTAACAGAGTTGAACCTTTGTTTTGATATGGCATTTTGGAAACACTCTTTTTGTAGAATCTGCAGGTGGATATTCGGATAGCTTTGAAGGTTTCGTTGGAAACGGGAATATCTTCATATAAAATCTAGACGGAAGCATTCTCAGAAACTGCTTTGTGATGTTTTCATTCAAGTCACACAGTAGAATGTTCCCTGTTATATACCAGGTTTGAGACACTCTTTCTGCACTACCTGGAAGTGGACATTTGCAGCGCTTTGAGGCCTATGATGAAAAAGGAAATATCTTCCCATAAAAACTAGACAGAAGCATTCTCAGAAACTTGTTTGTGATGTGTGTATTCAACTAACAGAGATGAACCTTTCTTTTTACAGAGCAGTTTTGAAACACTCTTTTTGTGGAATCTGAAAGTGGATATTTGGATAGCTTTGAGGATTTCGTTGGAAACGGGATTACATATAAAATCTAGAGAGAAGCATTCTCAGGAACTTCTTTGTGATGTTTGCATTCAAGTCACAGAACTGAACATTCCCTTTCATAGAGCATGTTTGAAACACTCTTTCTGTAGTATCTGCAAGCGGACGTTTCAAGCGCTTTCAGGCCTATGGTGCGAAAGGAAATATCTTCAAGTAAAAACTAGACAGAAGCATTCTCAGAAACTTATTTGCGATGTGTGTCCTCAACTAACAGAGTTGAACCTTTCTTTTGATACAACATTTTGGAAACACTCTTTTTGTAGAATCTGCAAGTGGATATTTGGATAGCTTTGAAGGTTTCGTTGGAAACGGGAATATCTTCATATAAAATCAAGACAGAAGCATTCTCAGAAAGTGCTTTGTGATGTTTGCATTCAAGTCACAGAGTTGAATATTCCCTTTTATAGAGCAGGTTTGAAACACTCTTTCTGCACTACCTGGAAGTGGACATTTGGAGCGCTTTGAGGCCTATGTTGAAAAAGGAAATATCTTCCCATAAAAACTAGACAGAAGCATTCTCAGAAACTTGTTTGTGATGTGTGTATTCAACTAACAGAGATGAACCTTTCTTTTTACAGAGCAGTTTTGAAACACTCTTTTTGTGGAATCTGAAAGTGGATATTTGGATAGCTTTGAGGATTTCGTTGGAAACGGGATTACATATAAAATCTAGAGAGAAGCATTCTCAGGAACTTCTTTGTGATGTTTGCATTCAAGTCACAGAACTGAACATTCCCTTTCATAGAGCAGGTTTGAAACACTCTTTCTGTAGTATCTGCAAGCTGACGTTTCAAGCGCTTTCAGGCCTATGGTGAGAAAGGAAATATCTTCAAGTAAAAACTAGACAGAAGCATTCTCAGAAACTTATTTGCCATGTGTGTTCTCAACTAACAGAGTTGAACCTTTGTTTTGATACGGCATTTTGGAAACACTCTTTTTGTAGAATCTGCAGGTGGATATTCGGATAGCTTTGAAGGTTTCGTTGGAAACGGGAATATCTTCATATAAAATCTAGACGGAAGCATTCTCAGAAACTGCTTTGTGATGTTTTCATTCAAGTCACAGAGTAGAATGTTCCCCGTTATATACCAGGTTTGAGACACTCTTTCTGCACTACCTGGAAGTGGACATTTGGAGCGCTTTGAGGCCTATGATGAAGAAGGAAATATCTTCCCATAAAAACTAGACAGAAGCATTCTCAGAAACTTGTTTGTGATGTGTGTATTCAACTAACAGAGATGAACCTTTCTTTTTACAGAGCAGTTTTGAAACACTCTTTTTGTGGAATCTGAAAGTGGATATTTGGATAGCTTTGAGGATTTCGTTGGAAACGGGATTACATATAAAACCTAGAGAGAAGCATTCTCAGGAACTTCTTTGTGATGTTTGCATTCAAGTCACAGAACTGAACATTCCCTTTCATAGAGCAGGTTTGAAACACTCTTTCTGTAGTATCTGCAAGCTGACGTTTCAAGCGCTTTCAGGCCTATCGTGAGAAAGGAAATATCTTCAAGTAAAAACTAGACAGAAGCATTCTCAGAAACTTATTTGCCATGTGTGTTCTCAACTAACAGAGTTGAACCTTTGTTTTGATACGGCATTTTGGAAACACTCTTTTTGTAGAATCTGCAGGTGGATATTCGGATAGCTTTGAAGGTTTCGTTGGAAACGGGAATATCTTCATATAAAATCTAGACGGAAGCATTCTCAGAAACTGCTTTGTGATGTTTTCATTGAAGTCACAGAGTAGAATGTTCCCTTTTATATACCAGGTTTGAGACACTCTTTCTGCACTACCTGGAAGTGGACATTTGGAGCGCTTTGAGGCCTATGATGAAAAAGGAAATATCTTCCCATAAAAACTAGACAGAAGCATTCTCAGAAACTTGTTTGTGATGTGTGTATTCAACTAACAGAGATGAACCTTTCTTTTTACAGAGCAGTTTTGAAACACTCTTTTTGTGGAATCTGAAAGTGGATATTTGGATAGCTTTGAGGATTTCGTTGGAAACGGGATTACATATAAAATCTAGGGAGAAGCATTCTCAGGAACTTCTTTGTGATGTTTGCCTTCAAGTCACAGGACTGAACATTCCCTTTCATAGAGCAGGTTTGAAACACTCTTTCTGTAGTATCTGCAAGCTGACGTTTCAAGCGCTTTCAGGCCTATGGTGAGAAAGGAAATATCTTCAAGTAAAAACTAGACAGAAGCATTCTCAGAAACTTATTTACCATGTGTGTTCTCAACTAACAGAGTTGAACCTTTGTTTTGATACGGCATTTTGGAAACACTCTTTTTGTAGAATCTGCAGGTGGATATTCGGATAGCATTGAAGGTTTCGTTGGAAACGGGAATATCTTCATATAAAATCTAGACGGAAGCATTCTCAGAAAGTGCTTTGTGATGTTTGCATTCAAGTCACAGAGTTGAATATTCCCTTTTATAGAGCCGGTTTGAAACACTCTTTCTGCACTAACTGGAAGTGGACATTTGGAGCGCTTTGAGGCCTATGTTGAAAAAGGAAATATCTTCGCATAAAAACTAGACAGAAGCATTCTCAGAAACTTGTTTGTGATGTGTGTATTCAACTAACAGAGATGAACCTTTCTTTTTACAGAGCAGTTTTGAAACACTCTTTTTGTGGAATCTGAAAGTGGATATTTGGATAGCTTTGAGGATTTCGTTGGAAACGGGATTACATATAAAATCTAGAGAGAAGCATTCTCAGGAACTTCTTTGTGATGTTTGCATTCAAGTCACAGAACTGAACATTCCCTTTCATAGAGCAGGTTTGAAACACTCTTTCTGTAGTATCTGCAAGCGGACGTTTTAAGCGCTTTCAGGCCTGTGGTGAGAAAGGAAATATCTTCAAATAAAAACTAGACAGAAGCATTCTCAGAAACTTATTTGCGATGTGTGTCCTCAACTAACAGAGTTGAACCTTTCTTTTGATACAACATTTTGGAAACACTCTTTTTGTAGAATCTGCAAGTGGATATTTGGATAGCTTTGAAGGTTTCGTTGGAAACGGGAATATCTTCATATGAAATCAAGACAGAAGCATTCTCAGAAAGTGCTTTGTGATGTTTGCATTCAAGTCACAGAGTTGAATATTCCCTTTTATAGAGCAGGTTTGAAACACTCTTTCTGCACTACCTGGAAGTGGACATTTGGAGCGCTTTGAGGCCTATGTTGAAAAAGGAAATATCTTCCCATAAAAACTAGACAGAAGCATTCTCAGAAACTTGTTTGTGATGTGTGTATTCAACTAACAAGAGATGAACCTTTCTTTTTACAGAGCAGTTTTGAAACACTCTTTTTGTGGAATCTGAAAGTGGATATTTGGATAGCTTTGCGGATTTCGTTGGAAACGGGATTACATATAAAATCTAGGGAGAAGCATTCTCAGAATCTTTCTTGTGATGTGTGTACTCAAGTAACAGAGTTGAACCTTCATTTTGACAGAGCAGTTTTGAAGCACTCTTTTTGTAGAATCTGCAAGTGGATATTTTGATACCTTTGAGGATTTCGTTAGACACGGGATATATTCATATAAAATCTAGACAGAAGCATTCTCAGAAACTTCTTTGTGCTGTATGTCCTCAATTAACAGAGTTGAACCTTTGTGTGGATACAGCATTTTGGAAACATTCCTTTAGTAGAATCTGCAAGTTGATATTTAGATAGCTAGGAAGATTTCCTTCGAAACGGGAATATCTTCATATAAAATCTAGACGGAAGCATTCTCAGAAAGTGCTTTGTGATGTTTGCATTCAAGTCACAGAGTTGAGTATTCCCTTTTATAGAGCAGGTTTGAAACACTCTTTCTCCACTACCTGGAAGTGGACATTTGGAGCGCTTTGAGGCCTATGTTGAAAAAGGAAATATCTTCCCATAAAAACTAGACAGAAGCATTCTCAGAAACTTGTTTGTGATGTGTGTATTCAACTAACAGAGATGAACCTTTCTTTTTACAGAGCAGTTTTGAAACACTCTTTTTGTGGAATCTGAAAGTGGATATTTGGATAGCTTCGAGGATTTCGTTGGTAACGGGATTACATATAAAACCTAGAGAGAAGCATTCTCAGGAACTTCTTTGTGATGTTTGCATTCAAGTCACAGAACTGAACATTCCCTTTCGTAGAGCATGTTTGACACACTCTTTCTGTAGTATCTGCAAGCGGACGTTTCAAGCGCTTTCAGGCCTATGGTGAGAAAGGAAATATCTTCAAGTAAAAACTAGACAGAAGCATTCTCAGAAACTTATTTGCCATGTGTGTTCTCAACTAACAGAGTTGAACCTTTGTTTTGATACGGCATTTTGGAAACACTCTTTTTGTAGAATCTGCAGGTGGATATTCGGATAGCTTTGAAGGTTTCGTTGGAAACGGGAATATCTTCATATAAAATCTAGACGGAAGCATTCTCAGAAACTGCTTTGTGATGTTTTCATTCAAGTCACAGAGTAGAATGTTCCCTTTTATATACCAGGTTTGAGACACTCTTTCTGCACTATCTGGAAGTGGACATTTGGAGCGCTTTGAGGCCGATGATGAAAAAGGAAATATCTTCCCATAAAAACTAGACAGAAGCATTCTCAGAAACTTGTTTGTGATGTGTGTATTCAACTAACAGAGATGAACCTTTGTTTTTACAGAGCAGTTTTGAAACACTCTTTTTGTGGAATCTGAAAGTGGATATTTGGATAGCTTTGAGGATTTCGTTGGAAACGGGATTACATATAAAATCTAGAGAGAAGCATTCTCAGGAACTTCTTTGTGATGTTTGCATTCACGTCACAGAACTGAACATTCCCTTTCATAGAGCATGTTTGAAACACTCTTTCTGTAGTATCTGCAAACGGACATTTCAAGCGCTTTCAGGCCTATGGTAAGAAAGGAAATATCTTTAAATAAAAACTAGACAGATAAGCATTCTCAGAAACTTATTTGCGATGTGTGTCCTCAACTAACAGAGTTGAACCTTTCTTTTGATACAACATTTTGGAAACACTCTTTTTGTAGAATCTGCAAGTGGATATTTGAATAGCTTTGAAGGTTTCGTTGGAAACGGGAATATCTTCATATAAAATCAAGACGGAAGCATTCTCAGAAAGTGCTTTGTGATGTTTGCATTCAAGTCACAGAGTTGAATGTTCCCTTTTATAGAGCAGGTTTGAAACACTCTTTCTGCACTACCTGGAAGTGGACATTTGGAGCGCTTTGAGGCCTATGTTGAAAAAGGAAATATCTTCCCATAAAAACTAGACAGAAGTATTCTCAGAATCTTTCTTGTGATGTGTGTACTCAAGTAACAGAGTTGAACCTTCATTTTGACAGAGCAGTTTTGAAGCACTCTTTTTGCAGAATCTACTAGTGGATATTTTGATACCTTTGAGGATTTCGTTGGACACGGGATATCTTCATATAAAATCTAGACAGAAGCATTCTCAGGAACTTCTTTGTGATGTTTGCATTCACGTCACAGAACTGAACATTCCCTTTCATAGAGCATGTTTGAAACACTCTTTCTGTAGTATCTGCAAACGGACATTTCAAACGCTTTCAGGCCTATGGTGAGAAAGGAAATATCTTCAAATAAAAACTAGACAGCAGCATTCTCAGAAACTTATTTGCGATGTGTGTCCTCAACTAACAGAGTTGAACCTTTCTTTTGATACAACATTTTGGAAACACTCTTTTTGTAGAATCTGCAAGTGGATATTTGGATAGCTTTGAAGGTTTCGTTGGAAACGGGAATATCTTCATATGAAATCAAGACAGAAGCATTCTCAGAAACTTCTCTGTGATGTTTGCATTCAACTCATAGAGTTGAACACTTCCCTTCATAGAGCAGGTTTGAAACACTCTTTTTGTAATATTTGGAAGTGGACATTTGCAGCGCTTTGAGGCCTATGTTGAAAAAGGAAATATCTTCTCCTAAAAACAAGACAGAAGCATTCTCAGAAACTTGTTTGTGATGTGTGTATTCAACTAACAGAGATGAACCTTTCTTTTTACAGAGCAGTTTTGAAACACTCTTTTTGTGGAATCTGAAAGTGGATATTTGGATAGCTTTGCGGATTTCGTTGGAAACGGGATTACATATAAAATCTAGGGAGAAGCATTCTCAGGAACTTCTTTGTGATGTTTGCATTCAAGTCACAGAACTGAACATTCCCTTTCATAGAGCAGGTTTGAAACACTCTTTCTGTAGTATCTGCAAGCGGACGTTTTAAGCCCTTTCAGGCCTGTGGTGAGAAAGGAAATATCTTCAAATAAAAACTAGACAGAAGCATTCTCAGAAACTTATTTGCGATGTGTGTCCTCAACTAACAGAGTTGAACCTTTCTTTTGATACAACATTTTGGAAACACTCTTTTTGTAGAATCTGCAAGTGGATATTTGGATAGCTTTGAAGGTTTCGTTGGAAACGGGAATATCTTCATATGAAATCAAGACAGAAGCATTCTCAGAAAGTGCTTTGTGATGTTTGCATTCAAGTCACAGAGTTGAATATTCCCTTTTATAGAGCAGGTTTGAAACACTCTTTCTGCACTACCTGGAAGTGGACATTTGGAGCGCTTTGAGGCCTATGTTGAAAAAGGAAATATCTTCCCATAAAAACTAGACAGAAGCATTCTCAGAAACTTGTTTTTGATGTGTGTATTCAACTAACAGAGATGAACCTTTCTTTTTACAGAGCAGTTTTGAAACACTCTTTTTGTGGAATCTGAAAGTGGATATTTGGATAGCTTTGAGGATTTCGTTGGAAACGGGATTACATATAAAACCTAGAGAGAAGAATTCTCAGGAACTTCTTTGTGATGTTTGCATTCAAGTCACAGAACTGAACATTCCCTTTCATAGAGCAGGTTTGAAACACTCTTTCTGTAGTATCTGCAAGCTGACGTTTCAAGCGCTTTCAGGCCTATGGTGAGAAAGGAAATATCTTCAAGTAAAAACTAGACAGAAGCATTCTCAGAAACTTATTTGCGATGTGTGTCCTCAACTAACAGAGTTGAACCTTTCTTTTGATACAACATTTTGGAAACACTCTTTTTGTAGAATCAGCAAGTGGATATTTGAATAGCTTTGAAGGTTTCGTTGGAAACGGGAATATCTTCATATAAAATCAAGACAGAAGCATTCTCAGAAACTTCTCTGTGATGTTTGCATTCAACTCATAGAGTTGAACACTTCCCTTCATACAGCAGGTTTGAAACACTCTTTTTGTAATATTTGGAAGTGGACATTTGCAGCGCTTTGAGGCCTATGATGAAAAAGGTAATATCTTCCCATAAAAACTAGACAGAAGCATTCTCAGAAACTTGTTTGTGATGTGTGTATTCAACTAACAGAGATGAACCTTTCTTTTTACAGAGCAGTTTTGAAACACTCTTTTTGTGGAATCTGAAAGTGGATATTTGGATAGCTTTGAGGATTTCGTTGGAAACGGGATTACATATAAAACCTAGAGAGAAGCATTCTCAGGAACTTCTTTGTGATGTTTGCATTCACGTCACAGAGCTGAACATTCCCTTTCATAGAGCATGTTTGAAACACTCTTTCTGTAGTATCTGCAAACGGACATTTCAAACGCTTTCAGGCCTATGGTGAGAAAGGAAATATCTTCAAATAAAAACTAAACAGAAGCATTCTCAGAAACTTATTTGCGATGTGTGTCCTCAACTAACAGAGTTGAACCTTTCTTTTGATACAACATTTTGGAAACACTCTTTCTGTGGAATCTGCAAGTGGATATTTGGATAGCTTTGAAGATTTCGTTGGAAACGGGAATATCTTCATATAAAATCAAGACAGAAGCATTCTCAGAAACTGCTTTGTGATGTTTTCATTCAAGTCACAGAGTAGAATGTTCCCTGTTATATACCAGGTTTGAGACACTCTTTCTGCACTACCCGGAAGTGGACGTTTGGAGCGCTTTGAGGCCTATGTTGAAAAAGGAAATATCTTCCCATAAAAACTAGACAGAAGCATTCTCAGAAACTTCCTTGTGATGTGTGTACTCAAGTAACAGAGTTGAACCTTCCTTTTGACAGAGCCGTTTTGAAACAGTCTTTTTGTAGAATCTGGAAGTAGATATTTGGACACCTTTGAGGATTTCTTTGGAAACGGGATATCTTCATATAAAATCTAGACAGAAGCATTCTCAGGAACTTCTTTGTGATGTTTGCCTTCAAGTCACAGGACTGAACATTCCCTTTCATAGAGCAGGTTTGAAACACTCTTTCTGTAGTATCTGCAAGCTGACGTTTCAAGCGCTTTCAGGCCTATGGTGAGAAAGGAAATATCTTCAAGTAAAAACTAGACAGAAGCATTCTCAGAAACTTATTTGTGATGTGTGTCCTCAACTAACAGAGTTGAACCTTTCTTTTGATACAACATTTTGGAACCACTCTTTTTGTAGAATCTGCAAGTGGATATTTGGATAGCTTTGAAGGTTTCGTTGGAAACGGGAATATCTTCATATAAAATCAAGACAGAAGCATTCTCAGAAACTGCTTTGTGATGATTTCATTCAAGTCACAGAGTAGAATGTTCCCTGTTATATACCAGGTTTGAGACACTCTTTCTGCACTACCTGGAAGTGGACATTTGCAGCGCTTTGAGGCCTATGATGAAAAAGGAAATATCTTCCCATAAAAACTAGACAGAAGCATTCTCAGAAACTTGTTTGTGATGTGTGTATTCAACTAACAGAGATGAACCTTTCTTTTTACAGAGCAGTTTTGAAACACTCTTTTTGTGGAATCTGAAAGTGGATATTTGGATAGCTTTGAGGATTTCGTTGGAAACGGGATTACATATAAAATCTAGAGAGAAGCATTCTCAGGAACTTCTTTGTGATGTTTGCCTTCAAGTCACAGGACTGAACATTCCCTTTCATAGAGCAGGTTTGAAACACTCTTTCTGTAGTATCTGCAAGCTGACGTTTCAAGCGCTTTCAGGCCTATGGTGAGAAAGGAAATATCTTCAAGTAAAAACTAGACAGAAGCATTCTCAGAAACTTATTTGCCATGTGTGTTCTCAACTAACAGAGTTGAACCTTTGTTTTGATACGGCATTTTGGAAACACTCTTTTTGTAGAATCTGCAGGTGGATATTCGGATAGCTTTGAAGGTTTCGTTGGAAACGGGAATATCTTCATATAAAATCTAGACGGAAGCATTCTCAGAAAGTGCTTTGTGATGTTTGCATTCAAGTCACAGAGTTGAATATTCCCTTTTATAGAGCAGGTTTGAAACACTCTTTCTGCACTACCTGGAAGTGGACATTTGGAGCGCTTTGAGGCCTATGTTGAAAAAGGAAATATCTTCCCATAAAAACTAGACAGAAGCATTCTCAGAAACTTGTTTGTGATGTGTGTATTCAACTAACAGAGATGAACCTTTCTTTTTACAGAGCAGTTTTGAAACACTCTTTTTGTGGAATCTGAAAGTGGATATTTGGATAGCTTTGCGGATTTCGTTGGAAACGGGATTACATATAAAATCTAGGGAGAAGCATTCTCAGGAACTTCTTTGTGATGTTTGCATTCACGTCACAGAACTGAACATTCCCTTTCATAGAGCATGTTTGAAACACTCTTTCTGTAGTATCTGCAAACGGACATTTCAAACGCTTTCAGGCCTGTGGTGAGAAAGGAAATATCTTCAAATAAAAACTAGACAGAAGCATTCTCAGAAACTTATTTGCGATGTGTGTTCTCAACTAACAGAGTTGAACCTTTGTTTTGATATGGCATTTTGGAAACACTCTTTTTGTAGAATCTGCAGGTGGATATTCGGATAGCTTTGAAGGTTTCGTTGGAAACGGGAATATCTTCATATAAAATCTAGACGGAAGCATTCTCAGAAACTGCTTTGTGATGTTTTCATTCAAGTCACAGAGTAGAATGTTCCCTGTTATATACCAGGTTTGAGACACTCTTTCTGCACTACCTGGAAGTGGACATTTGCAGCGCTTTGAGGCCTATGATGAAAAAGGAAATATCTTCCCATAAAAACTAGACAGAAGCATTCTCAGAAACTTGTTTGTGATGTGTGTATTCAACTAACAGAGATGAACCTTTCTTTTTACAGAGCAGTTTTGAAACACTCTTTTTGTGGAATCTGAAAGTGGATATTTGGATAGCTTTGCGGATTTCGTTGGAAACGGGATTACATATAAAACCTAGAGAGAAGCATTCTCAGGAACTTCTTTGTGATGTTTGCATTCACGTCACAGAACTGAACATTCCCTTTCATAGAGCATGTTTGAAACACTCTTTCTGTAGTATCTGCAAACGGACATTTCAAACGCTTTCAGGCCTATGGTGAGAAAGGAAATATCTTCAAGTAAAAATTAGACAGAAGCATTCTCAGAAACTTATTTGCGATGTGTGTCCTCAACTAACAGAGTTGAACCTTTCTTTTGATACAACATTTTGGAAACACTCTTTTTGTAGAATCTGCAAGTGGATATTTGAATAGCTTTGAAGGTTTCGTTGGAAACGGGAATATCTTCATATGAAATCAAGACAGAAGCATTCTCAGAAACTGCTTTGTGATGTTTTCATTCAAGTCACAGAGTAGAATGTTCCCTGTTATATACGAGGTTTGAGACACTCTTTCTGCACTACCTGGAAGTGGACGTTTGGAGCGCTTTGAGGCCTATGTTGAAAAAGGAAATATCTTCCCATAAAAACTAGACAGAAAGCATTCTCAGTAAACTTGTTTGTGATGTGTGTATTCAACTAACAGAGATGAACCTTTCTTTTTACAGAGCAGTTTTGAAACACTCTTTTTGTGGAATCTGAAAGTGGATATTTGGATAGCTTTGAGGATTTCGTTGGAAACGGGATTACATATAAAATCTAGAGAGAAGCATTCTCAGGAACTTCTTTGTGATGTTTGCATTCACGTCACAGAACTGAACATTCCCTTTCATAGAGCATGTTTGAAACACTCTTTCTGTAGTATCTGCAAACGGACATTTCAAACGCTTTCAGGCCTATGGTGAGAAAGGAAATATCTTCAAGTAAAAACTAGACAGAAGCATTCTCAGAAACTTATTTGCGATGTGTGTCCTCAACTAACAGAGTTGAACCTTTCTTTTGATACAACATTTTGGAAACACTCTTTTTGTAGAATCTGCAAGTGGATATTTGGATAGCTTTGAAGGTTTCGTTGGAAACGGGAATATCTTCATATGAAATCAAGACAGAAGCATTCTCAGAAACTTCTCTGTGATGTTTGCATTCAACTCATAGAGTTGAACACTTCCCTTCATACAGCAGGTTTGAAACACTCTTTTTGTAATATTTGGAAGTGGACATTTGCAGCGCTTTGAGGCCTATGATGAAAAAGGTAATATCTTCCCATAAAAACTAGACAGAAGCATTCTCAGAAACTTGTTTGTGATGTGTGTATTCAACAAACAGAGATGAACCTTTCTTTTTACAGAGCAGTTTTGAAACACTCTTTTTGTGGAATCTGAAAGTGGATATTTGGATAGCTTTGAGGATTTCGTTGGAAACGGGATTACATATAAAATCTAGAGAGAAGCATTCTCAGGAACTTCTTTGTGATGTTTGCATTCACGTCACAGAACTGAACATTCCCTTTCATAGAGCATGTTTGAAACACTCTTTCTGTAGTATCTGCAAACGGACATTTCAAACGCTTTCAGGCCTATGGTGAGAAAGGAAATATCTTCAAATAAAAACTAGACAGAAGCATTCTCAGAAACTTCTTTGTGCTGTATGTCCTCAATTAACAGAGTTGAACCTTTGTGTGGATACAGCATTTTGGAAACATTCCTTTAGTAGAATCTGCAAGTTGATATTTAGATAGCTAGGAAGATTTCCTTGGAAACGGGAATATCTTCATATAAAATCTAGACGGAAGCATTCTCAGAAACTGCTTTGTGATGTTTTCATTCAAGTCACAGAGTAGAATGTTCCCTGTTATATACCAGGTTTGAGACACTCTTTTTGTAATATTTGGAAGTGGACATTTGCAGCGCTTTGAGGCCTATGATGAAAAAGGTAATATCTTCCCATAAAAACTAGACAGAAGCATTCTCAGAAACTTGTTTGTGATGTGTGTATTCAACTAACAGAGATGAACCTTTCTTTTTACAGAGCAGTTTTGAAACACTCTTTTTGTGGAATCTGAAAGTGGATATTTGGATAGCTTTGCGGATTTCGTTGGAAACGGGATTACATATAAAATCTAGGGAGAAGCATTCTCAGGAACTTCTTTGTGATGTTTGCATTCAAGTCACAGAACTGAACATTCCCTGTCATAGAGCATGGTTGAAACACTCTTTCTGTAGTATCTGCAAGCGGACGTTTCAAGCGCTTTCAGGCCTATGGTGAGAAAGGAAATATCTTCAAGTAAAAACTAGACAGAAGCATTCTCAGAAACTTCTTTGTGCTGTATGTCCTCAATTAACAGAGTTGAACCTTTGTGTGGATACAGCATTTTGGAAACATTCCTTTGGAAGAATCTGCAAGTTGATAATTAGATAGCTAGGAAGATTTCCTTGGAAACGGGAATATCTTCATATAAAATGTAGACGGAAGCATTCTCAGAAACTGCTTTGTGATGTTTTCATTCAAGTCACAGAGTAGAATCTTCCCTGTTATATACCAGGTTTCAGACACTCTTTCTGCACTACCTGGAAGTGGACATTTGCAGCGCTTTGAGGCCTATGATGAAAAAGGAAATATCTTCCCATAAAAACTAGACAGAAGCATTCTCAGAAACTTGTTTGTGATGTGTGTATTCAACTAACAGAGATGAACCTTTCTTTTTACAGGGCAGTTTTGAAACACTCTTTTTGTGGAATCTGAAAGTGGATATTTGGATAGCTTTGAGGATTTCGTTGGAAACGGGATTACATATAAAATCTAGGGAGAAGCATTCTCAGGAACTTCTTTGTGATGTTTGCATTCAAGTCACACAACTGAACATTCCCTTTCATAGAGCAGGTTTGAAACACTCTTTCTGTAGTATCTGCAAGCGGACGTTTCAAGCGCTTTCAGGCCTGTGGTGAAAAAGGAAATATCTTCAAATAAAAACTAGACAGAAGCATTCTCAGAAACTTATTTGCCATGTGTGTTCTCAACTAACAGAGTTGAACCTTTGTTTTGATACGGCATTTTGGAAATACTCTTTTTGTAGAATCTGCAGGTGGATATTCGGATAGCTTTGAAGGTTTCGTTGGAAACGGGAATATCTTCATATAAAATCTAGACGGAAGCATTCTCAGAAAGTGCTTTGTGATGTTTGCATTCAAGTCACAGAGTTGAATGTTCCCTTTTATAGAGCAGGTTTGAAACACTCTTTCTGCACTACCTGGAAGTGGACATTTGGAGCGCTTTGAGGCCTATGTTGAAAAAGGAAATATCTTCCCATAAAAACTAGACAGAAGCATTCTCAGAAACTTGTTTGTGATGTGTGTATTCAACTAACAGAGATGAACCTTTCTTTTTACAGAGCAGTTTTGAAACACTCTTTTTGTGGAATCTGAAAGTGGATATTTGGATAGCTTTGCGGATTTCGTTGGAAACGGGATTACATATAAAATCTAGGGAGAAGCATTCTCAGGAACTTCTTTGTGATGTTTGCATTCACGTCACAGAACTGAACATTCCCTTTCATAGAGCATGTTTGAAACACTCTTTCTGTAGTATCTGCAAACGGACATTTCAAACGCTTTCAGGCCTATGGTGAGAAAGGAAATATCTTCAAATAAAAACTAGACAGAAGCATTCTCAGAAACGTATTTGCGATGTGTGTCCTCAACTAACAGAGTTGAACCTTTCTTTTGATACAACATTTTGGAAACACTCTTTTTGTAGAATCTGCAAGTGGATATTTGGATAGCTTTGAAGGTTTCGTTGGAAACGGGAATATCTTCATATGAAATCAAGACAGAAGCATTCTCAGAAACTTCTCTGTGATGTTTGCATTCAACTCATAGAGTTGAACACTTCCCTTCATACAGCAGGTTTGAAACACTCTTTTTGTAATATTTGGAAGTGGACATTTGCAGCGCTTTGAGGCCTATGTTGAAAAAGGAAATATCTTCTCCTAAAAACCAGACAGAAGCATTCTCAGAAACTTGTTTGTGATGTGTGTATTCAACTAACAGAGATGAACCTTTCTTTTTACAGAGCAGTTTTGAAACACTCTTTTTGTGGAATCTGAAAGTGGATATTTGGATAGCTTTGAGGATTTCGTTGGAAACGGGATTACATATAAAACCTAGAGAGAAGCATTCTCAGGAACTTCTTTGTGATGTTTGCCTTCAAGTCACAGGACTGAACATTCCCTTTCATAGAGCAGGTTTGAAACACTCTTTCTGTAGTATCTGCAAGCTGACGTTTCAAGCGCTTTCAGGCCTATGGTGAGAAAGGAAATATCTTCAAGTAAAAACTAGACAGAAGCATTCTCAGAAACTTATTTGCCATGTGTGTTCTCAACTAACAGAGTTGAACCTTTGTTTTGATACGGCATTTTGGAAACACTCTTTTTGTAGAATCTGCAGGTGGATATTCGGATAGCTTTGAAGGTTTCGTTGGAAACGGGAATATCTTCATATAAAATCTTGACGGAAGCATTCTCAGAAACTGCTTTGTGATGTTTTCATTCAAGTCACAGAGTAGAATGTTCCCTGTTATATACCAGGTTTGAGACACTCTTTCTGCACTACCTGGAAGTGGACATTTGCAGCGCTTTGAGGCCTATGATGAAAAAGGAAATATCTTCCCATAAAAACTAGACAGAAGCATTCTCAGAAACTTGTTTGTGATGTGTGTATTCAACTAACAGAGATGAACCTCTCTTTTTACAGAGCAGTTTTGAAACACTCTTTTTGTGGAATCTGAAAGTGGATATTTGGAGAGCTTTGCGGATTTCGTTGGAAACGGGATTACATATAAAATCTAGGGAGAAGCATTCTCAGGAACTTCTTTGTGATGTTTGCATTCAAGTCACAGAACTCAACATTCCCTTTCATAGAGCAGGTTTGAAACACTCTTTCTGTAGTATCTGCAAGCTGACGTTTCAAGCGCTTTCAGGCCTATGGTGAGAAAGGAAATATCTTCAAGTAAAAACTAGACAGAAGCATTCTCAGAAACTTATTTGCGATGTGTGTCCTCAACTAACAGAGTTGAACCTTTGTTTTGATATGGCATTTTGGAAACACTCTTTTTGTAGAATCTGCAGGTGGATATTCGGATAGCTTTGAAGGTTTCGTTGGAAACGGGAATATCTTCATATAAAATCTAGACGGAAGCATTCTCAGAAAGTGCTTTGTGATGTTTGCATTCAAGTCACAGAGTTGAATATTCCCTTTTATAGAGCAGGTTTGAAACACTCTTTCTGCACTACCTGGAAGTGGACATTTGGAGCGCTTTGAGGCCTATGTTGAAAAACGAAATATCTTCCCATAAAAACTAGACAGAAGCATTCTCAGAATCTTTCTTGTGATGTGTGTACTCAAGTAACAGAGTTGAACATTCATTTTGACAGAGCAGTTTTGAAGCACTCTTTTTGTAGAATCTGCAAGTGGATATTTTGATACCTTTGAGGATTTCGTTGGACACGGGATATCTTCATATAAAATCTAGATAGAAGCATTCTCAGGAACTTCTTTGTGATGTTTGCATTCAAGTCACAGAACTGAACATTCCCTTTCATAGAGCAGGTTTGAAACACTCTTTCTGTAGTATCTGCAAGCTGACGTTTCAAGCGCTTTCAGGCCTATGGTGAGAAAGGAAATATCTTCAAGTAAAAACTAGACAGAAGCATTCTCAGAAACTTATTTGCCATGTGTGTTCTCAACTAACAGAGTTGAACCTTTGTTTTGATACGGCATTTTGGAAACACTCTTTTTGTAGAATCTGCAGGTGGATATTCGGATAGCTTTGAAGGTTTCGTTGGAAACGGGAATATCTTCATATAAAATCTAGACGGAAGCATTCTCAGAAACTGCTTTGTGATGTTTTCATTCAAGTCACAGAGTAGAATGTTCCCTTTTATATACCAGGTTTGAGACACTCTTTCTGCACTATCTGGAAGTGGACATTTGGAGCGCTTTGAGGCCTATGATGAAAAAGGAAATATATTCCCATAAAAACTAGACAGAAGCATTCTCAGAAACTTGTTTGTGATGTGTGTATTCAACTAACAGAGATGAACCTTTCTTTTTACAGAGCAGTTTTGAAACACTCTTTTTGTGGAATCTGAAAGTGGATATTTGGATAGCTTTGAGGATTTCGTTGGAAACGGGATTACATATAAAATCTAGAGAGAAGCATTCTCAGGAACTTCTTTGTGATGTTTGCATTCACGTCACAGAACTGAACATTCCCTTTCATAGAGCATGTTTGAAACACTCTTTCTGTAGTATCTGCAAACGGACATTTCAAACGCTTTCAGGCCTATGGTGAGAAAGGAAATATCTTCAAGTAAAAACTAGACAGAAGCATTCTCAGAAACTTATTTGCGATGTGTGTCCTCAACTAACAGAGTTGAACCTTTCTTTTGATACAACATTTTGGAAACACTCTTTTTGTAGAATCTGCAAGTGGATATTTGGATAGCTTTGAAGGTTTCGTTGGAAACGGGAATATCTTCATATGAAATCAAGACAGAAGCATTCTCAGAAACTGCTTTGTGATGTTTTCATTCAAGTCACAGAGTAGAATCTTCCCTGTTATATACCAGGTTTCAGACACTCTTTCTGCACTACCTGGAAGTGGACATTTGCAGCGCTTTGAGGCCTATGATGAAAAAGGAAATATCTTCCCATAAAAACTAGACAGAAGCATTCTCAGAAACTTGTTTGTGATGTGTGTATTCAACTAACAGAGATGAACCTTTCTTTTTACAGAGCAGTTTTGAAACACTCTTTTTGTGGAATCTGAAAGTGGATATTTGGAAAGCTTTGAGGATTTCGTTGGAAACGGGATTACATATAAAACCTAGAGAGAAGCATTCTCAGGAACTTCTTTTTGATGTTTGCCTTCAAGTCACAGGACTGAACATTCCCTTTCATAGAGCAGGTTTGAAACACTCTTTCTGTAGTATCTGCAAGCTGACGTTTCAAGCGCTTTCAGGCCTATGGTGAGAAAGGAAATATCTTCAAGTAAAAACTAGACAGAAGCATTCTCAGAAACATATTTGCCATGTGTGTTCTCAACTAACAGAGTTGAACCTTTGTTTTGATACGGCATTTTGGAAACACTCTTTTTGTAGTATCTGCAGGTGGATATTCGGATAGCTTTGAAGGTTTCGTTGGAAACGGGAATATCTTCATATAAAATCTAGACGGAAGCATTCTCAGAAAGTGCTTTGTGATGTTTGCATTCAAGTCACAGAGTTGAATATTCCGTTTTATAGAGCAGGTTTGAAACACTCTTTCTGCACTACCTGGAAGTGGACATTTGGAGCGCTTTGAGGCCTATGTTGAAAAAGGAAATATCTTCCCATAAAAACTAGACAGAAGCATTCTCAGAAACTTGTTTGTGATGTGTGTATTCAACTAACAGAGATGAACCTTTCTTTTTACAGAGCACTTTTGAAACACTCTTTTTGTGGAATCTGAAAGTGGATATTTGGATAGCTTTGAGGATTTCGTTGGAAACGGGATTACATATAAAACCTAGAGAGAAGCATTCTCAGGAACTTCTTTGTGATGTTTGCATTCAAGTCACAGAACTGAACATTCCCTTTCATAGAGCAGGTTTGAAACACTCTTTCTGTAGTATCTGCAAGCTGACGTTTCAAGCGCTTTCAGGCCTATGGTGAGAAAGGAAATATCTTCAAGTAAAAACTAGACAGAAGCATTCTCAGAAACTTATTTGCCATGTGTGTTCTCAACTAACAGAGTTGAACCTTTGTTTTGATACGGCATTTTGGAAACACTCTTTTTGTAGAATCTGCAGGTGGATATTCGGATAGCTTTGAAGGTTTCGTTGGAAACGGGAATATCTTCATATAAAATCTAGACGGAAGCATTCTCAGAAAGTGCTTTGTGATGTTTGCATTCAAGTCACAGAGTTGAATATTCCCTTTTATAGAGCAGGTTTGAAACACTCTTTCTGCACTACCTGGAAGTGGACATTTGGAGCGCTTTGAGGCCTATGTTGAAAAAGGAAATATCTTCCCATAAAAACTAGACAGAAGCATTCTCAGAAACTTGTTTGTGATGTGTGTATTCAACTAACAGAGATGAACCTTTCTTTTTACAGAGCAGTTTTGAAACACTCTTTTTGTGGAATCTGAACGTGGATATTTGGATAGCTTTGAGGATTTCGTTGGAAACGGGATTACATATAAAATCTAGAGAGAAGCATTCTCAGGAACTTCTTTGTGATGTTTGCATTCAAGTCACAGAACTGAACATTCCCTTTCATAGAGCATGTTTGAAACACTCTTTCTGTAGTATCTGCAAGCGGACGTTTCAAGCGCTTTCAGGCCTATGGTGAGAAAGGAAATATCTTCAAGTAAAAACTAGACAGAAGCATTCTCAGAAACTTATTTGCGATGTGTGTTCTCAACTAACAGAGTTGAACCTTTGTTTTGATATGGCATTTTGGAAACACTCTTTTTGTAGAATCTGCAGGTGGATATTCGGATAGCTTTGAAGGTTTCGTTGGAAACGGGAATATCTTCATATAAAATCTAGACGGAAGCATTCTCAGAAACTGCTTTGTGATGTTTTCATTCAAGTCACAGAGTAGAATGTTCCCTGTTATATACCAGGTTTGAGACACTCTTTCTGCACTACCCGGAAGTGGACGTTTGGAGCGCTTTGAGGCCTATGTTGAAAAAGGAAATATCTTCCCATAAAAACTAGACAGAAGCATTCTCAGAAACTTGTTTGTGATGTGTGTATTCAACTAACAGAGATGAACCTTTCTTTTTACAGAGCAGTTTTGAAACACTCTTTTTGTGGAATCTGAAAGTGGATATTTGGATGGCTTTGAGGATTTCGTTGGAAACGGGATTACATATAAAATCTAGAGAGAAGCATTCTCAGGAACTTCTTTGTGATGTTTGCATTCAAGTCACAGAACTGAACATTCCCTTTCATAGAGCAGGTTTGAAACACTCTTTCTGTAGTATCTGCAAGCTGACGTTTCAAGCGCTTTCAGGCCTATGGTGAGAAAGGAAATATCTTCAAGTAAAAACTAGACAGAAGCATTCTCAGAAACTTATTTGAGATGTGTGTTCTCAACTAACAGAGTTGAACCTTTGTTTTGATATGGCATTTTGGAAACACTCTTTTTGTAGAATCTGCAGGTGGATATTCGGATAGCTTTGAAGGTTTCGTTGGAAACGGGAATATCTTCATATAAAATCAAGACAGAAGCATTCTCAGAAACTTCTCTGTGATGTTTGCATTCAACTCATAGAGTTGAACACTTCCCTTCATACAGCAGGTTTGAAACACTCTTTTTGTAATATTTGGAAGTGGACATTTGCAGCGCTTTGAGGCCTATGATGAAAAAGGTAATATCTTCCCATAAAAACTAGACAGAAGCATTCTCAGAAACTTGTTTGTGATGTGTGTATTCAACTAACAGAGATGAACCTTTCTTTTTACAGAGCAGTTTTGAAACACTCTTTTTGTGGAATCTGAAAGTGGATATTTGGATAGATTTGCGGATTTCGTTGGAAACGGGATTACATATAAAATCTAGGGAGAGAGCATTCTCAGGAACTTCTTTGTGATGTTTTCATTCAAGTCACAGAACTGAACATTCCCTTTCATAGAGCAGGTTTGAAACACTCTTTCTGTAGTATCTGCAAGCTGACGTTTCAAGCGCTTTCAGGCCTATGGTGAGAAAGGAAATATCTTCAAGTAAAAACTAGACAGAGCATTCTCAGAAACTTATTTGCGATGTGTGTCCTCAACTAACAGAGTTGAACCTTTGTTTTGATACAACATTTTGGAAACACTCTTTTTGTAGAATCTGCAAGTGGATATTTGGATAGCTTTGAAGGTTTCGTTGGAAACGGGAATATCTTCATATAAAATCAAGACAGAAGCATTCTCAGAAACTTCTCTGTGATGTTTGCATTCAACTCATAGAGTTGAACACTTCCCTTCATAGAGCAGGTTTGAAACACTCTTTTTGTAATATTTGGAAGTGGACATTTGCAGCGCTTTGAGGCCTATGTTGAAAAAGGAAATATCTTCTCCTAAAAACCAGACAGAAGCATTCTCAGAAACTTGTTTGTGATGTGTGTATTCAACTAACAGAGATGAACCTTTCTTTTTACAGAGCAGTTTTGAAACACTCTTTTTGTGGAATCTGAAAGTGGATATTTGGATAGCTTTGCGGATTTCGTTGGAAACGGGATTACATATAAAATCTAGGGAGAAGCATTCTCAGGAACTTCTTTGTGATGTTTGCATTCAAGTCACAGAACTGAACATTCCCTTTCATAGAGCATGTTTGAAACACTCTTTCTGTAGTATCTGCAAGCGGACGTTTCAAGCGCTTTCAGGCCTATGGTGAGAAAGGAAATATCTTCAAGTAAAAACTAGACAGAAGCATTCTCAGAAACTTATTTGCGATGTGTGTTCTCAACTAACAGAGTTGAACCTTTGTTTTGATACAACATTTTGGAAACACTCTTTTTGTAGAATCTGCAAGTGGATATTTGGATAGCTTTGAAGGTTTCGTTGGAAACGGGAATATCTTCATATAAAATCAAGACAGAAGCATTCTCAGAAACTTCTCTGTGATGTTTGCATTCAACTCATAGAGTTGAACACTTCCCTTCATAGAGCAGGTTTGAAACACTCTTTTTGTAGTATTTGGAAGTGGACATTTGCAGCGCTTTGAGGCCTATGTTGAAAAAGGAAATATCTTCTCCTAAAAACCAGACAGAAGCATTCTCAGAAACTTATTTGCGATGTGTGTCCTCAACTAACAGAGTTGAACCTTTCTTTTGATACAACATTTTGGAAACACTCTTTTTGTAGAATCTGCAAGTGGATATTTGAATAGCTTTGAAGGTTTCGTTGGAAACGGGAATATCTTCATATAAAATCAAGACAGACAAGCATTCTCAGAAACTTCTCTGTGATGTTTGCATTCAACTCATAGAGTTGAACACTTCCCTTCATACAGCAGGTTTGAAACACTCTTTTTGTAATATTTGGAAGTGGACATTTGCAGCGCTTTGAGGCCTATGATGAAAAAGGTAATATCTTCCCATAAAAACTAGACAGAAGCATTCTCAGAAACTTGTTTGTGATGTGTGTATTCAACTAACAGAGATGAACCTTTCTTTTTACAGAGCAGTTTTGAAACACTCTTTTTGTGGAATCTGAAAGTGGATATTTGGATAGCTTTGAGGATTTCGTTGGAAACGGGATTACATATAAAACCTAGAGAGAAGCATTCTCAGGAACTTCTTTGTGATGTTTGCCTTCAAGTCACAGGACTGAACATTCCCTTTCATAGAGCAGGTTTGAAACACTCTTTCTGTAGTATCTGCAAGCTGACGTTTCAAGCGCTTTCAGGCCTATGGTGAGAAAGGAAATATCTTCAAGTAAAAACTAGACAGAAGCATTCTCAGAAACTTATTTGCCATGTGTGTTCTCAACTAACAGAGTTGAACCTTTGTTTTGATACGGCATTTTGGAAACACTCTTTTTGTAGAATCTGCAGGTGGATATTCGGATAGCTTTGAAGGTTTCGTTGGAAACGGGAATATCTTCATATAAAATCTAGACGGAAGCATTCTCAGGAAACTTCTCTGTGATGTTTGCATTCAACTCATAGAGTTGAACACTTCCCTTCATACAGCAGGTTTGAAACACTCTTTTTGTAATATTTGGAAGTGGACATTTGCAGCGCTTTGAGGCCTATGATGAAAAAGGTAATATCTTCCCATAAAAACTAGACAGAAGCATTCTCAGAAACTTGTTTGTGATGTGTGTATTCAACTAACAGAGATGAACCTTTCTTTTTACAGAGCAGTTTTGAAACACTCTTTTTGTGGAATCTGAAAGTGGATATTTGGATAGCTTTGCGGATTTCGTTGGAAACGGGATTACATATAAAATCTAGGGAGAAGCATTCTCAGGAACTTCTTTGTGATGTTTGCCTTCAAGTCACAGGACTGAACATTCCCTTTCATAGAGCAGGTTTGAAACACTCTTTCTGTAGTATCTGCAAGCTGACGTTTCAAGCGCTTTCAGGCCTATGGTGACAAAGGAAATATCTTCAAGTAAAAACTAGACAGAAGCATTCTCAGAAACTTATTTGCCATGTGTGTTCTCAACTAACAGAGTTGAACCTTTGTTTTGATATGGCATTTTGGAAACACTCTTTTTGTAGAATCTGCAGGTGGATATTCGGATAGCTTTGAAGGTTTCGTTGGAAACGGGAATATCTTCATATAAAATCTAGACGGAAGCATTCTCAGAAACTGCTTTGTGATGTTTTCATTCAAGTCACAGAGTAGAATGTTCCCTGTTATATACCAGGTTTGAGACACTCTTTCTGCACTACCTGGAAGTGGACATTTGCAGCGCTTTGAGGCCTATGATGAAAAAGGAAATATCTTCCCATAAAAACTAGACAGAAGCATTCTCAGAAACTTGTTTGTGATGTGTGTATTCAACTAACAGAGATGAACCTTTCTTTTTACAGAGCAGTTTTGAAACACTCTTTTTGTGGAATCTGAAAGTGGATATTTGGATAGCTTTGAGGATTTCGTTGGAAACGGGATTACATATAAAACCTAGAGAGAAGCATTCTCAGGAACTTCTTTGTGATGTTTGCATTCAAGTCACAGAACTGAACATTCCCTTTCATAGAGCAGGTTTGAAACACTCTTTCTGTAGTATCTGCAAGCTGACGTTTCAAGCGCTTTCAGGCCTATGGTGAGAAAGGAAATATCTTCAAGTAAAAACTAGACAGAAGCATTCTCAGAAACTTATTTGCCATGTGTGTCCTCAACTAACAGAGTTGAACCTTTCTTTTGATACGGCATTTTGGAAACACTCTTTTTGTAGAATCTGCAGGTGGATATTCGGATAGCTTTGAAGGTTTCGTTGGAAACGGGAATATCTTCATATGAAATCAAGACAGAAGCATTCTCAGAAACTGCTTTGTGATGTTTTCATTCAAGTCACAGAGTAGAATCTTCCCTGTTATATACCAGGTTTCAGACACTCTTTCTGCACTACCTGGAAGTGGACATTTGCAGCGCTTTGAGGCCTATGATGAAAAAGGAAATATCTTCCCATAAAAACTAGACAGAAGCATTGTCAGAAACTTGTTTGTGATGTGTGTATTCAACTAACAGAGATGAACCTTTCTTTTTACAGAGCAGTTTTGAAACACTCTTTTTGTGGAATCTGAAAGTGGATATTTGGATAGCTTTGAGGATTTCGTTGGAAACGGGATTACATATAAAACCTAGAGAGAAGCATTCTCAGGAACTTCTTTGTGATGTTTGCATTCACGTCACAGAACTGAACATTCCCTTTCATAGAGCATGTTTGAAACACTCTTTCTGTAGTATCTGCAAACGGACATTTCAAACGCTTTCAGGCCTATGGTGAGAAAGGAAATATCTTCAAATAAAAACTAGACAGAAGCATTCTCAGAAACTTCTTTGTGCTGTATGTCCTCAATTAACAGAGTTGAACCTTTGTGTGGATACAGCATTTTGGAAACATTCCTTTAGTAGAATCTGCAAGTTGATATTTAGATAGCTAGGAAGATTTCCTTGGAAACGGGAATATCTTCATATAAAATCTAGACGGAAGCATTCTCAGAAACTGCTTTGTGATGTTTTCATTCAAGTCACAGAGTAGAATGTTCCCTGTTATATACCAGGTTTGAGACACTCTTTCTGCACTACCTGGAAGTGGACATTTGCAGCGCTTTGAGGCCTATGATGAAAAAGGAAATATCTTCCCATAAAAACTAGACAGAAGCATTCTCAGAAACTTGTTTGTGATGTGTGTATTCAACTAACAGAGATGAACCTTTCTTTTTACAGAGCAGTTTTGAAACACTCTTTTTGTGGAATCTGAAAGTGGATATTTGGATAGCTTTGAGGATTTCGTTGGAAACGGGATTACATATAAAACCTAGAGAGAAGCATTCTCAGGAACTTCTTTGTGATGTTTGCATTCACGTCACAGAACTGAACATTCCCTTTCATAGAGCATGTTTGAAACACTCTTTCTGTAGTATCTGCAAACGGACATTTCAAACGCTTTCAGGCCTATGGTGAGAAAGGAAATATCTTCAAGTAAAAACTAGACAGAAGCATTCTCAGAAACTTATTTGCGATGTGTGTCCTCAACTAACAGAGTTGAACCTTTCTTTTGATACAACATTTTGGAAACACTCTTTTTGTAGAATCTGCAAGTGGATATTTGAATAGCTTTGAAGGTTTCGTTGGAAACGGGAATATCTTCATATAAAATCAAGACAGAAGCATTCTCAGAAACTTCTCTGTGATGTTTGCATTCAACTCATACAGTTGAACATTTCCCTTCATACAGCAGGTTTGAAACACTCTTTTTGTAATATTTGGAAGTGGACATTTGCAGCGCTTTGAGGCCTATGATGAAAAAGGAAATATCTTCCCATAAAAACTAGACAGAAACATTCTCAGAAACTTGTTTGTGATGTGTGTATTCAACTAACAGAGATGAACCCTTCTTTTTACAGAGCAGTTTTGAAACACTCTTTTTGTGGAATCTGAAAGTGGACATTTGGATAGCTTTGCGGATTTCGTTGGAAACGGGATTACATAGAAAATCTAGGGAGAAGCATTCTCAGGAACTTCTTTGTGATGTTTGCATTCAAGTCACAGAACTGAACATTCCCTTTCATAGAGCAGGTTTGAAACACTCTTTCTGTAGTATCTGCAAGCGGACGTTTGAAGCGCTTTCAGGCCTGTGTTGAAAAAGGAAATATCTTCAAATAAAAACTAGACAGAAGCATTCTCAGAAACTTATTTGCGATGTGTGTTCTCAACTAAAAGAGTTGAACCTTTGTTTGGATACAGCATTTTGGAAACACTCTTTTTGTAGAATCTGCAAGTGGATATTTGTATAGCTTTGAAGGTTTCGTTGGAAACGGGAATATCTTCATATAAAATCAAGACAGAAAGCATTCTCAGAAACTGCTTTGTGATGTTTTCATTCAAGTCACACAGTAGAATGTTCCCTGTTATATACCAGGTTTGAGACACTCTTTCTGCACTACCTGGAAGTGGACATTTGCAGCGCTTTGAGGCCTATGATGAAAAAGGAAATATCTTCCCATAAAAACTAGACAGAAGCATTCTCAGAAACTTGTTTTTGATGTGTGTATTCAACTAACAGAGATGAACCTTTCTTTTTACAGAGCAGTTTTGAAACACTCTTTTTGTGGAATCTGAAAGTGGATATTTGGATAGCTTTGAGGATTTCGTTGGAAACGGGATTAAATATAAAATCTAGAGAGAAGCATTCTCAGGAACTTCTTTGTGATGTTTGCATTCACGTCACAGAACTGAACATTCCCTTTCATAGAGCAGGTTTGAAACACTCTTTCTGTAGTATCTGCAAGCGGACGTTTTAAGCGCTTTCAGGCCTGTGGTGAGAAAGGAAATATCTTCAAATAAAAACTAGACAGAAGCATTCTCAGAAACTTATTTGCGATGTGTGTCCTCAACTAACAGAGTTGAACCTTTCTTTTGATACAACATTTTGGAAACACTCTTTTTGTGGAATCTGCAAGTGGATATTTGGATAGCTTTGAAGATTTCGTTGGAAACGGGAATATCTTCATATAAAATCAAGACAGAAGCATTCTCAGAAACTGCTTTGTGATGTTTTCATTCAAGTCACAGAGTTGAATGTTCCCTGTTATATACCAGGTTTGAGACACTCTTTCTGCACTACCCGGAAGTGGACGTTTGGAGCGCTTTGAGGCCAATGTTGAAAAAGGAAATATCTTCCCATAAAAACTAGACAGAAGCATTCTCAGAAACTTGTTTGTGATGTGTGTATTCAACTAACAGAGATGAACCTTTCTTTTTACAGAGCAGTTTTGAAACACTCTTTTTGTGGAATCTGAAAGTGGATATTTGGATAGCTTTGAGGATTTCGTTGGAAACGGGATTACATATAAAACCTAGAGAGAAGCATTCTCAGGAACTTCTTTGTGATGTTTGCATTCAAGTCACAGGACTGAACATTCCCTTTCATAGAGCAGGTTTGAAACACTCTTTCTGTAGTATCTGCAAGCTGACGTTTCAAGCGCTTTCAGGCCTATGGTGAGAAAGGAAATATCTTCAAGTAAAAACTAGACAAAAGCATTCTCAGAAACTTATTTGCGATGTGTGTTCTCAACTAACAGAGTTGAACCTTTGTTTTGATATGGCATTTTGGAAACACTCTTTTTGTAGAATCTGCAGGTGGATATTCGGATAGCTTTGAAGGTTTCGTTGGAAACGGGAATATCTTCATATAAAATCTAGACGGAAGCATTCTCAGAAACTGCTTTGTGATGTTTTCATTCAAGTCACAGAGTAGAATGTTCCCTGTTATATACCAGGTTTGAGACACTCTTTCTGCACTACCTGGAAGTGGACGTTTGGAGCGCTTTGAGGCCTATGTTGAAAAAGGAAATATCTTCCCATAAAAACTAGACAGAAGCATTCTCAGAAGCTTGTTTGTGATGTGTGTATTCAACTAACAGAGATGAACCTTTCTTTTTACAGAGCAGTTTTGAAACACTCTTTTTGTGGAATCTGAAAGTGGATATTTGGATAGCTTTGAGGATTTCGTTGGAAACGGGATTACATATAAAACCTAGAGAGAAGCATTCTCAGGAACTTCTTTGTGATGTTTGCATTCAAGTCACAGACCTGAACATTCCCTTACATAGAGCATGTTTGAAACACTCTTTCTGTAGTATCTGCAAGCTGACGTTTCAAGCGCTTTCAGGCCTGTGGTGAGAAAGGAAATATCTTCAAGTAAAAAATAGACAGAAGCATTCTCAGAAACTTATTTGCCATGTGTGTTCTCAACTAACAGAGTTGAACCTTTGTTTTGATACGGCATTTTGGAAACACTCTTTTTGTAGAATCTGCAAGTGGATATTCGGATAGCTTTGAAGGTTTCGTTGGAAACGGGAATATCTTCATATAAAATCTAGACGGAAGCATTCTCAGAAACTGCTTTGTGATGTTTTCATTCAAGTCACAGAGTAGAATGTTCCCTGTTATATACCAGGTTTGAGACACTCTTTCTGCACTACCTGGAAGTGGACGTTTGGAGCGCTTTGAGGCCTATGTTGAAAAAGGAAATATCTTCCCATAAAAACTAGACAGAAGCATTCTCAGAAACTTGTTTGTGATGTGTGTATTCAACTAACAGAGATGAACCTTTCTTTTTACAGAGCAGTTTTGAAACACTCTTTTTGTGGAATCTGAAAGTGGATATTTGGATAGCTTTGAGGATTTCGTTGGAAACGGGATTACATATAAAATCTAGAGAGAAGCATTCTCAGGAACTTCTTTGTGATGTTTGCATTCACGTCACAGAACTGAACATTCCCTTTCATAGAGCATGTTTGAAACACTCTTTCTGTAGTATCTGCAAACGGACATTTCAAACGCTTTCAGGCCTATGGTGAGAAAGGAAATATCTTCAAGTAAAAACTAGACAGAAGCATTCTCAGAAACTTCTTTGTGCTGTATGTCCTCAATTAACAGAGTTGAACCTTTGTGTGGATACAGCATTTTGGAAACATTCCTTTAGTAGAATCTGCAAGTTGATATTTAGATAGCTAGGAAGATTTCCTTGGAAACGGGAATATCTTCATATAAAATCTAGACGGAAGCATTCTCAGAAACTTCTCTGTGATGTTTGCATTCAACTCATAGAGTTGAACACTTCCCTTCATACAGCAGGTTTGAAACACTCTTTTTGTAATATTTGGAAGTGGACATTTGCAGCGCTTTGAGGCCTATGATGAAAAAGGAAATATCTTCCCATAAAAACTAGACAGAAGCATTCTCAGAAACTTGTTTGTGATGTGTGTATTCAACTAACAGAGATGAACCTTTCTTTTTACAGAGCAGTTTTGAAACACTCTTTTTGTGGAATCTGAAAGTGGATATTTGGATAGCTTTGAGGATTTCGTTGGAAACGGGATTACATATAAAACCTAGAGAGAAGCATTCTCAGGAACTTCTTTGTGATGTTTGCATTCAAGTCACAGAACTGAACATTCCCTTTCATAGAGCAGGTTTGAAACACTCTTTCTGTAGTATCTGCAAGCGGACGTTTCAAGCGCTTTCAGGCCTATGGTGAGAAAGGAAATATCTTCAAGTAAAAACTAGACAGAAGCATTCTCAGAAACTTATTTGCGATGTGTGTCCTCAACTAACAGAGTTGAACCTTTCTTTTGATACAACATTTTGGAAACACTCTTTTTGTAGAATCTGCAAGTGGATATTTGAATAGCTTTGAAGGTTTCGTTGGAAACGGGAATATCTTCATATAAAATCAAGACAGAAGCATTCTCAGAAACTTCTCTGTGATGTTTGCATTCAACTCATAGAGTTGAACACTTCCCTTCATACAGCAGGTTTGAAACACTCTTTTTGTAATATTTGGAAGTGGACTTTTGCAGCGCTTTGAGGCCTATGATGAAAAAGGTAATATCTTCCCATAAAAACTAGACAGAAGCATTCTCAGAAACTTGTTTGTGATGTGTGTATTCAACTAACAGAGATGAACCTTTCTTTTTACAGACCAGTTTTGAAACAGTCTTTTTGTGGAATCTGGAAGTAGATATTTGGATACCTTTGAGGATTTCTTTGGAAACGGGGTATCTTCATATAAAATCTAGACAGAAGCATTCCCAGGAACTTCTTTGTGATGTTTGCATTCAAGTCACAGAACTGAACATTCCCTTTCATAGAGCAGGTTTGAAACACTCTTTCTGTAGTATCTGCAAGCGGACGTTTCAAGCGCTTTCAGGCCTGTGGTGAAAAAGGAAATATCTTCAAATAGAAACTAGACAGAAGCATTCTCAGAAACTTATTTGCGATGTGTGTTCTCAACTAACAGAGTTGAACCTTTGTTTTGATACAGCATTTTGGAAACACTCTTTTTGTAGGATCTGCAGGTGGATATTTGGATAGCTTTGATGGTTTCGTTGGAAACGGGAATATCCTCATATAAAATCAAGACAGAAGCATTCTCAGAAAGTTCTCTGTGATGTTTGCATTCAACTCATAGAGTTGAACACTTCCCTTCATACAGCAGGTTTGAAACACTCTTTTTGTAATATTTGGAAGTGGACATTTGCAGCGCTTTGAGGCCTATGTTGAAAAAGGAAATATCTTCTCCTAAAAACCAGACAGAAGCATTCTCAGAAACTTCCTTGTGATGTGTGTACTCAAGTAACAGAGTTGAACCTTCCTTTTGACAGAGCAGTTTTGAAGCACTCTTTTTGTAGAATCTGCAAGTGGATATTTTGATACCTTTGAGGATTTCGTTGGACACGGGATATCTTCATATAAAATCTAGACAGAAGCATTCTCAGAAACTTCTTTGTGCTGTATGTCCTCAATTAACAGAGTTGAACCTTTGTGTGGATACAGCATTTTGGAAACATTCCTTTAGTAGAATCTGCAAGTTGATATTTAGATAGCTAGGAAGATTTCCTTGGAAACGGGAATATCTTCATATAAAATCTAGATGGAAGCATTCTCAGAAAGTGCTTTGTGATGTTTGCATTCAAGTCACAGAGTTGAATATTCCCTTTTATAGAGCAGGTTTGAAACACTCTTTCTGCACTACCTGGAAGTGGACATTTGGAGCGCTTTGAGGCCTATGTTGAAAAAGGAAATATCTTCCCATAAAAACTAGACAGAAGCATTCTCAGAAACTTGTTTGTGATGTGTGTATTCAACTAACAGAGATGAACCTTTCTTTTTACAGAGCAGTTTTGAAACACTCTTTTTGTGGAATCTGAAAGTGGATATTTGGATAGCTTTGAGGATTTCGTTGGAAACGGGATTACATATAAAATCTAGAGAGAAGCATTCTCAGGAACTTCTTTGTGATGTTTGCATTCAAGTCACAGAACTGAACATTCCCTTTCATAGAGCAGGTTTGAAACACTCTTTCTGTAGTATCTGCAAGCTGACGTTTCAAGCGCTTTCAGGCCTATGGTGAGAAAGGAAATATCTTCAAGTAAAAACTAGACAGAAGCATTCTCAGAAACTTATTTGCCATGTGTGTTCTCAACTAACAGAGTTGAACCTTTGTTTTGATGCGGCATTTTGGAAACACTCTTTTTGTAGAATCTGCAGGTGGATATTCGGATAGCTTTGAAGGTTTCGTTGGAAACGGGAATATCTTCATATAAAATCTAGACGGAAGCATTCTCAGAAACTGCTTTGTGATGTTTTCATTCAAGTCACAGAGTAGAATGTTCCCTGTTATATACCAGGTTTGAGACACTCTTTCTGCACTACCTGGAAGTGGACATTTGCAGCGCTTTGAGGCCTATGATGAAAAAGGAAATATCTTCCCATAAAAACTAGACAGAAGCATTCTCAGAAACTTGTTTGTGATGTGTGTATTCAACTAACAGAGATGAACCTTTCTTTTTACAGAGCAGTTTTGAAACACTCTTTTTGTGGAATCTGAAAGTGGATATTTGGATAGCTTTGAGGATTTCGTTGGAAACGGGATTACATATAAAACCTAGAGAGAAGCATTCTCAGGAACTTCTTTGTGATGTTTGCCTTCAAGTCACAGGACTGAACATTCCCTTTCATAGAGCAGGTTTGAAACACTCTTTCTGTAGTATCTGCAAGCTGACGTTTCAAGCGCTTTCAGGCCTATGGTGAGAAAGGAAATATCTTCAAGTAAAAACTAGACAGGAAGCATTCTCAGAAACTTATTTGCGATGTGTGTTCTCAACTAACAGAGTTGAACCTTTGTTTTGATATGGCATTTTGGAAACACTCTTTTTGTAGAATCTGCAGGTGGATATTCGGATAGCTTTGAAGGTTTCGTTGGAAACGGGAATATCTTCATATAAAATCTAGACGGAAGCATTCTCAGAAACTGCTTTGTGATGTTTTCATTCAAGTCACAGAGTAGAATGTTCCCTGTTATATACCAGGTTTGAGACACTCTTTCTGCACTACATGGAAGTGGACGTTTGGAGCGCTTTGAGGCCTATGTTGAAAAAGGAAATATCTTCCCATAAAAACTAGACAGAAGCATTCTCAGAAACTTGTTTGTGATGTGTGTATTCAACTAACAGAGATGAACCTTTCTTTTTACAGAGCAGTTTTGAAACACTCTTTTTGTGGAATCTGAAAGTGGATATTTGGATAGCTTTGAGGATTTCGTTGGAAACGGGATTACATATAAAATCTAGAGAGAAGCATTCTCAGGAACTTCTTTGTGATGTTTGCATTCAAGTCACAGAACTGAACATTCCCTTTCATAGAGCAGGTTTGAAACACTCTTTCTGTAGTATCTGCAAGCGGACGTTTTAAGCGCTTTCAGGCCTGTGGTGAGAAAGGAAATATCTTCAAATAAAAACTAGACAGAAGCATTCTCAGAAACTTATTTGCCATGTGTGTTCTCAACTAACAGAGTTGAACCTTTGTTTTGATACGGCATTTTGGAAACACTCTTTTTGTAGAATCTGCAGGTGGATATACGGATAGCTTTGAAGGTTTCGTTGGAAACGGGAATATCTTCATATAAAGTCTAGACGGAAGCATTCTCAGAAACTTCTCTGTGATGTTTGCATTCAACTCATAGAGTTGAACACTTCCCTTCATACAGCAGGTTTGAAACACTCTTTTTGTAATATTTGGAAGTGGACAGTTGCAGCGCTTTGAGGCCTATGATGAAAAAGGTAATATCTTCCCATAAAAACTAGACAGAAGCATTCTCAGAAACTTGTTTGTGATGTGTGTATTCAACTAACAGAGATGAACCTTTCTTTTTACAGAGCAGTTTTGAAACACTCTTTTTGTGGAATCTGAAAGTGGATATTTGGATAGCTTTGCGGATTTCGTTGGAAACGGGATTACATATAAAATCTAGGGAGAAGCATTCTCAGGAACTTCTTTGTGATGTTTGCATTCAAGTCACAGAACTGAACATTCCCTTTCATAGAGCAGGTTTGAAACAGTCTTTCTGTAGTATCTGCAAGCTGACGTTTCAAGCGCTTTCAGGCCTATGGTGAGAAAGGAAATATCTTCAAGTAAAAACTAGACAGAAGCATTCTCAGAAACTTATTTGCGATGTGTGTTCTCAACTAACAGAGTTGAACCTTTGTTTTGATATGGCATTTTGGAAACACTCTTTTTGTAGAATCTGCAGGTGGATATTCGGATAGCTTTGAAGGTTTCGTTGGAAACGGGAATATCTTCATATAAAATCTAGACGGAAGCATTCTCAGAAACTGCTTTGTGATGTTTTCATTCAAGTCACAGAGTAGAATGTTCCCTGTTATATACCAGGTTTAAGACACTCTTTCTGCACTACCTGGAAGTGGACGTTTGGAGCGCTTTGAGGCCTATGTTGAAAAAGGAAATATCTTCCCATAAAAACTAGACAGAAGCATTCTCAGAAACTTGTTTGTGATGTGTGTATTCAACTAACAGAGATGAACCTTTCTTTTTACAGAGCAGTTTTGAAACACTCTTTTTGTGGAATCTGAAAGTGGATATTTGGATAGCTTTGAGGATTTCGTTGGAAACGGGATTACATATAAAAACCTAGGGAGAAGCATTCTCAGGAACTTCTTTGTGATGTTTGCATTCACGTCACAGAACTGAACATTCCCTTTCATAGAGCATGTTTGAAACACTCTTTCTGTAGTATCTGCAAACGGACATTTCAAACGCTTTCAGGCCTATGGTGAGAAAGGAAATATCTTCAAATAAAAACTAGACAGAAACATTCTCAGAAACTTATTTGCGATGTGTGTCCTCAACTAACAGAGTTGAACCTTTCTTTTGATACAACATTTTGGAAACACTCTTTTTGTGGAATCTGCAAGTGGATATTTGGATAGCTTTGAAGGTTTCGTTGGAAACGGGAATATCTTCATATAAAATCAAGACAGAAGCATTCTCAGAAAGTGCTTTGTGATGTTTGCATTCAAGTCACAGAGTTGAATATTCCCTTTTATAGAGCAGGTTTGAAACACTCTTTCTGCACTACCTGGAAGTGGACATTTGGAGCGCTTTGAGGCCTATGTTGAAAAAGGAAATATCTTCCCATAAAAACTAGACAGAAGCATTCTCAGAAACTTGTTTGTGATGTGTGTATTCAACTAACAGAGATGAACCTTTCTTTTTACAGAGCAGTTTTGAAACATTCTTTTTGTGGAATCTGAAAGTGGATATTTGGATAGCTTTGCGGATTTCGTTGGAAACGGGATTACATATAAAATCTAGGGAGAAGCATTCTCAGGAACTTCTTTGTGATGTTTGCCTTCAAGTCACAGGACTGAACATTCCCTTTCATAGAGCAGGTTTGAAACACTCTTTCTGTAGTATCTGCAAGCTGACGTTTCAAGCGCTTTCAGGCCTATGGTGAGAAAGGAAATATCTTCAAGTAAAAACTAGACAGAAGCATTCTCAGAAACTTATTTGCCATGTGTGTTCTCAACTAACAGAGTTGAACCTTTGTTTTGATACGGCATTTTGGAAACACTCTTTTTGTAGAATCTGCAGGTGGATATTCGGATAGCTTTGAAGGTTTCGTTGGAAACGGGAATATCTTCATATAAAATCTAGACGGAAGCATTCTCAGAAACTTCTCTGTGATGTTTGCATTCAACTCATAGAGTTGAACACTTCCCTTCATACAGCAGGTTTGAAACACTCTTTTTGTAATATTTGGAAGTGGACATTTGCAGCGCTTTGAGGCCTATGATGAAAAAGGTAATATCTTCCCATAAAAACTAGACAGAAGCATTCTCAGAAACTTGTTTGTGATGTGTGTATTCAACTAACAGAGATGAACCTTTCTTTTTACAGAGCAGTTTTGAAACACTCTTTTTGTGGAATCTGAAAGTGGATATTTGGATAGCTTTGAGGATTTCGTTGGAAACGGGATTACATATAAAATCTAGAGAGAAGCATTCTCAGGAACTTCTTTGTGATGTTTGCATTCAAGTCACAGAACTGAACATTCCCTTTCATAGAGCAGGTTTGAAACACTCTTTCTGTAGTATCTGCAAGCGGACGTTTTAAGCGCTTTCAGGCCTGTGGTGAGAAAGGAAATATCTTCAAATGAAAACTAGACAGAAGCATTCTCAGAAACTTATTTGCGATGTGTGTCCTCAACTAACAGAGTTGAACCTTTCTTTTGATACAACATTTTGGAAACACTCTTTTTGTAGAATCTGCAAGTGGATATTTGGATAGCTTTGAAGGTTTCGTTGGAAACGGGAATATCTTCATATGAAATCAAGACAGAAGCATTCTCAGAAACTGCTTTGTGATGTTTTCATTCAAGTCACAGAGTAGAATGTTCCCTGTTATATACCAGGTTTGAGACACTCTTTCTGCACTACCCGGAAGTGGACGTTTGGAGCGCTTTGAGGCCTATGTTGAAAAAGGAAATATCTTCCCATAAAAACTAGACAGAAGCATTCTCAGAAACTTGTTTGTGATGTGTGTATTCAACTAACAGAGATGAACCTTTCTTTTTACAGAGCAGTTTTGAAACACTCTTTTTGTGGAATCTGAAAGTGGATATTTGGATAGCTTTGAGGATTTCGTTGGAAACGGGATTACATATAAAATCTAGAGAGAAGCATTCTCAGGAACTTCTTTGTGATGTTTGCCTTCAAGTCACAGGACTGAACATTCCCTTTCATAGAGCAGGTTTGAAACACTCCTTCTGTAGTATCTGCAAGCTGACGTTTCAAGCGCTTTCAGGCCTATGGTGAGAAAGGAAATATCTTCAAGTAAAAACTAGACAGAAGCATTCTCAGAAACTTATTTGCCATGTGTGTTCTCAACTAACAGAGTTGAACCTTTGTTTTGATACGGCATTTTGGAAACACTCTTTTTGTAGAATCTGCAGGTGGATATTCGGATAGCTTTGAAGGTTTCGTTGGAAACGGGAATATCTTCATATAAAATCTAGACGGAAGCATTCTCAGAAACTTCTCTGTGATGTTTGCATTCAACTCATAGAGTTGAACACTTCCCTTCATACAGCAGGTTTGAAACACTCTTTTTCTAATATTTGGAAGTGGACATTTGCAGCGCTTTGAGGCCTATGTTGAAAAAGGAAATATCTTCTCCTAAAAACCAGACAGAAGCATTCTCAGAAACTTGTTTGTGATGTGTGTATTCAACTAACAGAGATGAACCTTTCTTTTTACAGAGCAGTTTTGAAACACTCTTTTTGTGGAATCTGAAAGTGGATATTTGGATAGCTTTGAGGATTTCGTTGGAAACGGGATTACATATAAAATCTAGAGAGAAGCATTCTCAGGAACTTCTTTGTGATGTTTGCATTCAAGTCACAGAACTGAACATTCCCTTTCATAGAGCAGGTTTGAAACACTCTTTCTGTAGTATCTGCAAGCGGACGTTTTAAGCGCTTTCAGGCCTGTGGTGAGAAAGGAAATATCTTCAAATAAAAACTAGACAGAAGCATTCTCAGAAACTTCTTTGTGCTGTATGTCCTCAATTAACAGAGTTGAACCTTTGTGTGGATACAGCATTTTGGAAACATTCCTTTAGTAGAATCTGCAAGTTGATATTTAGATAGCTAGGAAGATTTCCTTGGAAACGGGAATATCTTCATATAAAATCTAGACGGAAGCATTCTCAGAAACTGCTTTGTGATGTTTTCATTCAAGTCACAGAGTAGAATGTTCTCTTTTATATACCAGGTTTGAGACACTCTTTCTGCACTATCTGGAAGTGGACATTTGGAGCGCTTTGAGGCCTATGATGAAAAAGGAAATATCTTCCCATAAAAACTAGACAGAAGCATTCTCAGAAACTTGTTTGTGATGTGTGTATTCAACTAACAGAGATGAACCTTTCTTTTTACAGAGCAGTTTTGAAACACTCTTTTTGTGGAATCTGAAAGTGGATATTTGGATAGCTTTGAGGATTTCGTTGGAAACGGGATTACATATAAAACCTAGAGAGAAGCATTCTCAGGAACTTCTTTTTGATGTTTGCCTTCAAGTCACAGGACTGAACATTCCCTTTCATAGAGCAGGTTTGAAACACTCTTTCTGTAGTATCTGCAAGCTGACGTTTCAAGCGCTTTCAGGCCTATGGTGAGAAAGGAAATATCTTCAAGTAAAAACTAGACAGAAGCATTCTCAGAAACATATTTGCCATGTGTGTTCTCAACTAACAGAGTTGAACCTTTGTTTTGATACGGCATTTTGGAAACACTCTTTTTGTAGTATCTGCAGGTGGATATTCGGATAGCTTTGAAGGTTTCGTTGGAAACGGGAATATCTTCATATAAAATCTAGACGGAAGCATTCTCAGAAACTGCTTTGTGATGTTTGCATTCAAGTCACAGAGTAGAATGTTCCCTGTTATATACCAGGTTTGAGACACTCTTTCTGCACTACCTGGAAGTGGACGTTTGGAGCGCTTTGAGGCCTATGTTGAAAAAGGAAATATCTTCCCATAAAAACTAGACAGAAGCATTCTCAGAAACTTGTCTGTGATGTGTGTATTCAACTAACAGAGATGAACATTTGTTTTTACAGAGCAGTTTTGAAACACTCTTTTTGTGGAATCTGAAAGTGGATATTTGGATAGCTTTGAGGATTTCGTTGGAAACGGGATTACATATAAAATCTAGAGAGAAGCATTCTCAGGAACTTCTTTGTGATGTTTGCATTCAAGTCACAGAACTGAACTTTCCCTTTCATAGAGCAGGTTTGAAACACTCTTTCTGTAGTATCTGCAAGCGGAAGTTTCAAGCGCTTTCAGGCCTGTGGTGAAAAAGGAAATATCTTCAAATAAAAACTAGACAGAAAGCATTCTCAGAAACTTATTTGCGATGTGTGTTCTCAACTAACAGAGTTGAACCTTTGTTTTGATACAGCATTTTGGAAACACTCTTTTTGTAGGATCTGCAGGTGGATATTTGGATAGGTTTGAAGGTTTCGTTGGAAACGGGAATATCTTCATATAAAATCAACACAGAAGCATTCTCAGAAACTTCTCTGTGATGTTTGCATTCAACTCATAGAGTTGAACACTTCCCTTCATAGAGCAGGTTTGAAACACTCTTTTTGTAATATTTGGAAGTGGACATTTGCAGCGCTTTGAGGCCTATGTTGAAAAAGGAAATATCTTCTCCTAAAAACCAGACAGAAGCATTCTCAGAAACTTGTTTGTGATGTGTGTATTCAACTAACAGAGATGAACCTTTCTTTTTACAGAGCAGTTTTGAAACACTCTTTTTGTGGAATCTGAAAGTGGATATTTGGATAGCTTTGAGGATTTCGTTGGAAACGGGATTACATATAAAACCTAGAGAGAAGCATTCTCAGGAACTTCTTTGTGATGTTTGCATTCAAGTCACAGAACTGAACATTCCCTTTCATAGAGCAGGTTTGAAACACTCTTTCTGTAGTATCTGCAAGCTGACGTTTCAAGCGCTTTCAGGCCTATGGTGAGAAAGGAAATATCTTCAAGTAAAAACTAGACAGAAGCATTCTCAGAAACTTATTTGCGATGTGTGTTCTCAACTAACAGAGTTGAACCTTTGTTTTGATATGGCATTTTGGAAACACTCTTTTTGTAGAATCTGCAGGTGGATATTCGGATAGCTTTGAAGGTTTCGTTGGAAACGGGAATATCTTCATATAAAATCTAGACGGAAGCATTCTCAGAAACTGCTTTGTGATGTTTTCATTCAAGTCACAGAGTAGAATGTTCCCTTTTATATACCAGGTTTGAGACACTCTTTCTGCACTATATGGAAGTGGACATTTGGAGCGCTTTGAGGCCTATGATGAAAAAGGAAATATCTTCCCATAAAAACTAGACAGAAGCATTCTCAGAAACTTGTTTGTGATGTGTGTATTCAACTAACAGAGATGAACCTTTCTTTTTACAGAGCAGTTTTGAAACACTCTTTTTGTGGAATCTGAAAGTGGATATTTGGATAGCTTTGAGGATTTCGTTGGAAACGGGATTACATATAAAATCTAGAGAGAAGCATTCTCAGGAACTTCTTTGTGATGTTTGCATTCAAGTCACAGAACTGAACATTCCCTTTCATAGAGCAGGTTTGAAACACTCTTTCTGTAGTATCTGCAAGCGGACGTCTTAAGCGCTTTCAGGCCTGTGGTGAGAAAGGAAATATCTTCAAATAAAAACTAGACAGAAGCATTCTCAGAAACTTATTTGCGATGTGTGTCCTCAACTAACAGAGTTGAACCTTTCTTTTGATACAACATTTTGGAAACACTCTTTTTGTAGAATCTGCAAGTGGATATTTGAATAGCTTTGAAGGTTTCGTTGGAAACGGGAATATCTTCATATAAAATCAAGACAGAAGCATTCTCAGAAAGTGCTTTGTGATGTCTTCATTCAAGTCACAGAGTAGAATGTTCCCTTTTATAGAGCAGGTTTGAAACACTCTTTCTGCACTACCTGGAAGTGGACATTTGGAGCGCTTTGAGACCTATGTTGAAAAAGGAAATATCTTCCCATAAAAACTAGACAGAAGCGTTCTCAGAAACTTGTTTGTGACGTGTGTATTCAACTAACAGAGATGAACCTTTCTTTTTACAGAGCAGTTTTGAAACACTCTTTTTGTGGAATCTGAAAGTGGATATTTGGATAGCTTTGCGGATTTCGTTGGAAACGGGATTACATATAAAATCTAGGTAGAAGCATTCTCAGGAACTTCTTTGTGATGTTTGCATTCAAGTCACAGAACTGAACATTCCCTTTCATAGAGCATGTTTGAAACACTCTTTCTGTAGTATCTGCAAGCGGACGTTTTAAGCGCTTTCAGGCCTGTGGTGAGAAAGGAAATATCTTCAAATAAAAACTAGACAGAAGCATTCTCAGAAACTTATTTGCCATGTGTGTTCTCAACTAACAGAGTTGAACCTTTGTTTTGATACGGCATTTTGGAAACACTCTTTTTGTAGAATCTGCAGGTGGATATTCGGATAGCTTTGAAGGTTTCGTTGGAAACGGGAATATCTTCATATAAAATCTAGACGGAAGCATTCTCAGAAAGTCCTTTGTGATGTTTGCATTCAAGTCACAGAGTTGAATATTCCCTTTTATAGAGTAGGTTTGAAACACTCTTTCTGCACTACCTGGAAGTGGACATTTGGAGCGCTTTGAGGCCTATGTTGAAAAAGGAAATATCTTCCCATAAAAACTAGACAGAAGCATTCTCAGAAACTTGTTTGTGATGTGTGTATTCAACTAACAGAGATGAACCTTTCTTTTTACAGAGCAGTTTTGAAACACTCTTTTTGTGGAATCTGAAAGTGGATATTTGGATAGCTTTGCGGATTTCGTTGGAAACGGGATTACATATAAAATCTAGGGAGAAGCATTCTCAGGAACTTCTTTGTGATGTTTGCATTCAAGTCACAGAACTGAACATTCCCTTTCATAGTGCAGGTTTGAAACACTCTTTCTGTAGTATCTGCAAGCTGACGTTTCAAGCGCTTTCAGGCCTGTGGTGAAAAAGGAAATATCTTCAAATAAAAACTAGACAGAAGCATTCTCAGAAACTTCTTTGTGCTGTATGTCCTCAATTAACAGAGTTGAACCTTTGTGTGGATACAGCATTTTGGAAACATTCCTTTAGTAGAATCTGCAAGTTGATATTTAGATAGCTAGGAAGATTTCCTTGGAAACGGGAATATCTTCATATAAAATCTAGACGGAAGCATTCTCAGAAACTGCTTTGTGATGTTTTCATTCAAGTCACAGAGTAGAATGTTCCCTGTTATATACCAGGTTTGAGACACTCTTTCTGCACTACCTGGAAGTGGACATTTGCAGCGCTTTGAGGCCTATGATGAAAAAGGAAATATCTTCCCATAAAAACTAGACAGAAGCATTCTCAGAAACTTGTTTGTGATGTGTGTATTCAACTAACAGAGATGAACCTTTCTTTTTACAGAGCAGTTTTGAAACACTCTTTTTGTGGAATCTGAAAGTGGATATTTGGATAGCTTTGAGGATTTCGTTGGAAACGGGATTACATATAAAACCTAGAGAGAAGCATTCTCAGGAACTTCTTTGTGATGTTTGCCTTCAAGTCACAGGACTGAACATTCCCTTTCATAGAGCAGGTTTGAAACACTCCTTCTGTAGTATCTGCAAGCTGACGTTTCAAGCGCTTTCAGGCCTATGGTGACAAAGGAAATATCTTCAAGTAAAAACTAGACAGAAGCATTCTCAGAAACTTATTTGCGATGTGTGTCCTCAACTAACAGATTTGAACCTTTGTTTTGATACAGCATTTTGGAAACACTCTTTTTGTAGGATCTGCAGGTGGATATTTGGATAGCTTTTAAGGTTTCGTTGGAAACGGGAATATCTTCATATAAAATCAAGACAGAAGCATTCTCAGAAACTTCTCTGTGATGTTTGCATTCAACTCATAGAGTTGAAGACTTCCTTTCACAGAGCCGGTTTGAAACACTCTGTGCACTACCTGGAAGTGGACATTTGGAGCGCTTTGAGGCCTATGATGTAAAAGGTATTATCTTCCCATAAAAACTAGACAGAAGCATTCTCAGAAACTTGTTTGTGATGTGTGTATTCAACTAACAGAGATGAACCTTTCTTTTTACAGAGCAGTTTTGAAACACTCTTTTTGTGGAATCTGAAAGTGGATATTTGGATAGCTTTGCGGATTTCGTTGGAAACGGGATTACATATAAAATCTAGGGAGAAGCATTCTCAGGAACTTCTTTGTGATGTTTGCATTCAAGTCACAGAACTGAACATTCCCTTTCATAGAGCAGGTTTGAAACACTCTTTCTGTAGTATCTGCAAGCTGACGTTTCAAGCGCTTTCAGGCCTATGGTGAGAAAGGAAATATCTTCAAGTAAAAACTAGACAGAAGCATTCTCAGAAACTTATTTGCGATGTGTGTCCTCAACTAACAGAGTTGAACCTTTCTTTTGATACAACATTTTGGAAACACTCTTTTTGTAGAATCTGCACGTGGATATTTGGATAACTTTGAAGGTTTCGTTGGAAACGGGAATATCTTCATATGAAATCAAGACAGAAAGCATTCTCAGAAAGTGCTTTGTGATGTTTGCATTCAAGTCACAGAGTTGAATATTCCCTTTTATAGAGCAGGTTTGAAACACTCTTTCTGCACTACCTGGAAGTGGACATTTGGAGCGCTTTGAGGCCTATGTTGAAAAACGAAATATCTTCCCATAAAAACTAGACAGAAGCATTCTCAGAAACTTGTTTGTGATGTGTGTATTCAACTAACAGAGATGAACCTTTCTTTTTACAGAGCAGTTTTGAAACACTCTTTTTGTGGAATCTGAAAGTGGATATTTGGATAGCTTTGAGGATTTCGTTGGAAACGGGATTACATATAAAACCTAGAGAGAAGCATTCTCAGGAACTCCTTTGTGATGTTTGCCTTCAAGTCACAGGACTGAACATTCCCTTTCATAGAGCAGGTTTGAAACACTCTTTCTGTAGTATCTGCAAGCTGACGTTTCAAGCGCTTTCAGGCCTATGGTGAGAAAGGAAATATCTTCAAGTAAAAACTAGACAGAAGCATTCTCAGAAACTTATTTGCGATGTGTGTTCTCAACTAACAGAGTTGAACCTTTGTTTTGATATGGCATTTTGGAAACACTCTTTTTGTAGAATCTGCAGGTGGATATTCGGATAGCTTTGAAGGTTTCGTTGGAAACGGGAATATCTTCATATAAAATCTAGACGGAAGCATTCTCAGAAACTGCTTTGTGATGTTTTCATTCAAGTCACAGAGTAGAATGTTCCCTGTTATATACCAGGTTTGAGACACTCTTTCTGCACTACCTGGAAGTGGACATTTGCAGCGCTTTGAGGCCTATGATGAAAAAGGAAATATCTTCTCCTAAAAACCAGACAGAAGCATTCTCAGAAACTTGTTTGTGATGTGTGTATTCAACTAACAGGGATGAACCTTTCTTTTTACAGAGCAGTTTTGAAACACTCTTTTTGTGGAATCTGAAAGTGGATATTTGGATAGCTTTGAGGATTTCGTTGGAAACGGGATTACATATAAAACCTAGAGAGAAGCATTCTCAGGAACTTCTTTGTGATGTTTGCATTCAAGTCACAGAACTGAACATTCCCTTTCATAGAGCAGGTTTGAAACACTCTTTCTGTAGTATCTGCAAGCTGACGTTTCAAGCGCTTTCAGGCCTATGGTGAGAAAGGAAATATCTTCAAGTAAAAACTAGACAGAAGCATTCTCAGAAACTTCTTTGCGATGTGTGTTCTCAACTAACAGAGTTGAACCTTTGTTTTGATATGGCATTTTGGAAACACTCTTTTTGTAGAATCTGCAGGTGGATATTCGGATAGCTTTGAAGGTTTCGTTGGAAACGGGAATATCTTCATATAAAATCTAGACGGAAGCATTCTCAGAAAGTGCTTTGTGATGTTTGCATTCAAGTCACAGAGTTGAATGTTCCCTTTTATAGAGCAGGTTTGAAACACTCTTTCTGCACTACCTGGAAGTGGACATTTGGAGCGCTTTGAGGCCTATGTTGAAAAAGGAAATATCTTCCCATAAAAACCAGACAGAAGCATTCTCAGAAACTTGTTTGTGATGTGTGTATTCAACTAACAGAGATGAACATTTCTTTTTACAGAGCAGTTTTGAAACACTCTTTTTGTGGAATCTGAAAGTGGATATTTGGATAGCTTTGAGGATTTCGTTGGAAACGGGATTACATATAAAACCTAGAGAGAAGCATTCTCAGGAACTTCTGTGTGATGTTTGCATTCAAGTCACAGAACTGAACATTCCCTTTCATAGAGCAGGTTTGAATCACTCTTTCTGTAGTATCTGCAAGCGGACGTTTCAAGCGCTTTCAGGCCTGTGGTGAAAAAGGAAATATCTTCAAATAAAAACTAGACAGAAGCATTCTCAGAAACTTATTTGCGATGTGTGTTCTCAACTAAAAGAGTTGAACCTTTGTTTGGATACAGCATTTTGCAAACACTCTTTTTGTAGAATCTGCAAGTGGATATTTGGATAGCTTTGAAGGTTTCGTTGGAAACGGGAATATCTTCATATAAAATCAAGACAGAAGCATTCTCAGAAACTTCTCTGTGATGTTTGCATTCAACTCATAGAGTTGAACACTTCCCTTCATACAGCAGGTTTGAAACACTCTTTTTGTAATATTTGGAAGTGGACATTTGCAGCGCTTTGAGGCCTATGATGAAAAAGGAAATATCTTCCCATAAAAACTAGACAGGAAGCATTCTCAGAAACTTCCTTGTGATGTGTGTACTCAAGTAACAGAGTTGAACCTTCCTTTTGACAGAGCAGTTTTGAAGCACTCTTTTTGTAGAATCTGCAAGTGGATATTTTGATACCTTTGAGGATTTCGTTGGACACGGGATATCTTCATATAAAATCTAGACAGAAGCATTCTCAGGAACTTCTTTGTGATGTTTGCATTCAAGTCACAGAACTGAACATTCCCTTTCATAGAGCAGGTTTGAAACACTCTTTCTGTAGTATCTGCAAGCGGACGTTTTAAGCGCTTTCAGGCCTGTGGTGAGAAAGGAAATATCTTCAAATAAAAACTAGACAGAAGCATTCTCAGAAACTTATTTGCGATGTGTGTCCTCAACTAACAGAGTTGAACCTCTGTTTTGATACAGCATTTTGGAAACACTCTTTTTGTAGGATCTGCAGGTGGATATTTGGATAGCTTTGAAGGTTTCGTTGGAAACGGGAATATCTTCATATAAAATCAACACAGAAGCATTCTCAGAAAGTGCTTTGTGATGTTTGCATTCAAGTCACAGAGTTGAATATTCCCTTTTATAGAGCAGGTTTGAAACACTCTTTCTGCACTACCTGGAAGTGGACATTTGGAGCGCTTTGAGGCCTATGTTGAAAAAGGAAATATGTTCCCATAAAAACTGGACAGAAGCATTCTCAGAAACTTGTTTGTGATGTGTGTATTCAACTAACAGAGATGAACCTTTCTTTTTACAGAGCAGTTTTGAAACACTCTTTTTGTGGAATCTGAAAGTGGATATTTGGATAGCTTTGAGGATTTCGTTGGAAACGGGATTACATATAAAACCTAGAGAGAAGCATTCTCAGGAACTTCTTTGTGATGTTTGCCTTCAAGTCACAGGACTGAACATTCCCTTTCATAGAGCAGGTTTGAAACACTCTTTCTGTAGTATCTGCAAGCTGACGTTTCAAGCGCTTTCAGGCCTATGGTGAGAAAGGAAATATCTTCAAGTAAAAACTAGACAGAAGCATTCTCAGAAACTTATTTGCCATGTGTGTTCTCAACTAACAGAGTTGAACCTTTGTTTTGATACGGCATTTTGGAAACACTCTTTTTGTAGAATCTGCAGGTGGATATTCCGATAGCTTTGAAGGTTTCGTTGGAAACGGGAATATCTTCATATAAAATCTAGACGGAAGCATTCTCAGAAACTGCTTTGTGATGTTTTCATTCAAGTCACAGAGTAGAATGTTCCCTGTTATATACCAGGTTTGAGACACTCTTTCTGCACTACCCGGAAGTGGACGTTTGGAGCGCTTTGAGGCGTATGTTGAAAAACGAAATATCTTCCCATAAAAACTAGACAGAAGCATTCTCAGAAACTTGTTTGTGATGTGTGTATTCAACTAACAGAGATGAACCTTTCTTTTTACAGAGCAGTTTTGAAACACTCTTTTTGTGGAATCTGAAAGTGGATATTTGGATAGCTTTGAGGATTTCGTTGGAAACGGGATTACATATAAAATCTAGAGAGAAGCATTCTCAGGAACTTCTTTGTGATGTTTGCATTCAAGTCACAGAACTGAACATTCCCTTTCATAGAGCAGGTTTGAAACACTCTTTCTGTAGTATCTGCAAGCGGACGTTTTAAGCGCTTTCAGGCCTGTGGTGAGAAAGGAAATATCTTCAAATAAAAACTAGACAGAAGCATTCTCAGAAACTTATTTGCGATGTGTGTCCTCAACTAACAGAGTTGAACCTTTGTTTTGATACAACATTTTGGAAACACTCTTTTTGTAGAATCTGCAAGTGGATATTTGGATAGCTTTGAAGGTTTCGTTGGAAACGGGAATATCTTCATATAAAATCAAGACAGAAGCATTCTCAGAAACTTCTCTGTGATGTTTGCATTCAACTCATAGAGTTGAACACTTCCCTTCATACAGCAGGTTTGAAACACTCTTTTTGTAATATTTGGAAGTGGACATTTGCAGCGCTTTGAGGCCTATGATGAAAAAGGAAATATCTTCCCATAAAAACTAGACAGGAAGCATTCTCAGAAACTTGTTTGTGATGTGTGTATTCAACTAACAGAGATGAACCTTTCTTTTTACAGAGCAGTTTTGAAACACTCTTTTTGTGGAATCTGAAAGTGGATATTTGGATAGCTTTGAGGATTTCGTTGGAAACGGGATTACATATAAAACCTAGAGAGAAGCATTCTCAGGAACTTCTTTGTGATGTTTGCCTTCAAGTCACAGGACTGAACATTCCCTTTCATAGAGCAGGTTTGAAACACTCTTTCTGTAGTATCTGCAAGCTGACGTTTCAAGCGCTTTCAGGCCTATGGTGAGAAAGGAAATATCTTCAAGTAAAAACTAGACAGAAGCATTCTCAGAAACTTATTTGCCATGTGTGTTCTCAACTAACAGAGTTGAACCTTTGTTTTGATACGGCATTTTGGAAACACTCTTTTTGTAGAATCTGCAGGTGGATATTCGGATAGCTTTGAAGGTTTCGTTGGAAACGGGAATATCTTCATATAAAATCTAGACGGAAGCATTCTCAGAAACTGCTTTGTGATGTTTTCATTCAAGTCACAGAGTAGAATGTTCCCTGTTATATACCAGGTTTGAGACACTCTTTCTGCACTACCTGGAAGTGGACGTTTGGAGCGCTTTGAGGCCTATGTTGAAAAAGGAAATATCTTCCCATAAAAACTAGACAGAAAGCATTCTCAGGAAACTTGTTTGTGATGTGTGTATTCAACTAACAGAGCATGAACCTTTCTTTTTACAGAGCAGTTTTGAAACACTCTTTTTGTGGAATCTGAAAGTGGATATTTGGATAGCTTTGCGGATTTCGTTGGAAACGGGATTACATATAAAATCTAGGGAGAAGCATTCTCAGGAACTTCTTTGTGATGTTTGCCTTCAAGTCACAGGACTGAACATTCCCTTTCATAGAGCAGGTTTGAAACACTCTTTCTGTAGTATCTGCAAGCTGACGTTTCAAGCGCTTTCAGGCCTATGGTGAGAAAGGAAATATCTTCAAGTAAAAACTAGACAGAAGCATTCTCAGAAACTTATTTGCGATGTGTGTCCTCAACTAACAGAGTTGAACCTTTCTTTTGATACAACATTTTGGAAACACTCTTTTTGTGGAATCTGCAAGTGGATATTTGGATAGCTTTGAAGGTTTCGTTGGAAACGGGAATATCTTCATATAAAATCAAGACAGAAGCATTCTCAGAAACTTCTCTGTGATGTTTGCATTCAACTCATAGAGTTGAACACTTCCCTTCATACAGCAGGTTTGAAACACTCTTTTTGTAATATTTGGAAGTGGACATTTGCAGCGCTTTGAGGCCTATGATGAAAAAGGTAATATCTTCCCATAAAAACTAGACAGAAAGCATTCTCAGTAAACTTGTTTGTGATGTGTGTATTCAACTAACAGAGATGAACCTTTCTTTTTACAGAGCAGTTTTGAAACACTCTTTTTGTGGAATCTGAAAGTGGATATTTGGATAGCTTTGAGGATTTCGTTGGAAACGGGATTACATATAAAATCTAGAGAGAAGCATTCTCAGGAACTTCTTTGTGATGTTTGCATTCAAGTCACAGAACTGAACATTCCCTTTCATAGAGCAGGTTTGAAACACTCTTTCTGTAGTATCTGCAAGCTGACGTTTCAAGCGCTTTCAGGCCTATGGTGAGAAAGGAAATATCTTCAAGTAAAAACTAGACAGAAGCATTCTCAGAAACTTATTTGAGATGTGTGTTCTCAACTAACAGAGTTGAACCTTTGTTTTGATATGGCATTTTGGAAACACTCTTTTTGTAGAATCTGCAGGTGGATATTCGGATAGCTTTGAAGGTTTCGTTGGAAACGGGAATATCTTCATATAAAATCAAGACAGAAGCATTCTCAGAAAGTGCTTTGTGATGTTTGCATTCAAGTCACAGAGTTGAATATTCCCTTTTATAGAGCAGGTTTGAAACACTCTTTCTGCACTACCTGGAAGTGGACATTTGGAGCGCTTTGAGGCCTATGTTGAAAAAGGAAATATCTTCCCATAAAAACTAGACAGATAAGCATTCTCAGAAACTTGTTTGTGATGTGTGTATTCAACTAACAGAGATGAACCTTTCTTTTTACAGAGCAGTTTTGAAACACTCTTTTTGTGGAATCTGAAAGTGGATATTTGGATAGCTTTGAGGATTTCGTTGGAAACGGGATTACATATAAAATCTAGAGAGAAGCATTCTCAGGAACTTCTTTGTGATGTTTGCATTCAATTCACAGAACTGAACATTCCCTTTCATACAGCAGGTTTGAAACACTCTTTCTGTAGTATCTGCAAGCGGACGTTTCAAGCGCTTTCAGGCCTATGGTGAGAAAGGAAATATCTTCAAGTAAAAACTAGACAGAAGCATTCTCAGAAACTTCTTTGTGCTGTATGTCCTCAATTAACAGAGTTGAACCTTTGTGTGGATACAGCATTTTGGAAACATTCCTTTAGTAGAGTCTGCAAGTTGATATTTAGATAGCTAGGAAGATTTCCTTGGAAACGGGAATATCTTCATATAAAATCCAGACGGAAGCATTCTCAGAAAGTGCTTTGTGATGTTTGCATTCAAGTCACAGAGTTGAATATTCCCTTTTATAGAGCAGGTTTGAAACACTCTTTCTGCACTACCTGGAAGTGGACATTTGGAGCGCTTTGAGGCCTATGTTGAAAAAGGAAATATCTTCCCATAAAAACTAGACAGAAGCATTCTCAGAAACTTGTTTGTGATGTGTGTATTCAACTAACAGAGATGAACCTTTCTTTTTACAGAGCAGTTTTGAAACACTCTTTTTGTGGAATCTGAAAGTGGATATTTGGATAGCTTTGAGGATTTCGTTGGAAACGGGATTACATATAAAACCTAGAGAGAAGCATTCTCAGGAACTTCTTTGTGATGTTTGCATTCAAGTCACAGAACTGAACATTCCCTTTCATAGAGCAAGTTTGAAACACTCTTTCTGTAGTATCTGCAAGCTGACGTTTCAAGCGCTTTCAGGCCTATGGTGAGAAAGGAAATATCTTCAAGTAAAAACTAGACAGAAGCATTCTCAGAAACTTATTTGCGATGTGTGTTCTCAACTAACAGAGTTGAACCTTTGTTTTGATACGGCATTTTGGAAACACTCTTTTTGTAGAATCTGCAGGTGGATATTCGGATAGCTTTGAAGGTTTCGTTGGAAACGGGAATATCTTCATATAAAATCTAGACGGAAGCATTCTCAGAAACTGCTTTGTGATGTTTTCATTCAAGTCACAGAGTAGAATGTTCCCTGTTATATACCAGGTTTGAGACACTCTTTCTGCACTACCTGGAAGTGGACGTTTGGAGCGCTTTGAGGCCTATGTTGAAAAAGGAAATATCTTCCCATAAAAACTAGACAGAAGCATTCTCAGAAACTTGTTTGTGATGTGTGTATTCAACTAACAGAGATGAACCTTTCTTTTTACAGAGCAGTTTTGAAACACTCTTTTTGTGGAATCTGAAAGTGGATATTTGGATAGCTTTGAGGATTTCGTTGGAAACGGGATTACATATAAAATCTAGAGAGAAGCATTCTCAGGAACTTCTTTGTGATATTTGCATTCAAGTCACAGAACTGAACATTCCCTTTCATAGAGCATGTTTGAAACACTCTTTCTGTAGTATCTGCAAGCTGACGTTTCAAGCGCTTTCAGGCCTATGGTGAGAAAGGAAATATCTTCAAGTAAAAACTAGACAGAAGCATTCTCAGAAACTTATTTGCCATGTGTGTTCTCAACTAACAGAGTTGAACCTTTGTTTTGATACGGCATTTTGGAAACACTCTTTTTGTAGAATCTGCAGGTGGATATTCGGATAGCTTTGAAGGTTTCGTTGGAAACGGGAATATCTTCATATAAAATCTAGACGGAAGCATTCTCAGAAACTTCTCTGTGATGTTTGCATTCAACTCATAGAGTTGAACACTTCCTTTCATAGAGCAGGTTAGAAACACTCTGTGCACTACCAGGAAGTGGACATTTGGAGCGCTTTGAGGCCTATGTTGAAAAAGGAAATATCTTCCCATAAAAACTAGACAGAAGCATTCTCAGAAACTTGTTTGTGATGTGTGTATTCAACTAACAGAGATGAACCTTTCTTTTTACAGAGCAGTTTTGAAACACTCTTTTTGTGGAATCTGAAAGTCGATATTTGGATAGCTTTGAGGATTTCGTTGGAAACGGGATTACATATAAAATCTAGAGAGAAGCATTCTCAGGAACTTCTTTGTGATGTTTGCATTCACGTCACAGAACTGAACATTCCCTTTCATAGAGGATGTTTGAAACACTCTTTCTGTAGTATCTGAAAACGGACATTCCAAGCGCTTTCAGGCCTATGGTGAGAAAGGAAATATCTTCAAATAAAAACTAGACAGAAGCATTCTCAGAAACTTATTTGCGATGTGTGTCCTCAACTAACAGAGTTGAACCTTTCTTTTGATACAACATTTTGGAACCACTCTTTTTGTAGAATCTGCAAGTGGATATTTGGATAGCTTTGAAGGTTTCGTTGGAAACGGGAATATATTCATATAAAATCAACACAGAAGCATTCTCAGAAACTGCTTTGTGATGTTTTCATTGAAGTCACAGAGTAGAATGTTCCCTTTTATATACCAGGTTTGAGACACTCTTTCTGCACTATCTGGAAGTGGACATTTGGAGCGCTTTGAGGCCTATGATGAAAAAGGAAATATCTTCCCATAAAAACTAGACAGAAGCATTCTCAGAAACTTGTTTGTGATGTGTGTATTCAACTAACAGAGATGAACCTTTCTTTTTACAGAGCAGTTTTGAAACACTCTTTTTGTGGAATCTGAAAGTGGATATTTGGATAGCTTTGAGGATTTCGTTGGAAACGGGATTACATATAAAATCTAGAGAGAAGCATTCTCAGGAACTTCTTTGTGATGTTTGCATTCACGTCACAGAACTGAACATTCCCTTTCACAGAGCATGTTTGAAACAGTCTTTCTGTAGTATCTGCAAACGGACATTTCAAACGCTTTCAGGCCTATGGTGAGAAAGGAAATATCTTCAAATAAAAACTAGACAGAAGCATTCTCAGAAGCTTATTTGCGATGTGTGTTCTCAACTAACAGAGTTGAACCTTTGTTTTGATACAGCATTTTGGAAACACTCTTTTTGTAGGATCTGCATGTGGATATTTGGATAGCTTTGAAGGTTTCGTTGGAAACGGGAATATCTTCATATAAAATCAAGACAGAAGCATTCTCAGAAACTTCTCTGTGATGTTTGCATTCAACTCATAGAGTTGAACACTTCCTTTCATAGAGCCGGTTTGAAACACTCTGTGCACTACCTGGAAGTGGACATTTGGAGCGCTTTGAGGCCTATGTTGAAAAAGGAAATATCTTCCCATAAAAACTAGACTGAAGCATTCTCAGAAACTTGTTTGTGATGTGTGTATTCAACTAACAGAGATGAACCTTTCTTTTTACAGAGCAGTTTTGAAACACTCTTTTTGTGGAATCTGAAAGTGGATATTTGGATAGCTTTGCGGATTTCGTTGGAAACGGGATTACATATAAAATCTAGGGAGAAGCATTCTCAGGAACTTCTTTGTGATGTTTGCCTTCAAGTCACAGGACTGAACATTCCCTTTCATAGAGCAGGTTTGAAACACTCTTTCTGTAGTATCTGCAAGCTGACGTTTCAAGCGCTTTCAGGCCTATGGTGAGAAAGGAAATATCTTCAAGTAAAAACTAGACAGAAGCATTCTCAGAAACTTATTTGCCATGTGTGTTCTCAACTAACAGAGTTGAACCTTTGTTTTGATACGGCATTTTGGAAACACTCTTTTTGTAGAATCTGCAGGTGGATATTCGGATAGCTTTGAAGGTTTCGTTGGAAACGGGAATATCTTCATATAAAATCTAGACGGAAGCATTCTCAGAAACTGCTTTGTGATGTTTTCATTGAAGTCACAGAGTAGAATGTTCCCTTTTATATACCAGGTTTGAGACACTCTTTCTGCACTATCTGGAAGTGGACATTTGGAGCGCTTTGAGGCCTATGATGAAAAAGGAAATATCTTCCCATAAAAACTAGACAGAAGCATTCTCAGAAACTTGTTTGTGATGTGTGTATTCAACTAACAGAGATGAACCTTTCTTTTTACAGAGCAGTTTTGAAACACTCTTTTTGTGGAATCTGAAAGTGGATATTTGGATAGCTTTGAGGATTTCGTTGGAAACGGGATTACATATAAAATCTAGAGAGAAGCATTCTCAGGAACTTCTTTGTGATGTTTGCATTCAAGTCACAGAACTGAACATTCCCTTTCATAGAGCATGTTTGAAACACTCTTTCTGTAGTATGTGCAAACGGACATTTCAAACGCTTTCAGGCCTATGGTGAGAAAGGAAATATCTTCAAATAAAAACTAGACAGACAAGCATTCTCAGAAACTTCTTTGTGCTGTATGTCCTCAATTAACAGAGTTGAACCTTTGTGTGGATACAGCATTTTGGAAACATTCCTTTAGTAGAATCTGCAAGTAGATATTTAGATAGCTAGGAAGATTTCCTTGGAAACGGGAATATCTTCATATAAAATCTAGACGGAAGCATTCTCAGAAAGTGCTTTGTGATGTTTGCATTCAAGTCACAGAGTTGAATATTGCCTTTTATAGAGCAGGTTTGAAACACTCTTTCTGCACTACCTGGAGGTGGACATTTAGAGCGCTTTGAGTCTTATGTTGAAAAAGGAAATATCTTCCCATAAAAACTAGACAGAAGCATTCTCAGAAATTTGTTTGTGATGTGTGTATTCAACTAACAGAGATGAACCTTTCTTTTTACAGAGCAGTTTTGAAACACTCTTTTTGTGGAATCTGAAAGTGGATATTTGGATAGCTTTGAGGATTTCGTTGGAAACGGGATTACATATAAAATCTAGAGAGAAGCATTCTCAGGAACTTCTTTGTGATGTTTGCATTCACGTCACAGAACTGAACATTCCCTTTCATAGAGCATGTTTGAAACACTCTTACTGTAGTATCTGCAAACGGACATTTCAAACGCTTTCAGGCCTATGGTGAGAAAGGAAATATCTTCAAATAAAAACTAGACAGAAACATTCTCAGAAACTTATTTGCGATGTGTGTCCTCAACTAACAGAGTTGAACCTTTCTTTTGATACAACATTTTGGAAACACTCTTTTTGTAGAATCTGCAAGTGGATATTTGAATAGCTTTGAAGGTTTCGTTGGAAACGGGAATATCTTCATATAAAATCAAGACAGAAAGCATTCTCAGTAAACTTCTCTGTGATGTTTGCATTCAACTCATAGAGTTGAACACTTCCCTTCATACAGCAGGTTTGAAACACTCTTTTTGTAATATTTGGAAGTGGACATTTGCAGCGCTTTGAGGCCTATGATGAAAAAGGTAATATCTTCCCATAAAAACTAGACAGAAGCATTCTCAGAAACTTGTTTGTGATGTGTGTATTCAACTAACAGAGATGAACCTTTCTTTTTACAGAGCAGTTTTGAAACACTCTTTTTGTGGAATCTGAAAGTGGATATTTGGATAGCTTTGAGGATTTCGTTGGAAACGGGATTACATATAAAATCTAGGGAGAAGCATTCTCAGGAACTTCTTTGTGATGTTTGCATTCACGTCACAGAACTGAACATTCCCTTTCATAGAGCATGTTTGAAACACTCTTTCTGTAGTATCTGCAAACGGACATTTCAAACGCTTTCAGGCCTATGGTGAGAAAGGAAATATCTTCAAGTAAAAACTAGACAGAAGCATTCTCAGAAACTTATTTGCGATGTGTGTTCTCAACTAACAGAGTTGAACCTTTGTTTTGATACAGCATTTTGGAAACACTCTTTTTGTAGGATCTGCAGGTGGATATTTGGATAGATTTGAAGGTTTCGTTGGAAACGGGAATATCTTCATATAAAATCAACACAGAAGCATTCTCAGAAACTGCTTTGTGATGTTTTCATTCAAGTCACAGAGTAGAATGTTCCCTGTTATATACCAGGTTTGAGACACTCTTTCTGCACTACCTGGAAGTGGACGTTTGGAGCGCTTTGAGGCCTATGTTGAAAAAGGAAATATCTTCCCATAAAAACTAGACAGAAGCATTCTCAGAAACTTGTTTGTGATGTGTGTATTCAACTAACAGAGATGAACCTTTCTTTTTACAGAGCAGTTTTGAAACACTCTTTTTGTGGAATCTGAAAGTGGATATTTGGATAGCTTTGCGGATTTCGTTGGAAACGGGATTACATATAAAATCTAGGGAGAAGCATTCTCAGGAACTTCTTTGTGATGTTTGCATTCAAGTCACAGAACTGAACATTCCCTTTCATAGAGCATGTTTGAAACACTCTTTCTGTAGTATCTGCAAGCGGACGTTTCAAGCGCTTTCAGGCCTATGGTGAGAAAGGAAATATCTTCAAGTAAAAACTAGACAGAAGCATTCTCAGAAACTTATTTGCCATGTGTGTTCTCAACTAACAGAGTTGAACCTTTGTTTTGATACGGCATTTTGGAAACACTCTTTTTGTAGAATCTGCAGGTGGATATTCGGATAGCTTTGAAGGTTTCGTTGGAAACGGGAATATCTTCATATAAAATCTAGACGGAAGCATTCTCAGAAACTGCTTTGTGATGTTTTCATTCAAGTCACAGAGTAGAATGTTCCCTGTTATATACCAGGTTTGAGACACTCTTTCTGCACTACCTGGAAGTGGACATTTGCAGCGCTTTGAGGCCTATGATGAAAAAGGAAATATCTTCCCATAAAAACTAGACAGAAGCATTCTCAGAAACTTGTTTGTGATGTGTGTATTCAACTAACAGAGATGAACCTTTCTTTTTACAGAGCAGTTTTGAAACACTCTTTTTGTGGAATCTGAAAGTGGATATTTGGATAGCTTTGAGGATTTCGTTGGAAACGGGATTACATATAAAACCTAGAGAGAAGCATTCTCAGGAACTTCTTTTTGATGTTTGCCTTCAAGTCACAGGACTGAACATTCCCTTTCATAGAGCAGGTTTGAAACACTCTTTCTGTAGTATCTGCAAGCTGACGTTTCAAGCGCTTTCAGGCCTATGGTGAGAAAGGAAATATCTTCAAGTAAAAACTAGACAGAAGCATTCTCAGAAACTTATTTGCCATGTGTGTTCTCAACTAACAGAGTTGAACCTTTGTTTTGATACGGCATTTTGGAAACACTCTTTTTGTAGAATCTGCAGGTGGATATTCGGATAGCTTTGAAGGTTTCGTTGGAAACGGGAATATCTTCATATAAAATCTAGACGGAAGCATTCTCAGAAACTGCTTTGTGATGTTTTCATTCAAGTCACAGAGTAGAATGTTCCCTGTTATATACCAGGTTTGAGACACTCTTTCTGCACTACCTGGAAGTGGACGTTTGGAGCGCTTTGAGGCCTATGTTGAAAAAGGAAATATCTTCCCATAAAAACTAGACAGAAGCATTGTCAGAAACTTGTTTGTGATGTGTGTATTCAACTAACAGAGATGAACCTTTCTTTTTACAGAGCAGTTTTGAAACACTCTTTTTGTGGAATCTGAAAGTGGATATTTGGATAGCTTTGAGGATTTCGTTGGAAACGGGATTACATATAAAACCTAGAGAGAAGCATTCTCAGGAACTTCTTTGTGATGTTTGCCTTCAAGTCACAGGACTGAACATTCCCTTTCATAGAGCAGGTTTGAAACACTCTTTCTGTAGTATCTGCAAGCTGACGTTTCAAGCGCTTTCAGGCCTATGGTGAGAAAGGAAATATCTTCAAGTAAAAACTAGACAGAAGCATTCTCAGAAACTTCTTTGTGCTGTATGTCCTCAATTAACAGAGTTGAACCTTTGTGTGGATACAGCATTTTGGAAACATTCCTTTAGTAGAATCTGCAAGTTGATATTTAGATAGCTAGGAAGATTTCCTTGGAAACGGGAATATCTTCATATAAAATCTAGACGGAAGCATTCTCAGAAAGTGCTTTGTGATGTTTGCATTCAAGTCACAGAGTTGAATATTCCCTTTTATAGAGTAGGTTTGAAACACTCTTTCTGCACTACCTGGAAGTGGACATTTGGAGCGCTTTGAGGCCTATGTTGAAAAACGAAATATCTTCCCATAAAAACTAGACAGAAGCATTCTCAGAAACTTGTTTGTGATGTGTGTATTCAACTAACAGAGATGAACCTTTCTTTTTACAGAGCAGTTTTGAAACACTCTTTTTGTGGAATCTGAAAGTGGATATTTGGATAGCTTTGAGGATTTCGTTGGAAACGGGATTACATATAAAACCTAGAGAGAAGCATTCTCAGGAACTTCTTTGTGATGTTTGCATTCAAGTCACAGAACTGAACATTCCCTTTCATAGAGCAGGTTTGAAACACTCTTTCTGTAGTATCTGCAAGCTGACGTTTCAAGCGCTTTCAGGCCTATGGTGAGAAAGGAAATATCTTCAAGTAAAAACTAGACAGAAGCATTCTCAGAAACTTATTTGCGATGTGTGTTCTCAACTAACAGAGTTGAACCTTTGTTTTGATATGGCATTTTGGAAACACTCTTTTTGTAGAATCTGCAGGTGGATATTCGGATAGCTTTGAAGGTTTCGTTGGAAACGGGAATATCTTCATATAAAATCTAGACGGAAGCATTCTCAGAAACTGCTTTGTGATGTTTTCATTCAAGTCACAGAGTAGAATGTTCCCTGTTATATACCAGGTTTGAGACACTCTTTCTGCACTACCTGGAAGTGGACATTTGCAGCGCTTTGAGGCCTATGATGAAAAAGGAAATATCTTCCCATAAAAACTAGACAGAAGCATTCTCAGAAACTTGTTTGTGATGTGTGTATTCAACTAACAGAGATGAACCTTTCTTTTTACAGAGCAGTTTTGAAACACTCTTTTTGTGGAATCTGAAAGTGGATATTTGGATAGCTTTGAGGATTTCGTTGGAAACGGGATTACATATAAAACCTAGAGAGAAGCATTCTCAGGAACTTCTTTGTGATGTTTGCATTCAAGTCACAGAACTGAACATTCCCTTTCATAGAGCAGGTTTGAAACACTCTTTCTGTAGTATCTGCAAGCTGACGTTTCAAGCGCTTTCAGGCCTATGGTGAGAAAGGAAATATCTTCAAGTAAAAACTAGACAGAAGCATTCTCAGAAACTTATTTGCCATGTGTGTTCTCAACTAACAGAGTTGAACCTTTGTTTTGATACGGCATTTTGGAAACACTCTTTTTGTAGAATCTGCAGGTGGATATTCGGATAGCTTTGAAGGTTTCGTTGGAAACGGGAATATCTTCATATAAAATCTAGACGGAAGCATTCTCAGAAACTGCTTTGTGATGTTTTCATTCAAGTCACAGAGTAGAATGTTCCATGTTATATACCAGGTTTGAGACACTCTTTCTGCACTACCTGGAAGTGGACATTTGCAGCGCTTTGAGGCCTATGATGAAAAAGGAAATATCTTCCCATAAAAACTAGACAGAAGCATTCTCAGAAACTTGTTTGTGATGTGTGTATTCAACTAACAGAGATGAACCTTTCTTTTTACAGAGCAGTTTTGAAACACTCTTTTTGTGGAATCTGAAAGTGGATATTTGGATAGCTTTGCGGATTTCGTGGGAAACGGGATTACATATAAAATCTAGGGAGAAGCACTCTCAGGAACTTCTTTGTGATGTTTGCATTCAAGTCACAGAACTGAACATTCCCTTTCATAGAGCAGGTTTGAAACACTCTTTCTGTAGTATCTGCAAGCGGACGTTTTAAGCGCTTTCAGGCCTGTGGTGAGAAAGGAAATATCTTCAAATAAAAACTAGACAGAAGCATTCTCAGAAACTTATTTGCGATGTGTGTCCTCAACTAACAGAGTTGAACCTTTCTTTTGATACAACATTTTGGAAACACTCTTTTTGTAGAATCTGCAAGTGGATATTTGGATAGCTTTGAAGGTTTCGTTGGAAACGGGAATATCTTCATATGAAATCAAGACAGAAGCATTCTCAGAAACTGCTTTGTGATGTTTTCATTCAAGTCACAGAGTAGAATCTTCCCTGTTATATACCAGGTTTCAGACACTCTTTCTGCACTACCTGGAAGTGGACATTTGCAGCGCTTTGAGGCCTATGATGAAAAAGGAAATATCTTCCCATAAAAACTAGACAGAAGCATTCTCAGAAACTTGTTTGTGATGTGTGTATTCAACTAACAGAGATGAACCTTTCTTTTTACAGAGCAGTTTTGAAACACTCTTTTTGTGGAATCTGAAAGTGCATATTTGGATAGCTTTGAGGATTTCGTTGGAAACGGGATTACATATAAAATCTAGGGAGAAGCATTCTCAGGAACTTCTTTGTGATGTTTGCATTCAAGTCACAGAACTGAACATTCCCTTTCATAGAGCACGTTTGAAACACTCTTTCTGTAGTATCTGCAAGCGGACGTTTGAAGCGCTTTCAGGCCTATGGTGAGAAAGGAAATATCTTCACGTAACAACTAGACAGAAGCATTCTCAGAAACTTATTTGCCATGTGTGTTCTCAACTAACAGAGTTGAACCTTTGTTTTGATACGGCATTTTGGAAACACTCTTTTTGTAGAATCTGCAGGTGGATATTCGGATAGCTTTGAAGGTTTCGTTGGAAACGGGAATATCTTCATATAAAATCTAGACGGAAGCATTCTCAGAAACTGCTTTGTGATGTTTTCATTCAAGTCACAGAGTAGAATGTTCCCTGTTATACACCAGGTTTGAGACACTCTTTCTGCACTACCTGGAAGTGGACGTTTGGAGCGCTTTGAGGCCTATGTTGAAAAAGGAAATATCTTCCCATAAAAACTAGACAGAAGCATTCTCAGAAACTTGTTTGTGATGTGTGTATTCAACTAACAGAGATGAACCTTTCTTTTTACAGAGCAGTTTTGAAACACTCTTTTTGTGGAATCTGAAAGTGGATATTTGGATAGCTTTGAGGATTTCGTTGGAAACGGGATTACATATAAAACCTAGAGAGAAGCATTCTCAGGAACTTCTTTGTGATGTTTGCATTCACGTCACAGAACTGAACATTCCCTTTCATAGAGCATGTTTGAAACACTCTTTCTGTAGTATCTGCAAACGGACATTTCAAACGCTTTCAGGCCTATGGTGAGAAAGGAAATATCTTCAAATAAAAACTAGACAGAAGCATTCTCAGAAACTTATTTGCGATGTGTGTCCTCAACTAACAGAGTTGAACCTTTCTTTTGATACAACATTTTGGAAACACTCTTTTTGTAGAATCTGCAAGTGGATATTTGAATAGCTTTGAAGGTTTCGTTGGAAACGGGAATATCTTCAAATAAAAACTAGACAGAAGCATTCTCAGAAAGTGCTTTGTGATGTTTGCATTCAAGTCACAGAGTTGAATATTCCCTTTTATAGAGCAGGTTTGAAACACTCTTTCTGCACTACCTGGAAGTGGACATTTGGAGCGCTTTGAGGCCTATGTTGAAAAAGGAAATATCTTCCCATAAAAACTAGACAGAAGCATTCTCAGAAACTTGTTTGTGATGTTTGTATTCAACTAACAGAGATGAACCTTTCTTTTTACAGAGCAGTTTTGAAACACTCTTTTTGTGGAATCTGAAAGTGGATATTTGGATAGCTTTGAGGATTTTGTTGGAAACGGGATTACATATAAAATCTAGAGAGAAGCATTCTCAGGTAACTTCTTTGTGATGTTTGCATTCAAGTCACAGCAACTGAACATTCCCTTTCATAGAGCAGGTTTGAAACACTCTTTCTGTAGTATCTGCAAGCGGACGTTTTAAGCGCTTTCAGGCCTGTGGTGAGAAAGGAAATATCTTCAAATAAAAATTAGGCAGAAGCATTCTCAGAAACTTATTTGCGATGTGTGTCCTCAACTAACAGAGTTGAACCTTTCTTTTGATACAACATTTTGGAAACACTCTTTTTGTAGAATCTGCAAGTGGATATTTGAATAGCTTTGAAGGTTTCGTTGGAAACGGGAATATCTTCATATAAAATCAAGACAGAAGCATTCTCAGAAAGTGCTTTGTGATGTTTGCATTCAAGTCACAGAGTTGAATATTCCCTTTTATAGAGCAGGTTTGAAACACTCTTTCTGCACTACCTGGAAGTGGACATTTGGAGCGCTTTGAGGCCTATGTTGAAAAAGGAAATATCTTCCCATAAAAACTAGACAGAAGCATTCTCAGAAACTTGTTTGTGATGTGTGTATTCAACTAACCGAGATGAACCTTTCTTTTTACAGAGCAGTTTTGAATCACTCTTTTTGTGGAATCTGAAAGTGGATATTTGGATAGCTTTGAGGATTTCGTTGGAAACGGGATTACATATAAAATGTAGGGAGAAGCATTCTCAGAAACTGCTTTGTGATGTTTTCATTCAAGTCACAGAGTAGAATGTTCCCTTTTATAGAGCAGGTTTGAAACACTCTTTCTGCACTACCTGGAAGTGGACATTTGGAGCGCTTTGAGGCCTATGTTGAAAAAGGAAATATCTTCCCATAAAAACTAGACAGAAGCATTCTCAGAAACTTGTTTGTGATTTGTGTATTCAACTAACAGAGATGAACCTTTGTGTGGATACAGCATTTTGGAAACATTCCTTTACTAGAATCTGCAAGTTGATATTTAGATAGCTAGGAAGATTTCCTTGGAAACGGGAATATCTTCATATAAAATCTAGACGGATGCATTCTCAGAAAGTGCCTTGTGATGTTTGCATTCAAGTCACAGAGTAGAATATTCCCTTTAATAGAGCAGGTTTGAAGCACTCTTTCTGCACTACCTGGAAGTGGACATTTGGAGCGCTTTGAGGCCTATGTTGAAAAAGGAAATATCTTCCCATAAAAACTAGACAGAAGCATTCTAAGAAACTTGTTTGTGATGTGTGTATTCAACTAACAGAGATGAACCTTTCTTCTTACAGAGCAGTTTTAAAACACTCTTTTTGTGGAATCTGAAATTGGATATTTGGATAGGTTTGAGGATTTCCTTGGAAACGGGATTACATATAAAATCTAGGGAGAAGCATTCTCAGCAACTTCTTTGTGATGTTTGCATTGAAGTCACAGAACTGAACATTCCCTTTCATAGAGCAGGTTTGAAACACTCTTTCTGTAGTATCTGCAAGCGGCCATTTCAAACGATTTCAGGCCTATGGTGAGAAAGGAAATATCTTCAAATAAAAACTAGACAAAAGCATTCTCAGAAACTTATTTGCGATGTGTGTACTCAACGAACAGAGTTGAACCTTTGTTTTGATACAACATTTTGGAAACACTCTTTTGGTAGAATCTGCAGGTGGATATTTGGATAGGTTTGAAGGTTTCGTTGGAAACGGGAATATCTTCATATAAAATCAAGACAGAAGCATTCTGAGAAACTGCTTTGTGATGTTTTCATTCAAGTCACAGAGTAGAATGTTCCCTTTTATATACCAGGTTTGAGACACTCTTTCTGCACTATCTGGAAGTGGACATTTGGAGCGCTTTGAGGCCTATGATGAAAAAGGAAATATCTTCCCATAAAAACTAGACAGAAAGCATTCTCAGAAACTTGTTTGTGATGTGTGTATTCAACTAACAGAGATGAACCTTTCTTTTTACAGAGCAGTTTTGAAACACTCTTTTTGTGGAATCTGAAAGTGGATATTTGGATAGCTTTGAGGATTTCGTTGGAAACGGGATTACATATAAAATCTAGGGAGAAGCATTCTCAGGAACTTCTTTGTGATGTTTGCATTCAAGTCACAGAACTGAACATTCCCTTTCATAGAGCATGTTTGAAACACTCTTTCTGTAGTATCTGCAAGCAGACGTTTCAAGCGCTTTCAGGCCTATGGTGAGAAAGGAAATATCTTCAAGTAAAAACTAGACAGAAGCATTCTCAGAAACTTATTTGCCATGTGTGTTCTCAACTAACAGAGTTGAACCTTTGTTTTGATACGGCATTTTGGAAACACTCTTTTTGTAGAATCTGCACGTGGATATTCGGATAGCTTTGAAAGTTTCGTTGGAAACGGGAATATCTTCATATAAAATCTAGACGGAAGCATTCTCAGAAACTGCTTTGTGATGTTTTCATTCAAGCCACAGAGTAGAATGTTCCCTTTTATATACCAGGTTTGAGACACTCTTTCTGCACTATCTGGAAGTGGACATTTGGAGCGCTTTGAGGCCTATGATGAAAAAGGAAATATCTTCCCATAAAAACTAGACAGAAGCATTCTCAGAAACTTGTTTGTGATGTGTGTATTCAACTAACAGTGATGAACCTTTCTTTTTACAGAGCAGTTTTGAAACACTCTTTTTGTGGAATCTGAAAGTGGATATTTGGATATCTTTGAGGATTTCGTTGGAAACGGGATTACATATAAAATCTAGAGAGAAGCATTCTCAGGAACTTCTTTGTGATGTTTGCATTCAAGTCACAGAACTGAACATTCCCTTTCATAGAGCATGTTTGAAACACTCTTTCTGTAGTATCTGCAAACGGACATTTCAAGCGCTTTCAGGCCTATGGTAAGAAAGGAAATATCTTCAAATAAAAACTAGACAGAAGCATTCTCAGAAACTTATTTGCGATGTGTGTTCTCAACTAACAGAGTTGAACCTTTGTTTTGATATGGCATTTTGGAAACACTCTTTTTGTAGAATCTGCAGGTGGATATTCGGATAGCTTTGAAGGTTTCGTTGGAAACGGGAATATCTTCATATAAAATCTAGACGGAAGCATTCTCAGAAACTGCTTTGTGATGTTTTCATTCAAGTCACAGAGTAGAATGTTCCCCGTTATATACCAGGTTTGAGACACTCTTTCTGCACTACCTGGAAGTGGACATTTGGAGCGCTTTGAGGCCTATGATGAAGAAGGAAATATCTTCCCATAAAAACTAGACAGAAAGCATTCTCAGAAACTTGTTTTTGATGTGTGTATTCAACTAACAGAGATGAACCTTTCTTTTTACAGAGCAGTTTTGAAACACTCTTTTTGTGGAATCTGAAAGTGGATATTTGGATAGCTTTGAGGATTTCGTTGGAAACGGGATTAAATATAAAATCTAGAGAGAAGCATTCTCAGGAACTTCTTTGTGATGTTTGCATTCAAGTCACAGAACTGAACATTCCCTTTCATAGAGCAGGTTTGAAACACTCTTTCTGTAGTATCTGCAAGCGGACGTTTTAAGCGCTTTCAGGCCTGTGGTGAGAAAGGAAATATCTTCAAATAAAAACTAGACAGAAAGCATTCTCAGAAACTTATTTGCCATGTGTGTTCTCAACTAACAGAGTTGAACCTTTGTTTTGATACGGCATTTTGGAAACACTCTTTTTGTAGAATCTGCAGGTGGATATTCGGATAGCTTTGAAGGTTTCGTTGGAAACGGGAATATCTTCATATAAAACCTTGACGGAAGCATTCTCAGAAACTGCTTTGTGATGTTTTCATTCAAGTCACAGAGTAGAATGTTCCCTGTTATATACCAGGTTTGAGACACTCTTTCTGCACTACCTGGAAGTGGACATTTGCAGCGCTTTTAGGCCTAGGATGAAAAAGGAAATATCTTCCCATAAAAACTAGACAGAAGCATTCTCAGAAACTTGTTTCTGATGTGTGTATTCAACTAACAGAGATGAACCTTTCTTTTTAGAGAGTAGTTTTGAAACACTCTTTTTGTGGAATCTGAAAGTGGATATTTGGATAGCTTTGCGGATTTCGTTGGAAACGGGATTACATATAAAATCTAGGGAGAAAGCATTCTCAGGAACTTCTTTGTGATGTTTGCATTCAAGTCACAGAACTGAACATTCCCTTTCATAGAGCAGGTTTGAAACACTCTTTCTGTAGTATCTGCAAGTGGACGTTTCAAGCGCTTTCAGGCCTGTGGTGAAAAAGGAAATATCTTCAAATAAAAACTAGACAGAAGCATTCTCAGAAACTTATTTGCGATGTGTGTCCTCAACTAACAGAGTTGAACTTTTGTTTTGATACAGCATTTTGGAAACACTCTTTTTGTAGGATCTGCAGGTGGATATTTAGATAGCTTTGAAGGTTTCGTTGGAAACGGGAATATCTTCATATAAAATCAACACAGAAGCATTCTCAGAAACTTCTCTGTGATGTTTGCATTCAACTCATAGAGGTGAACACTTCCTTTCATAGAGCTGTTTTGAAACACTCTTTTTGTAATATTTGGAAGTGGACATTGGCAGCGCTTTCAGGCCTATGGTGAAAAAGGAAATATCTTCTCCTAAAAACCAGACAGAAGCATTCTCAGAAACTTCCTTGTGATGTGTGTACTCAAGTAACAGAGTTGAACCTTACTTTTGAGAGAGCAGTTTTGAAACACTCTTTTTGTAGAATCTGCAAGTGGATATTTTGATAGCTTTGAAGATTTCGTTGGACACGGGATATCTTCATATAAAATCTAGACTGAAGCATTCTCAGAAACTACTTTGTGCTGTATGTCCTCAATTAACAGAGTTGAACCTTTGTTTCGATTCAGCATTTTGGAAACATTCCTTTGGTAGAATCTGCAAGTTGATAATTAGATAGCTAGGAAGATTTCCTTGGAAACGGGAATATCTTCATATAAAATCTAGACGGAAGCATTCTCAGAAACTTCTTTGTGCTGTATGTCCTCAATTAACAGAGTTGAACCTTTGTGTGGATACAGCATTTTGGAAACACTCCTTTAGTAGGATATGCAAGTTGATATTTAGATAGCTAGGAAGATTTCCTTGGAAACGTGAATATCTTCATATAAAATCTAGACGGAAGCATTCTCAGAAAGTGCTTTGTGATGTTTGCATTCAAGTCACAGAGTTGAATATTCCCTTTTATAGAGCAGGTTTGAAACACTCTTTCTGCACTACCTGGAAGTGGACATTTGGAGCGCTTTGAGGCCTATGTTGAAAAAGGAAATAACTTCCCATAAAAACTAGACAGAAGCATTCTCAGAAACTTGTTTGTGATGTGTGTATTCAACTAACAGAGATGAACCTTTCTTTTTACAGAGCAGTTTTGAAACACTCTTTTTGTGGAATCTGAAAGTGGATATTTGGATAGCTTTGAGGATTTCGTTGGAAACGGGATTACATATAAAATCTAGAGAGAAGCATTCTCAGGAACTTCTTTGTGATGTTTGCCTTCAAGTCACAGGACTGAACATTCCCTTTCATAGAGCAGGTTTGAAACACTCTTTCTGTAGTATCTGCAAGCTGACGTTTCAAGCGCTTTCAGGCCTATGGTGAGAAAGGAAATATCTTCAAGTAAAAACTAGACAGAAGCATTCTCAGAAACTTCTTTGTGCTGTATGTCCTCAATTAACAGAGTTGAACCTTTGTGTGGATACAGCATTTTGGAAACATTCCTTTAGTAGAATCTGCAAGTTGATATTTAGATAGCTAGGAAGATTTCCTTGGAAACGGGAATATCTTCATATAAAATCTAGACGGAAGCATTCTCAGAAACTGCTTTGTGATGTTTTCATTCAAGTCACAGAGTAGAATGTTCCCTGTTATATACCAGGTTTGAGACACTCTTTCTGCACTACCCGGAAGTGGACGTTTGGAGCGCTTTGAGGCCTATGTTGAAAAAGGAAATATCTTCCCATAAAAACTAGACAGAAGCATTCTCAGAAACTTGTTTGTGATGTGTGTATTCAACTAACAGAGATGAACCTTTCTTTTTACAGAGCAGTTTTGAAACACTCTTTTTGTGGAATCTGAAAGTGGATATTTGGATAGCTTTGCGGATTTCGTTGGAAACGGGATTACATATAAAATCTAGGGAGAAGCATTCTCAGGAACTTCTTTGTGATGTTTGCATTCAAGTCACAGAACTGAACATTCCCTTTCATAGAGCATGTTTGAAACACTCTTTCTGTAGTATCTGCAAGCGGACGTTTTAAGCGCTTTCAGGCCTGTGGTGAGAAAGGAAATATCTTCAAATAAAAACTAGACAGAAGCATTCTCAGAAACTTCTTTGTGCTGTATGTCCTCAATTAACAGAGTTGAACCTTTGTGTGGATACAGCATTTTGGAAACATTCCTTTAGTAGAATCTGCAAGTTGATATTTAGATAGCTAGGAAGATTTCCTTGGAAACGGGAATATCTTCATATAAAATCTAGACGGAAGCATTCTCAGAAACTGCTTTGTGATGTTTTCATTCAAGTCACAGAGTAGAATGTTCCCTGTTATATACCAGGTTTGAGACACTCTTTCTGCACTACCCGGAAGTGGACGTTTGGAGCGCTTTGAGGCCTATGTTGAAAAAGGAAATATCTTCCCATAAAAACTAGACAGAAGCATTCTCAGAAACTTGTTTGTGATGTGTGTATTCAACTAACAGAGATGAACCTTTCTTTTTACAGAGCAGTTTTGAAACACTCTTTTTGTGGAATCTGAAAGTGGATATTTGGATAGCTTTGCGGATTTCGTTGGAAACGGGATTACATATAAAATCTAGGGAGAAGCATTCTCAGGAACTTCTTTGTGATGTTTGCATTCAAGTCACAGAACTGAACATTCCCTTTCATAGAGCAGGTTTGAAACACTCTTTCTGTAGTATCTGCAAGCGGACGTTTTAAGCGCTTTCAGGCCTGTGGTGAGAAAGGAAATATCTTCAAATAAAAACTAGACAGAAGCATTCTCAGAAACTTATTTGCGATGTGTGTCCTCAACTAACAGAGTTGAACCTTTCTTTTGATACAACATTTTGGAAACACTCTTTTTGTAGAATCTGCAAGTGGATATTTGGATAGCTTTGAAGGTTTCGTTGGAAACGGGAATATCTTCATATGAAATCAAGACAGAAGCATTCTCAGAAACTTCTCTGTGATGTTTGCATTCAACTCATAGAGTTGAACACTTCCCTTCATACAGTAGGTTTGAAACACTCTTTTTCTAATATTTGGAAGTGGACATTTGCAGCGCTTTGAGGCCTATGTTGAAAAAGGAAATATCTTCTCCTAAAAACCAGACAGAAGCATTCTCAGAAACTTGTTTGTGATGTGTGTATTCAACTAACAGAGATGAACCTTTCTTTTTACAGAGCAGTTTTGAAACACTCTTTTTGTGGAATCTGAAAGTGGATATTTGGATAGCTTTGAGGATTTCGTTGGAAACGGGATTACATATAAAACCTAGAGAGAAGGATTCTCAGGAACTTCTTTGTGATGTTTGCATTCAAGTCACAGAACTGAACATTCCCTTTCATAGAGTAGGTTTGAAACAATCTTTCTGTAGTATCTGCATGCTGACGTTTCAAGCGCTTTCAGGCCTATGGTGAGAAAGGAAATATCTTCAAGTAAAAACTAGACAGAAGCATTCTCAGAAACTTATTTGCGATGTGTGTCCTCAACTAACAGAGTTGAACCTTTCTTTTGATACAACATTTTGGAAACACTCTTTTTGTAGAATCTGCAGGTGGATATTCGGATAGCTTTGAAGGTTTCGTTGGAAACGGGAATATCTTCATATAAAATCAAGAGAGAAGCATTCTCAGAAACTTCTCTGTGATGTTTGCATTCAACTCATAGAGGTGAACACTTCCCTTCATAGAGCAGGTTTGAAACACTCTTTTTGTAATATTTGGAAGTGGACATTTGCAGCGCTTTGAGGCCTATGTTGAAAAAGGAAATATCTTCTCCTAAAAACCAGACAGAAGCATTCTCAGAAACTTCCTTGTAATGTGTGTACTCAAGTAACAGAGTTGAACCTTCCTTTTGACAGAGCCGTTTTGAAACACTCTTTTTGTAGAATCTGCAAGTAGATATTTGGATACCTTTGAGGATTTCTTTGGAAACGGGATATCTTCATATAAAATCTAGACAGAAGCATTCTCAGAAACTTCTTTGTGCTGTATGTCTTCAATTAACAGAGTTGAACCTTTGTTTGGATACAGCATTTTGGAAACGTTCCTTTAGTAGAATCTGCAAGTTGATATTTAGATAGCTAGGAAGATTTCCTTGGAAACGGGAATATCTTCACATAAAATCTAGACGGAAGCATTCTCAGAAAGTGCTTTGTGATGTTTGCATTCAAGTCACAGAGTTGAATATTCCCTTTTATAGAGCAGGTTTGAAACACTCTTTCTGCACTACCTGGAAGTGGACATTTGGAGCGCTTTGAGGCCTATGTTGAAAAAGGAAATATCTTCCCATAAAAACTAGACAGAAGCATTCTCAGAAACTTGTTTCTGATGTGTGTATTCAACTAACAGAGATGAACCTTTCTTTTTACAGAGTAGTTTTGAAACACTCTTTTTGTGGAATCTGAAAGTGGATATTTGGATAGCTTTGCGGATTTCGTTGGAAACGGGATTACATATAAAATCTAGAGAGAAGCATTCTCAGGAACTTCTTTGTGATGTTTGCATTCACGTCACAGAACTGAACATTCCCTTTCATAGAGCATGTTTGAAACACTCTTTCTGTAGTATCTGCAAACGGACATTTCAAACGCTTTCAGGCCCATGGTGAGAAAGGAAATATCTTCAAGTAAAAACTAGACAGAAGCATTCTCAGAAACTTATTTGCGATGTGTGTCCTCAACTAACAGAGTTGAACCTTTCTTTTGATACAACATTTTGGAAACACTCTTTTTGTAGAATCTGCAAGTGGATATTTGGATAGCTTTGAAGGTTTCGTTGGAAACGGGAATATCTTCATATAAAATCAAGACAGAAGCATTCTCAGAAAGTGCTTTGTGATGTTTGCATTCAAGTCACAGAGTTGAATATTCCCTTTTATAGAGCAGGTTTGAAACACTCTTTCTGCACTACCTGGAAGTGGACATTTGGAGCGCTTTGAGGCCTATGTTGAAAAAGGAAATATCTTCCCATAAAAACTAGACAGAAGCATTCTCAGAAACTTGTTTGTGATGTGTGTATTCAACTAACAGAGATGAACCTTTCTTTTTACAGAGCAGTTTTGAAACACTCTTTTTGTGGAATCTGAAAGTGGATATTTGGATAGCTTTGCGGATTTCGTTGGAAACGGGATTACATATAAATCTAGGGAGAAGCATTCTCAGGAACTTCTTTGTGATGTTTGCATTCAAGTCACAGAACTGAACATTCCCTTTCATAGAGCAGGTTTGAAACACTCTTTCTGTAGTATCTGCAAGCGGACGTTTTAAGCGCTTTCAGGCCTGTGGTGAGAAAGGAAATATCTTCAAATAAAAACTAGACAGAAGCATTCTCAGAAACTTATTTGCGATGTGTGTTCTCAGCTAACAGAGTTGAACCTTTGTTTTGATACAGCATTTTGGAAACACTCTTTTTGTCGGATCTGCAGGTGGATATTTGGATAGCTTTGAAGGTTTCTTTGGAAACGGGAATACCTTCATATAAAATCAAGACAGAAGCATTCTCAGAAACTTCTCTGTGATGTTTGCATTCAACTCATAGAGTTGAACACTTCCCTTCATACAGCAGGTTTGAAACACTCTTTTTGTAATATTTGGAAGTGGACATTTGCAGCGCTTTGAGGCCTATGTTGAAAAAGGAAATATCTTCTCCTAAAAACCAGACAGAAGCATTCTCAGAAACTTGTTTGTGATGTGTGTATTCAACTAACAGAGATGAACCTTTCTTTTTACAGAGCAGTTTTGAAACACTCTTTTTGTGGAATCTGAAAGTGGATATTTGGATAGCTTTGAGGATTTCGTTGGAAACGGGATTACAGATAAAACCTAGAGAGAAGCATTCTCAGGAACTTCTTTGTGATGTTTGCATTCAAGTCACAGAACTGAACATTCCCTTTCATAGAGCAGGTTTGAAACACTCTTTCTGTAGTATCTGCAAGCGGACGTTTTAAGCGCTTTCAGGCCTGTGGTGAGAAAGGAAATATCTTCAAATAAAAACTAGACAGAAGCATTCTCAGAAACTTATTTGCGATGTGTGTCCTCAACTAACAGAGTTGAACCTTTCTTTTGATACAACATTTTGGAAACACTCTTTTTGTAGAATCTGCAAGTGGATATTTGAATAGCTTTGAAGGTTTCGTTGGAAACGGGAATATCTTCATATAAAATCAAGACAGAAGAATTCTCAGAAAGTGCTTTGTGATGTTTGCATTCAAGTCACAGAGTTGAATATTCCGTTTTATAGAGCAGGTTTGAAACACTCTTTCTGCACTACCTGGAAGTGGACATTTGGAGCGCTTTGAGGCCTATGTTGAAAAAGGAAATATCTTCCCATAAAAACTAGACAGAAGCATTCTCAGAAACTTGTTTGTGATGTGTGTATTCAACTAACAGAGATGAACCTTTCTTTTTACAGAGCAGTTTTGAAACACTCTTTTTGTGGAATCTGAAAGTGGATATTTGGATAGCTTTGAGGATTTCGTTGGAAACGGGATTACATATAAAACCTAGAGAGAAGCATTCTCAGGAACTTCTTTGTGATGTTTGCATTCAAGTCACAGAACTGAACATTCCCTTTCATAGAGCAGGTTTGAAACACTCTTTCTGTAGTATCTGCAAGCGGACGTTTTAAGCGCTTTCAGGCCTGTGGTGAGAAAGGAAATATCTTCAAATAAAAACTAGACAGAAGCATTCTCAGAAACTTATTTGCGATGTGTGTCCTCAACTAACAGAGTTGAACCTTTCTTTTGATACAACATTTTGGAAACACTCTTTTTGTAGAATCTGCAAGTGGATATTTGGATAGCTTTGAAGGTTTCGTTGGAAACGGGAATATCTTCATATAAAATCAAGACAGAAGCATTCTCAGAAACTTCTCTGTGATGTTTGCATTCACCTCATAGAGTTGAACACTTCCCTTCATAAAGCAGGATTGAAACACTCTTTTTGTAATATTTGGAAGTGGACATTTTCAGCGCTTTGAGGCCTATGATGAAAAAGGTAATATCTTCCCATAAAAACTAGACAGAAGCATTCTCAGAAACTTGTTTGTGATGTGTGTATTCAACTAACAGAGATGAACCTTTCTTTTTACAGAGCAGTTTTGAAACACTCTTTTTGTGGAATCTGAAAGTGGATATTTGGATAGCTTTGCGGATTTCGTTGGAAACGGGATTACATATAAAATCTAGGGAGAAGCATTCTCAGGAACTTCTTTGTGATGTTTGCATTCAAGTCACAGAACTGAACATTCCCTTTCATAGAGCAGGTTTGAAACACTCTTTCTGTAGTATCTGCAAGCGGACGTTTTAAGCGCTTTCAGGCCTGTGGTGAGAAAGGAAATATCTTCAAATAAAAACTAGACAGAAGCATTCTCAGAAACTTATTTGCGATGTGTGTCCTCAACTAACAGAGTTGAACCTTTCTTTTGATACAACATTTTGGAAACACTCTTTTTGTAGAATCTGCAAGTGGATATTTGAATAGCTTTGAAGGTTTCGTTGGAAACGGGAATATCTTCATATAAAATCAAGACAGAAGCATTCTCAGAAACTGCTTTGTGATGTTTTCATTCAAGTCACAGAGTAGAATGTTCCCTGTTATACACCAGGTTTGAGACACTCTTTCTGCACTACCTGGAAGTGGACGTTTGGAGCGCTTTGAGGCCTATGTTGAAAAAGGAAATATCTTCCCATAAAAACTAGACAGAAGCATTCTCAGAAACTTGTTTGTGATGTGTGTATTCAACTAACAGAGATGAACCTTTCTTTTTACAGAGCAGTTTTGAAACACTCTTTTTGTGGAATCTGAAAGTGGATATTTGGATAGCTTTGAGGATTTCGTTGGAAACGGGATTACATATAAAATCTAGAGAGAAGCATTCTCAGGAACTTCTTTGTGATGTTTGCATTCAAGTCACAGAACTGAACATTCCCTTTCATAGAGCAGGTTTGAAACACTCTTTCTGTAGTATCTGCAAACGGACATTTCATACGCTTTCAGGCCTATGGTGAGAAAGGAAATATCTTCAAATAAAAACTAGACAGAAGCATTCTCAGAAACTTCTTTGTGCTGTATGTCCTCAATTAACAGAGTTGAACCTTTGTGTGGATACAGCATTTTGGAAACACTCCTTTAGTAGAATCTGCAAGTTGATACTTAGATAGGAAGATTTCCTTGGAAACGGGAATATCTTCATATAAAATCTAGACGGAAGCATTCTCAGAAACTGCTTTGAGATGTTTTCATTCATGTCACAGAGTAGAATGTTCCCTTTTATAGAGCAGGTTTGAAACACTCTGTGCACTACGTGGAAGTGGACATTTGGAGCGCTTTGAGGCCTATGCTGAAAAAGGAAATATCTTCCCATAAAAACTAGACAGAAGCATTCTCAGAAACTTGTTTGTGATGTGTGTATTCAACTAACAGAGATGAACCTTTCTTTTTACAGAGCAGTTTTGAAACACTCTTTTTCTGGAATCTGAAAGTGGATATTTGGATAGCTTTGAGGATTTCGTTGGAAACGGGATTCCATATAAAACCTAGAGAGAAGCATTCTCGGGAACTTCTTTGTGATGTTTGCATTCAAGTCACAGAACTGAACATTCCCTTTCATAGAGCAGGTTTGAAACACTCTTTCTGTAGTATCTGCAAGCTGACGTTTCAAGCGCTTTCAGGCCTATGGTGAGAAAGGAAATATCTTCAAGTAAAAACTAGACAGAAGCATTCTCAGAAACTTATTTGCCATGTGTGTTCTCAACTAACAGAGTTGAACCTTTGTTTTGATACGGCATTTTGGAAACACTCTTTTTGTAGAATCTGCAGGTGGATATTCGGATAGCTTTGAAGGTTTCGTTGGAAACGGGAATATCTTCATATAAAGTCTAGACGGAAGCATTCTCAGAAACTGCTTTGTGATGTTTTCATTCAAGTCACAGAGTAGAATGTTCCCTGTTATATACCAGGTTTGAGACACTCTTTCTGCACTACCTGGAAGTGGACGTTTGGAGCGCTTTGAGGCCTAAGTTGAAAAAGGAAATATCTTCCCATAAAAACTAGACAGAAGCATTCTCAGAAACTTGTTTGTGATGTGTGTATTCAACTAACAGAGATGAACCTTTCTTTTTACAGAGCAGTTTTGAAACACTCTTTTTGTGGAATCTGAAAGTGGATATTTGGATAGCTTTGAGGATTTCGTTGGAAACGGGATTACATATAAAATCTAGAGAGAAGCATTCTCAGAAACTTCTCTGTGATGTTTGCATTCAACTCATAGAGTTGAACACTTCCTTTCATAGAGCTGGTTTGAAATACTCTTTTTGTAATATTTGGAAGTGGACATTGGCAGCGCTTTGAAGCCTATGGTGAAAAAGGAGATATCTTCTCCTAAAAACCAGACAGAAGCATTCTCAGAAACTTATTTGCGATGTGTGTCCTCAACTAACAGAGTTGAACCTTTGTTTTGATACAACATTTTGGAAACACTCTTTTTGTAGAATCTGCAAGTGGATATTTGGATAGCTTTGAAGGTTTCGTTGGAAACGGGAATATCTTCATATAAAATCAAGACAGAAACATTCTCAGAAACTTCTCTGTGATGTTTGCATTCAACTCATAGAGTTGAACACTTCCCTTCATAGAGCAGGTTTGAAACACTCTTTTTGTAATATTTGGAAGTGGACATTTGCAGCGCTTTGAGGCCTATGTTGAAAAAGGAAATATCTTCTCCTAAAAACCAGACAGAAGCATTCTCAGAAACTTGTTTGTGATGTGTGTATTCAACTAACAGAGATGAACCTTTCTTTTTACAGAGCAGTTTTGAAACACTCTTTTTGTGGAAACTGAAAGTGGATATTTGGATAGCTTTGAGGATTTCGTTGGAAACGGGATTACATATAAAATCTAGAGAGAAGCATTCTCAGGAACTTCTTTGTGATGTTTGCATTCACGTCACAGAACTGAACATTCCCTTCCATAGAGCATGTTTGAAACACTCTTTCTGTAGTATCTGCAAACGGACATTTCAAACGTTTTCAGGCCTATGGTGAGAAAGGAAATATCTTCAAATAAAAACTAGACAGAAGCATATTCAGAAACTTATTTGCGATGTGTGTCCTCAACTAACAGAGTTGAACCTTTCTTTTGATACAACATTTTGGAAACACTCTTTTTGTGGAATCTGCAAGTGGATATTTGGATAGCTTTGAAGGTTTCGTTGGAAACGGGAATATCTTCATATAAAATCAAGACAGAAGCATTCTCAGAAACTGCTTTGTGATGTTTTCATTCAAGTCACAGAGTAGAATGTTCCCTGTTATATACCAGGTTTGAGACACTCTTTCTGCACTACCTGGAAGTGGACGTTTGGAGCGCTTTGAGGCCTATGTTGAAAAAGGAAATATCTTCCCATAAAAACTAGACAGAAGCATTCTCAGAAACTTGTTTGTGATGTGTGTATTCAACTAACAGAGATGAACCTTTCTTTTTACAGAGCAGTTTTGAAACACTCTTTTTGTGGAATCTGAAAGTGGATATTTGGATAGCTTTGAGGATTTCGTTGGAAACGGGATTACATATAAAACCTAGAGAGAAGCATTCTCAGGAACTTCTTTGTGATGTTTGCATTCAAGTCACAGAACTGAACATTCCCTTTCATAGAGCAGGTTTGAAACACTCTTTCTGTAGTATCTGCAAGCTGACGTTTCAAGCGCTTTCAGGCCTATGGTGAGAAAGGAAATATCTTCAAGTAAAAACTAGACAGAAGCATTCTCAGAAACTTATTTGCGATGTGTGTTCTCAACTAACAGAGTTGAACCTTTGTTTTGATATGGCATTTTGGAAACACTCTTTTTGTAGAATCTGCAGGTGGATATTCGGATAGCTTTGAAGGTTTCGTTGGAAACGGGAATATCTTCATATAAAATCTAGACGGAAGCATTCTCAGAAACTGCTTTGTGATGTTTTCATTCAAGTCACAGAGTAGAATGTTCCCTGTTATATACCAGGTTTGAGACACTCTTTCTGCACTACCTGGAAGTGGACATTTGCAGCGCTTTGAGGCCTATGATGAAAAAGGAAATATCTTCCCATAAAAACTAGACAGAAGCATTCTCAGAAACTTGTTTGTGATGTGTGTATTCAACTAACAGTAGATGAACCTTTCTTTTTACAGAGCAGTTTTGAAACACTCTTTTTGTGGAATCTGAAAGTGGATATTTGGATAGCTTTGAGGATTTCGTTGGAAACGGGATTACATATAAAATCTCGAGAGAAGCATTCTCAGGAACTTCTTTGTGATGTTTGCATTCAAGTCACAGGACTGAACATTCCCTTTCATAGAGCAGGTTTGAAACACTCTTTCTGTAGTATCTGCAAGCTGACGTTTCAAGCGCTTTCAGGCCTATGGTGAGAAAGGAAATATCTTCAAGTAAAAACTAGACAGAAGCATTCTCAGAAACTTATTTGCCATGTGTGTTCTCAACTAACAGAGTTGAACCTTTGTTTTGATACGGCATTTTGGAAACACTCTTTTTGTAGAATATGCAGGTGGATATTCGGATAGCTTTGAAGGTTTCGTTGGAAACGGGAATATCTTCATATAAAATCTAGACGGAAGCATTCTCAGAAACTGCTTTGTGATGTTTTCATTCAAGTCACAGAGTAGAATCTTCCCTGTTATATACCAGGTTTGAGACACTGTTTCTGCACTACCTGGAAGTGGACATTTGCAGCGCTTTGAGGCCTATGTTGAAAAAGGAAATATCTTCCCATAAAAACTAGACAGAAGCATTCTCAGAAACTTCTCTGTGATGTTTGCATTCAACTCATAGAGTTGAACACTTCCTTTCATAGAGCTGGTTTGAAATACTCTTTTTGTAATATTTGGAAGTGGACATTGGCAGCGCTTTGAAGCTTATGGTGAAAAAGGAGATATCTTCTCCTAAAAACCAGACAGAAGCATTCTCAGAATCTTTCTTGTGATGTATGTACTCAAGTAACAGAGTTGAACCTTCCTTTTGACAGAGCAGTTTTGAAGTACTCTTTTTGTAGAATCTGCAAGTGGATATTTTGATACCTTTGAGGATTTCGTTGGACACGGGATATCTTCATATAAAATCTAGACAGAAGCATTCTCAGAAACTTCTTTGTGCTCTATGTCCTCAATTAACAGAGTTGAACCTTTGTGTGGATACAGCATTTTGGAAACATTCCTTTAGTAGAATCTGCAAGTTGATATTTAGATAGCTAGGAAGATTTCCATGGAAACGGGAATATCTTCATATAAAATCTGGACGGAAGCATTCTCAGAAACTGCTTTGTGATGTTTTCATTCAAGTCACAGAGTAGAATGTTCCCTGTTATATACCAGGTTTGAGACACTCTTTCTGCACTACCTGGAAGTGGACATTTGCAGCGCTTTGAGGCCTATGATGAAAAAGGAAATATCTTCCCATAAAAACTAGACAGAAGCATTCTCAGAAACTTGTTTGTGATGTGTGTATTCAACTAACAGAGATGAACCTTTCTTTTTACAGAGCAGTTTTGAAACACTCTTTTTGTGGAATCTGAAAGTGGATATTTGGATAGCTTTGCGGATTTCGTTGGAAACGGGATTACATATAAAATCTAGGGAGAAGCATTCTCAGGAACTTCTTTGCGATGTTTGCATTCAAGTCACAGAACTGAACATTCCCTTTCATAGAGCAGGTTTGAAACACTCTTTCTGTAGTATCTGCAAGCTGACGTTTCAAGCGCTTTCAGGCCTATGGTGAGAAAGGAAATTTCTTCAAGTAAAAACTAGACAGAAGCATTCTCAGAAACTTATTTGCGATGTGTGTTCTCAACTAACAGAGTTGAACCTTTGTTTTGATATGGCATTTTGGAAACACTCTTTTTGTAGAATCTGCAGGTGGATATTCGGATAGCTTTGAAGGTTTCGTTGGAAACGGGAATATCTTCATATAAAATCTAGACGGAAGCATTCTCAGAAACTGCTTTGTGATGTTTTCATTCAAGTCACAGAGTAGAATGTTCCCTGTTATATACCAGGTTTGAGACACTCTTTCTGCACTACATGGAAGTGGACGTTTGGAGTGCTTTGAGGCCTATGTTGAAAAAGGAAATATCATCCCATAAAAACTAGACAGAAGCATTCTCAGAAACTTGTTTGCGATGTGTGTATTCAACTAACAGAGATGAACCTTTCTTTTTACAGAGCAGTTTTGAAACACTCTTTTTGTGGAATCTGAAAGTGGATATTTGGATAGCTTTGAGGATTTCGTTGGAAACGGGATTACATATAAAATCTAGAGAGAAGCTTTCTCAGGAACTTCTTTGTGATGTTTGCATTCAAGTCACAGAACTGAACATTCCCTTTCATAGAGCAGGTTTGAAACACTCTTTCTGTAGTATCTGCAAGTGGACGTTTCAAGCGCTTTCAGGCCTGTGGTGAAAAAGGAAATATCTTCAAATAAAAACTAGACAGAAGCATTCTCAGAAACTTATTTGCGATGTGTGTCCTCAACTAACAGAGTTGAACCTTTCTTTTGATACAACATTTTGGAACCACTCTTTTTGTAGAATCTGCAAGTGGATATTTGGATAGCTTTGAAGGTTTCGTTGGAAACGGGAATACCTTCATATAAAATCAAGACAGAAGCATTCTCAGAAACTTCTCTGTGATGTTTGCATTCAACTCATAGAGTTGAACACTTCCCTTCATACAGCAGGTTTGAAACACTGTTTTTCTAATATTTGGAAGTGGACATTTGCAGCGCTTTGAGGCCTATGTTGAAAAAGGAAATATCTTCTCCTAAAAACCAGACAGAAGCATTCTCAGAAACTTCCTTGTGATGTGTGTACTCAAGTAACAGAGTTGAACCTTCCTTTTGACGGAGCAGTTTTGAAGCACTCTTTTTGTAGAATCTGCAAGTGGATATTTTGATACCTTTGAGGATTTCGTTGGACACGGGATATCTTCATATAAAATCTAGACAGAAGCATTCTCAGAAACTTCTTTGTGCTGTATGTCCTCAATTAACAGAGTTGAACCTTTGTGTGGATACAGCATTTTGGAAACATTCCTTTAGTAGAATCTGCAAGTTGATATTTAGATAGCTAGGAAGATTTCCTTGGAAACGGGAATATCTTCATATAAAATCTAGACGGAAGCATTCTCAGAAAGTGCTTTGTGATGTTTGCATTCAAGTCACAGAGTTGAATATTCCCTTTTATAGAGCAGGTTTGAAACACTCTTTCTGCAGTACCTGGAAGTGGACATTTGGAGCGCTTTGAGGCCTATGTTGAAAAAGGAAATATCTTCCCATAAAAACTGGACAGAAGCATTCTCAGAAACTTGTTTGTGATGTGTGTATTCAACTAACAGAGATGAACCTTTCTTTTTACAGAGCAGTTTTGAAACACTCTTTTTGTGGAATCTGAAAGTGGATATTTGGATAGCTTTGAGGATTTCGTTGGAAACGGGATTACATATAAAACCTAGAGAGAAGCATTCTCAGGAACTTCTTTGTGATGTTTGCATTCAAGTCACAGAACTGAACATTCCCTTTCATAGAGCAGGTTTGAAACAGTCTTTCTGTAGTATCTGCAAGCTGACGTTTCAAGCGCTTTCAGGCCTATGGTGAGAAAGGAAATATCTTCAAGTAAAAACTAGACAGAAGCATTCTCAGAAACTTATTTGCGATGTGTGTTCTCAACTAACAGAGTTGAACCTTTGTTTTGATATGGCATTTTGGAAACACTCTTTTTGTAGAATCTGCAGGTGGATATTCGGATAGCTTTGAAGGTTTCGTTGGAAACGGGAATATCTTCATATAAAATCTAGACGGAAGCATTCTCAGAAACTGCTTTGTGATGTTTTCATTCAAGTCACAGAGTAGAATCTTCCCTGTTATATACCAGGTTTCAGACACTCTTTCTGCACTACCTGGAAGTGGACATTTGCAGCGCTTTGAGGCCTATGATGAAAAAGGAAATATCTTCCCATAAAAACTAGACAGAAGCATTCTCAGAAATTTGTTTGTGATGTGTGTATTCAACTAACAGAGATGAACCTTTCTTTTTACAGAGCAGTTTTGAAACACTCTTTTTGTGGATTCTGAAAGTGGATATTTGGATAGCTTTGAGGATTTTGTTGGAAACGGGATTACATATGAAACCTAGAGAGAAGCATTCTCAGGAACTTCTTTGTGATGTTTGCATTCACGTCACAAAACTGAACATTCCCTTTCATAGAGCATGTTTGAAACACTCTTTCTGTAGTATCTGCAAACGGACATTTCAAACGCTTTCAGGCCTATGGTGAGAAAGGAAATATCTTCAAATAAAAACTAGACAGAAGCATTCTCAGAAACTTATTTGCCATGTGTGTTCTCAACTAACAGAGTTGAACCTTTGTTTTGATACGGCATTTTGGAAACACTCTTTTTGTAGAATCTGCAGGTGGATATTCGGATAGCTTTGAAGGTTTCGTTGGAAACGGGAATATCTTCATATAAAATCTAGACGGAAGCATTCTCAGAAAGTGCTTTGTGATGTTTGCATTCAAGTCACAGAGTTGAATATTCCCTTTTATAGAGCAGGTTTGAAACACTCTTTCTGCACTACCTGGAAGTGGACATTTGGAGCGCTTTGAGGCCTATGTTGAAAAAGGAAATAACTTCCCATAAAAACTAGACAGAAGCATTCTCAGAAACTTGTTTGTGATGTGTGTATTCAACTAACAGAGATGAACCTTTCTTTTTACAGAGCAGTTTTGAAACACTCTTTTTGTGGAATCTGAAAGTGCATATTTGGATAGCTTTGAGGATTTCGTTGGAAACGGGATTACATATAAAATCTAGGGAGAAGCATTCTCAGGAACTTCTTTGTGATGTTTGCATTCAAGTCACAGAACTGAACATTCCCTTTCATAGAGCACGTTTGAAACACTCTTTCTGTAGTATCTGCAAGCGGACGTTTCAAGCGCTTTCAGGCCTATGGTGAGAAAGGAAATATCTTCACGTAACAACTAGACAGAAGCATTCTCAGAAACTTATTTGCCATGTGTGTTCTCAACTAACAGAGTTGAACCTTTGTTTTGATACGGCATTTTGGAAACACTCTTTTTGTAGAATCTGCAGGTGGATATTCGGATAGCTTTGAAGGTTTCGTTGGAAACGGGAATATCTTCATATAAAATCTAGACGGAAGCATTCTCAGAAACTGCTTTGTGATGTTTTCATTCAAGCCACAGAGTAGAATGTTCCCTTTTATATACCAGGTTTGAGACACTCTTTCTGCACTATCTGGAAGTGGACATTTGGAGCGCTTTGAGGCCTATGATGAAAAAGGAAATATCTTCCCATAAAAACTAGACAGAAGCATTCTCAGAAACTTGTTTGTGATGTGTGTATTCAACTAACAGAGATGAACCTTTCTTTTTACAGAGCAGTTTTGAAACACTCTTTTTGTGGAATCTGAAAGTGGATATTTGGATAGCTTTGCGGATTTCGTTGGAAACGGGATTACATATAAAATCTAGGGAGAAGCATTCTCAGGAACTTCTTTGTGATGTTTGCATTCAAGTCACAGAACTGAACATTCCCTTTCATGGAGCATGTTTGAAACACTCTTTCTGTAGTATCTGCAAGCTGACGTTTCAAGCGCTTTCAGGCCTATGGTGAGAAAGGAAATATCTTCAAGTAAAAACTAGACAGAAGCATTCTCAGAAACTTATTTGCCATGTGTGTTCTCAACTAACAGAGTTGAACCTTTGTTTTGATACGGCATTTTGGAAACACTCTTTTTGTAGAATCTGCAGGTGGATATTCGGATAGCTTTGAAGGTTTCTTTGGAAACGGGAATATCTTCATATAAAATCTAGACGGAAGCATTCTCAGAAACTGCTTTGTGATGTTTTCATTGAAGTCACAGAGTAGAATGTTCCCTTTTATATACCAGGTTTGAGACACTCTTTCTGCACTATCTGGAAGTGGACATTTGGAGCGCTTTGAGGCCTATGATGAAAAAGGAAATATCTTCCCATAAAAACTAGACAGAAGCATTCTCAGAAACTTGTTTGTGATGTGTGTATTCAACTAACAGAGATGAACCTTTCTTTTTACAGAGCAGTTTTGAAACACTCTTTTTGTGGAATCTGAAAGTGGATATTTGGATAGCTTTGAGGATTTCGTTGGAAACGGGATTACATATAAAATCTAGAGAGAAGCATTCTCAGGAACTTCTTTGTGATGTTTGCATTCAAGTCACAGAACTGAACATTCCCTTTCATAGAGCAGGTTTGAAACACTCTTTCTGTAGTATCTGCAAGCGGACGTTTTAAGCGCTTTCAGGCCTGTGGTGAGAAAGGAAATATCTTCAAATAAAAACTAGACAGAAGCATTCTCAGAAACTTCTTTGTGCTGTATGTCCTCAATTAACAGAGTTGAACCTTTGTGTGGATACAGCATTTTGGAAACATTCCTTTAGTAGAATCTGCAAGTTGATATTTAGATAGCTAGGAAGATTTCCTTGGAAACGGGAATATCTTCATATAAAATCTAGACGGAAGCATTCTCAGAAACTGCTTTGTGATGTTTTCATTCAAGTCACAGAGTAGAATGTTCCCTGTTATATACCAGGTTTGAGACACTCTTTCTGCACTACCTGGAAGTGGACGTTTGGAGTGCTTTGAGGCCTATGTTGAAAAAGGAAATATCTTCCCATAAAAACTAGACAGAAGCATTCTCAGAAACTTGTTTGTGATGTGTGTATTCAACTAACAGAGATGAACCTTTCTTTTTACAGAGCAGTTTTGAAACACTCTTTTTGTGGAATCTGAAAGTGGATATTTGGATAGCTTTGAGGATTTCGTTGGAAACGGGATTACATATAAAACCTAGAGAGAAGCATTCTCAGGAACTTCTTTGTGATGTTTGCCTTCAAGTCACAGGACTGAACATTCCCTTTCATAGAGCAGGTTTGAAACACTCTTTCTGTAGTATCTGCAAGCTGACGTTTCAAGCGCTTTCAGGCCTATGGTGAGAAAGGAAATATGCTTCAAGTAAAAACTAGACAGAAGCATTCTCAGAAACTTATTTGCCATGTGTGTTCTCAACTAACAGAGTTGAACCTTTGTTTTGATATGGCATTTTGGAAACACTCTTTTTGTAGAATCTGCAGGTGGATATTCGGATAGCTTTGAAGGTTTCGTTGGAAACGGGAATATCTTCATATAAAATCTAGACGGAAGCATTCTCAGAAACTGCTTTGTAATGTTTTCATTCAAGTCACAGAGTAGAATGTTCCCTTTTATATACCAGGTTTGAGACACTCTTTCTGCACTACATTGAAGTGGACATTTGGAGCGCTTTGAGGCCTATGATGAAAAAGGAAATATCTTCCCATAAAAACTAGACAGAAGCATTCTCAGAATCTTTCTTGTGATGTGTGTTCTCAAGTAACAGAGGTGAACCTTCATTTTGACAGAGCAGTTTTGAAGCACTCTTTTTGTAGAATCTGCAAGTGGATATTTTGATACCTTTGAGGATTTCGTTAGACACGGGATATCTTCATATAAAATCTAGACAGAAGCATTCTCAGGACGACTTCTTTGTGATGTTTGCATTCAAGTCACAGAACTGAACATTCCCTTTCATAGAGCAGGTTTGAAACACTCTTTCTGTAGTATCTGCAAGCTGACGTTTCAAGCACTTTCAGGCCTATGGTGAGAAAGGAAATATCTTCAAGTAAAAACTAGACAGAAGCATTCTCAGAAACTTATTTGCGATGTGTGTTCTCAACTAACAGAGTTGAACCTTTGTTTTGATATGGCATTTTGGAAACACTCTTTTTGTAGAATCTGCAGGTGGATATTCGGATAGCTTTGAAGGTTTCGTTGGAAACGGGAATATCTTCATATAAAATCTAGACGGAAGCATTCTCAGAAACTGCTTTGTGATGTTTTCATTCAAGTCACAGAGTAGAATGTTCCCTGTTATATACCAGGTTTGAGACACTCTTTCTGCACTACCTGGAAGTGGACATTTGGAGCGCTTTGAGGCCTATGATGAAAAAGGAAATATCTTCCCATAAAAACTAGACAGAAGCATTCTCAGAAACTTGTTTGTGATGTGTGTATTCAACTAACAGAGATGAACCTTTCTTTTTACAGAGCAGTTTTGAAACACTCTTTTTGTGGAATCTGAAAGTGGATATTTGGATAGCTTTGAGGATTTCGTTGGAAACGGGATTACATATAAAACCTAGAGAGAAGCATTCTCAGGAACTTCTCTTTGATGTTTGCCTTCAAGTCACAGGACTGAACATTCCCTTTCATAGAGCAGGTTTGAAACACTCTTTCTGTAGTATCTGCAAGCTGACGTTTCAAGCGCTTTCAGGCCTATGGTGAGAAAGGAAATATCTTCAAGTAAAAACTAGACAGAAGCATTCTCAGAAACTTCTTTGTGCTGTATGTCCTCAATTAACAGAGTTGAACCTTTGTGTGGATACAGCATTTTGGAAACATTCCTTTAGTAGAATCTGCAAGTTGATATTTAGATAGCTAGGAAGAGTTCCTTGGAAACGGGAATATCTTCATATAAAATCTAGACGGAAGCATTCTCAGAAACTTCTCTGTGATGTTTGCATTCAACTCATAGAGTTGAACACTTCCCTTCATACAGCAGGTTTGAAACACTCTTTTTGTAATATTTGGAAGTGGACATTTGCAGCGCTTTGAGGCCTATGATGAAAAAGGTAATATCTTCCCATAAAAACTAGACAGAAGCATTCTCAGAAACTTGTTTGTGATGTGTGTATTCAACTAACAGAGATGAACCTTTCTTTTTACAGAGCAGTTTGGAAACACTCTTTTTGTGGAATCTGAAAGTGGATATTTGGATAGCTTTGAGGATTTCGTTGGAAACGGGATTACATATAAAACCTAGAGAGAAGCATTCTCAGGAACTTCTTTGTGATGTTTGCCTTCAAGTCACAGGACTGAACATTCCCTTTCATAGAGCAGGTTTGAAACACTCTTTCTGTAGTATCTGCAAGCTGACGTTTCAAGCGCTTTCAAGCCTATGGTGACAAAGGAAATATCTTCAAGTAAAAACTAGACAGAAGCATTCTCAGGAAACTTATTTGCCATGTGTGTTCTCAACTAACAGAGTTGAACCTTTGTTTTGATACGGCATTTTGGAAACACTCTTTTTGTAGAATCTGCAGGTGGATATTCGGATAGCTTTGAAGGTTTCGTTGGAAACGGGAATATCTTCATATAAAATCTAGACGGAAGCATTCTCAGAAAGTGCTTTGTGATGTTTGCATTCAAGTCACAGAGTTGAATATTCCCTTTTATAGAGCAGGTTTGAAACACTCTTTCTGCACTACCTGGAAGTGGACATTTGGAGCGCTTTGAGGCCTATGTTGAAAAAGGAAATATGTTCCCATAAAAACTGGACAGAAGCATTCTCAGAAACTTGTTTGTGATGTGTGTATTCAACTAACAGAGATGAACCTTTCTTTTTACAGAGCAGTTTTGAAACACTCTTTTTGTGGAATCTGAAAGTGGATATTTGGATAGCTTTGAGGATTTCGTTGGAAACGGGATTACATATAAAACCTAGAGAGAAGCATTCTCAGGAACTTCTTTGTGATGTTTGCATTCAAGTCACAGAACTGAACATTCCCTTTCATAGAGCAGGTTTGAAACACTCTTTCTGTAGTATCTGCAAGCTGACTTTTCAAGCGCTTTCAGGCCTATGGTGAGAAAGGAAATATCTTCAAGTAAAAACTAGACAGAAGCATTCTCAGAAACTTATTTGCCATGTATGTTCTCAACTAACAGAGTGGAACCTTTGTTTTGATACGGCATTTTGGAAACACTCTTTTTGTAGAATCTGCAGGTGGATATTCGGATAGCTTTGAAGGTTTCGTTGGAAACGGGAATATCTTCATATAAAATCTAGACGGAAGCATTCTCAGAAAGTGCTTTGTGATGTTTGCATTCAAGTCACAGCGTTGAATATTCCCTTTTACAGAGCAGGTTTGAAACACTCTTTCTGCACTACCTGGAAGTGGACATTTGGAGCGCTTTGAGGCCTATGTTGAAAAAGGAAATATCTTCCCATAAAAACTAGACAGAAGCATTCTCAGAAACTTGTTTGTGATGTGTGTATTCAACTAACAGAGATGAACCTTTCTTTTTACAGAGCAGTTTTGAAACACTCTTTTTGTGGAATCTGAAAGTGGATATTTGGATAGCTTTGCGGATTTCGTTGGAAACGGGATTACATATAAAATCTAGGGAGAAGCATTCTCAGGAACTTCTTTGTGATGTTTGCATTCACGTCACAGAACTGAACATTCCCTTTCATAGAGCATGTTTGAAACACTCTTTCTGTAGTATCTGCAAACGGACATTTCAAACGCTTTCAGGCCTATGGTGAGAAAGGAAATATCTTCAAGTAAAAACTAGACAGAAGCATTCTCAGAAACTTATTTGCGATGTGTGTTCTCAGCTAACAGAGTTGAACCTTTGTTTTGATACAGCATTTTGGAAACACTCTTTTTGTAGGATCTGCAGGTGGATATTTGGATAGCTTTGAAGGTTTCGTTGGAAACGGGAATATCTTCATATAAAATCAAGACAGACGCATTCTCAGAAACTGCTTTGTGATGTTTTCATTCAAGTCACAGAGTAGAATGTTCCCTGTTATATACCAGGTTTGAGACACTCTTTCTGCACTACCTGGAAGTGGACGTTTGGAGCGCTTTGAGGCCTATGTTGAAAAAGGAAATATCTTCCCATAAAAACTAGACAGAAGCATTCTCAGAAACTTGTTTGTGATGTGTGTATTCAACTAACAGAGATGAACCTTTCTTTTTACAGAGCAGTTTTGAAACACTCTTTTTGTGGAATCTGAAAGTGGATATTTGGATAGCTTTGAGGATTTCGTTGGAAACGGGATTACATATAAAACCTAGAGAGAAGCATTCTCAGGAACTTCTTTGTGATGTTTGCATTCAAGTCACAGAACTGAACATTCCCTTTCATAGAGCAGGTTTGAAACACTCTTTCTGTAGTATCTGCAAGTGGACGTTTCAAGCGCTTTCAGGCCTGTGGTGAAAAAGGAAATATCTTCAAATAAAAACTAGACAGAAGCATTCTCAGAAACTTATTTGCGATGTGTGTTCTCAGCTAACAGAGTTGAACCTTTGTTTTGATACAGCATTTTGGAAACACTCTTTTTGTAGGATCTGCAGGTGGATGTTTGGATAGCTTTGAAGGTTTCTTTGGAAACGGGAATATCTTCATATAAAATCAAGACAGAAGCATTCTCAGAAAGTGCTTTGTGATGTTTGCATTCAAGTCACAGAGTTGAATATTCCCTTTTATAGAGCAGGTTTGAAACACTCTTTCTGCACTACCTGGAAGTGGACATTTGGAGCGCTTTGAGGCCTATGTTGAAAAAGGAAATATTTTCCCATAAAAACTAGACAGAAGCATTCTCAGAAACTTGTTTGTGATGTGTGTATTCAACTAACAGAGATGAACCTTTCTTTTTACAGAGCAGTTTTGAAACACTCTTTTTGTGGAATCTGAAAGTGGATATTTGGATAGCTTTGAGGATTTCGTTGGAAACGGGATTACATATAAAACCTAGAGAGAAGCATTCTCAGGAACTTCTTTGTGATGTTTGCATTCAAGTCACAGAACTGAACATTCCCTTTCATAGAGCAGGTTTGAAACACTCTTTCTGTAGTATCTGCAAGCTGACGTTTCAAGCGCTTTCAGGCCTATGGTGAGAAAGGAAATATCTTCAAGTAAAAACTAGACAGAAGCATTCTCAGAAATTTATTTGCCATGTGTGTTCTCAACTAACAGAGTTGAACCTTTGTTTTGATATGGCATTTTGGAAACACTCTTTTTGTAGAATCTGCAGGTGGATATTCGGATAGCTTTGAAGGTTTCGTTGGAAACGGGAATATCTTCATATAAAATCTAGACGGAAGCATTCTCAGAAACTGCTTTGTGATGTTTTCATTCAAGTCACAGAGTAGAATGTTCCCTGTTATATACCAGGTTTGAGACACTCTTTCTGCACTACCTGGAAGTGGACATTTGCAGCGCTTTGAGGCCTATGATGAAAAAGGAAATATCTTCCCATAAAAACTAGACAGAAGCATTCTCAGAAACTTGTTTGTGATGTGTGTATTCAACTAACAGAGATGAACCTTTCTTTTTACAGAGCAGTTTTGAAACACTCTTTTTGTGGAATCTGAAAGTGGATATTTGGATAGCTTTGAGGATTTCGTTGGAAACGGGATTACATATAAAATCTAGAGAGAAGCATTCTCAGGAACTTCTTTGTGATGTTTGCATTCAAGTCACAGAACTGAACATTCCCTTTCATAGAGCATGTTTGAAACACTCTTTCTGTAGTATCTGCAAGCGGACGTTTCAAGCGCTTTCAGGCCTATGGTGAGAAAGGAAATATCTTCAAGTAAAAACTAGACAGAAGCATTCTCAGAAACTTATTTGCCATGTGTGTTCTCAACTAACAGAGTTGAACCTTTGTTTTGATACGGCATTTTGGAAACACTCTTTTTGTAGAATCTGCAGGTGGATATTCGGATAGCTTTGAAGGTTTCGTTGGAAACGGGAATATCTTCATATAAAATCTAGACGGAAGCATTCTCAGAAAGTGCTTTGTGATGTTTGCATTCAAGTCACAGAGTTGAATATTCCCTTTTATAGAGCAGGTTTGAAACACTCTTTCTGCACTACCTGGAAGTGGACATTTGGAGCGCTTTGAGGCCTATGTTGAAAAAGGAAATATCTTCCCATAAAAACTAGACAGAAGAATTCTCAGAAACTTCCTTGTGATGTGTGTACTCAAGTAACAGAGTTGAACCTTACTTTTGACAGAGCCGTTTTGAAACAGTCTTTTTGTAGAATCTGGCACTAGATATTTGGATACCTTTGAGGATTTCTTTGGAAACGGCATATCTTCATATAAAATCTAGACAGAAGCATTCTCAGGAACTTCTTTGTGATGTTTGCATTCAAGTCACAGAACTGAACATTCCCTTTCATAGAGCATGTTTGAAACACTCTTTCTGTAGTATCTGCAAACGGACATTTCAAGCGCTTTCAGGACTATGGTAAGAAAGGAAATATCTTCAAATAAAAACTAGACAGAAGCATTCTCAGAAACTTATTTGCGATGTGTGTTCTCAACTAAAAGAGTTGAACCTTTGTTTGGATACAGCACTTTGGAAACACTCTTTTTGTAGAATCTGCAAGTGGATATTTGGATAGCTTTGAAGGTTTCGTTGGAAACGGGAATATCTTCATATAAAATCAAGACAGAAGCATTCTCAGAAAGTGCTTTGTGATGTTTGCATTCAAGTCACAGAGTTGAATATTCCCTTTTATAGAGCAGGTTTGAAACACTCTTTCTGCACTACCTGGAAGTGGACATTTGGAGCGCTTTGAGGCCTATGTTGAAAAAGGAAATATCTTCCCATAAAAACTAGACAGAAGCATTCTCAGAAACTTCCTTGTGATGTGTGTACTCAAGTAACAGAGTTGAACCTTCCTTTTGACAGAGCAGTTTTGAAGCACTCTTTTTGTAGAATCTGCAAGTGGATATTTTGATACCTTTGAGGATTTCGTTGGACACGGGATATCTTCATATAAAATCTAGACAGAAGCATTCTCAGGAACTTCTTTGTGATGTTTGCATTCAAGTCACAGAACTGAACATTCCCTTTCATAGAGCAGGTTTGAAACACTCTTTCTGTAGTATCTGCAAGCTGACGTTTCAAGCGCTTTCAGGCCTATGGTGAGAAAGGAAATATCTTCAAGCAAAAACTAGACAGAAGCATTCTCAGAAACTTATTTGCGTTGTGTGTCCTCAACTAACAGAGTTGAACCTTTCTTTTGATACAACATTTTGGAAACACTCTTTTTGTAGAATCTGCAAGTGGATATTTGGATAACTTTGAAGGTTTCGTTGGAAACGGGAATATCTTCATATGAAATCAAGACAGAAGCATTCTCAGAAACTGCTTTGTGATGTTTTCATTCAAGTCACAGAGTAGAATGTTCCCTGTTATATACCAGGTTTGAGACACTCTTTCTGCACTACCTGGAAGTGGACATTTGCAGCGCTTTGAGGCCTATGATGAAAAAGGAAATATCTTCCCATAAAAACTAGACAGAAGCATTCTCAGAAACTTGTTTGTGATGTGTGTATTCAACTAACAGAGATGAACTTTTCTTTTTACAGAGCAGTTTTGAAACACTCTTTTTGTGGAATCTGAAAGTGGATATTTGGATAGCTTTGAGGATTTCGTTGGAAACGGGATTACATATAAAACCTAGAGAGAAGCATTCTCAGGAACTTCTTTGTGATGTTTGCATTCAAGTCACAGAACTGAACATTCCCTTTCATAGAGCAGGTTTGAAACACTCTTTCTGTAGTATCTGCAAGCTGACGTTTCAAGCGCTTTCAGGCCTATGGTGAGAAAGGAAATATCTTCAAGTAAAAACTAGACAGAAGCATTCTCAGAAACTTATTTGCCATGTATGTTCTCAACTAACAGGGTGGAACCTTTGTTTTGATACGGCATTTTGGAAATACTCTTTTTGTAGAATCTGCAGGTGGATATTCGGATAGCTTTGAAGGTTTCGTTGGAAACGGGAATATCTTCATATAAAATCTAGACGGAAGCATTCTCAGAAAGTGCTTTGTGATGTTTGCATTCAAGTCACAGAGTTGAATATTCCCTTTTATAGAGCAGTTTTGAAACACTCTTTCTGCACTACCTGGAAGTGGACATTTGGAGCGCTTTGAGGCCTATGTTGAAAAAGGAAATATCTTCCCATAAAAACTAGACAGAAGCATTCTCAGAAACTTGTTTGTGATGTGTGTATTCAACTAACAGAGATGAACCTTTCTTTTTACACAGCAGTTTTGAAACACTCTTTTTGTGGAATCTGAAAGTGGATATTTGGATAGCTTTGAGGATTTCGTTGGAAACGGGATTACATATAAAACCTAGAGAGAAGCATTCTCAGGAACTTCTTTGTGATGTTTGCATTCAAGTCACAGAACTGAACATTCCCTTTCATACAGCATGTTTGAAACACTCTTTCTGTAGTATCTGCAAGCGGACGTTTCAAGCGCTTTCAGGCCTATGGTGAGAAAGGAAATATCTTCAAGTAAAAACTAGACAGAAGCATTCTCAGAAACTTATTTGCCATGTGTGTTCTCAACTAACAGAGTTGAACCTTTGTTTTGATACGGCATTTTGGAAACACTCTTTTTGTAGAATCTGCAGGTGGATATTCGGATAGCTTTGAAGGTTTCGTTGGAAACGGGAATATCTTCATATAAAATCGAGACGGAAGCATTCTCAGAAACTGCTTTGTGATGTTTTCATTGAAGTCACAGAGTAGAATGTTCCCTTTTATATACCAGGTTTGAGACACTCTTTCTGCACTATCTGGAAGTGGACATTTGGAGCGCTTTGAGGCCTATGATGAAAAAGGAAATATCTTCCCTTAAAAACTAGACAGAAGCATTCTCAGAAACTTGTTTGTGATGTGTGTATTCAACTAACAGAGATGAACCTTTCTTTTTACAGAGCAGTTTTGAAACACTCTTTTTGTGGAATCTGAAAGTGGATATTTGGATAGCTTTGAGGATTTCGTTGGAAACGGGATTACATATAAAATCTAGAGAGAAGCATTCTCAGGAACTTCTTTGTGATGTTTGCATTCACGTCACAGAACTGAACATTCCCTTTCATAGAGCATGTTTGAAACACTCTTTCTGTAGTATCTACAAACGGACATTTCAAACGCTTTCAGGCCTATGGTGAGAAAGGAAATATCTTCAAATAAAAACTAGACAGAAGCATTCTCAGAAACTTATTTGCCATGTGTGTTCTCAACTAACAGAGTTGAACCTTTGTTTTGATACGGCATTTTGGAAACACTCTTTTTGTAGAATCTGCAGGTGGATATTCGGATAGCTTTGAAGGTTTCGTTGGAAACGGGAATATCTTCATATAAAATCTAGACGGAAGCATTCTCAGAAACTGCTTTGTGATGTTTTCATTCAAGTCACAGAGTAGAATGTTCCCTGTTATATACCAGGTTTGAGACACTCTTTCTGCACTACCTGGAAGTGGACATTTGCAGCGCTTTGAGGCCTATGATGAAAAAGGAAATATCTTCCCATAAAAACTAGACAGAAAGCATTCTCAGAAACTTGTTTGTGATGTGTGTATTCAACTAACAGAGATGAACCTTTCTTTTTACAGAGCAGTTTTGAAACACTCTTTTTGTGGAATCTGAAAGTGGATATTTGGATAGCTTTGAGGATTTCGTTGGAAACGGGATTACATATAAAATCTAGAGAGAAGCATTCTCAGGAACTTCTTTGTGATGTTTGCATTCACGTCACAGAACTGAACATTCCCTTTCATAGAGCATGTTTGAAACACTCTTTCTGTAGTATCTGCAAACGGACATTTCAAGCGCTTTCAGGCCTATGGTAAGAAAGGAAATATCTTCAAATCAAAACTAGACAGAAGCATTCTCAGAAACTTATTTGCGATGTGTGTCCTCAACTAACAGAGTTGAACCTTTCTTTTGATACAACATTTTGGAAACACTCTTTTTGTAGAATCTGCAAGTGGATATTTGAATAGCTTTGAAGGTTTCGTTGGAAACGGGAATATCTTCATATAAAATCAAGACAGAAGCATTCTCAGAAACTGCTTTGTGATGTTTTCATTCAAGTCACAGAGTAGAATCTTCCCTGTTATATACCAGGTTTCAGACACTCTTTCTGCACTACCTGGAAGTGGACATTTGCAGCGCTTTGAGGCCTATGATGAAAAAGGAAATATCTTCCCATAAAAACTAGACAGAATCATTCTCAGAAACTTGTTTGTGATGTGTGTATTCAACTAACAGAGATGAACCTTTCTTTTTACAGAGCAGTTTTGAAACACTCTTTTTGTGGAATCTGAAAGTGGATATTTGGATAGCTTTGAGGATTTCGTTGGAAACGGGATTACATATAAAATCTAGGGAGAAGCATTCTCAGGAACTTCTTTGTGATGTTTGCCTTCAAGTCACAGGACTGAACATTCCCTTTTATAGAGCAGGTTTGAAACACTCTTTCTGTAGTATCTGCAAGCTGACGTTTCAAGCGCTTTCAGGCCTATGGTGAGAAAGGAAATATCTTCAAGTAAAAACTAGACAGAAACATTCTCAGAAACTTATTTGCCATGTGTGTTCTCAACTAACAGAGTTGAACCTTTGTTTTGATACGGCATTTTGGAAACACTCTTTTTGTAGAATCTGCAGGTGGATATTCGAATAGCTTTGAAGGTTTCGTTGGAAACGGGAATATCTTCATATAAAATCTAGACGGAAGCATTCTCAGAAACTTCTCTGTGATGTTTGCATTCAACTCATAGAGTTGAACACTTCCCTTCATACAGCAGGTTTGAAACACTCTTTTTGTAATATTTGGAAGTGGACATTTGCAGCGCTTTGAGGCCTATGATGAAAAAGGTAATATCTTCCCATAAAAACTAGACAGAAGCATTCTCAGAAACTTGTTTGTGATGTGTGTATTCAACTAACAGAGATGAACCTTTCTTTTTACAGAGCAGTTTTGAAACACTCTTTTTGTGGAATCTGAAAGTGGATATTTGGATAGCTTTGCGGATTTCGTTGGAAACGGGATTACATATAAAATCTAGGGAGAAGCATTCTCAGGAACTTCTTTGTGATGTTTGCATTCACGTCACAGAACTGAACATTCCCTTTCATAGAGCATGTTTGAAACACTCTTTCTGTAGTATCTGCAAACGGACATTTCAAACGCTTTCAGGCCTATGGTGAGAAAGGAAATATCTTCAAGTAAAAACTAGACAGAAGCATTCTCAGAAACTTCTTTGTGCTGTATGTCCTCAATTAACAGAGTTGAACCTTTGTGTGGATACAGCATTTTGGAAACATTCCTTTAGTAGAATCTGCAAGTTGATATTTAGATAGCTAGGAAGATTTCCTTGGAAACGGGAATATCTTCATATAAAATCTAGACGGAAGCATTCTCAGAAAGTGCTTTGTGATGTTTGCATTCAAGTCACAGAGTTGAATATTCCCTTTTATAGAGCCGGTTTGAAACACTCTTTCTGCACTACCTGGAAGTGGACATTTGGAGCGCTTTGAGGCCTATGTTGAAAAAGGAAATATCTTCCCATAAAAACTAGACAGAAGCATTCTCAGAAACTTGTTTGTGATGTGTGTATTCAACTAACAGAGATGAACCTTTCTTTTTACAGAGCAGTTTTGAAACACTCTTTTTGTGGAATCTGAAAGTGGATATTTGGATAGCTTTGAGGATTTCGTTGGAAACGGGATTACATATAAAATCTAGAGAGAAGCATTCTCAGAAACTTCCTTGTGATGTGTGTACTCAAGTAACAGAGTTGAACCTTCCTTTTGCCAGAGCAGTTTTGAAGCACTCTTTTTGTAGAATCTGCAAGTGGATATTTTGATACCTTTGAGGATTTCGTTGGACATGGGATATCTTCATATAAAATCTAGACAGAAGCATTCGCAGACACTTCTTTGTGCTGTATATCCTCAATTAACAGAGTTGAACCTTTGTTTCGATACGGCATTTTGGAAACATTCCTTTAGTAGAATCTGCAAGTTCATATTTAGATAGCTAGGAAGATTTCCTTGCAAACGGGAATATCTTCATATAAAATCTAGACGGAAGCATTCTCAGAATCTTGTCTGTGATGTTTGCATTCAACTCATAGAGTTGAACACTTCCTTTCATAGAGCTGGTTTGAAATACTCTTTTTGTAATATTTGGAAGTGGACATTGGCAGCGCTTTGAAGCCTATGGTGAAAAAGGAGATATCTTCTCCTAAAAACCGGACAGAAGCATTCTCAGAATCTTTCTTGTGATGTGTGCAGTTAAGTAACAGAGTTGAGCCTTCCTTTTGACAGAGCAGTTTTGAAGCACTCTTTTTGTAGAATCTGCAAGTGGATATTTTGATACCTTTGAGGATTTCTTTGGACACGGGATATCTTCATATAAAATCTAGACAGAAGCATTCTCAGGAACTTCTTTGTGATGTTTGCATTCAAGTCACAGAACTGAACATTCCCTTTCATAGAGCATGTTTGAAACACTCTTTCTGTAGTATCTGCAAGCGGACGTTTCAAGCGCTTTCAGGCCTATGGTGAGAAAGGAAATATCTTCAAGTAAAAATTAGACAGAAGCATTCTCAGAAACTTATTTGCCATGTGTGTTCTCAACTAACAGAGTTGAACCTTTGTTTTGATACGGCATTTTGGAAACACTCTTTTTGTAGAATCTGCAGGTGGATATTCGGATAGCTTTGAAGGTTTCTTTGGAAACGGGAATATCTTCATATAAAATCTAGACGAAAGCATTCTCAGAAACTGCTTTGTGATGTTTTCATTCAAGTCACAGAGTAGAATGTTCCCTGTTATACACCAGGTTTGAGACACTCTTTCTGCACTACCTGGAAGTGGACGTTTGGAGCGCTTTGAGGCCTATGTTGAAAAAGGAAATATCTTCCCATAAAAACTAGACAGAAGCATTCTCAGAAACTTGTTTGTGATGTGTGTATTCAACTAACAGAGATGAACCTTTCTTTTTACAGAGCAGTTTTGAAACACTCTTTTTGTGGAATCTGAAAGTGGATATTTGGATAGCTTTGAGGATTTCGTTGGAAACGGGATTACATATAAAACCTAGAGAGAAGCATTCTCAGGAACTTCTTTGTGATATTTGCATTCAAGTCACAGAACTGAACATTCCCTTTCATAGAGCAGGTTTGAAACACTCTTTCTGTAGTATCTGCAAACGGACATTTCAAACGCTTTCAGGCCTATGGTGAGAAAGGAAATATCTTCAAATAAAAACTAGACAGAAGCATTCTCAGAAACTTATTTGCGATGTGTGTCCTCAACTAACAGAGTTGAACCTTTCTTTTGATACAACATTTTGGAAACACTCTTTTTGTAGAATCTGCAAGTGGATATTTGAATAGCTTTGAAGGTTTCGTTGGAAATGGGAATATCTTCATATAAAATCAAGACAGAAGCATTCTCAGAAACTTCTCTGTGATGTTTGCATTCAACTCATAGAGTTGAACACTTCCCTTCATACAGCAGGTTTGAAACACTCTTTTTGTAATATTTGGAAGTGGACATTTGCAGCGCTTTGAGGCCTATGATGAAAAAGGTAATATCTTCCCATAAAAACTAGACAGAAGCATTCTCAGAAACTTGTTTGTGATGTGTGTATTCAACTAACAGAGATGAACCTTTCTTTTTACAGAGCAGTTTTGAAACACTCTTTTTGTGGAATCTGAAAGTGGATATTTGGATAGCTTTGCGGATTTCGTTGGAAACGGGATTACATATAAAATCTAGGGAGAAGCATTCTCAGGAACTTCTTTGTGATGTTTGCATTCACGTCACAGAACTGAACATTCCCTTTCATAGAGCATGTTTGAAACACTCCTTCTGTAGTATCTGCAAACGGACATTTCAAGCGCTTTCAGGCCTATGGTAAGAAAGGAAATATCTTCAAATAAAAACTAGACAGAAGCATTCTCAGAAACTTATTTGCGATGTGTGTCCTCAACTAACAGAGTTGAACCTTTGTTTTGATACAACATTTTGGAAACACTCTTTTAGTAGAATCTGCAAGTGAATATTTGGATAGCTTTGAAGGTTTCGTTGGAAACGGGAATATCTTCATATAAAATCAAGACAGAAGCATTCTCAGAAAGTGCTTTGTGATGTTTGCATTCAAGTCACAGAGTTGAATAATCCCTTTTATAGAGCAGGTTTGAAACACTCTTTCTGCACTACCTGGAAGTGGACATTTGGAGCGCTTTGAGGCCTATGTTGAAAAAGGAAATATCTTCCCATAAAAACTAGACAGAAGCATTCTCAGAAACTTGTTTGTGATGTGTGTATTCAACTAACAGAGATGAACCTTTCTTTTTACAGAGCAGTTTTGAAACACTCTTTTTGTGGAATCTGAAAGTGGATATTTGGATAGCTTTGCGGATTTCGTTGGAAACGGGATTACATATAAAATCTAGGGAGAAGCATTCTCAGGAACTTCTTTTTGATGTTTGCCTTCAAGTCACAGGACTGAACATTCCCTTTCATAGAGCAGGTTTGAAACACTCTTTCTGTAGTATCTGCAAGCTGACGTTTCAAGCGCTTTCAGGCCTATGGTGAGAAAGGAAATATCTTCAAGTAAAAACTAGACAGAAGCATTCTCAGAAACTTATTTGCCATGTGTGTTCTCAACTAACAGAGTTGAACCTTTGTTTTGATACGGCATTTTGGAAACACTCTTTTTGTAGAATCTGCAGGTGGATATTCGGATAGCTTTTTAAGGTTTCGTTGGAAACGGGAATATCTTCATATAAAATCTAGACGGAAGCATTCTCAGAAACTGCTTTGTGATGTTTGCATTCAAGTCACAGAGTAGAATGTTCCCTGTTATATACCAGGTTTGAGACACTCTTTCTGCACTACCTGGAAGTGGACGTTTGGAGCGCTTTGAGGCCTATGTTGAAAAAGGAAATATCTTCCCATAAAAACTAGACAGAAGCATTCTCAGAAACTTCCTTGTGATGTGTGTACTCAAGTAATAGAGTTGAACCTTCCTTTTGACAGAGCAGTTTTGAAGCACTCTTTTTGTAGAATCTGCAAGTGGATAGTTTGATACCTTTGAGGATTTCGTTGGACACGGGATATCTTCATATAAAATCTAGACAGAAGCATTCTCAGGAACTTCTTTGTGATGTTTGCATTCAAGTCACAGAACTGAACATTCCCTTTCATAGAGCATGTTTGAAACACTCTTTCTGTAGTATCTGCAAGCGGACGTTTCAAGCGCTTTCAGGCCTATGGTGAGAAAGGAAATATCTTCAAGTAAAAACTAGACAGAAGCATTCTCAGGAACTTATTTGCCATGTGTGTTCTCAACTAACAGAGTTGAACCTTTGTTTTGATACGGCATTTTGGAAACACTCATTTTGTAGAATCTGCAGGTGGATATTCAGATAGCTTTGAAGGTTTCGTTGGAAACGGGAATATCTTCATATAAAATCTAGACGGAAGCATTCTCAGAAACTGCTTTGTGATGTTTTCATTCAAGTCACAGAGTAGAATCTTCCCTGTTATATACCAGGTTTCAGACACTCTTTCTGCACTACCTGGAAGTGGACATTTGCAGCGCTTTGAGGCCTATGATGAAAAAGGAAATATCTTCCCATAAAAACTAGACAGAAGCATTCTCAGAAACTTGTTTGTGATGTGTGTATTCAACTAACAGAGATGAACCTTTCTTTTTACAGAGCAGTTTTGAAACACTCTTTTTGTGGAATCTGAAAGTGGATATTTGGATAGCTTTGAGGATTTCGTTGGAAACGGGATTACATATAAAACCTAGAGAGAAGCATTCTCAGGAACTTCTTTGTGATGTTTGCATTCAAGTCACAGAACTGAACATTCCCTTTCATAGAGCAGGTTTGAAACACTCTTTCTGTAGTATCTGCAAGCTGACGTTTCAAGCGCTTTCAGGCCTATGGTGAGAAAGGAAATATCTTCAAGTAAAAACTAGACAGAAGCATTCTCAGAAACTTATTTGCGATGTGTGTTCTCAACTAACAGAGTTGAACCTTTGTTTTGATATGGCATTTTGGAAACACTCTTTTTGTAGAATCTGCAGGTGGATATTCGGATAGCTTTGAAGGTTTCGTTGGAAACGGGAATATCTTCATATAAAATACTAGACGGAAGCATTCTCAGAAACTGCTTTGTGATGTTTTCATTCAAGTCACAGAGTAGAATGTTCCCTGTTATATACCAGGTTTGAGACACTCTTTCTGCACTACCTGGAATTGGACATTTGCAGCGCTTTGAGGCCTATGATGAAAAAGGAAATATCTTCCCATAAGAACTAGACAGAAGCATTCTCAGAAACTTGTTTGTGATGTGTGTATTCAACTAACAGAGATGAACCTTTCTTTTTACAGAGCAGTTTTGAAACACTCTTTTTGTGGAATCTGAAAGTGGATATTTGGATAGCTTTGAGGATTTCGTTGGAAACGGGATTACATATAAAACCTAGAGAGAAGCATTCTCAGGAACTTCTTTGTGATGTTTGCATTCAAGTCACAGAACTGAACATTCCCTTTCATTGAGCAGCTTTGAAACACTCTTTCTGTAGTATCTGCAAGCGGACGTTTCAAGCGCTTTCAGGCCTGTGGTGAAAAGGGAAATATCTTCAAATAAAAACTAGACAGAAGCATTCTCAGAAACTTATTTGCGATGTGTGTTCTCAACTAACAGAGTTGAACCTTTGTTTTGATACAGCATTTTGGAAACACTCTTTTTGTAGGATCTGCAGGTGGATATTTGGATAGATTTGAAGGTTTCGTTGGAAACGGGAATATCTTCATATAAAATCAACACAGAAGCATTCTCAGAAACTGCTTTGTGATGTTTTCATTCAAGTCACAGAGTAGAATGTTCCCTGTTATATACCAGGTTTGAGACACTCTTTCTGCACTACCTGGAAGTGGACGTTTGGAGCGCTTGAGGCCTATGTTGAAAAAGGAAATATCTTCCCATAAAAACTAGACAGAAGCATTCTCAGAAACTTGTTTGTGATGTGTGTATTCAACTAACAGAGATGAACCTTTCTTTTTACAGAGCAGTTTTGAAACACTCTTTTTGTGGAATCTGAAAGTGGATATTTGGATAGCTTTGAGGATTTCGTTGGAAACGGGATTACATATAAAATCTAGAGAGAAGCATTCTCAGGAACTTCTTTGTGATGTTTGCATTCAAGTCACAGAACTGAACATTCCCTTTCATAGAGCAGGTTTGAAACACTCTTTCTGTAGTATCTGCAAGCTGACGTTTCAAGCGCTTTCAGGCCTATGGTGACAAAGGAAATATCTTCAAGTAAAAACTAGACAGAAGCATTCTCAGAAACTTCTTTGTGCTGTATGTCCTCAATTAACAGAGTTGAACCTTTGTGTGGATACAGCATTTTGGAAACATTCCTTTAGTAGAATCTGCAAGTTGATATTTAGATAGCTAGGAAGAGTTCCTTGGAAACGGGAATATCTTCATATAAAATCTAGACGGAAGCATTCTCAGAAAGTGCTTTGTGATGTTTGCATTCAAGTCACAGAGTTGAATATTCCCTTTTATAGAGCAGGTTTGAAACACTCTTTCTGCACTACCTGGAAGTGGACATTTGGAGCGCTTTGAGGCCTATGTTGAAAAAGGAAATATCTTCCCATAAAAACTAGACAGAAGCATTCTCAGAAACTTGTTTGTGATGTGTGTATTCAACTAACAGAGATGAACCTTTCTTTTTACAGAGCAGTTTTGAAACACTCTTTTTGTGGAATCTGAAAGTGGATATTTGGATAGCTTTGAGGATTTCGTTGGAAACGGGATTACATATAAAACCTAGAGAGAAGCATTCTCAGGAACTTCTTTGTGATGTTTGCATTCAAGTCACAGAACTGAACATTCCCTTTCATAGAGCAGGTTTGAAACACTCTTTCTGTAGTATCTGCAAGCTGACGTTTCAAGCGCTTTCAGGCCTATGGTGAGAAAGGAAATATCTTCAAGTAAAAACTAGACAGAAGCATTCTGAGAAACTTATTTGCGATGTGTGTTCTCAACTAACAGAGTTGAACCTTTGTTTTGATATGGCATTTTGGAAACACTCTTTTTGTAGAATCTGCAGGTGGATATTCGGATAGCTTTGAAGGTTTCGTTGGAAACGGGAATATCTTCATATAAAATCTAGACGGAAGGATTCTCAGAAAGTGCTTTGTGATGTTTGCATTCAAGTCACAGAGTAGAATGTTCCCTTTTATAGAGCAGGTTTGAAACACTCTGTGCACTACGTGGAAGTGGACATTGGGAGCGCTTTGAGGCCTATGTTGAAAAAGGAAATATCTTCCCATAAAAACTAGACAGAAGCATTCTCAGAAACTTGTTTGTGATGTGTGTATTCAACTAACAGAGATGAACCTTTCTTTTTACAGAGCAGTTTTGAAACACTCTTTTTGTGGAATCTGAAAGTGGATATTTGGAGAGCTTTGAGGGTTTCGTTGGAAACGGGATTACATATAAAATCTAGGGAGAAGCATTCTCAGGAACTTCTTTGTGATGTTTGCATTCAAGTCACAGGACTGAACATTCCCTTTCATAGAGCAGGTTTGAAACACTCTTTCTGTAGTATCTGCAAGCTGACGTTTCAAGCGCTTTCAGGCCTATGGTGAGAAAGGAAATATCTTCAAGTAAAAACTAGACAGAAGCATTCTCAGAAACTAATTTGCCATGTGTGTTCTCAACTAACAGAGTTGAACCTTTGTTTTGATACGGCATTTTGGAAACACTCTTTTTGTAGAATCTGCAGGTGGATATTCGGATAGCTTTGAAGGTTTCGTTGGAAACGGGAATATCTTCATATAAAATCTAGACGGAAGCATTCTCAGAAAGTGCTTTGTGATGTTTGCATTCAAGTCACAGAGTTGAATGTTCCCTTTTATAGAGCAGGTTTGAAACACTCTTTCTGCACTACCTGGAAGTGGATATTTGGAGCGCTTTGAGGCCTATGTTGAAAAAGGAAATATCTTCCCATAAAAACTAGACAGAAGCATTCTCAGAAACTTGTTTGTGATGTGTGTATTCAACTAACAGAGATGAACCTTTCTTTTTACAGAGCAGTTTTGAAACACTCTTTTTGTGGAATCTGAAAGTGGATATTTGGATAGCTTTGCGGATTTCGTTGGAAACGGGATTACATATAAAATCTAGGGAGAAGCATTCTCAGGAACTTCTTTGTGATGTTTGCATTCAAGTCACAGAACTGAACATTCCCTTTCATAGAGCATGTTTGAAACACTCTTTCTGTAGTATCTGCAAGCGGACGTTTCAAGCGCTTTCAGGCCTATGGTGAGAAAGGAAATATCTTCAAGTAAAAACTAGACAGAAGCATTCTCAGAAACTTATTTGCGATGTGTGTTCTCAACTAACAGAGTTGAACCTTTGTTTTGATATGGCATTTTGGAAACACTCTTTTTGTAGAATCTGCAGGTGGATATTCGGATAGCTTTGAAGGTTTCGTTGGAAACGGGAATATCTTCATATAAAATCTAGACGGAAGCATTCTCAGAAACTGCTTTGTGATGTTTTCATTGAAGTCACAGAGTAGAATGTTCCCTTTTATATACCAGGTTTGAGACACTCTTTCTGCACTATCTGGAAGTGGACATTTGGAGCGCTTTGAGGCCTATGATGAAAAAGGAAATATCTTCCCATAAAAACTAGACAGAAGCATTCTCAGAAACTTGTTTGTGATGTGTGTATTCAACTAACAGAGATGAACCTTTCTTTTTACAGAGCAGTTTTGAAACACTCTTTTTGTGGAATCTGAAAGTGGATAGTTGGATAGCTTTGAGGATTTCGTTGGAAACGGGATTACATATAAAATCTAGAGAGAAGCATTCTCAGGAACTTCTTTGTGATGTTTGCATTCACGTCACAGAACTGAACATTCCCTTTCATAGAGCATGTTTGAAACACTCTTTCTGTAGTATCTGCAAACGGACATTTCAAGCGCTTTCAGGCCTATGGTAAGAAAGGAAATATCTTCAAATCAAAACTAGACAGAAGCATTCTCAGAAACTTCTTTGTGCTGTATGTCCTCAATTAACAGAGTTGAACCTTTGTGTGGATACAGCATTTTGGAAACATTCCTTTAGTAGAATCTGCAAGTTGATATTTAGATAGCTAGGAAGATTTCCTTGGAAACGGTATTATCTTCATATAAAATCTAGACGGAAGCATTCTCAGAAAGTGCTTTGTGATGTTTGCATTCAAGTCACAGAGTTGAGTATTCCCTTTTATAGAGCAGGTTTGAAACACTCTTTCTGCACTACCTGGAAGTGGACATTTGGAGCGCTTTGAGGCCTATGTTGAAAAAGGAAATATCTTCCCATAAAAACTAGACAGAAGCATTCTCAGAAACTTGTTTGTGATGTGTGTATTCAACTAACAGAGATGAACCTTTCTTTTTACAGAGCAGTTTTGAAACACTCTTTTTGTGGAATCTGAAAGTGGATATTTGGATAGCTTTGAGGATTTCGTTGGAAACGGGATTACATATAAAACCTAGAGAGAAGCATTCTCAGGAACTTCTTTGTGATGTTTGCATTCAAGTCACAGAACTGAACATTCCCTTTCATAGAGCAGGTTTGAAACACTCTTTCTGTAGTATCTGCAAGCTGACGTTTCAAGCGCTTTCAGGCCTATGGTGAGAAAGGAAATATCTTCAAGTAAAAACTAGACAGAAGCATTCTCAGAAACTTATTTGCGATGTGTGTCCTCAGCTAACAGAGTTGAACCTTTCTTTTGATACAACATTTTGGAAACACTCTTTTTGTAGAATCTGCAAGTGGATATTTGAATAGCTTTGAAGGTCTCGTTGGAAACGGGAATATCTTCAAATAAAATCAAGACAGAAGCATTCTCAGAAAGTGCTTTGTGATGTTTGCATTCAAGTCACACAGTTGAATATTCCCTTTTATAGAGCAGGTTTGAAACACTCTTTCTGCACTACCTGGAAGTGGACATTTGGAGCGCTTTGAGGCCTATGTTGAAAAACGAAATATCTTCCCATAAAAACTAGACAGAAGCATTCTCAGAAACTTCCTTGTGATGTGTGTACTCAAGTAATAGAGTTGAACCTTCCTTTTGACAGAGCAGTTTTGAAGCACTCTTTTTGTAGAATCTGCAAGTGGATAGTTTGATACCTTTGAGGATTTCGTTGGACACGGGATATCTTCATATAAAATCTAGACAGAAGCATTCTCAGGAACTTCTTTGTGATGTTTGCATTCAAGTCACAGAACTGAACATTCCCTTTCATAGAGCAGGTTTGAAACACTCTTTCTGTAGTATCTGCAAGCGGACGTTTTAAGCGCTTTCAGGCCTGTGGTGAGAAAGGAAATATCTTCAAATAAAAACTAGACAGAAGCATTCTCAGAAACTTATTTGCGATGTGTGTCCTCAACTAACAGAGTTGAACCTTTCTTTTGATACAACATTTTGGAAACACTCTTTTTGTAGAATCTGCAAGTGGATATTTGAATAGCTTTGAAGGTTTCGTTGGAAACGGGAATATCTTCATATAAAATCAAGACAGAAGCATTCTCAGAAAGTGCTTTGTGATGTTTGCATTCAAGTCACAGAGTTGAATATTCCCTTTTATAGAGCAGGTTTGAAACACTCTTTCTGCACTACCTGGAAGTGGACATTTGGAGCGCTTTGAGGCCTATGTTGAAAAAGGGAAATATCTTCCCATAAAAACTAGACAGAAGCATTCTCAGAAACTTCCTTGTGATGTGTGTACTCAAGTAACAGAGTTGAACCTTCCTTTTGACAGAGCAGTTTTGAAGCACTCTTTTTGTAGAATCTGCAAGTGGATATTTTGATACTTTTGAGGATTTCGATGGACACGGGATATCTTCATATAAAATCTAGACAGAAGCATTCTCAGGAACTTCTTTGTGATGTTTGCCTTCAAGTCACAGGACTGAACATTCCCTTTCATAGAGCAGGTTTGAAACACTCTTTCTATAGTATCTGCAAGCTGACGTTTCAAGCGCTTTCAGGCCTATGGTGACAAAGGAAATATCTTCAAGTAAAAACTAGACAGAAGCATTCTCAGAAACTTATTTGCCATGTGTGTTCTCAACTAACAGAGTTGAACCTTTGTTTTGATATGGCATTTTGGAAACACTCTTTTTGTAGAATCTGCAGGTGGATATTCGGATAGCTTTGAAGGTTTCGTTGGAAACGGGAATATCTTCATATAAAATCTAGACGGAAGCATTCTCAGAAACTGCTTTGTGATGTTTTCATTCAAGTCACAGAGTAGAATGTTCCCTGTTATATACCAGGTTTGAGACACTCTTTCTGCACTACCTGGAAGTGGACGTTTGGAGCGCTTTGAGGCCTATGTTGAAAAAGGAAATATCTTCCCATAAAAACTAGACAGAAGCATTCTCAGAAACTTGTTTGTGATGTGTGTATTCAACTAACAGAGATGAACCTTTCTTTTTACAGAGCAGTTTTGAAACACTCTTTTTGTGGAATCTGAAAGTGGATATTTGGATAGCTTTGCGGATTTCGTTGGAAACGGGATTACATATAAAATCTAGGGAGAAGCATTCTCAGGAACTTCTTTTTGATGTTTGCCTTCAAGTCACAGGACTGAACATTCCCTTTCATAGAGCAGGTTTGAAACACTCTTTCTGTAGTATCTGCAAGCTGACGTTTCAAGCGCTTTCAGGCCTATGGTGAGAAAGGAAATATCTTCAAGTAAAAACTAGACAGAAGCATTCTCAGAAACATATTTGCCATGTGTGTTCTCAACTAACAGAGTTGAACCTTTGTTTTGATACGGCATTTTGGAAACACTCTTTTTGTAGTATCTGCAGGTGGATATTCGGATAGCTTTGAAGGTTTCGTTGGAAACGGGAATATCTTCATATAAAATCTAGACGGAAGCATTCTCAGAAACTGCTTTGTGATGTTTTCATTCAAGTCACAGAGTAGAATGTTCCCTGTTATATACCAGGTTTGAGACACTCTTTCTGCACTACCCGGAAGTGGACGTTTGGAGCGCTTTGAGGCCTATGTTGAAAAACGAAATATCTTCCCATAAAAACTAGACAGAAGCATTCTCAGAAACTTGTTTGTGATGTGTGTATTCAACTAACAGAGATGAACCTTTCTTTTTACAGAGCAGTTTTGAAACACTCTTTTTGTGGAATCTGAAAGTGGATATTTGGATAGCTTTGAGGATTTCGTTGGAAACGGGATTACATATAAAATCTAGAGAGAAGCATTCTCAGGAACTTCTTTGTGATGTTTGCATTCAAGTCACAGAACTGAACATTCCCTTTCATAGAGCATGTTTGAAACACTCTTTCTGTAGTATCTGCAAGCAGACGTTTCAAGCGCTTTCAGGCCTATGGTGAGAAAGGAAATACCTTCAAGTAAAAACTAGACAGAAGCATTCTCAGAAACTTCTTTGTGCTGTATGTCCTCAATTAACAGAGTTGAACCTTTGTGTGGATACAGCATTTTGGAAACATTCCTTTAGTAGAATCTGCAAGTTGATATTTAGATAGCTAGGAAGATTTCCTTGGAAACGGGAATATCTTCATATTAAATCTAGACGGAAGCATTCTCAGAAAGTGCTTTGTGATGTTTGCATTCAAGTCACAGAGTTGAATATTCCCTTTTATAGAGCAGGTTTGAAACACTCTTTCTGCACTACCTGGAAGTGGACATTTGGAGCGCTTTGAGGCCTATGTTGAAAAAGGAAATATCTTCCCATAAAAACTAGACAGAAGCATTCTCAGAAACTTGTTTGTGATGTGTGTATTCAACTAACAGAGATGAACCTTTCTTTTTACAGAGCAGTTTTGAAACACTCTTTTTGTGGAATCTGAAAGTGGATATTTGGATAGCTTTGAGGATTTCGTTGGAAACGGGATTACATATAAAACCTAGAGAGAAGCATTCTCAGGAACTTCTTTGTGATGTTTGCATTCAAGGCACAGAACTGAACATTCCCTTTCATAGAGCAGGTTTGAAACACTCTTTCTGTAGTATCTGCAAGCTGACGTTTCAAGCGCTTTCAGGGCTATGGTGAGAAAGGAAATATCTTCAAGTAAAAACTAGACAGAAGCATTCTCAGAAACTTATTTGCCATGTGTGTTCTCAACTAACAGAGTTGAACCTTTGTTTTGATACGGCATTTTGGAAACACTCTTTTTGTAGAATCTGCAGGTGGATATTCGGATAGCTTTGAAGGTTTCGTTGGAAACGGGAATATCTTCATATAAAATCTAGACGGAAGCATTCTCAGAAAGTGCTTTGTGATGTTTGCATTCAAGTCACAGAGTTGAATATTCCCTTTTATAGAGCAGGTTTGAAACACTCTTTCTGCACTACCTGGAAGTGGACATTTGGAGCGCTTTGAGGCCTATGTTGAAAAAGGAAATATCTTCCCATAAAAACTAGACAGAAGCATTCTCAGAAACTTGTTTGTGATGTGTGTATTCAACTAACAGAGATGAACCTTTCTTTTTACAGAGCAGTTTTGAAACACTCTTTTTGTGGAATCTGAAAGTGGATATTTGGATAGCTTTGAGGATTTCGTTGGAAACGGGATTACATATAAAATCTAGAGAGAAGCATTCTCAGGAACTTCTTTGTGATGTTTGCATTCACGTCACAGAACTGAACATTCCCTTTCATAGAGCATGTTTGAAACACTCTTTCTGTAGTATCTGCAAACGGACATTTCAAGCGCTTTCAGGCCTATGGTAAGAAAGGAAATATCTTCAAGTAAAAACTAGACAGAAGCATTCTCAGAAACTTATTTGCGATGTGTGTCCTCAACTAACAGAGTTGAACCTTTCTTTTGATACAACATTTTGGAAACACTCTTTTTGTAGAATCTGCAAGTGGATATTTGAATAGCTTTGAAGGTTTCGTTGGAAACGGGAATATCTTCATATAAAATCAAGACAGAAGCATTCTCAGAAACTGCTTTGTGATGTTTTCATTCAAGTCACAGAGTAGAATGTTCCCTGTTATATACCAGGTTTGAGACACTCTTTCTGCACTACCTGGAAGTGGACATTTGCAGCGCTTTGAGGCCTATGATGAAAAAGGAAATATCTTCCCATAAAAACTAGACAGAAGCATTCTCAGAAACTTGTTTGTGATGTGTGTATTCAACTAACAGAGATGAACCTTTCTTTTTACAGAGCAGTTTTGAAACACTCTTTTTGTGGAATCTGAAAGTGGATATTTGGATAGCTTTGCGGATTTCGTTGGAAACGGGATTACATATAAAATCTAGGGAGAAGCATTCTCAGGAACTTCTTTGTGATGTTTGCATTCACGTCACAGAACTGAACATTCCCTTTCATAGAGCATGTTTGAAACACTCTTTCTGTAGTATCTGCAAACGGACATTTCAAACGCTTTCAGGCCTATGGTGAGAAAGGAAATATCTTCAAATAAAAACTAGACAGAAGCATTCTCAGAAACTTATTTGCCATGTGTGTTCTCAACTAACAGAGTTGAACCTTTGTTTTGATACGGCATTTTGGAAACACTCTTTTTGTAGAATCTGCAGGTGGATATTCGGATAGCTTTGAAGGTTTCGTTGGAAACGGGAATATCTTCATATAAAATCTGGACGGAAGCATTCTCAGAAACTTCTCTGTGATGTTTGCATTCAACTCATAGAGTTGAACACTTCCCTTCATACAGCAGGTTTGAAACACTCTTTTTGTAATATTTGGAAGTGGACATTTGCAGCGCTTTGAGGCCTATGATGAAAAAGGAAATATCTTCCCATAAAAACTAGACAGAAGCATTCTCAGAAACTTCCTTGTGATGTGTGTACTCAAGTAACAGAGTTGAACCTTCCTTTTGACAGAGCCGTTTTGAAACAGTCTTTTTGTAGAATCTGGAAGTAGATATTTGGACACCTTTGAGGATTTCTTTGGAAACGGGATATCTTCATATAAAATCTAGACAGAAGCATTCTCAGGAACTTCTTTGTGATGTTTGCATTCAAGTCACAGAACTGAACATTCCCTTTCATAGAGCAGGTTTGAAACACTCTTTCTGTAGTATCTGCAAGCGGACGTTTCAAGCGCTTTCAGGCCTATGGTGAAAAAGGAAATATCTTCAAGTAAAAACTAGACAGAAGCATTCTCAGAAACTTATTTGCGATGTGTGTTCTCAACTAACAGAGTTGAACCTTTGTTTTGATATGGCATTTTGGAAACACTCTTTTTGTAGAATCTGCAGGTGGATATTCGGATAGCTTTGAAGGTTTCGTTGGAAACGGGAATATCTTCATATAAAATCTAGACGGAAGCATTCTCAGAAACTTCTCTGTGATGTTTGCATTCAACTCATAGAGTTGAACACTTCCCTTCATACAGCAGGTTTGAAACACTCTTTTTGTAATATTTGGAAGTGGACATTTGCAGCGCTTTGAGGCCTATGATGAAAAAGGAAATATCTTCCCATAAAAACTAGACAGAAGCATTCTCAGAAACTTGTTTGTGATGTGTGTATTCAACTAACAGAGATGAACCTTTCTTTTTACAGAGCAGTTTTGAAACACTCTTTTTGTGGAATCTGAAAGTGGATATTTGGATAGCTTTGAGGATTTCGTTGGAAACGGGATTACATATAAAACCTAGAGAGAAGCATTCTCAGGAACTTCTTTGTGATGTTTGCATTCAAGTCACAGAACTGAACATTCCCTTTCATAGAGCAGGTTTGAAACACTCTTTCTGTAGTATCTGCAAGCTGACGTTTCAAGCGCTTTCAGGCCTATGGTGAGAAAGGAAATATCTTCAAGTAAAAACTAGACAGAAGCATTCTCAGAAACTTATTTGCGATGTGTGTCCTCAACTAACAGAGTTGAACCTTTGTTTTGATACAACATTTTGGAAACACTCTTTTTGTAGAATCTGCAAGTGGATATTTGGATAGCTTTGAAGGTTTCGTTGGAAACGGGAATATCTTCATATAAAATCAAGACAGAAGCATTCTCAGAAAGTGCTTTGTGATGTTTGCATTCAAGTCACAGAGTTGAATATTCCCTTTTATAGAGCAGGTTTGAAACACTCTTTCTGCACTACCTGGAAGTGGACATTTGGAGCGCTTTGAGGCCTATGTTGAAAAACGAAATATCTTCCCATAAAAACTAGACAGAAGCATTCTCAGAAACTTGTTTGTGATGTGTGTATTCAACTAACAGAGATGAACCTTTCTTTTTACAGAGCAGTTTTGAAACACTCTTTTTGTGGAATCTGAAAGTGGATATTTGGATAGCTTTGAGGATTTCGTTGGAAACGGGATTACATATAAAACCTAGAGGGAAAGCATTCTCAGGCAACTTCTTTGTGATGTTTCCATTCAAGTCACAGGACTGAACATTCCCTTTCATAGAGCAGGTTTGAAACACTCTTTCTGTAGTATCTGCAAGCTGACGTTTCAAGCGCTTTCAGGCCTATGGTGAGAAAGGAAATATCTTCAAATAAAAACTAGACAGAAGCATTCTCAGAAACTTATTTGCCATGTGTGTTCTCAACTAACAGAGTTGAACCTTTGTTTTGATACGGCATTTTGGAAACACTCTTTTTGTAGAATCTGCAGGTGGATATTCGGATAGCTTTGAAGGTTTCGTTGGAAACGGGAATATCTTCATATAAAATCTAGACGGAAGCATTCTCAGAAACTGCTTTGTGATGTTTTCGTTGAAGTCACAGAGTAGAATGTTCCCTTTTATATACCAGGTTTGAGACACTCTTTCTGCACTATCTGGAAGTGGACATTTGGAGCGCTTTGAGGCCTATGATGAAAAAGGAAATATCTTCCCATAAAAACTAGACAGAAGCATTCTCAGAAACTTGTTTGTGATGTGTGTATTCAACTAACAGAGATGAACCTTTCTTTTTACAGAGCAGTTTTGAAACACTCTTTTTGTGGAATCTGAAAGTGGATATTTGGATAGCTTTGAGGATTTCGTTGGAAACGGGATTACATATAAAACCTAGAGAGAAGCATTCTCAGGAACTTCTTTGTGATGTTTGCCTTCAAGTCACAGGACTGAACATTCCCTTTCATAGAGCAGGTTTGAAACACTCTTTCTGTAGTATCTGCAAGCTGACGTTTCAAGCGCTTTCAGGCCTATGGTGAGAAAGGAAATATCTTCAAGTAAAAACTAGACAGAAGCATTCTCAGAAACTTATTTGCGATGTGTGTTCTCAACTAACAGAGTTGAACCTTTGTTTTGATATGGCATTTTGGAAACACTCTTTTTGTAGAATCTGCAGGTGGATATTCGGATAGCTTTGAAGGTTTCGTTGGAAACGGGAATATCTTCATATAAAATCTAGACGGAAGCATTCTCAGAAAGTGCTTTGTGATGTTTGCATTCAAGTCACAGAGTTGAATATTCCCTTTTATAGAGCAGGTTTGAAACACTCTTTCTGCACTACCTGGAAGTGGACATTTGGAGCGCTTTGAGGCCTATGTTGAAAAACGAAATATCTTCCCATAAAAACTAGACAGAAGCATTCTCAGAAACTTGTTTGTGATGTGTGTATTCAACTAACAGAGATGAACCTTTCTTTTTACAGAGCAGTTTTGAAACACTCTTTTTGTGGAATCTGAAAGTGGATATTTGGATAGCTTTGCGGATTTCGTTGGAAACGGGATTACATATAAAATCTAGGGAGAAGCATTCTCAGAAACTTGTTTGTGATGTGTGTATTCAACTAACAGAGATGAACCTTACTTTTGACAGAGCCGTTTTGACACAGTCTTTTTGTAGAATCTGGAAGTAGATATTTGGACACCTTTGAGGATTTCTTTGGAAACGGGATATCTTCATATAAAATCTAGACAGAAGCATTCTCAGAAACTTCTTTGTGCTGTATCTCCTCAATTAACAGAGTGGAACCTTTGTGTGGATACAGCATTTTGGAAACATTCCTTTAGTAGAATCTGCAAGTTGATATTTAGATAGCTAGGAAGATTTCCTTGGAAACGGGAATATCTTCATATAAAATCTAGACGGAAGCATTCTCAGAAACTGCTTTGTGATGTTTTCAGTGAAGTCACAGAGTAGAATGTTCCCTTTTATATACCAGGTTTCAGACACTCTTTCTGCACTATCTGGAAGTGGACATTTGGAGCGCTTTGAGGCCTATGATGAAAAAGGAAATATCTTCCCATAAAAACTAGACAGAAGCATTCTCAGAAACTTGTTTGTGATGTGTGTATTCAACTAACAGAGATGAACCTTTCTTTTTACAGAGCAGTTTTGAAACACTCTTTTTGTGGAATCTGAAAGTGGATATTTGGATAGCTTTGCGGATTTCGTTGGAAACGGGATTACATATAAAATCTAGGGAGAAAGCATTATCAGGAACTTCTTTGTGATGTTTGCATTCAAGTCACAGAACTGAACATTCCCTTTCATAGAGCAGGTTTGAAACACTCTTTCTGTAGTATCTGCAAGCGGACGTTTTAAGCGCTTTCAGGCCTGTGGTGAGAAAAGAAATATCTTCAAATAAAAACTAGACAGAAGCATTCTCAGAAACTTATTTGCGATGTGTGTCCTCAACTAACAGAGTTGAACCTTTCTTTTGATACAACATTTTGGAAACACTCTTTTTGTAGAATCTGCAAGTGGATATTTGGATAGCTTTGAAGGTTTCGTTGGAAACGGGAATATCTTCATATGAAATCAAGACAGAAGCATTCTCAGAAACTGCTTTGTGATGTTTTCATTCAAGTCACAGAGTAGAATGTTCCCTGTTATATACCAGGTTTGAGACACTCTTTCTGCACTACCTGGAAGTGGACGTTTGGAGCGCTTTGAGGCCTATGTTGAAAAAGGAAATATCTTCCCATAAAAACTAGACAGAAGCATTCTCAGAAACTTGTTTGTGATGTGTGTATTCAACTAACAGAGATGAACCTTTCTTTTTACAGAGCAGTTTTGAAACACTCTTTTTGTGGAATCTGAAAGTGGATATTTGGATAGCTTTGAGTATTTCGTTGGAAACGGGATTACATATAAAACCTAGAGAGAAGCATTCTCAGGAACTTCTTTGTGATGTTTGCCTTCAAGTCACAGGACTGAACATTCCCTTTCATAGAGCAGGTTTGAAACACTCTTTCTGTAGTATCTGCAAGCTGACGTTTCATGCGCTTTCAGGCCTATGGTGAGAAAGGAAATATCTTCAAGTAAAAACTAGACAGAAGCATTGTCAGAAACTTATTTGCCATGTGTGTTCTCAACTAACAGAGTTGAACCTTTGTTTTGATACGGCATTTTGGAAACACTCTTTTTGTAGAATCTGCAGGTGGATATTCGGATAGCTTTGAAGGTTTCGTTGGAAACGGGAATATCTTCATATAAAGTCTAGACGGAAGCATTCTCAGAAACTGCTTTGTGATGTTTTCATTCAAGTCACAGAGTAGAATGTTCCCTGTTATATACCAGGTTTGAGACACTCTTTCTGCACTACCTGGAAGTGGACGTTTGGAGCGCTTTGAGGCCTATGTTGAAAAAGGAAATATCTTCCCATAAAAACTAGACAGAAGCATTCTCAGAAACTTGTTTGTGATGTGTGTATTCAACTAACAGAGATGAACCTTTCTTTTTACAGAGCAGTTTTGAAACACTCTTTTTGTGGAATCTGAGAGTGGATATTTGGATAGCTTTGAGGATTTCGTTGGAAACGGGATTACATATAAAATCTAGAGAGAAGCATTCTCAGAAACTTCTCTGTTCTGTTTGCATTCAACTCATAGAGTTGAACACTTCCTTTCATAGAGCTGGTTTGAAATACTCTTTTTGTAATATTTGGAAGTGGACATTGGCAGCGGTTTGAAGCCTATGGTGAAAAAGGAGATATCTTCTCCTAAAAACCAGACAGAAGCATTCTCAGAAACTTATTTGCGATGTGTGTCCTCAACTAACAGAGTTGAACCTTTGTTTTGATACAACATTTTGGAAACACTCTTTTTGTAGAATCTGCAAGTGGATATTTGGATAGCTTTGAAGGTTTCGTTGGAAACGGGAATATCTTCATATAAAATCAAGACAGAAGCATTCTCAGAAAGTGCTTTGTGATGTTTGCATTCAAGTCACAGAGTTGAATATTCCCTTTTATAGAGCAGGTTTGAAACACTCTTTCTGCACTACCTGGAAGTGGACATTTGGAGCGCTTTGAGGCCTATGTTGAAAAACGAAATATCTTCCCATAAAAACTAGACAGAAGCATTCTCAGAAACTTGTTTGTGATGTGTGTATTCAACTAACAGAGATGAACCTTTCTTTTTACAGAGCAGTTTTGAAACACTCTTTTTGTGGAATCTGAAAGTGGATATTTGGATAGCTTTGAGGATTTCGTTGGAAACGGGATTACATATAAAATCTAGAGAGAAGCATTCTCAGGAACTTCTTTGTGATGTTTGCATTCAAGTCACAGTAACTGAACATTCCCTTTCATAGAGCAGGTTTGAAACACTCTTTCTGTAGTATCTGCAAGCGGACGTTTCAAGCGCTTTCAGGCCTGTGGTGAAAAAGGAAATATCTTCAAATAAAAACTAGACAGAAGCATTCTCAGAAACTTATTTGCGATGTGTGTCCTCAACTAACAGAGTTGAACCTTTCTTTTGATACAACATTTTGGAAACACTCTTTTTGTAGAATCTGCAAGTGGATATTTGGATAGCTTTGAAGGTTTCGTTGGAAACGGGAATATCTTCATATGAAATCAAGACAGAAGCATTCTCAGAAAGTGCTTTGTGATGTTTGCATTCAAGTCACAGAGTTGAATATTCCCTTTTATAGAGCAGGTTTGAAACACTCTTTCTGCACTACCTGGAAGTGGACATTTGGAGCGCTTTGAGGCCTATGTTGAAAAAGGAAATATCTTCCCATAAAAACTAGACAGAAGCATTCTCAGAAACTTGTTTGTGATGTGTGTATTCAACTAACAGAGATGAACCTTTCTTTTTACAGAGCAGTTTTGAAACACTCTTTTTGTGGAATCTGAAAGTGGATATTTGGATAGCTTTGAGGATTTCGTTGGAAACGGGATTACATATAAAACCTAGAGAGAAGCATTCTCAGGAACTTCTTTGTGATGTTTGCATTCAAGTCACAGAACTGAACATTCCCTTTCATAGAGCATGTTTGAAACACTCTTTCTGTAGTATCTGCAAGCGGACGTTTCAAGCGCTTTCAGGCCTATGGTGAGAAAGGAAATATCTTCAAGTAAAAACTAGACAGAAGCAGTCTCAGAAACTTATTTGCGATGTGTGTCCTCAACTAACAGAGTTGAACCTTTCTTTTGATACAACATTTTGGAAACACTCTTTTTGTAGAATCTGCAAGTGGATATTTGGATAGCTTTGAAGGTTTCGTTGGAAACGGGAATATCTTCATATGAAATCAAGACAGAAGCATTCTCAGAAAGTGCTTTGTGATGTTTGCATTCAAGTCACAGAGTTGAATATTCCCTTTTATAGAGCAGGTTTGAAACACTCTTTCTGCACTACCTGGAAGTGGACATTTGGAGCGCTTTGAGGCCTATGTTGAAAAACGAAATATCTTCCCATAAAAACTAGACAGAAGCATTCTCAGAAACTTGTTTGTGATGTGTGTATTCAACTAACAGAGATGAACCTTTCTTTTTACAGAGCAGTTTTGAAACACTCTTTTTGTGGAATCTGAAAGTGGATATTTGGATAGCTTTGAGGATTTCGTTGGAAACGGGATTACATATAAAACCTAGAGAGAAGCATTCTCAGGAACTTCTTTGTGATGTTTGCATTCAAGTCACAGAACTGAACATTCCCTTTCATAGAGCATGTTTGAAACACTCTTTCTGTAGTATCTGCAAACGGACATTTCAAACGCTTTCAGGCCTATGGTGAGAAAGGAAATATCTTCAAATAAAAACTAGACAGAAGCATTCTCAGAAACTTATTTGCGATGTGTGTTCTCAACTAACAGAGTTGAACCTTTGTTTTGATATGGCATTTTGGAAACACTCTTTTTGTAGAATCTGCAGGTGGATATTCGGATAGCTTTGAAGGTTTCGTTGGAAACGGGAATATCTTCATATAAAATCTAGACGGAAGCATTCTCAGAAACTTCTCTGTGATGTTTGCATTCAACTCATAGAGTTGAACACTTCCCTTCATACAGCAGGTTTGAAACACTCTTTTTGTAATATTTGGAAGTGGACATTTGCAGCGCTTTGAGGCCTATGATGAAAAAGGTAATATCTTCCCATAAAAACTAGACAGAAGCATTCTCAGAAACTTGTTTGTGATGTGTGTATTCAACTAACAGAGATGAACCTTTCTTTTTACAGAGCAGTTTTGAAACACTCTTTTTGTGGAATCTGAAAGTGGATATTTGGATAGCTTTGAGGATTTCGTTGGAAACGGGATTACATATAAAACCTAGAGAGAAGCATTCTCAGGAACTTCTTTGTGATGTTTGCCTTCAAGTCACAGGACTGAACATTCCCTTTCATAGAGCAGGTTTGAAACACTCTTTCTGTAGTATCTGCAAGCTGACGTTTCAAGCGCTTTCAGGCCTATGGTGAGAAAGGAAATATCTTCAAGTAAAAACTAGACAGGAAGCATTCTCAGAAACTTATTTGCCATGTGTGTTCTCAACTAACAGAGTTGAACCTTTGTTTTGATACGGCATTTTGGAAACACTCTTTTTGTAGAATCTGCAGGTGGATATTCGGATAGCTTTGAAGGTTTCGTTGGAAACGGGAATATCTTCATATAAAATCTTGACGGAAGCATTCTCAGAAACTTCTCTGTGATGTTTGCATTCAACTCATAGAGTTGAACACTTCCCTTCATACAGCAGGTTTGAAACACTCTTTTTGTAATATTTGGAAGTGGACATTTGCAGCGCTTTGGGGCCTATGATGAAAAAGGTAATATCTTCCCATAAAAACTAGACAGAAGCATTCTCAGAAACTTGTTTGTGATGTGTGTATTCAACTAACAGAGATGAACCTTTCTTTTTACAGAGCAGTTTTGAAACACTCTTTTGTGGAATCTGAAAGTGGATATTTGGATAGCTTTGAGGATTTCGTTGGAAACGGGATTACATATAAAACCTAGAGAGAAGCATTCTCAGGAACTTCTTTGTGATGTTTGCATTCAAGTCACAGAACTGAACATTCCCTTTCATAGAGCAGGTTTGAAACACTCTTTCTGTAGTATCTGCAAGCTGACGTTTCAAGCGCTTTCAGGCCTATGGTGAGAAAGGAAATATCTTCAAGTAAAAACTAGACAGAAGCATTCTCAGAAACTTATTTGCCATGTGTGTTCTCAACTAACAGAGTTGAACCTTTGTTTTGATGCGGCATTTTGGAAACACTCTTTTTGTAGAATCTGCAGGTGGATATTCGGATAGCTTTGAAGGTTTCGTTGGAAACTGGAATATCTTCATATAAAATCTAGACGGAAGCATTCTCAGAAAGTGCTTTGTGATGTTTGCATTCAAGTCACAGAGTTGAATATTCCCTTTTATAGAGCAGGTTTGAAACACTCTTTCTGCACTACCTGGAAGTGGACATTTGGAGCGCTTTGAGGCCTATGTTGAAAAAGGAAATATCTTCCCATAAAAACTAGACAGAAGCATTCTCAGAAACTTGTTTGTGATGTGTGTATTCAACTAACAGAGATGAACCTTTCTTTTTACAGAGCAGTTTTGAAACACTCTTTTTGTGGAATCTGAAAGTGGATATTTGGATAGCTTTGAGGATTTCGTTGGAAACGGGATTACATATAAAACCTAGAGAGAAGCATTCTCAGGAACTCCTTTGTGATGTTTGCCTTCAAGTCACAGGACTGAACATTCCCTTTCATAGAGCAGGTTTGAAACACTCTTTCTGTAGTATCTGCAAGCTGACGTTTCAAGCGCTTTCAGGCCTATGGTGAGAAAGGAAATATCTTCAAGTAAAAACTAGACAGAAGCATTCTCAGAAACTTATTTGCGATGTGTGTCCTCAACTAACAGAGTTGAACCTTTCTTTTGATACAACATTTTGGAAACACTCTTTTTGTAGAATCTGCAAGTGGATATTTGAATAGCTTTGAAGGTTTCGTTGGAAATGGGAATATCTTCATATAAAATCAAGACAGAAGCATTCTCAGAAACTGCTTTGTGATGTTTTCATTCAAGTCACAGAGTAGAATGTTCCCTGTTATACACCAGGTTTGAGACACTCTTTCTGCACTACCTGGAAGTGGACGTTTGGAGCGCTTTGAGGCCTATGTTGAAAAAGGAAATATCTTCCCATAAAAACTAGACAGAAGCATTCTCAGAAACTTGTTTGTGATGTGTGTATTCAACTAACAGAGATGAACCTTTCTTTTTACAGAGCAGTTTTGAAACACTCTTTTTGTGGAATCTGAAAGTGGATATTTGGATAGCTTTGAGGATTTCGTTGGAAACGGGATTACATATAAAACCTAGAGAGAAGCATTCTCAGGAACTTCTTTGTGATGTTTGCCTTCAAGTCACAGGACTGAACATTCCCTTTCATAGAGCAGGTTTGAAACACTCTTTCTGTAGTATCTGCAAGCTGACGTTTCAAGCGCTTTCAGGCCTATGGTGAGAAAGGAAATATCTTCAAGTAAAAACTAGACAGAAGCATTCTCAGAAACTTCTTTGCCATGTGTGTTCTCAACTAACAGAGTTGAACCTTTGTTTTGATACGGCATTTTGGAAACACTCTTTTTGTAGAATCTGCAGGTGGATATTCGGATAGCTTTGAAGGTTTCGTTGGAAACGGGAATATCTTCATATAAAATACTAGACGGAAGCACTCTCAGAAACTGCTTTGTGATGTTTTCATTCAAGTCACAGAGTAGAATGTTCCCTTTTATATACCAGGTTTGAGACACACTTTCTGCACTATCTGGAAGTGGACATTTGGAGCGCTTTGTGGCCTATGTTGAAAAAGGAAATATCTTCCCATAAAAACTAGACAGAAGCATTCTCAGAAACTTGTTTGTGATGTGTGTATTCAACTAACAGAGATGAACCTTTCTTTTTACAGAGCAGTTTTGAAACACTCTTTTTGTGGAATCTGAAAGTGGATATTTGGATAGCTTTGCGGATTTCGTTGGAAACGGGATTACATATAAAATCTAGGGAGAAGCATTCTCAGAAACTTCTCTGTGATGTTTGCATTCAACTCATAGAGGTGAACACTTCCCTTCATAGAGCAGGTTTGAAACACTCTTTTTGTAATATTTGGAAGTGGACATTTGCAGCGCTTTGAGGCCTATGTTGAAAAAGGAAATATCTTCTCCTAAAAACCAGACAGAAGCATTCTCAGAAACTTATTTGCGATGTGTGTCCTCAACTAACAGAGTTGAACCTTTCTTTTGATACAACATTTTGGAAACACTCTTTTTGTAGAATCTGCAAGTGGATATTTGAATAGCTTTGAAGGTTTCGTTGGAAACGGGAATATCTTCATATAAAATCAAGACAGAAGCATTCTCAGAAACTGCTTTGTGATGTTTTCATTCAAGTCACAGAGTAGAATGTTCCCTGTTATATACCAGGTTTGAGACACTCTTTCTGCACTACCTGGAAGTGGACATTTGCAGCGCTTTGAGGCCTATGATGAAAAAGGAAATATCTTCCCATAAAAACTAGACAGAAGCATTCTCAGAAACTTGTTTGTGATGTGTGTATTCAACTAACAGAGATGAACCTTTCTTTTTACAGAGCAGTTTTGAAACACTCTTTTTGTGGAATCTGAAAGTGGATATTTGGATAGCTTTGAGGATTTCGTTGGAAACGGGATTACATATAAAACCTAGAGAGAAGCATTCTCAGGAACTTCTTTGTGATGTTTGCCTTCAAGTCACAGGACTGAACGTTCCCTTTCATAGAGCAGGTTTGAAACACTCTTTCTGTAGTATCTGCAAGCTGACGTTTCATGCGTTTTCAGGCCTATGGTGAGAAAGGAAATATCTTCAAGTAAAAACTAGACAGAAGCATTCTCAGAAACTTATTTGCCATGTGTGTTCTCAACTAACAGAGTTGAACCTTTGTTTTGATACGGCATTTTGGAAACACTCTTTTTGTAGAATCTGCAGGTGGATATTCGGATAGCTTTGAAGGTTTCGTTGGAAACGGGAATATCTTCATATAAAATCTAGACGGAAGCATTCTCAGAAAGTGCTTTGTGATGTTTGCATTCAAGTCACAGAGTTGAATATTCCCTTTTATAGAGTAGGTTTGAAACACTCTTTCTGCACTACCTGGAAGTGGACATTTGGAGCGCTTTGAGGCCTATGTTGAAAAAGGAAATATCTTCCCATAAAAACTAGACAGAAGCATTCTGAGAAACTTGTTTGTGATGTGTGTATTCAACTAACAGAGATGAACCTTTCTTTTTACAGAGCAGTTTTGAAACACTCTTTTTGTGGAATCTGAAAGTGGATATTTGGATAGCTTTGCGGATTTCGTTGGAAACGGGATTACATATAAAATCTAGGGAGAAGCATTCTCAGGAACTTCTTTGTGATGTTTGCATTCAAGTCACAGAACTGAACATTCCCTTTCATAGAGCAGGTTTGAAACACTCTTTCTGTAGTATCTGCAAGCGGACGTTTTAAGCGCTTTCAGGCCTGTGGTGAGAAAGGAAATATCTTCAAATAAAAACTAGACAGAAGCATTCTCAGAAACTTATTTGCGATGTGTGTTCTCAACTAACAGAGTTGAACCTTTGTTTTGATATGGCATTTTGGAAACACTCTTTTTGTAGAATCTGCAGGTGGATATTCGGATAGCTTTGAAGGTTTCGTTGGAAACGGGAATATCTTCATATAAAATCTAGACGGAAGCATTCTCAGAAACTGCTTTGTGATGTTTTCATTCAAGTCACAGAGTAGAATGTTCCCTGTTATATACCAGGTTTGAGACACTCTTTCTGCACTACCTGGAAGTGGACGTTTGGAGCGCTTTGAGGCCTATGTTGAAAAAGGAAATATCTTCCCATAAAAACTAGACAGAAGCATTCTCAGAAACTTGTTTGTGATGTGTGTATTCAACTAACAGAGATGAACCTTTCTTTTTACAGAGCAGTTTTGAAACACTCTTTTTGTGGAATCTGAAAGTGGATATTTGGATAGCTTTGCGGATTTCGTTGGAAACGGGATTACATATAAAATCTAGGGAGAAGCATTCTCAGAAACTTCTCTGTGATGTTTGCATTCAACTCATAGAGTTGAACAATTCCTTTCATAGAGCTGGTTTGAAATACTCTTTTTGTAATATTTGGAAGTGGATATTGGCAGCGCTTTGAAGCTTATGGTGAAAAAGGAGATATCTTCTCCTAAATACCAGACAGAAGCATTCTCAGAATCTTTCTTGTGATGTGTGTACTCAAGTAACAGAGTTGAACCTTCCTTTTGACAGAGCAGTTTTGAAGCACTCTTTTTGTAGAATCTGCAAGTGGATATTTGGATACCTTTGAGGATTTCGTTGGACACGGGATATCTTCATATAAAATCTAGACAGAAGCATTCTCAGACACTTCTTTGTGCTGTATGTCTTCAATTAACAGAGTTGAACCTTTGTTTGGAAACAGCATTTTGGAAACGTTCCTTTAGTAGAATCTGCAAGTTGATATTTAGATAGCTAGGAAGATTTCCTTGGAAACGGGAATATCTTCACATAAAATCTAGACGGAAGCATTCTCAGAAAGTGCTTTGTGATGTTTGCATTCAAGTCACAGTAGTTGAATATTCCCCTTTATAGAGCAGGTTTGAAACACTCTTTCTGCACTACCTGGAAGTGGACATTTGGAGCGCTTTGAGGCCTATGTTGAAAAAGGAAATATCTTCCCATAAAAACTAGACAGAAGCATTCTCAGAAACTTGTTTGTGATGTGTGTATTCAACTAACAGAGATGAACCTTTCTTTTTACAGAGCAGTTTTGAAACACTCTTTTTGTGGAATCTGAAAGTGGATATTTGGATAGCTTTGAGGATTTCGTTGGAAACGGGATTACATATAAAACCTAGAGAGAAGCATTCTCAGGAACTTCTTTGTGATGTTTGCATTCAAGTCACAGAACTGAACATTCCCTTTCATAGAGCATGTTTGAAACACTCTTTCTGTAGTATCTGCAAACGGACATTTCAAACGCTTTCAGGCCTATGGTGAGAAAGGAAATATCTTCAAATAAAAACTAGACAGAAGCATTCTCAGAAACTTATTTGCCATGTGTGTTCTCAACTAACAGAGTTGAACCTTTGTTTTGATACGGCATTTTGGAAACACTCTTTTTGTAGAATCTGCAGGTGGATATTCGGATAGCTTTGAAGGTTTCGTTGGAAACGGGAATATCTTCATATAAAATCTAGACGGAAGCATTCTCAGAAACTGCTTTGTGATGTTTTCATTCAAGTCACAGAGTAGAATGTTCGCTGTTATATACCAGGTTTGAGACACTCTTTCTGCACTACCTGGAAGTGGACGTTTGGAGCGCTTTGAGCCCTATGTTGAAAAAGGAAATATCTTCCCATAAAAACTAGACAGAAGCATTCTCAGAAACTTGTTTGTGATGTGTGTATTCAACTAACAGAGATGAACCTTTCTTTTTACAGAGCAGTTTTGAAACACTCTTTTTGTGGAATCTGAAAGTGGATATTTGGATAGCTTTGAGGATTTCGTTGGAAACGGGATTACATATAAAACCTAGAGAGAAGCATTCTCAGGAACTTCTTTGTGATGTTTGCATTCAAGTCACAGGACTGAACGTTCCCTTTCATAGAGCAGGTTTGAAACACTCTTTCTGTAGTATCTGCAAGCTGACGTTTCATGCGTTTTCATGCCTATGGTGAGAAAGGAAATATCTTCAAGTAAAAACTAGACAGAAGCATTCTCAGAAACTTATTTGCCATGTGTGTTCTCAACTAACAGAGTTGAACCTTTGTTTTGATACGGCATTTTGGAAACCCTCTTTTTGTAGAATCTGCAGGTGGATATTCGGATAGCTTTGAAGGTTTCGTTGGAAACGGGAATATCTTCATATAAAATGTAGACGGAAGCATTCTCAGAAACTGCTTTGTGATGTTTTCATTCAAGTCACAGAGTAGAATGTTCCCTGTTATATACCAGGTTTGAGACACTCTTTCTGCACTACCTGGAAGTGGACGTTTGGAGCGCTTTGAGGCGTATGTTGAAAAAGGAAATATCTTCCCATGAAAACTAGACAGAAGCATTCTCAGAAACTTGTTTGTGATGTGTGTATTCAACTAACAGAGATGAACCTTTCTTTTTACAGAGCAGTTTTGAAACACTCTTTTTGTGGAATCTGAAAGTGGATATTTGGATAGCTTTGAGGATTTCGTTGGAAACGGGATTACATATAAATTCTAGAGAGAAGCATTCTCAGGAACTTCTTTGTGATGTTTGCATTCAAGTCACAGAACTGAACATTCCCTTTCATAGAGCAGGTTTGAAACACTCTTTCTGTAGTATCTGCAAGTGGACGTTTCAAGCGCTTTCAGGCCTGTGGTGAAAAAGGAAATATCTTCAAATAAAAACTAGACAGAAGCATTCTCAGAAACTTATTTGCGATGTGTGTTCTCAGCTAACAGAGTTGAACCTTTGTTTTGATACAGCATTTTGGAAACACTCTTTTTGTAGGATCTGCAGGTGGATATTTGGATAGCTTTGAAGGTTTCTTTGGAAACGGGAATATCTTCATATAAAATCAAGACAGAAGCATTCTCAGAAACTGCTTTGTGATGTTTTCATTCAAGTCACAGAGTAGAATCTTCCCTGTTATATACCAGGTTTCAGACACTCTTTCTGCACTACCTGGAAGTGGACATTTGCAGCGCTTTGAGGCCTATGATGAAAAAGGAAATATCTTCCCATAAAAACTAGACAGAAGCATTCTCAGAAACTTGTTTGTGATGTGTGTATTCAACTAACAGAGATGAACCTTTCTTTTTACAGAGCAGTTTTGGAACACTCTTTTTGTGGAATCTGAAAGTGGATATTTGGATAGCTTTGAGGATTTCGTTGGAAACGGGATTACATATAAAACCTAGAGAGAAGCATTCTCAGGAACTTCTTTGTGATGTTTGCATTCAAGTCACAGAACTGAACATTCCCTTTCATAGAGCAGGTTTGAAACACTCTTTATGTAGTATCTGCCAGCTGACGTTTCAAGCGCTTTCAGGCCTATGGTGAGAAAGGAAATATCTTCAAGTAAAAACTAGACAGAAGCATTCTCAGAAACTTCTTTGTGCTGTATGTCCTCAATTAACAGAGTTGAACCTTTGTGTGGATACAGCATTTTGGAAACATTCCTTTAGTAGAATCTGCAAGTTGATATTTAGATAGCTAGGAAGATTTCCTTGGAAACGGGAATATCTTCATATAAAATCTAGACGGAAGCATTCTCAGAAACTGCTTTGTGATGTCTTCATTCAAGTCACAGAGCAGAATGTTCCCCTTTATAGAGCAGGTTTGAAACACTCAGTGCACTACCTGGAAGTGGACATTTGGAGCGCTTTGAGGCCTATGTTGAAAAAGGAAATATCTTCCCATAGAAACTAGACAGAAGCATTCTCAGAAACTTCCTTGTGATGTGTGTACTCAAGTAACAGAGTTGAACCTTACTTTTGACAGAGCCGTTTTGAAACAGTCTTTTTGTAGAATCTGGAAGTAGATATTTGGACACCATTGAGGATTTCTTTGGAAACGGGATATCTTCATATAAAATCTAGACAGAAGCATTCTCAGGAACTTCTTTGTGATGTTTGCATTCACGTCACAGAACTGAACATTCCCTTTCATAGAGCATGTTTGAAACACTCTTTCTGTAGTATCTGCAAACGGACATTTCAAACGCTTTCAGGCCTATGGTGAGAAAGGAAATATCTTCAAGTAAAAACTAGACAGAAGCATTCTCAGAAACATATTTGCCATGTGTGTTCTCAACTAACGGAGTTGAACCTTTGTTTTGATATGGCATTTTGGAAACACTCTTTTTGTAGAATCTGCAGGTGGATATTCGGATAGCTTTGAAGGTTTCGTTGGAAACGGGAATATCTTCATATAAAATCTAGACGGAAGCATTCTCAGAAAGTGCTTTGTGATGTTTGCATTCAAGTCACAGAGTTGAATATTCCCTTTTATAGAGCAGGTTTGAAACACTCTTTCTGCACTACCTGGAAGTGGACATTTGGAGCGCTTTGAGGCCTATGTTGAAAAAGGAAATATCTTCCCATAAAAACTAGACGGAAGCATTCTCAGAAACTTGTTTGTGATGTGTGTATTCAACTAACAGAGATGAACCTTTCTTTTTACAGAGCAGTTTTGAAACACTCTTTTTGTGGAATCTGAAAGTGGATATTTGGATAGCTTTGAGGATTTCGTTGGAAACGGGATTACATATAAAATCTAGAGAGAAGCATTCTCAGGAACTTCTTTGTGATGTTTGCCTTCAAGTCACAGGACTGAACATTCCCTTTCATAGAGCAGGTTTGAAACACTCTTTCTGTAGTATCTGCAAGCTGACGTTTCAAGCGCTTTCAGGCCTATGGTGAGAAAGGAAATATCTTCAAGTAAAAACTAGACAGAAGCATTCTCAGAAACTTATTTGCGATGTGTGTCCTCAACTAACAGAGTTGAACCTTTCTTTTGATACAACATTTTGGAAACACTCTTTTTGTAGAATCTGCAAGTGGATATTTGAATAGATTTGAAGGTTTCGTTGGAAACGGGAATATCTTCATATAAAATCAAGACGGAAGCATTCTCAGAAAGTGCTTTGTGATGTTTGCATTCAAGTCACAGAGTTGAATATTCCCTTTTATAGAGCAGGTTTGAAACACGCTTTCTGCACTACCTGGAAGTGGACATTTGGAGCGCTTTGAGGCCTATGTTGAAAAAGGAAATATCTTCCCATAAAAACTAGACAGAAGCATTCTCAGAATCTTCCTTGTGATGTGTGTACTCAAGTAACAGAGTTGAACCTTCCTTTTGACAGAGCAGTTTTGAAGCACTCTTTTTGTAGAATCTGCATGTGGATATTTTGATACCTTTGAGGATTTCGTTGGACACGGGATATCTTCATATAAAATCTAGACAGAAGCATTCTCAGGAACTTCTTTGTGATGTTTGCATTCAAGTCACAGAACTGAACATTCCCTTTCATAGAGCAGGTTTGAAACACTCTTTCTGTATTGTCTGCAAGCTGACGTTTCAAGCGCTTTCAGGCCTATGGTGAGAAAAGAAATATCTTCAAGTAAAAACTAGACAGAAGCATTCTCAGAAACTTATTTGCGATGTGTGTTCTCAACTAACAGAGTTGAACCTTTGTTTTGATATGGCATTTTGGAAACACTCTTTTTGTAGAATCTGCAGGTGGATATTCGGATAGCTTTGAAGGTTTCGTTGGAAACGGGAATATCTTCATATAAAATCTAGACGGAAGCATTCTCAGAAAGTGCTTTGTGATGTTTGCATTCAAGTCACAGAGTTGAATATTCCCTTTTATAGAGCAGGTTTGAAACACTCTTTCTGCACTACCTGGAAGTGGACATTTGGAGCGCTTTGAGGCCTATGTTGAAAAAGGAAATATCTTCCCATAAAAACTAGACAGAAGCATTCTCAGAAACTTGTTTGTGATGTGTGTATTCAACTAACAGAGATGAACCTTTCTTTTTACAGAGCAGTTTTGAAACACTCTTTTTGTGGAATCTGAAAGTGGATATGTGGACAGCTTTGACGATTTCGTTGGAAACGGGATTACATATAAAATCTAGAGAGAAGCATTCTCAGGAACTTCTTTGTGATGTTTGCATTCAAGTCACAGAACTGAACATTCCCTTTCATAGAGCATGTTTGAAACACTCTTTCTGTAGTATCTGCAAGCGGACGTTTTAAGCGCTTTCAGGCCTGTGGTGAGAAAGGAAATATCTTCAAATAAAAACTAGACAGAAGCATTCTCAGAAACTTATTTGCCATGTGTGTTCTCAACTAACAGAGTTGAACCTTTGTTTTGATACGGCATTTTGGAAACACTCTTTTTGTAGAATCTGCAGGTGGATATTCGGATAGCTTTGAAGGTTTCGTTGGAAACGGGAATATCTTCATATAAAATCTTGACGGAAGCATTCTCAGAAACTGCTTTGTGATGTTTTCATTCAAGTCACAGAGTAGAATGTTCCCTGTTATATACCAGGTTTGAGACACTCTTTCTGCACTACCCGGAAGTGGACGTTTGGAGCGCTTTGAGGCCTATGTTGAAAAAGGAAATATCTTCCCATAAAAACTAGACAGAAGCATTCTCAGAAACTTGTTTGTGATGTGTGTATTCAACTAACAGAGATGAACCTTTCTTTTTACAGAGCAGTTTTGAAACACTCTTTTTGTGGAATCTGAAAGTGGATATTTGGATAGCTTTGCGGATTTCGTTGGAAACGGGATTACATATAAAATCTAGGGAGAAGCATTCTCAGCAACTTCTTTGTGATGTTTGCATTCACGTCACAGAACTGAACATTCCCTTTCATAGAGCATGTTTGAAACACTCTTTCTGTAGTATCTGCAAACGGACATTTCAAACGCTTTCAGGCCTATGGTGAGAAAGGAAATATCTTCAAATAAAAACTAGACAGAAGCATTCTCAGAAACTTATTTGCGATGTGTGTCCTCAACTAACAGAGTTGAACCTTTCTTTTGATACAACATTTTGGAAACACTCTTTTTGTAGAATCTGCAAGTGGATATTTGAATAGCTTTGAAGGTTTCGTTGGAAACGGGAATATCTTCATATGAAATCAAGACAGAAGCATTCTCAGAAAGTGCTTTGTGATGTTTGCATTCAAGTCACAGAGTTGAATATTCCCTTTTATAGAGCAGGTTTGAAACACTCTTTCTGCACTACCTGGAAGTGGACATTTGGAGCGCTTTGAGGCCTATGTTGAAAAAGGAAATATCTTCCCATAAAAACTAGACAGAAGCATTCTCAGAAACTTGTTTGTGATGTGTGTATTCAACTAACAGAGATGAACCTTTCTTTTACAGAGCAGTTTTGAAACACTCTTTTTGTGGAATCTGAAAGTGGATATTTGGATAGCTTTGAGGATTTCGTTGGAAACGGGATTACATATAAAACCTAGAGAGAAGCATTCTCAGGAACTTCTTTGTGATGTTTGCATTCAAGTCACAGAACTGAACATTCCCTTTCATAGAGCAGGTTTGAAACAGTCTTTCTGTAGTATCTGCAAGCTGACGTTTCAAGCGCTTTCAGGCCTATGGTGAGAAAGGAAATATCTTCAAGTAAAAACTAGACAGAAGCATTCTCAGAAACTTATTTGCCATGTGTGTTCTCAACTAACAGAGTTGAACCTTTGTTTTGATACGGCATTTTGGAAACACTCTTTTTGTAGAATCTGCAGGTGGATATTCGGATAGCTTTGAAGGTTTCGTTGGAAACGGGAATATCTTCATATAAAATCTAGACGGAAGCATTCTCAGAAACTGCTTTGTGATGTTTTCATTCAAGTCACAGAGTAGAATGTTCCCTTTTATATACCAGGTTTGAGACACTCTTTCTGCACTATCTGGAAGTGGACATTTGGAGCGCTTTGAGGCCTATGATGAAAAAGGAAATATCTTCCCATAAAAACTAGACAGAAGCATTCTCAGAAACTTGTTTGTGATGTGTGTATTCAACTAACTGAGATGAACCTTTCTTTTTACAGAGCAGTTTTGAAACACTCTTTTTGTGGAATCTGAAAGTGGATATTTGGATAGCTTTGAGGATTTCGTTGGAAACGGGATTACATATAAAATCTAGAGAGAAGCATTCTCAGGAACTTCTTTGTGATGTTTGCATTCAAGTCACAGAACTGAACATTCCCTTTCATAGTGCAGGTTTGAAACACTCTTTCTGTAGTATCTGCAAGCTGACATTTCAAGCGCTTTCAGGCCTGTGGTGAAAAAGGAAATATCTTCAAATAAAAACTAGACAGAAGCATTCTCAGAAACTTATTTGCGATGTGTGTTCTCAACTAACAGAGTTGAACCTTTGTTTGGATACAACATTTTGGAAACACTCCTTTTGTAGAATCTGCAAGTGGATATTTGGATAGCTTTGAAGGTTTCGTTGTTAACGGGAATATCTTCATATAAAATCAAGACAGAAGCATTCTCAGAAACTGCTTTGTGATGTTTTCATTCAAGTCACGGGAGTAGAATGTTCCCTGTTATATACCAGGTTTGAGACACTCTTTCTGCACTACCTGGAAGTGGACATTTGGAGCGCTTTGAGGCCTATGATGAAAAAGGAAATATCTTCCCATAAAAACTAGACAGAAGCATTCTCAGAAACTTGTTTGTGATGTGTGTATTCAACTAACAGAGATGAACCTTTCTTTTTACAGAGCAGTTTTGAAACACTCTTTTTGTGGAATCTGAAAGTGGATATTTGGATAGCTTTGAGGATTTCGTTGGAAACGGGATTACATATAAAATCTAGAGAGAAGCATTCTCAGGAACTTCTTTGTGATGTTTGCATTCAAGTCACAGAACTGAACATTCCCTTTCATAGAGCAGGTTTGAAACACTCTTTCTGTAGTATCTGCAAGCGGACGTTTTAAGTGCTTTCAGGCCTGTGGTGAGAAAGGAAATATCTTCAAATAAAAACTAGACAGAAGCATTCTCAGAAACTTCTTTGTGCTGTATGTCCTCAATTAACAGAGTTGAACCTTTGTGTGGATACAGCATTTTGGAAACACCCCTTTAGTAGGATATGCAAGTTGATATTTAGATAGCTAGGAAGATTTTTTGGAAACGGGAATAACTTCATATAAAACCTAGACGGAAGCATTCTCAGAAAGTGCTTTGTGATGTTTGCATTCAATTCACAGAGTTGAATATTCCCTTTTATAGAGCAGGTTTGAAACACTCTTTCTGCACTACCTGGAAGTGGACATTTGGAGCGCTTTGAGGCCTATGTTGAAAAAGGAAATACCTTCCCATAAAAACTAGACAGAAGCATTCTCAGAAACTTGTTTGTGATGTGTGTATTCAACAAACAGAGATGAACCTTTCTTTTTACCGAGCAGTTTTGAAACACTCTTTTTGTGGAATCTGAAAGTGGATATTTGGATAGCTTTGAGGATTTCGTTGGAAACGGGATTACATAGAAAATCTAGAGAGAAGCATTCTCAGGAACTTCTTTGTGATGTTTGCATTCAAGTCACAGAACTGAACATTCCCTTTCATAGAGCATGTTTGAAACACTCCTTCTGTAGTATCTGCAAGCGGACGTTTCAAGCGCTTTCAGGCCTATGGTGAGAAAGGAAATATCTTCAAGTAAAAACTAGACAGAAGCATTCTCAGAAACTTATTTGCCATGTGTGTTCTCAACTAACAGAGTTGAACCTTTGTTTTGATTCGGCATTTTGGAAACACTCTTTTTGTAGAATCTGCAGGTGGATATTCGGATAGCTTTGAAGGTTTCGTTGGAAACGGGAATATCTTCATATAAAATCTAGACGGAAGCATTCTCAGAAACTGCTTTGTGATGTTTTCATTGAAGTCACAGAGTAGAATGTTCCCTTTTATATACCAGGTTTGAGACACTCTTTCTGCACTATCTGGAAGTGGACATTTGGAGCGCTTTGAGGCCTATGATGAAAAAGGAAATATCTTCCCATAAAAACTAGACAGAAGCATTCTCAGAAACTTGTTTGTGATGTGTGTATTCAACTAACAGAGATGAACCTTTCTTTTTACAGAGCAGTTTTGAAACACTCTTTTTGTGGAATCTGAAAGTGGATATTTGGATAGCTTTGAGGATTTCGTTGGAAACGGGATTACATATAAAATCTAGAGAGAAGCATTCTCAGGAACTTCTTTGTGATGTTTGCCTTCAAGTCACAGGACTGAACATTCCGTTTCATAGAGCAGGTTTGAAACACTCTTTCTGTAGTATCTGCAAGCTGACGTTTCAAGCGCTTTCAGGCCTATGGTGACAAAGGAAATATCTTCAAGTAAAAACTAGACAGAAGCATTCTCAGAAACTTATTTGCGATGTGTGTTCTCAACTAACAGAGTTGAACCTTTGTTTTGATATGGCATTTTGGAAACACTCTTTTTGTAGAATCTGCAGGTGGATATTCGGATAGCTTTGAAGGTTTCGTTGGAAACGGGAATATCTTCATATAAAATCTAGACGGAAGCATTCTCAGAAAGTGCTTTGTGATGTTTGCATTCAAGTCACAGAGTTGAATATTCCCTTTTATAGAGCAGGTTTGAAACACTCTTTCTGCACTACCTGGAAGTGGACATTTGGAGCGCTTTGAGGCCTATGTTGAAAAAGGAAATATCTTCCCATAAAAACTAGACAGAAGCATTCTCAGAAACTTGTTTGTGATGTGTGTATTCAACTAACAGAGATGAACCTTTCTTTTTACAGAGCAGTTTTGAAACACTCTTTTTGTGGAATCTGAAAGTGGATATTTGGATAGCTTTGCGGATTTCGTTGGAAACGGGATTACATATAAAATCTAGGGAGAAGCATTCTCAGGAACTTCTTTGTGATGTTTGCATTCACGTCACAGAACTGAACATTCCCTTTCATAGAGCATGTTTGAAACACTCTTTCTGTAGTATCTGCAAACGGACATTTCAAACGCTTTCAGGCCTATGGTGAGAAAGGAAATATCTTCACATAAAAACTAGACAGAAGCATTCTCAGAAACTTCTTTGTGCTGTATGTCCTCAATTAACAGAGTTGAACCTTTGTGTGGATACGGCATTTTGGAAACATTCCTTTAGTAGAATCTGCAAGTTGTTATTTAGATAGCTAGGAAGATTTCCTTGGAAACGGGAATATCTTCATATAAAATCTAGACGGAAGCATTCTCAGAAAGTGCTTTGTGATGTTTGCATTCAAGTCACAGAGTTGAATATTCCCTTTTATAGAGCAGGTTTGAAACACTCTTTCTGCACTACCTGGAAGTGGACATTTGGAGCGCTTTGAGGCCTATGTTGAAAAAGGAAATATCTTCCCATAAAAACTAGACAGAAGCATTCTCAGAAACTTGTTTGTGATGTGTGTATTCAACTAACAGAGATGAACCTCTCTTTTTACAGAGCAGTTTTGAAACACTCTTTTTGTGGAATCTGAAAGTGGATATTTGGATAGCTTTGCGGATTTCGTTGGAAACGGGATTACATATAAAATCTAGGGAGAAGCATTCTCAGGAACTTCTTTGTGATGTTTGCCTTCAAGTCACAGGACTGAACATTCCCTTTCATAGAGCAGGTTTGAAACACTCTTTCTGTAGTATCTGCAAGCTGACGTTTCAAGCGCTTTCAGGCCTATGGTGACAAAGGAAATATCTTCAAGTAAAAACTAGACAGAAGCATTCTCAGAAACTTATTTGCCATGTGTGTTCTCAACTAACAGAGTTGAACCTTTGTTTTGATACGGCATTTTGGAAACACTCTTTTTGTAGAATCTGCAGGTGGATATTCGGATAGCTTTGAAGGTTTCGTTGGAAACGGGAATATCTTCATATAAAATCTAGACGGAAGCATTCTCAGAAACTGCTTTGTGATGTTTTCATTCCAGTCACAGAGTAGAATGTTCCCTTTTATATACCAGGTTTGAGACACTCTTTCTGCACTATCTGGAAGTGGACATTTGGAGCGCTTTGAGGCCTATGATGAAAAAGGAAATATCTTCCCATAAAAACTAGACAGAAGCATTCTCAGAAATTTGTTTGTGATGTGTGTATTCAACTAACAGACATGAACCTTTCTTTTTACAGAGCAGTTTTGAAACACTCTTTTTGTGGAATCTGAAAGTGGATATTTGGATATCTTTGAGGATTTCGTTGGAAACGGGATTACATATAAAATCTAGAGAGAAGCATTCTCAGGAACTTCTTTGTGATGTTTGCATTCACGTCACAGAACTGAACATTCCCTTTCATAGAGCATGTTTGAAACACTCTTTCTGTAGTATCTGCAAACGGACATTTCAAACGCTTTCAGGCCTATGGTGAGAAAGGAAATATCTTCAAGTAAAAACTAGACAGAAGCATTCTCAGAAACTTATTTGCGATGTGTGTTCTCAACTAACAGAGTTGAACCTTTGTTTTGATATGGCATTTTGGAAACACTCTTTTTGTAGAATCTGCAGGTGGATATTCGGATAGCTTTGAACGTTTCGTTGGAAACGGGAATATCTTCATATAAAATCTAGACGGAAGCATTCTCAGAAACTGCTTTGTGATGTTTTCATTCAAGTCACAGAGTAGAATGTTCCCTGTTATACACCAGGTTTGAGACACTCTTTCTGCACTACCTGGAAGTGGACGTTTGGAGCGCTTTGAGGCCTATGTTGAAAAAGGAAATATCTTCCCATAAAAACTAGACAGAAGCATTCTCAGAAACTTGTTTGTGATGTGTGTATTCAACTAACAGAGATGAACCTTTCTTTTTACAGAGCAGTTTTGAAACACTCTTTTTGTGGAATCTGAAAGTGGATATTTGGATAGCTTTGAGGATTTCGTTGGAAACGGGATTACATATAAAACCTAGAGAGAAGCATTCTCAGGAACTTCTTTGTGATGTTTGCCTTCAAGTCACAGGACTGAACATTCCCTTTCATAGAGCAGGTTTGAAACACTCTTTCTGTAGTATCTGCAAGCTGACGTTTCATGCGCTTTCAGGCCTTTGGTGAGAAAGGAAATATCTTCAAGTAAAAACTAGACAGAAGCATTGTCAGAAACTTATTTGCCATGTGTGTTCTCAACTAACAGAGTTGAACCTTTGTTTTGATACGGCATTTTGGAAACACTCTTTTTGTAGAATCTGCAGGTGGATATTCGGATAGCTTTGAAGGTTTCGTTGGAAACGGGAATATCTTCATATAAAATCTAGACGGAAGCATTCTCAGAAACTTCTCTGTGATGTTTGCATTCAACTCATAGAGTTGAACACTTCCCTTCATACAGCAGGTTTGAAACACTCTTTTTGTAATATTTGGAAGTGGACATTTGCAGCGCTTTGAGGCCTATGATGAAAAAGGTAATATCTTCCCATAAAAACTAGACAGAAGCATTCTCAGAAACTTGTTTGTGATGTGTGTATTCAACTGAGATGAACCTTTCTTTTTACAGAGCAGTTTTGAAACACTCTTTTTGTGGAATCTGAAAGTGGATATTTGGATAGCTTTGAGGATTTCGTTGGAAACGGGATTACATATAAAATCTAGGGAGAAGCATTCTCAGGAACTTCTTTGTGATGTTTGCATTCAAGTCACAGAACTGAACATTCCCTTTCATAGAGCATGTTTGAAACACTCCTTCTGTAGTATCTGCAAGCGGACGTTTCAAGCGCTTTCAGGCCTATGGTGAGAAAGGAAATATCTTCAAGTAAAAACTAGACAAGCATTCTCAGAAACTTATTTGCGATGTGTGTCCTCAACTAACAGAGTTGAACCTTTCTTTTGATACAACATTTTGGAAACACTCTTTTTGTAGAATCTGCAAGTGGATATTTGGATAGCTTTGAAGGTTTCGTTGGAAACGGGAATATCTTCATATGAAATCAAGACAGAAGCATTCTCAGAAAGTGCTTTGTGATGTTTGCATTCAAGTCACAGAGTTGAATATTCCCTTTTATAGAGCAGGTTTGAAACACTCTTTCTGCACTACCTGGAAGTGGACATTTGGAGCGCTTTGAGGCCTATGTTGAAAAAGGAAATATGTTCCCATAAAAACTGGACAGAAGCATTCTCAGAAACTTGTTTGTGATGTGTGTATTCAACTAACAGAGATGAACCTTTCTTTTTACAGAGCAGTTTTGAAACACTCTTTTTGTGGAATCTGAAAGTGGATATTTGGATAGCTTTGAGGATTTCGTTGGAAACGGGATTACATATAAAACCTAGAGAGAAGCATTCTCAGGAACTTCTTTGTGATGTTTTCCTTCAAGTCACAGGACTGAACATTCCCTTTCATAGAGCAGGTTTGAAACACTCTTTCTGTAGTATCTGCAAGCTGACGTTTCATGCGCTTTCAGGCCTATGGTGAGAAAGGAAATATCTTCAAGTAAAAACTAGACAGAAGCCTTGTCAGAAACTTATTTGCCATGTGTGTTCTCAACTAACAGAGTTGAACTTTTGTTTTGATACGGCATTTTGGAAACACTCTTTTTGTAGAATCTGCAGGTGGATATTCGGATAGCTTTGAAGGTTTCGTTGGAAACGGGAATATCTTCATATAAAATCTAGACGGAAGCATTCTCAGAAACTGCTTTGTGATGTTTTCATTCAAGTCACGGAGTAGAATGTTCCCTGTTATATACCAGGTTTGAGACACTCTTTCTGCACTACCTGGAAGTGGACATTTGGAGCGCTTTGAGGCCTATGATGAAAAAGGAAATATCTTCCCATAAAAACTAGACAGAAGCATTCTCAGAAACTTGTTTGTGATGTGTGTATTCAACTAACAGAGATGAACCTTTCTTTTTACAGATCAGTTTTGAAACACTCTTTTTGTGGAATCTGAAAGTGGATATTTGGATAGCTTTGAGGATTTCGTTGGAAACGGGATTACATATAAAATCTAGAGAGAAGCATTCTCAGGAACTTCTTTGTGATGTTTGCATTCACGTCACAGAACTGAACATTCCCTTTCATAGAGCATGTTTGAAACACTCTTTCTGTAGTATCTGCAAACGGACATTTCAAACGCTTTCAGGCCTATGGTGAGAAAGGAAATATCTTCAAATAAAAACTAGACAGAAGCATTCTCAGAAACTTATTTGCCATGTGTGTTCTCAACTAACAGAGTTGAACCTTTGTTTTGATACGGCATTTTGGAAACACTCTTTTTGTAGAATCTGCAGGTGGATATTCGGATAGCTTTGAAGGTTTCGTTGGAAACGGGAATATCTTCATATAAAATCTAGACGGAAGCATTCTCAGAAAGTGCTTTGTGATGTTTGCATTCAAGTCACAGAGTTGAATGTTCCCTTTTATAGAGCAGGTTTGAAACACTCTTTCTGCACTACCTGGAAGTGGACATTTGGAGCGCTTTGAGGCCTATGTTGAAAAAGGAAATATCTTCCCATAAAAACTAGACAGAAGCATTCTCAGAAACTTGTTTGTGATGTGTGTATTCAACTAACAGAGATGAACCTTTCTTTTTACAGTGCAGTTTTGAAACACTCTTTTTGTGGAATCTGAAAGTGGATATTTGGATAGCTTTGAGGATTTCGTTGGAAACGGGATTACATATAAAATCTAGAGAGAAGCATTCTCAGGAACTTCTTTGTGATGTTTGCATTCAAGTCACAGAACTGAACATTCCCTTTCATAGAGCAGGTTTGAAACACTCTTTCTGTAGTATCTGCAAGCTGACGTTTCAAGCGCTTTCAGGCCTATGGTGAGAAAGGAAATATCTTCAAGTAAAAACTAGACAGAAGCATTCTCAGAAACTTATTTGCGATGTGTGTTCTCAACTAACAGAGTTGAACCTTTGTTTTGATATGGCATTTTGGAAACACTCTTTTTGTAGAATCTGCAGGTGGATATTCGGATAGCTTTGAAGGTTTCGTTGGAAACGGGAATATCTTCATATAAAATCTAGACGGAAGCATTCTCAGAAAGTGATTTGTGATGTTTGCATTCAAGTCACAGAGTTGAATATTCCCTTTTATAGAGCAGGTTTGAAACACTCTTTCTGCACTACCTGGAAGTGGACATTTGGAGCGCTTTGAGGCCTATGTTGAAAAAGGAAATATCTTCCCATGAAAACTAGACAGAAGCATTCTCAGAAACTTCTTTGTGATGTGTGTATTCAACTAACAGAGATGAACCTTTCTTTTTACAGAGCAGTTTTGAAACACTCTTTTTGTGGAATCTGAAAGTGGATATTTGGATAGCTTTGAGGATTTCGTTGGAAACGAGATTACATATAAAACCTAGTGAGAAGCATTCTCAGGAACTTCTTTGTGATGTTTGCATTCAAGTCACAGAACTGAACATTCCCTTTCATAGAGCATGTTTGAAACACTCTTTCTGTAGTATCTGCAAGCGGACGTTTCAAACGCTTTCAGGCCTATGGAGAGAAAGGAAATATCTTCAAGTAAAAACTAGACAGAAGCATTCTCAGAAACTTATTTGCCATGTGTGTTCTCAACTAACAGAGTTGAACCTTTGTTTTGATACGGCATTTTGGAAACACTCTTTTTGTAGAATCTGCAGGTGGATATTCGGATAGCTTTGAAGGTTTCGTTGGAAACGGGAATATCTTCATATAAAATCTAGACGGAAGCATTCTCAGAAACTTCTCTGTGATGTTTGCATTCAACTCATAGAGTTGAACACTTCCCTTCATACAGCAGGTTTGAAACACTCTTTTTGTAATATTTGGAAGTGGACATTTGCAGCGCTTTGAGGCCTATGATGAAAAAGGAAATATCTTCCCATAAAAACTAGACAGAAGCATTCTCAGAAACTTGTTTGTGATGTGTGTATTCAACTAACAGAGATGAACCTTTCTTTTTACAGAGCAGTTTTGAAACACTCTTTTTGTGGAATCTGAAAGTGGATATTTGGATAGCTTTGAGGATTTCGTTGGAAACGGGATTACATATAAAATCTAGAGAGAAGCATTCTCAGGAACTTCTTTGTGATGTTTGCATTCAAGTCACAGGACTGAACATTCCCTTTCATAGAGCAGGTTTGAAACACTCTTTCTGTAGTATCTGCAAGCTGACGTTTCAAGCGCTTTCAGGCCTATGGTGAGAAAGGAAATATCTTCAAGTAAAAACTAGACAGAAGCATTCTCAGAAACTTATTTGCCATGTGTGTTCTCAACTAACAGAGTTGAACCTTTGTTTTGATACGGCATTTTGGAAACACTCTTTTTGTAGAATCTGCAGGTGGATATTCGGATAGCTTTGAAGGTTTCGTTGGAAACGGGAATATCTTCATATAAAATCTAGACGGAAGCATTCTCAGAAAGTGCTTTGTGATGTTTGCATTCAAGTCACAGAGTTGAATATTCCCTTTTATAGAGCAGGTTTGAAACACTCTTTCTGCACTACCTGGAAGTGGACATTTGGAGCGCTTTGAGGCCTATGTTGAAAAAGGAAATATCTTCCCATAAAAACTAGACAGAAGCATTGTCAGAAACTTGTTTGTGATGTGTGTATTCAACTAACAGAGATGAACCTTTCTTTTTACAGAGCAGTTTTGAAACACTCTTTTTGTGGAATCTGAAAGTGGATATTTGGATAGCTTCGAGGATTTCGTTGGAAACGGGATTACATATAAAACCTAGAGAGAAGCATTCTCAGGAACTTCTTTGTGATGTTTGCCTTCAAGTCACAGGACTGAACATTCCCTTTCATAGAGCAGGTTTGAAACACTCTTTCTGTAGTATCTGCAAGCTGAAGTTTCAAGCGCTTTCAGGCCTATGGTGAGAAAGGAAATATCTTCAAGTAAAAACTAGACAGAAGCATTCTCAGAAACTTCTTTGTGCTGTATGTCCTCAATTAACAGAGTTGAACCTTTGTGTGGATACAGCATTTTGGAAACATTCCTTTAGTAGAATCTGCAAGTTGATATTTAGATAGCTAGGAAGAGTTTCCTTGGAAACGGGAATATCTTCATATAAAATCTAGACGGAAGCATTCTCAGAAACTGCTTTGTGATGTTTTCATTCAAGTCACAGAGTAGAATGTTCCCTGTTATATACCAGGTTTGAGACACTCTTTCTGCACTACCTGGAAGTGGACATTTGCAGCGCTTTGAGGCCTATGATGAAAAAGGAAATATCTTCCCATAAAAACTAGACAGAAGCATTCTCAGAAACTTGTTTGTGATGCGTGTATTCAACTAACAGAGATGAACCTTTCTTTTTACAGAGCAGTTTTGAAACACTCTTTTTGTGGAATCTGAAAGTGGATATTTGGATAGCTTTGCGGATTTCGTTGGAAACGGGATTACATATAAAATCTAGGGAGAAGCATTCTCAGGAACTTCTTTGTGATGTTTGCATTCAAGTCACAGAACTGAACATTCCCTTTCATAGAGCAGGTTTGAAACACTCTTTCTGTAGTATCTGCAAGCGGACGTTTTAAGCGCTTTCAGGCCTGTGGTGAGAAAGGAAATATCTTCAAATAAAAACTAGACAGAAGCATTCTCAGAGACTTATTTGCGATGTGTGTCCTCAACTAACAGAGTTGAACCTTTCTTTTGATACAACATTTTGGAAACACTCTTTTTGTAGAATCTGCAAGTGGATATTTGGATAGCTTTGAAGGTTTCGTTGGAAACGGGAATATCTTCATATGAAATCAAGACAGAAGCATTCTCAGAAACTTCTCTGTGATGTTTGCATTCAACTCATAGAGTTGAACACTTCCCTTCATACAGCAGGTTTGAAACACTCTTTTTGTAATATTTGGAAGTGGACATTTGCAGCGCTTTGAGGCCTATGATGAAAAAGGAAATATCTTCCCATAAAAACTAGACAGAAGCATTCTCAGAAACTTGTTTGTGATGTGTGTATTCAACTAACAGAAATGAACCTTTCTTTTTACAGAGCAGTTTTGAAACACTCTGTTTGTGGAATCTGAAAGTGGATATTTGGATAGCTTTGAGGATTTCGTTGGAAACGGGATTATATATAAAACCTAGAGAGAAGCATTCTCAGGAACTTCTTTGTGATGTTTGCATTCAAGTCACAGAACTGAACATTCCCTTTCATAGTGCAGGTTTGAAACACTCTTTCTGTAGTATATGCAAGCTGACGTTTCAAGCGCTTTCAGGCCTGTGGTGAAAAAGGAAATATCTTCAAATAAAAACTAGACAGAAGCATTCTCAGAAACTTATTTGCGATGTGTGTTCTCAACTAACAGAGTTGAACCTTTGTTTGGATACAACATTTTGGAAACACTCTTTTTGTAGAATCTGCAAGTGGATATTTGGATAGCTTTGAAGGTTTCGTTGGAAACGGGAATATCTTGATATAAAATCAAGACAGAAGCATTCTCAGAAACTGCTTTGTGATGTTTTCATTCAAGTCACAGAGTAGAATGTTCCCTGTTATATACCAGGTTTGAGACACTCTTTCTGCACTACCTGGAAGTGGACGTTTGGAGCGTTTTGAGGCCTATGTTGAAAAAGGAAATATCTTCCCATAAAAACTAGACAGAAGCATTCTCAGAAACTTGTTTGTGATGTGTGTATTCAACTAACAGAGATGAACCTTTCTTTTTACAGAGCAGTTTTGAATCACTCTTTTTGTGGAATCTGAAAGTGGATATTTGGATAGCTTTGAGGATTTCGTTGGAAACGGGATTACATATAAAATCTAGAGAGAAGCATTCTCAGGAACTTCTTTGTGATGTTTGCATTCACGTCACAGAACTGAACATTCCCTTTCATATAGCATGTTTGAAACACTCTTTCTGTAGTATCTGCAAGTGGATATTTCAAGCGCTTTCAGGCCTCTGGTGAGAAAGGAAATATCTTCAAATAAAAACTGGACAGAAGCATTCTCAGAAACTTATTTGCGATGTGTGTCCTCAACTAACAGAGTTGAACCTTTGTTTTGATACAGCACTTTGGAAACACCCTTTTGGTAGAATCTGCAGGTGGATACTTGGATACCTTTGAAGGTTTCATTGGAAAGGGGAATATCTTCATATAAAATCAAGACAGAAGCATTCTCAGAAAATTCTCTGTGATGTTTGCATTCAACTCATAGAGTGGAACACTTCCTTTCATAGAGCAGGTTTGAAACACTCTTTTTGTAATATTTGGAAGAGGACATTGGCAGCGCTTTGAGGCCTATGGTGAAAAAGGAAATATCTTCTCCTAAAAACCAGACAGAAGCATTCTCAGAAACTTATTTGCGATGTGTGTCCTCAACTAACAGAGTTGAACCTTTCTTTTGATACAACATTTTGGAAACACTCTTTTTGTAGAATCTGCAAGTGGATATTTGAATAGCTTTGAAGGTTTCGTTGGTAACGGGAATATCTTCATATAAAATCAAGACAGAAGCATTCTCAGAAACTTCTCTGTGATGTTTGCATTCAACTCATAGAGTTGAACACTTCCCTTCATACAGCAGGTTTGAAACACTCTTTTTGTAATATTTGGAAGTGGACATTTGCAGCGCTTTGAGGCCTATGATGAAAAAGGAAATATCTTCCCATAAAAACTAGACAGAAGCATTCTCAGAAACTTGTTTCTGATGTGTGTATTCAACTAACAGAGATGAACCTTTCTTTTTACAGAGTAGTTTTGAAACACTCTTTTTGTGGAATCTGAAAGTGGATATTTGGATAGCTTTGCGGATTTCGTTGGAAACGGGATTACATATAAAATCTAGAGAGAAGCATTCTCAGGAACTTCTTTGTGATGTTTGCATTCACGTCACAGAACTGAACATTCCCTTTCATAGAGCATGTTTGAAACACTCTTTCTGTAGTATCTGCAAACGGACATTTCAAACGCTTTCAGGCCTATGGTGAGAAAGGAAATATCTTCAAATAAAAACTAGACAGAAAGCATTCTCAGAAACTTATTTGCGATGTGTGTCCTCAACTATCAGAGTTGAACCTTTCTTTTGATTCAACATTTTGGAACCACTCTTTTTGTAGAATCTGCAAGTGGATATTTGAATAGCTTTGAAGGTTTCGTTGGAAACGGGAATATCTTCATATAAAATCAAGACAGAAGCATTCTCAGAAAGTGCTTTGTGATGTTTGCATTCAAGTCACAGAGTTGAATATTCCCTTTTATAGAGCAGGTTTGAAACACTCTTTCTGCACTACCTGGAAGTGGACATTTGGAGCGCTTTGAGGCCTATGTTGAAAAAGGAAATATCTTCCCATAAAAACTAGACAGAAGCATTCTCAGAAACTTGTTTGTGATGTGTGTATTCAACTAACAGAGATGAACCTTTCTTTTTACAGAGGAGTTTTGAAACACTCTTTTTGTGGAATCTGAAAGTGGATATTTGGATAGCTTTGAGGATTTCGTTGGAAACGGGATTACATATAAAACCTAGAGAGAAGCATTCTCAGGAACTTCTTTGTGATGTTTTCATTCAAGTCACAGAACTGAACATTCCCTTTCATAGAGCAGGTTTGAAACACTCTTTCTGTAGTATCTGAAAGCTGACGTTTCAAGCGCTTTCAGGCCTATGGTGAGAAAGGAAATATCTTCAAGTAAAAACTAGACAGAAGCATTCTCAGAAACTTATTTGCGATGTGTGTTCTCAACTAACAGAGTTGAACCTTTGTTTTGATATGGCATTTTGGAAACACTCTTTTTGTAGAATCTGCAGGTGGATATTCGGATAGCTTTGAAGGTTTCGTTGGAAACGGGAATATCTTCATATAAAATCTAGACGGAAGCATTCTCAGAAACTTTTCTGTTCTGTTTGCATTCAACTCATAGAGTTGAACACTTCCTTTCATAGAGCTGGTTTGAAATACTCTTTTTGTAATATTTGGAAGTGGACATAGGCAGCGGTTTGAAGCCTATGGTGAAAAAGGAGATATCTTCTCCTAAAAACCAGACAGAAGCATTCTCAGAATCTTTCTTGTGATGTGTGTACTCAAGTAACAGAGTTGAACCTTCATTTTGACAGAGCAGTTTTGAAGCACTCTTTTTGCAGAATCTGCAAGTGGATATTTTGATACCTTTGAGGATTTCGTTAGACACGGGATATCTTCATATAAAATCTAGACAGAAGCATTCTCAGGAACTTCTTTGTGATGTTTGCATTCAAGTCACAGAACTGAACATTCCCTTTCATAGAGCAGGTTTGAAACACTCTTTCTGTAGTATCTGCAAGCGGACGTTTTAAGCGCTTTCAGGCCTGTGGTGAGAAAGGAAATATCTTCAAATAAAAACTAGACAGAAGCATTCTCAGAAACTTATTTGCCATGTGTGTTCTCAACTAACAGAGTTGAACCTTTGTTTTGATACGGCATTTTGGAAACACTCTTTTTGTAGAATCTGCAGGTGGATATTCGGATAGCTTTGAAGGTTTCGTTGGAAACGGGAATATCTTCATATAAAATCTAGACGGAAGCATTCTCAGAAACTTCTCTGTGATGTTTGCATTCAACTCATAGAGTTGAACACTTCCCTTCATACAGCAGGTTTGAAACACTCTTTTTGTAATATTTGGAAGTGGACTTTTGCAGCGCTTTGAGGCCTATGATGAAAAAGGTAATATCTTCCCATAAAAACTAGACAGAAGCATTCTCAGAAACTTGTTTGTGATGTGTGTATTCAACTAACAGAGATGAACCTTTCTTTTTACAGAGCAGTTTTGAAACACTCTTTTTGTGGAATCTGAAAGTGGATATTTGGATAGCTTTGACGATTTCGTTGGAAACGGGATTACATATAAAATCTACGGAGAAGCATTCTCAGGAACTTCTTTGTGATGTTTGCATTCAAGTCACAGAACTGAACATTCCCTTTCATAGAGCATGTTTGAAACACTCTTTCTGTAGTATCTGCAAGCGGACGTTTTAAGCGCTTTCAGGCCTGTGGTGAGAAAGGAAATATCTTCAAATAAAAACTAGACAGAAGCATTCTCAGAAACTTATTTGCGATGTGTGTTCTCAACTAACAGAGTTGAACCTTTGTTTTGATATGGCATTTTGGAAACACTCTTTTTGTAGAATCTGCAGGTGGATATTCGGATAGCTTTGAAGGTTTCGTTGGAAACGGGAATATCTTCATATAAAATCTAGACGGAAGCATTCTCAGAAAGTGCTTTGTGATGTTTGCATTCAAGTCACAGAGTTGAATATTCCCTTTTATAGAGCAGGTCTGAAACACTCTTTCTGCACTACCTGGAAGTGGACATTTGGAACGCTTTGAGGCCTATGTTGAAAAAGGAAATATCTTCCCATAAAAACTAGACAGAAGCATTCTCAGAAATTTGTTTGTGATGTGTGTATTCAACTAACAGAGATGAACCTTTCTTTTTACAGAGCAGTTTTGAAACACTCTTTTTGTGGAATCTGAAAGTGGATATTTGGATAGCTTTGAGGATTTCGTTGGAAACGGGATTACATATAAAACCTAGAGAGAAGCATTCTCAGGAACTTCTTTGTGATGTTTGCATTCAAGTCACAGAACTGAACATTCCCTTTCATAGAGCAGGTTTGACACACTCTTTCTGTAGTATCTGCAAGCTGACGTTTCAAGCGCTTTCAGGCCTATGGTGAGAAAGGAAATATCTGCAAGTAAAAACTAGACAGAAGCATTCTCAGAAACTTATTTGCCATGTGTGTTCTCAACTAACAGAGTTGAACCTTTGTTTTGATACGGCATTTTGGAAACACTCTTTTTGTAGAATCTGCAGGTGGATATTCGGATAGCTTTGAAGGTTTCGTTGGAAACGGGAATATCTTCATATAAAATCTGGACGGAAGCATTCTCAGAAACTGCTTTGTGATGTTTTCATTCAAGTCACAGAGTAGAATGTTCCCTGTTATATACCAGGTTTGAGACACTCTTTCTGCACTACCCGGAAGTGGACGTTTGGAGCGCTTTGAGGCCTATGTTGAAAAAGGAAATATCTTCCCATAAAAACTAGACAGAAGCATTCTCAGAAACTTGTTTGTGATGTGTGTATTCAACTAACAGAGATGAACCTTTCTTTTTACAGAGCAGTTTTGAAACACTCTTTTTGTGGAATCTGAAAGTGGATATTTGGATAGCTTTGAGGATTTCGTTGGAAACGGGATTACATATAAAACCTAGAGAGAAGCATTCTCAGGAACTTCTTTGTGATGTTTGCCTTCAAGTCACAGGACTGAACATTCCCTTTCATAGAGCAGGTTTGAAACACTCTTTCTGTAGTATCTGCAAGCTGACGTTTCAAGCGCTTTCAGGCCTATGGTGAGAAAGGAAATATCTTCAAGTAAAAACTAGACAGAAGCATTCTCAGAAACTTATTTGCGATGTGTGTTCTCAACTAACAGAGTTGAACCTTTGTTTTGATATGGCATTTTGGAAACACTCTTTTTGTAGAATCTGCAGGTGGATATTCGGATAGCTTTGAAGGTTTCGTTGGAAACGGGAATATCTTCATATAAAATCTAGACGGAAGCATTCTCAGAAAGTGCTTTGTGATGTTTGCATTCAAGTCACAGAGTTGAATATTCCCTTTTATAGAGCAGGTTTGAAACACTCTTTCTGCACTACCTGGAAGTGGACATTTGGAGCGCTTTGAGGCCTATGTTGAAAAAGGAAATATCTTCCCATAAAAACTAGACAGAAGCATTCTCAGAAACTTGTTTGTGATGTGTGTATTCAACTAACAGAGATGAACCTTTCTTTTACAGAGCAGTTTTGAAACACTCTTTTTGTGGAATCTGAAAGTGGATATTTGGATAGCTTTGAGGATTTCGTTGGAAACGGGATTACATATAAAACCTAGAGAGAAGCATTCTCAGGAACTTCTTTGTGATGTTTGCCTTCAAGTCACAGGACTGAACATTCCCTTTCATAGAGCAGGTTTGAAACACTCTTTCTGTAGTATCTGCAAGCTGACGTTTCAAGCGCTTTCAGGCCTATGGTGAGAAAGGAAATATCTTTAAGTAAAAACTAGACAGAAGCATTCTCAGAAACTTATTTGCCATGTGTGTTCTCAACTAACAGAGTTGAACCTTTGTTTTGATACGGCATTTTGGAAACACTCTTTTTGTAGAATCTGCAGGTGGATATTCGGATAGCTTTGAAGGTTTCGTTGGAAACGGGAATATCTTCATATAAAATCTAGACGGAAGCATTCTCAGAAAGTGCTTTGTGATGTTTGCATTCAAGTCACAGAGTTGAATATTCCCTTTAATAGAGCAGGTTTGAAACACTGTTTCTGCACTACCTGGAAGTGGACATTTGGAGCGCTTTGAGGCCTATGTTGAAAAAGGAAATATCTTCCCATAAAAACTAGACAGAAGCATTCTCAGAAACTTGTTTGTGATGTGTGTATTCAACTAACAGAGATGAACCTTTCTTTTTACAGAGCAGTTTTGAAACACTCTTTTGTGGAATCTGAAAGTGGATATTTGGATAGCTTTGAGGATTTCGTTGGAAACGGGATTACATATAAAACCTAGAGAGAAGCATTCTCAGGAACTTCTTTGTGATGTTTGCATTCACGTCACAGAACTGAACATTCCCTTTCATAGAGCATGTTTGAAACACTCTTTCTGTAGTATCTGCAAGCGGACATTTCAAACGCTTTCAGGCCTATGGTGAGAAAGGAAATATCTTCAAATAAAAACTAGACAGAAGCATTCTCAGAAACTTATTTGCGATGTGTGTCCTCAACTAACAGAGTTGAACCTTTCTTTTGATACAACATTTTGGAAACACTCTTTTTGTAGAATCTGCAAGTGGATATTTGAATAGCTTTGAAGGTTTCGTTGGAAACGGGAGTATCTTCATATAAAATCAAGACAGAAGCATTCTCAGAAACTGCTTTGTGATGTTTTCATTCAAGTTACAGAGTAGAATGTTCCCTGTTATATACCAGGTTTGAGACACTCTTTCTGCACTACATGGAAGTGGACGTTTGGAGCGCTTTGAGGCCTATGTTGAAAAAGGAAATATCATCCCATAAAAACTAGACAGAAGCATTCTCAGAAACTTGTTTGTGATGTGTGTATTCAACTAACAGAGATGAACCTCTCTTTTTACAGAGCAGTTTTGAAACACTCTTTTTGTGGAATCTGAAAGTGGATATTTGGATAGCTTTGAGGATTTCGTTGGAAACGGGATTACATATAAAATCTAGGGAGAAGCATTCTCAGGAACTTCTTTGTGATGTTTGCCTTCAAGTCACAGGACTGAACATTCCCTTTCATAGAGCAGGTTTGAAACACTCTTTCTGTAGTATCTGCAAGCTGACGTTTCAAGCGCTTTCAGGCCTATGGTGAGAAAGGAAATATCTTCAAGTAAAAACTAGACAGAAGCATTCTCAGAAACTTATTTGCGATGTGTGTTCTCAACTAACAGAGTTGAACCTTTGTTTTGATATGGCATTTTGGAAACACTCTTTTTGTAGAATCTGCAGGTGGATATTCGGATAGCTTTGAAGGTTTCGTTGGAAACGGGAATATCTTCATATAAAATCTAGACGGAAGCATTCTCAGAAAGTGCTTTGTGATGTTTGCATTCAAGTCACAGAGTTGAATATTCCCTTTTATAGAGCAGGTTTGAAACACTCTTTCTGCACTACCTGGAAGTGGACATTTGGAGCGCTTTGAGGCCTATGTTGAAAAAGGAAATATCTTCCCATAAAAACTAGACAGAAGCATTCTCAGAAACTTGTTTGTGATGTGTGTATTCAACTAACAGAGATGAACCTTTCTTTTTACAGAGCAGTTTTGAAACACTCTTTTTGTGGAATCTGAAAGTGGATATTTGGATAGCTTTGAGGATTTCGTTGGAAACGGGATTACATATAAAATCTAGAGAGAAGCATTCTCAGGAACTTCTTTTTGATGTTTGCCTTCAAGTCACAGGACTGAACATTCCCTTTCATAGAGCAGGTTTGAAACACTCTTTCTGTAGTATCTGCAAGCTGACGTTTCAAGCGCTTTCAGGCCTATGGTGAGAAAGGAAATATCTTCAAGTAAAAACTAGACAGAAGCATTCTCAGAAACTTATTTGCCATGTGTGTTCTCAACTAACAGAGTTGAACCTTTGTTTTGATACGGCATTTTGGAAACACTCTTTTTGTAGAATCTGCAGGTGGATATTCGGATAGCTTTGAAGGTTTCGTTGGAAACGGGAATATCTTCATATAAAATCTAGACGGAAGCATTCTCAGAAACTGCTTTGTGATGTTTGCATTCAAGTCACAGAGTAGAATGTTCCCTGTTATATACCAGGTTTGAGACACTCTTTCTGCACTACCTGGAAGTGGACGTTTGGAGCGCTTTGAGGCCTATGTTGAAAAAGGAAATATCTTCCCATAAAAACTAGACAGAAGCATTCTCAGAAACTTGTTTGTGATGTGTGTATTCAACTAACAGAGATGAACCTTTCTTTTTACAGAGCAGTTTTGAAACACTCTTTTTGTGGAATCTGAAAGTGGATATTTGGATAGCTTTGAGGATTTCGTTGGAAACGGGATTACATATAAAATCTAGAGAGAAGCATTCTCAGGAACTTCTTTGTGATGTTTGCATTCACGTCACAGAACTGAACATTCCCTTTCATAGAGCATGTTTGAAACACTCTTTCTGTAGTATCTGCAAACGGACATTTCAAACGCTTTCAGGCCTATGGTGAGAAAGGAAATATCTTCAAATAAAAACTAGACAGAAGCATTCTCAGAAACTTATTTGCCATGTGTGTTCTCAACTAACAGAGTTGAACCTTTGTTTTGATACGGCATTTTGGAAACACTCTTTTTGTAGAATCTGCAGGTGGATATTCGGATAGCTTTGAAGGTTTCGTTGGAAACGGGAATATCTTCATATAAAATCTAGACGGAAGCATTCTCAGAAACTTCTCTGTGATGTTTGCATTCAACTCATAGAGTTGAACACTTCCCTTCATACAGCAGGTTTGAAACACTCTTTTTGTAATATTTGGAAGTGGACATTTGCAGCGCTTTGAGGCCTATGATGAAAAAGGAAATATCTTCCCATAAAAACTAGACAGAAGCATTCTCAGAAACTTGTTTGTGATGTGTGTATTCAACTAACAGAGATGAACCTTTCTTTTTACAGAGCAGTTTTGAAACACTCTTTTTGTGGAATCTGAAAGTGGATATTTGGATAGCTTTGAGGATTTCGTTGGAAACGGGATTACATATAAAATCTAGAGAGAAGCCTTCTCAGAAACTTCTCTGTGATGTTTGCATTGAACTCATAGAGTTGAACACTTCCTTTCATAGAGCTGGTTTGAAATACTCTTTTTGTAATATTTGGAAGTGAACATTGGCAGCGCTTTAAAGCCTGTGGTGAAAAAGGAGATATCTTCTCCTAAAAACCAGACAGAAGCATTCTCAGAAACTTCTTTGTGCTGTATGTCCTCAATTAACAGAGTTGAACCTTTGTGTGGATACAGCATTTTGGAAACATTCCTTTAGTAGAATCTGCAAGTTGATATTTAGATAGCTAGGAAGATTTCCTTGGAAACGGGAATATCTTCATATAAAATCTAGACGGAAGCATTCTCAGAAAGTGCTTTGTGATGTTTGCATTCAAGTCACAGAGTTGAATATTCCCTTTTATAGAGCAGGTTTGAAACACTCTTTCTGCACTACCTGGAAGTGGACATTTGGAGCGCTTTGAGGCCTATGTTGAAAAAGGAAATATCTTCCCATAAAAACTAGACAGAAGCATTCTCAGAAACTTGTTTGTGATGTGTGTATTCAACTAACATAGATGAACCTTTCTTTTTACAGAGCAGTTTTGAAACACTCTTTTTGTGGAATCTGAAAGTGGATATTTGGATAGCTTTGAGGATTTCGTTGGAAACGGGATTACATATAAAACCTAGAGAGAAGCATTCTCAGGAACTTCTTTGTGATGTTTGCATTCAAGTCACAGAACTGAACATTCCCTTTCATAGAGCAGGTTTGAAACACTCTTTCTGTAGTATCTGCAAGCTGACGTTTCAAGCGCTTTCAGGCCTATGGTGAGAAAGGAAATATCTTCAAGTAAAAACTAGACAGAAGCATTCTCAGAAACTTATTTGCCATGTGTGTTCTCAACTAACAGAGTTGAAGCTTTGTTTTCATACGGCATTTTGGAAACACTCTTTTTGTAGAATCTGCAGGTGGATATTCGGATAGCTTTAAAGGTTTCGTTGGAAACGGGAATATCTTCATATAAAATCTAGACGGAAGCATTCTCAGAAACTGCTTTGTGATGTTTTCATTCAAGTCACAGAGTAGAATGTTCCCTGTTATATACCAGGTTTGAGACCCTCTTTCTGCACTACCTGGAAGTGGACATTTGGAGCGCTTTGAGGCCTATGCTGAAAAAGGAAATATCTTCCCATAAAAACTAGACAGAAGCATTCTCAGAAACTTGTTTGTGATGTGTGTATTCAACTAACAGAGATGAACCTTTCTTTTTACAGAGCAGTTTTGAAACACTCTTTTTGTGGAATCTGAAAGTGGATATTTGGATAGCTTTGAGGATTTCGTTGGAAACGGGATTACATATAAAATCTAGAGAGAAGCATTCTCAGGAACTTCTTTGTGATGTTTGCATTCAAGTCACAGAACTGAACATTCCCTTTCATAGAGCAGGTTTGAAACACTCTTTCTGTAGTATCTGCAAGCGGACGTTTTAAGCGCTTTCAGGCCTGTGGTGAGAAAGGAAATATCTTCAAATAAAAACTAGACAGAAGCATTCTCAGAAACTTATTTGCGATGTGTGTCCTCAACTAACAGAGTTGAACCTTTCTTTTGATACAACATTTTGGAAACACTCTTTTTGTAGAATCTGCAAGTGGATATTTGGATAGCTTTGAAGGTTTCGTTGGAAACGGGAATATCTTCATATGAAATCAAGACAGAAGCATTCTCAGAAAGTGCTTTGTGATGTCTTCATTCAAGTCACAGAGTAGAATGTTCCCTTTTATAGAGCAGGTTTGAAACACTCTTTCTGCACTACCTGGAAGTGGACATTTGGAGCGCTTTGAGACCTATGTTGAAAAAGGAAATATACTTCCCATAAAAACTAGACAGAAGCATTCTCAGAAACTTGTTTGTGATGTGTGTATTCAACTAACAGAGATGAACCTTTCTTTTTACAGAGCAGTTTTGAAACACTCTTTTTGTGGAATCTGAAAGTGGATATTTGGATAGCTTTGAGGATTTCGTTGGAAACGGGATTACATATAAAACCTAGAGAGAAGCATTCTCAGGAACTTCTTTGTGATGTTTGCATTCAAGTCACAGGACAGAACATTCCCTTTCATAGAGCACGTTTGAAACACTCTTTCTGTAGTATCTGCAAGCTGACGTTTCAAGCGCTTTCAGGCCTATGGTGAGAAAGGAAATATCTTCAAGTAAAAACTAGACAGAAGCATTCTCAGAAACTTATTTGCGAAGTGTGTTCTCAACTAACAGAGTTGAACCTTTGTTTTGATACGGCATTTTGGAAACACTCTTTTTATAGAATCTGCAGGTGGATATTCGGATAGCTTTGAAGGTTTCGTTGGAAACGGGAATATCTTCATATAAAATCTAGACGGAAGCATTCTCAGAAAGTGCTTTGTGATGTTTGCATTCAAGTCACAGAGTTGAATATTCCCTTTTATAGAGCAGGTTTGAAACACTCTTTCTGCACTACCTGGAAGTGGACATTTGGAGCGCTTTGAGGCCTATGTTGAAAAAGGAAATATCTTCCCATAAAAACTAGACAGAAGCATTCTCAGAAATTTGTTTGTGATGTGTGTATTCAACTAACAGAGATGAACCTTTCTTTTTACAGAGCAGTTTTGAAACACTCTTTTTGTGGAATCTGAAAGTGGATATTTGGATAGCTTTGAGGATTTCGTTGGAAACGGGATTACATATAAAATCTAGAGAGAAGCATTCTCAGGAACTTCTTTGTGATGTTTGCATTCAAGTCACAGAACTGAACATTCCCTTTCATAGAGCATGTTTGAAACACTCTTTCTGTAGTATCTGCAAGCGGACGTTTCAAGCGCTTTCAGGCCTATGGTGAGAAAGGAAATATCTTCAAGTAAAAACTAGACAGAAGCATTCTCAGAAACTTCTTTGTGCTGTATGTCCTCAATTAACAGAGTTGAACCTTTGTGTGGATACAGCATTTTGGAAACATTCCTTTAGTAGAATCTGCAAGTTGATATTTAGATAGCTAGGAAGATTTCCTTGGAAACGGGAATATCTTCATATAAAATCTAGACGGAAGCATTCTCAGAAAGTGCTTTGTGATGTTTGCATTCAAGTCACAGAGTTGAATATTCCCTTTTATAGAGCAGGTCTGAAACACTCTTTCTGCACTACCTGGAAGTGGACATTTGGAACGCTTTGAGGCCTATGTTGAAAAAGGAAATATCTTCCCATAAAAACTAGACAGAAGCATTCTCAGAAACTTGTTTGTGATGTGTGTATTCAACTAACAGAGATGAACCTTTCTTTTTACAGAGCAGTTTTGAAACACTCTTTTTGTGGAATCTGAAAGTGGATATTTGGATAGCTTTGAGGATTTCGTTGGAAACGGGATTACATATAAAACCTAGAGAGAAGCATTCTCAGGAACTTCTTTGTGATGTTTTCCTTCAAGTCACAGGACTGAACATTCCGTTTCATAGAGCAGGTTTGAAACACTCTTTCGGTAGTATCTGCAAGCTGACGTTTCATGCGCTTTCAGGCCTATGGTGAGAAAGGAAATATCTTCAAGTAAAAACTAGACAGAAGCATTGTCAGAAACTTATTTGCCATGTGTGTTCTCAACTAACAGAGTTGAACCTTTGTTTTGATACGGCATTTTGGAAACACTCTTTTTGTAGAATCTGCAGGTGGATATTCGGATAGCTTTGAAGGTTTCGTTGGAAACGGGAATATCTTCATATAAAATCTAGACGGAAGCATTCTCAGAAACTGCTTTGTGATGTTTTCATTCAAGTCAGAGAGTAGAATATTCCCTGTTATATACCAGGTTTGAGACACTCTTTCTGCACTACCTGGAAGTGGACATTTGGAGCGCTTTGAGGCCTATGATGAAAAAGGAAATATCTTCCCATAAAAACTAGACAGAAGCATTCTCAGAAACTTGTTTGTGATGTGTGTATTCAACTAACAGAGATGAACCTTTCTTTTTACAGAGCAGTTTTGAAACACTCTTTTTGTGGAATCTGAAAGTGGATATTTGGATAGCTTTGAGGATTTCGTTGGAAACGGGATTACATATAAAACCTAGAGAGAAGCATTCTCAGGAACTTCTTTGCGATGTTTGCATTCAAGTCACAGAACTGAACATTCCCTTTCATAGAGCAGGTTTGAAACACTCTTTCTGTAGTATCTGCAAGCTGACGTTTCAAGCGCTTTCAGGCCTATGGTGAGAAAGGAAATTTCTGCAAGTAAAAACTAGACAGAAGCATTCTCAGAAACTTATTTGCGATGTGTGTTCTCAACTAACAGAGTTGAACCTTTGTTTTGATATGGCATTTTGGAAACACTCTTTTTGTAGAATCTGCAGGTGGATATTCGGATAGCTTTGAAGGTTTCGTTGGAAACGGGAATATCTTCATATAAAATCTAGACGGAAGCATTCTCAGAAACTGCTTTGTGATGTTTTCATTCAAGTCACAGAGTAGAATGTTCCCTTTTATATACCAGGTTTGAGACACTCTTTCTGCACTATCTGGAAGTGGACATTTGGAGCGCTTTGAGGCCTATGATGAAAAAGGAAATATCTTCCCATAAAAACTAGACAGAAGCATTCTCAGAAACTTATTTGCGATGTGTGTTCTCAGCTAACAGAGTTGAACATTTGTTTTGATACAGCATTTTGGAAACACTCTTTTTGTAGGATCTGCAGGTGGATATTTGGATAGCTTTGAAGGTTTCTTTGGAAACGGGAATATCTTCATATAAAATCAAGACAGAAGCATTCTCAGAAACTTCTCTGTGATGTTTGCATTCAACTCATAGAGTTGAACACTTCCTTTCATAGAGCTGGTTTGAAATACTCTTTTTATAATATTTGGAAGTGGACATTGGCAGCGCTTTGAAGCCTATGGTGAAAAAGGAGATATCTTCTCCTAAAAACCAGACAGAAGCATTCTCAGAAACTTATTTGCGATGTGTGTTCTCAACTAACAGAGTTGAACCTTTGTTTGGATACGGCATTTTGGAAACACTCTTTTTGTAGAATCTGCAGGTGGATATTCGGATAGCTTTGAAGGTTTCGTTGGAAACGGGAATATCTTCATATAAAATCTAGACGGAAGCATTCTCAGAAAGTGCTTTGTGATGTTTGCATTCAAGTCACAGAGTTGAATATTCCCTTTTATAGAGCAGGTTTGAAACACTCTTTCTGCACTATCTGGAAGTGGACATTTGGAGCGCTTTGAGGCCTATGTTGAAAAAGGAAATATCTTCCCATAAAAACTAGACAGAAGCATTCTCAGAAACTTGTTTGTGATGTGTGTATTCAACTAACAGAGATGAACCTTTCTTTTTACAGAGCAGTTTTGAAACACTCTTTTTGTGGAATCTGAAAGTGGATATTTGGATAGCTTTGAGGATTTCGTTGGAAACGGGATTACATATAAAACCTAGAGAGAAGCACTCTCAGGAACTTCTTTGTGATGTTTGCCTTCAAGTCACAGGACTGAACATTCCCTTTCATAGAGCAGGTTTGAAACACTCTTTCTGTAGTATCTGCAAGCTGACGTTTCAAGCGCTTTCAGGCCTATGGTGAGAAAGGAAATATCTTCAAGTAAAAACTAGACAGAAGCATTCTCAGAAACTTATTTGCCATGTGTGTTCTCAACTAACAGAGTTGAACCTTTGTTTTGATACGGCATTTTGGAAACACTCTTTTTGTAGAATCTGCAGGTGGATATTCGGATAGCATTGAAGGTTTCGTTGGAAACGGGAATATCTTCATATAAAATCTAGACGGAAGCATTCTCAGAAACAGCTTTGTGATGTTTTCATTCAAGTCACAGAGTACAATGTTCTCTTTTATATTCCAGGTTTGAGACACTCTTTCTGCACTATCTGGAAGTGGACATTTGGAGCGCTTTGAGGCCTATGATGAAAAAGGAAATATCTTCCCATAAAAACTAGACAGAAGCATTCTCAGAAACTTGTTTGTGATGTGTGTATTCAACTAACAGAGATGAACCTTTCTTTTTACAGAGCAGTTTTGAAACACTCTTTTTGTGGAATCTGAAAGTGGATATTTGGATAGCTTTGAGGATTTCGTTGGAAACGGGATTACATATAAAATCTAGAGAGAAGCATTCTCAGGAACTTCTTTGTGATGTTTGCATTCAAGTCACAGAACTGAACATTCCCTTTCATAGAGCAGGTTTGAAACACTCTTTCTGTAGTATCTGCAAGCGGACGTTTTAAGCGCTTTCAGGCCTGTGGTGAGAAAGGAAATATCTTCAAATAAAAACTAGACAGAAGCATTCTCAGAAACTTATTTGCCATGTGTGTTCTCAACTAACAGAGTTGAACCTTTGTTTTGATACGGCATTTTGGAAACACTCTTTTTGTAGAATCTGCAGGTGGATATTCGGATAGCTTTGAAGGTTTCGTTGGAAACGGGAATACCTTCATATAAAATCTAGACGGAAGCATTCTCAGAAACTGCTTTGTGATGTTTTCATTCAAGTCACAGAGTAGAATGTTCGCTGTTATATACCAGGTTTGAGACACTCTTTCTGCACTACCTGGAAGTGGACGTTTGGAGCGCTTTGAGGCCTATGTTGAAAAAGGAAATATCTTCCCATAAAAACTAGACAGAAGCATTCTCAGAAACTTGTTTGTGATGTGTGTATTCAACTAACAGAGATGAACCTTTCTTTTTACAGAGCAGTTTTGAAACACTCTTTTTGTGGAATCTGAAAGTGGATATTTGGATAGCTTTGAGGATTTCGTTGGAAACGGGATTACATAAAAAATCTAGGGAGAAGCATTCTCAGGAACTTCTTTGTGATGTTTGCATTCAAGTCACAGAACTGAACATTCCGTTTCATAGAGCAGGTTTGAAACACTCTTTCTGTAGTATCTGCAAGCGGACGTTTCAAGCGCTTTCAGGCCTATGGTGAGAAAGGAAATATCTTCAAATAAAAACTAGACAGAAGCATTCTCAGAAACTTATTTGCCATGTGTGTTCTCAACTAACAGAGTTGAACCTTTGTTTTGATACGGCATTTTGGAAACACTCTTTTTGTAGAATCTGCAGGTGGATATTCGGATAGCTTTGAAGGTTTCGTTGGAAACGGGAATATCTTCATATAAAATCTAGACGGAAGCATTCTCAGAAAGTGCTTTGTGATGTTTGCATTCAAGTCACAGAGTTGAATATTCCCTTTTATACAGCAGGTTTGAAACACTCTTTCTGCACTACCTGGAAGTGGACATTTGGAGCGCTTTGAGGCCTATGTTGAAAAACGAAATATCTTCCCATAAAAACTAGACAGAAGCATTCTCAGAAACTTGTTTGTGATGTGTGTATTCAACTAACAGAGATGAACCTTTCTTTTTACAGAGCAGTTTTGAAACACTCTTTTTGTGGAATCTGAAAGTGGATATTTGGATAGCTTTGAGGATTTCGTTGGAAACGGGATTACATATAAAATCTAGAGAGAAGCATTCTCAGGAACTTCTTTGTGATGTTTGCATTCAAGTCACAGAACTGAACATTCCCTTTCATAGAGCAGGTTTGAAACACTCTTTCTGTAGTATCTGCAAGCGGACGTTTTAAGCGCTTTCAGGCCTGTGGTGAGAAAGGAAATATCTTCAAATAAAAACTAGACAGAAGCATTCTCAGAAACTTATTTGCCATGTGTGTTCTCAACTAACAGAGTTGAACCTTTGTTTTGATACGGCATTTTGGAAACACTCTTTTTGTAGAATCTGCAGGTGGATATTCGGATAGCTTTGAAGGTTTCGTTGGAAACGGGAATATCTTCATATAAAATCTAGACGGAAGCATTCTCAGAAACTGCTTTGTGATGTTTTCATTCAAGTCACAGAGTAGAATGTTCCCTGTTATATACCAGGTTTGAGACACTCTTTCTGCACTACCTGGAAGTGGACGTTTGGAGCGCTTTGAGGCCTATGTTGAAAAAGGAAATATCTTCCCATAAAAACTAGACAGAAGCATTCTCAGAAACTTGTTTGTGATGTGTGTATTCAACTAACAGAGATGAACCTTTCTTTTTACAGAGCAGTTTTGAAACACTCTTTTTGTGGAATCTGAAAGTGGATATTTGGATAGCTTTGCGGATTTCGTTGGAAACGGGATTACATATAAAATCTAGGGAGAAGCATTCTCAGGAACTTCTTTGTGATGTTTGCATTCAAGTCACAGAACTGAACATTCCCTTTCATAGAGCATGTTTGTAACACTCTTTCTGTAGTATCTGCAAGCTGACGTTTCAAGCGCTTTCAGGCCTATGGTGAGAAAGGAAATATCTTCAAGTAAAAACTAGACAGAAAGCATTCTCAGAAACTTATTTGCCATGTGTGTTCTCAACTAACAGAGTTGAACCTTTGTTTTGATATGGCATTTTGGAAACACTCTTTTTGTAGAATCTGCAGGTGGATATTCGGATAGCTTTGAAGGTTTCGTTGGAAACGGGAATATCTTCATATAAAATCTAGACGGAAGCATTCTCAGAAACTGCTTTGTGATGTTTTCATTCAAGTCACAGAGTAGAATGTTCCCCGTTATATACCAGGTTTGAGACACTCTTTCTGCACTACCTGGAAGTGGACATTTGGAGCGCTTTGAGGCCTATGATGAAGAAGGAAATATCTTCCCATAAAAACTAGACAGAAGCATTCTCAGAAACTTGTTTGTGATGTGTGTATTCAACTAACAGAGATGAACCTTTCTTTTTACAGAGCAGTTTTGAAACACTCTTTTTGTGGAATCTGAAAGTGGATATTTGGATAGCTTTGAGGATTTCGTTGGAAACGGGATTACATATAAAATCTAGAGAGAAGCATTCTCAGGAACTTCTTTGTGATGTTTGCATTCAAGTCACAGAACTGAACATTCCCTTTCATAGAGCAGGTTTGAAACAGTCTTTCTGTAGTATCTGCAAGCTGACGTTTCAAGCGCTTTCAGGCCTATGGTGAGAAAGGAAATATCTTCAAGTAAAAACTAGACAGAAGCATTCTCAGAAACTTATTTGCGATGTGTGTTCTCAACTAACAGAGTTGAACCTTTGTTTTGATATGGCATTTTGGAAACACTCTTTTTGTAGAATCTGCAGGTGGATATTCGGATAGCTTTGAAGGTTTCGTTGGAAACGGGAATATCTTCATATAAAATCTAGACGGAAGCATTCTCAGAAAGTGCTTTGTGATGTTTGCATTCAAGTCACAGAGTTGAATATTCCCTTTTATAGAGCAGGTTTGAAACACTCTTTCTGCACTACCTGGAAGTGGACATTTGGAGCGCTTTGAGGCCTATGTTGAAAAAGGAAATATCTTCCCATAAAAACTAGACAGAAGCATTCTCAGAAACTTGTTTGTGATGTGTGTATTCAACTAACAGAGATGAACCTTTCTTTTTACAGAGCAGTTTTGAAACACTCTTTTTGTGGAATCTGAAAGTGGATATTTGGATAGCTTTGAGGATTTCGTTGGAAACGGGATTACATATAAAACCTAGAGAGAAGCATTCTCAGAAACTTCTCTGTGATGTTTGCATTCAACTCATAGAGTTGAACACTTCCTTTCATAGAGCTGGTTTGAAATACTCTTTTTGTAATATTTGGAAGTGGACATTGGCAGTGCTTTGAAGCCTATGGTGAAAAAGGAGATATCTTCCCCTAAAAACCAGACAGAAGCATTCTCAGAAACTTCTTTGTGCTGTATCTCCTCAATTAACAGAGTGGAACCTTAGTGTGGATACAGCATTTTGGAAACATTCCTTTAGTAGAATCTGCAAGTTGATATTTAGATAGCTAGGAAGATTTCCTTGGAAACGGGAATATCTTCATATAAAATCTAGACGGAAGCATTCTCAGAAAGTGCTTTGTGATGTTTGCATTCAATTCACAGAGTTGAATATTCCCTTTTATAGAGCAGGTTTGAAACACTCTTTCTGCACTACCTGGAAGTGGACATTTGGAGCGCTTTGAGGCCTATGTTGAAAAAGGAAATATCTTCCCATAAAAACTAGACAGAAGCATTCTCAGAAACTTGTTTGTGATGTGTGTATTCAACTAACAGAGATGAACCTTTCTTTTTACAGAGCAGTTTTGAAACACTCTTTTTGTGGAATCTGAAAGTGGATATTTGGATAGCTTTGAGGATTTCGTTGGAAACGGGATTACATATAAAATCTAGAGAGAAGCATTCTCAGGAACTTCTTTGTGATGTTTGCATTCAAGTCACAGAACAGAACATTCCCTTTCATAGAGCAGGTTTGAAACACTCTTTCTGTAGTATCTGCAAGCGGACGTTTCAAGCGCTTTCAGGCCTATGGTGAGAAAGGAAATATCTTCAAGTAAAAACTAGACAGAAGCATTCTCAGAAACTTATTTGCCATGTGTGTTCTCAACTAACAGAGTTGAACCTTTGTTTTGATACGGCATTTTGGAAACACTCTTTTTGTAGAATCTGCAGGTGGATATTCGGATAGCTTTGAAGGTTTCGTTGGAAACGGGAATATCTTCATATAAAATCTAGACGGAAGCATTCTCAGAAACTGCTTTGTGATGTTTTCATTCAAGTCACAGAGTAGAATCTTCCCTGTTATATACCAGGTTTCAGACACTCTTTCTGCACTACCTGGAAGTGGACATTTGCAGCGCTTTGAGGCCTATGATGAAAAAGGAAATATCTTCCCATAAAAACTAGACAGAAGCATTCTCAGAAACTTGTTTGTGATGTGTGTATTCAACTAACAGAGATGAACCTTTCTTTTTACAGAGCAGTTTTGAAACACTCTTTTTGTGGAATCTGAAAGTGGATATTTGGATAGCTTTGAGGATTTCGTTGGAAACGGGATTACATATAAAACCTAGAGAGAAGCATTCTCAGGAACTTCTTTGTGATGTTTGCATTCAAGTCACAGAACTGAACATTCCCTTTCATAGAGCAGGTTTGAAACACTCTTTCTGTAGTATCTGCAAGCTGACGTTTCAAGAGCTTTCAGGCCTATGGTGAGAAAGGAAATATCTTCAACTAAAAACTAGACAGAAGCATTCTCAGAAACATATTTGCCATGTGTGTTCTCAACTAACAGAGTTGAACCTTTGTTTTGATACAGCATTTTGGAAACACTCTTTTTGTAGAATCTGCAGGTGGATATTCGGATAGCTTTGAAGGTTTCGTTGGAAACGGGAATATCTTCATATAAAATCAAGACAGAAGCATTCTCAGAAACTGCTTTGTGATGTTTTCATTCAAGTCACAGAGTAGAATCTTCCCTGTTATATACCAGGTTTCAGACACTCTTTCTGCACTACCTGGAAGTGGACATTTGCAGCGCTTTGAGGCCTATGATGAAAAAGGAAATATCTTCCCATAAAAACTAGACAGAAGCATTCTCAGAAACTTGTTTGTGATGTGTGTATTCAACTAACAGAGATGAACCTTTCTTTTTACAGAGCAGTTTTGAAACACTCTTTTTGTGGAATCTGAAAGTGGATATTTGGATAGCTTTGAGGATTTCGTTGGAAACGGGATTACATATAAAACCTAGAGAGAAGCATTCTCAGGAACTTCTTTGTGATGTTTGCCTTCAAGTCACAGGACTGAACATTCCCTTTCATAGAGCAGGTTTGAAACACTCTTTCTGTAGTATCTGCAAGCTGACGTTTCAAGCGCTTTCAGGCCTATGGTGAGAAAGGAAATATCTTCAAGTAAAAACTAGACAGAAGCATTCTCAGAAACTTATTTGCCATGTGTGTTCTCAACTAACAGAGTTGAACCTTTGTTTTGATACGGCATTTTGGAAACACTCTTTTTGTAGAATCTGCAGGTGGATATTCGGATAGCTTTGAAGGTTTCGTTGGAAACGGGAATATCTTCATATAAAATCTAGACGGAAGCATTCTCAGAAACTTCTCTGTGATGTTTGCATTCAACTCATAGAGTTGAACACTTCCCTTCATACAGCAGGTGTGAAACACTCTTTTTGTATTATTTGGAAGTGGACATTTGCAGCGCTTTGAGGCCTATGATGAAAAAGGAAATATCTTCCCATAAAAACTAGACAGAAGCATTCTCAGAAACTTGTTTGTGATGTGTGTATTCAACTAACAGAGATGAACCTTTCTTTTTCCAGAGCAGTTTTGAAACACTCTTTTTGTGGAATCTGAAAGTGGATATTTGGATAGCTTTGAGGATTTCGTTGGAAACGGGATTACATATAAAACCTAGAGAGAAGCATTCTCAGGAACTTCTTTGTGATGTTTGCATTCAAGTCACAGAACTGAACATTCCCTTTCATAGAGCATGTTTGAAACACTCTTTCTGTAGTATCTGCAAACGGACATTTCAAGCGCTTTCAGGACTATGGTAAGAAAGGAAATATCTTCAAATAAAAACTAGACAGGAAGCATTCTCAGAAACTTATTTGCGATGTGTGTTCTCAACTAAAAGAGTTGAACCTTTGTTTGGATACAACGTTTTGGAAACACTCTTTTTGTAGGATCTGCAAGTGGATATTTGGATAGCTTTGAAGGTTTCGTTGGAAACCGGAATATCTTCATATAAAATCAAGACAGAAGCATTCTCAGAAACTGCTTTGTGATGTTTTCATTGAAGTCACAGAGTAGAATGTTCCCTGTTATATACCAGGTTTGAGACACTCTTTCTGCACTACCTGGAAGTGGACGTTTGGAGCGCTTTGAGGCCTATGTTGAAAAAGGAAATATCTTCCCATAAAAACTAGACAGAAGCATTCTCAGAAACTTGTTTGTGATGTGTGTATTCAACTAACAGAGATGAACCTTTCTTTTTACAAAGCAGTTTTGAAACACTCTTTTTGTGGAATCTGAAAGTGGATATTTGGATAGCTTTGAGGATTTCGTTGGAAACGGGATTACATATAAAATCTAGAGAGAAGCATTCTCAGGAACTTCTTTGTGATGTTTGCATTCAAGTCACAGAACTGAACATTCCCTTTCATAGAGCATGTTTGAAACACTCTTTCTGTAGTATCTGCAAGCGGACGTTTTAAGCGCTTTCAGGCCTGTGGTGAGAAAGGAAATATCTTCAAATAAAAACTAGACAGAAGCATTCTCAGAAACTTATTTGCGATGTGTGTCCTCAACTAACAGAGTTGAACCTTTGTTTTGATACAACATTTTGGAAACACTCTTTTTGTAGAATCTGCAAGTGGATATTTGGATAGCTTTGAAGGTTTCGTTGGAAACGGGAATATCTTCATATAAAATCAAGACAGAAGCATTCTCAGAAAGTGCTTTGTGATGTTTGCATTCAAGTCACAGAGTTGAATATTCCCTTTTATAGAGCAGGTTTGAAACACTCTTTCTGCACTACCTGGAAGTGGACATTTGGAGCGCTTTGAGGCCTATGTTGAAAAAGGAAATATCTTCCCATAAAAACTAGACAGAAGCATTCTCAGAAACTTGTTTGTGATGTGTGTATTCAACTAACAGAGATGAACCTTTCTTTTTACAGAGCAGTTTTGAAACACTCTTTTTGTGGAATCTGAAAGTGGATATTTGGATAGCTTTGAGGATTTCGTTGGAAACGGGATTACATATAAAACCTAGAGAGAAGCATTCTCAGGAACTTCTTTGTGATGTTTGCATTCAAGTCACAGAACTGAACATTCCCTTTCATAGAGCAGGTTTGAAACACTCTTTCTGTAGTATCTGCAAGCTGACGTTTCAAGCGCTTTCAGGCCTATGGTGAGAAAGGAAATATCTTCAAGTAAAAACTAGACAGAAGCATTCTCAGAAACTTATTTGCGATGTGTGTTCTCAACTAACAGAGTTGAACCTTTGTTTTGATATGGCATTTTGGAAACACTCTTTTTGTAGAATCTGCAGGTGGATATTCGGATAGCTTTGAAGGTTTCGTTGGAAACGGGAATATCTTCATATAAAATCTAGACGGAAGCATTCTCAGAAAGTGCTTTGTGATGTTTGCATTCAAGTCACAGAGTTGAATATTCCCTTTTATAGAGCAGGTTTGAAACACTCTTTCTGCACTACCTGGAAGTGGACATTTGGAGCGCTTTGAGGCCTATGTTGAAAAAGGAAATATCTTCCCATAAAAACTAGACAGAAGCATTCTCAGAAACTTGTTTGTGATGTGTGTATTCAACTAACAGAGATGAACCTTTCTTTTTACAGAGCAGTTTTGAAACACTCTTTTTGTGGAATCTGAAAGTGGATATTTGGATAGCTTTGAGGATTTCGTTGGAAACGGGATTACATATAAAACCTAGAGAGAAGCATTCTCAGGAACTTCTTTGTGATGTTTGCCTTGAAGTCACAGGACTGAACATTCCCTTTCATAGAGCAGGTTTGAAACACTCTTTCTGTAGTATCTGCAAGCTGACGTTTCAAGCGCTTTCAGGCCTATGGTGAGAAAGGAAATATCTTCAAGTAAAAACTAGACAGAAGCATTCTCAGAAACTTATTTGCGATGTGTGTCCTCAACTAACAGAGTTGAACCTTTCTTTTGATACAACATTTTGGAAACACTCTTTTTGTAGAATCTGCAAGTGGATATTTGAATAGCTTTGAAGGTTTCGTTGGAAACGGGAATATCTTCATATAAAATCAAGACAGAAGCATTCTCAGAAACTGCTTTGTGATGTTTTCATTCAAGTCACAGAGTAGAATGTTCCCTGTTATATACCAGGTTTGAGACACTCTTTCTGCACTACCCGGAAGTGGACGTTTGGAGCGCTTTGAGGCCTATGTTGAAAAAGGAAATATCTTCCCATAAAAACTAGACAGAAGCATTCTCAGAAACTTGTTTGTGATGTGTGTATTCAACTAACAGAGATGAACCTTTCTTTTTACAGAGCAGTTTTGAAACACTCTTTTTGTGGAATCTGAAAGTGGATATTTGGATAGCTTTGCGGATTTCGTTGGAAACGGGATTACATATAAAATCTAGGGAGAAGCATTCTCAGGAACTTCTTTGTGATGTTTGCCTTCAAGTCACAGGACTGAACATTCCCTTTCATAGAGCAGGTTTGAAACACTCTTTCTGTAGTATCTGCAAGCTGACGTTTCATGCGCTTTCAGGCCTATGGTGAGAAAGGAAATATCTTCAAGTAAAAACTAGACAGAAGCATTCTCAGAAACTTATTTGCCATGTGTGTTCTCAACTAACAGAGTTGAACCTTTGTTTTGATACGGCATTTTGGAAACACTCTTTTTGTAGAATCTGCAGGTGGATATTCGGATAGCTTTGAAGGTTTCGTTGGAAACGGGAATATCTTCATATAAAATCTAGACGGAAGCATTCTCAGAAAGTGCTTTGTGATGTTTGCATTCAAGTCACAGAGTTGAATATTCCCTTTTATAGAGCAGGTTTGAAACACTCTTTCTGCACTACCTGGAAGTGGACATTTGGAGCGCTTTGAGGCCTATGTTGAAAAAGGAAATATCTTCCCATAAAAACTAGACAGAAGCATTCTCAGAAACTTCCTTGTGATGTGTGTACTCAAGTAACAGAGTTGAACCTTCCTTTTGACAGAGCAGTTTTGAAGCACTCTTTTTGTAGAATCTGCAAGTGGATATTTTGATACCTTTGAGGATTTCGTTGGACACGGGATATCTTCATATAAAATCTAGACAGAAGCATTCTCAGGAACTTCTTTGTGATGTTTGCATTCAAGTCACAGAACTGAACATTCCCTTTCATAGAGCAGGTTTGAAACACTCTTTCTGTAGTATCTGCAAGCGGACGTTTTAAGCGCTTTCAGGCCTGTGGTGAGAAAGGAAATATCTTCAAATAAAAACTAGACAGAAGCATTCTCAGAAACTTATTTGCCATGTGTGTTCTCAACTAACAGAGTTGAACCTTTGTTTTGATACGGCATTTTGGAAACACTCTTTTTGTAGAATCTGCAGGTGGATATTCGGATAGCTTTGAAGGTTTCGTTGGAAACGGGAATATCTTCATATAAAATCTAGACGGAAGCATTCTCAGAAAGTGCTTTGTGATGTTTGCATTCAAGTCACAGAGTTGAATATTCCCTTTTATAGAGCAGGTTTGAAACACTCTTTCTGCACTACCTGGAAGTGGACATTTGGAGCGCTTTGAGGCCTATGTTGAAAAAGGAAATATCTTCCCATAAAAACTAGACAGAAGCATTCTCAGAAACTTGTTTCTGATGTGTGTATTCAACTAACAGAGATGAACCTTTCTTTTTACAGAGTAGTTTTGAAACACTCTTTTTGTGGAATCTGAAAGTGGATATTTGGATAGCTTTGCGGATTTCGTTGGAAACGGGATTACATATAAAATCTAGAGAGAAGCATTCTCAGGAACTTCTTTGTGATGTTTGCATTCACGTCACAGAACTGAACATTCCCTTTCATAGAGCATGTTTGAAACACTCTTTCTGTAGTATCTGCAAACGGACATTTCAAACGCTTTCAGGCCTATGGTGAGAAAGGAAATATCTTCAAATAAAAACTAGACAGAAGCATTCTCAGAAACTTATTTGCGATGTGTGTCCTCAACTAACAGAGTTGAACCTTTCTTTTCATACAACATTTTGGAAACACTCTTTTTGTAGAATCTGCAAGTGGATATTTGAATAGCTTTGAAGGTTTCGTTGGAAACGGGAATATCTTCATATAAAATCAAGACGGAAGCATTCTCAGAAACTGCTTTGTGATGTTTTCATTCAAGTCACAGAGTAGAATCTTCCCTGTTATATACCAGGTTTCAGACACTCTTTCTGCACTACCTGGAAGTGGACATTTGCAGCGCTTTGAGGCCTATGATGAAAAAGGAAATATCTTCCCATAAAAACTAGACAGAAGCATTCTCAGAAACTTGTTTGTGATGTGTGTATTCAACTAACAGAGATGAACCTTTCTTTTTACAGAGCAGTTTTGAAACACTCTTTTTGTGGAATCTGAAAGTGGATATTTGGATAGCTTTGAGGATTTCGTTGGAAACGGGATTACATATAAAACCTAGAGAGAAGCATTCTCAGGAACTTCTTTGTGATGTTTGCATTCAAGTCACAGAACTGAACATTCCCTTTCATAGAGCAGGTTTGAAACAGTCTTTCTGTAGTATCTGCAAGCTGACGTTTCAAGCGCTTTCAGGCCTATGGTGAGAAAGGAAATATCTTCAAGTAAAAACTAGACAGAAGCATTCTCAGAAACTTATTTGCGATGTGTGTTCTCAACTAACAGAGTTGAACCTTTGTTTTGATATGGCATTTTGGAAACACTCTTTTTGTAGAATCTGCAGGTGGATATTCGGATAGCTTTGAAGGTTTCGTTGGAAACGGGAATATCTTCATATAAAATCTAGACGGAAGCATTCTCAGAAACTGCTTTGTGATGTTTTCATTCAAGTCACAGAGTAGAATGTTCCCTGTTATATACCAGGTTTGAGACACTCTTTCTGCACTACCTGGAAGTGGACATTTGCAGCGCTTTGAGGCCTATGATGAAAAAGGAAATATCTTCCCATAAAAACTAGACAGAAGCATTCTCAGAAACTTGTTTGTGATGTGTGTATTCAACTAACAGAGATGAACCTTTCTTTTTACAGAGCAGTTTTGAAACACTCTTTTTGTGGAATCTGAAAGTGGATATTTGGATAGCTTTGAGGATTTCGTTGGAAACGGGATTACATATAAAACCTAGAGAGAAGCATTCTCAGGAACTTCTTTGTGATGTTTGCATTCAAGTCACAGAACTCAACATTCCCTTTCATAGAGCAGGTTTGAAACACTCTTTCTGTAGTATCTGCAAGCTGACGTTTCAAGCGCTTTCAGGCCTATGGTGAGAAAGGAAATATCTTCAAGTAAAAACTAGACAGAAGCATTCTCAGAAACTTATTTGCGATGTGTGTTCTCAACTAACAGAGTTGAACCTTTGTTTTGATATGGCATTTTGGAAACACTCTTTTTGTAGAATCTGCAAGTGGATATTTGGATAGCTTTGAAGGTTTCGGTTGGAAACGGGAATATCTTCATATAAAATCAAGACAGAAGCATTCTCAGAAACTTCTCTGTGATGTTTGCATTCAACTCATAGAGTTGAACACTTCCCTTCATACAGCAGGTTTGAAACACTCTTTTTGTAATATTTGGAAGTGGACATTTGCAGCGCTTTGAGGCCTATGATGAAAAAGGTAATATCTTCCCATAAAAACTAGACAGAAGCATTCTCAGAAACTTGTTTGTGATGTGTGTATTCAACTAACAGAGATGAACCTTTCTTTTTACAGAGCAGTTTTGAAACACTCTTTTTGTGGAATCTGAAAGTGGATATTTGGATAGCTTTGAGGATTTCGTTGGAAACGGGATTACATATAAAACCTAGAGAGAAGCATTCTCAGGAACTTCTTTGTGATGTTTGCCTTCAAGTCACAGGACTGAACATTCCCTTTCATAGAGCAGGTTTGAAACACTCTTTCTGTAGTATCTGCAAGCTGACGTTTCAAGCGCTTTCAGGCCTATGGTGAGAAAGGAAATATCTTCAAGTAAAAACTAGACAGAAGCATTCTCAGAAACTTATTTGCCATGTGTGTTCTCAACTAACAGAGTTGAACCTTTGTTTTGATATGGCATTTTGGAAACACTCTTTTTGTAGAATCTGCAGGTGGATATTCGGATAGCTTTGAAGGTTTCGTTGGAAACGGGAATATCTTCATATAAAATCTAGACAGAAGCATTCTCAGAAACTTCTCTGTGATGTTTGCATTCAACTCATAGAGTTGAACACTTCCCTTCATACAGCAGGTTTGAAACACTCTTTTTGTAATATTTGGAAGTGGACATTTGCAGCGCTTTGAGGCCTATGATGAAAAAGGTAATATCTTCCCATAAAAACTAGACAGAAGCATTCTCAGAAACTTGTTTGTGATGTGTGTATTCAACTAACAGAGATGAACCTTTCTTTTTACAGAGCAGTTTTGAAACACTCTTTTTGTGGAATCTGAAAGTGGATATTTGGATAGCTTTGAGGATTTCGTTGGAAACGGGATTACATATAAAACCTAGAGAGAAGCATTCTCAGGAACTTCTTTGTGATGTTTGCATTCACGTCACAGAACTGAACATTCCCTTTCATAGAACATGTTTGAAACACTCTTTCTGTAGTATCTGCAAACGGACATTTCAAACGCTTTCAGGCCTATGGTGAGAAAGGAAATATCTTCAAATAAAAACTAGACAGAAGCATTCTCAGAAACTTATTTGCGATGTGTGTCCTCAACTAACAGAGTTGAACCTTTCTTTTGATACAACATTTTGGAAACACTCTTTTTGTGGAATCTGCAAGTGGATATTTGGATAGCTTTGAAGGTTTCGTTGGATACGGGAATATCTTCATATAAAATCAAGACAGAAGCATTCTCAGAAAGTGCTTTGTGATGTTTGCATTCAAGTCACAGAGGTGAATATTCCCTTTTATAGAGCAGGTTTGAAACACTCTTTCTGCACTACCTGGAAGTGGACATTTGGAGCGCTTTGAGGCCTATGTTGAAAAAGGAAATATCTTCCCATAAAAACTAGACAGAAGCATTCTCAGAAACTTGTTTGTGATGTGTGTATTCAACTAACAGAGATGAACCTTTCTTTTTACAGAGCAGTTTTGAAACACTCTTTCTGTGGAATCTGAAAGTGGATATTTGGATAGCTTTGAGGATTTCGTTGGAAACGGGATTACATATAAAATCTAGAGAGAAGCATTCTCAGGAACTTCTTTGTGATGTTTGCATTCAAGTCACAGAACTGAACATTCCCTTTCATAGAGCATGTTTGAAACACTCTTTCTGTAGTATCTGCAAGCTGACGTTTCAAGCGCTTTCAGGCCTATGGTGAGAAAGGAAATATCTTCAAGTAAAAACTAGACAGAAACATTCTCAGAAACTTATTTGCCATGTGTGTTCTCAACTAACAGAGTTGAACCTTTGTTTTGATACGGCATTTTGGAAACACTCTTTTTGTAGAATCTGCAGGTGGATATTCGGATAGCTTTGAAGGTTTCGTTGGAAACGGGAATATCTTCATATAAAATCTAGACGGAAGCATTCTCAGAAACTGCTTTGTGATGTTTTCATTCAAGTCACAGAGTAGAATGTTCCCTTTTATATACCAGGTTTGAGACACTCTTTCTGCACTACCTGGAAGTGGACATTTGGAGCGCTTTGAGGCCTATGATGAAAAAGGAAATATCTTCCCATAAAAACTAGACAGAAGCATTCTCAGAAACTTGTTTGTGATGTGTGTATTCAACTAACAGAGATGAACCTTTCTTTTTACAGAGCAGTTTTGAAACACTCTTTTTGTGGAATCTGAAAGTGGATATTTGGATAGCTTTGAGGAATTCGTTGGAAACGGGATTACATATAAAATCTAGAGAGAAGCATTCTCAGGAACTTCTTTGTGATGTTTGCCTTCAAGTCACAGGACTGAACATTCCCTTTCATAGAGCAGGTTTGAAACACTCTTTCTGTAGTATCTGCAAGCTGACGTTTCAAGCGCTTTCAGGCCTATGGTGAGAAAGGAAATATCTTCAAGTAAAAACTAGACAGAAGCATTCTCAGAAACTTATTTGCCATGTGTGTTCTCAACTAACAGAGTTGAACCTTTGTTTTGATACGGCATTTTGGAAACACTCTTTTTGTAGAATCTGCAGGTGGATATTCCGATAGCTTTGAAGGTTTCGTTGGAAACGGGAATATCTTCATATAAAATCTAGACGGAAGCATTCTCAGAAACTGCTTTGTGATGTTTTCATTCAAGTCACAGAGTAGAATGTTCCCTGTTATATACCAGGTTTGAGACACTCTTTCTGCACTACCTGGAAGTGGACATTTGCAGCGCTTTGAGGCCTATGATGAAAAAGGAAATATCTTCCCATAAAAACTAGACAGAAGCATTCTCAGAAACTTGTTTGTGATGTGTGTATTCAACTAACAGAGATGAACCTTTCTTTTTACAGAGCAGTTTTGAAACACTCTTTTTGTGGAATCTGAAAGTGGATATTTGGATAGCTTTGCGGATTTCGTTGGAAACGGGATTACATATAAAATCTAGGGAGAAGCATTCTCAGGAACTTCTTTGTGATGTTTGCATTCAAGTCACAGAACTGAACATTCCCTTTCATAGAGCAGGTTTGAAACACTCTTTCTGTAGTATCTGCAAGCGGACGTTTTAAGCGCTTTCAGGCCTGTGGTGAGAAAGGAAATATCTTCAAATAAAAACTAGACAGAAGCATTCTCAGAAACTTATTTGCGATGTGTGTCCTCAACTAACAGAGTTGAACCTTTCTTTTGATACAACATTTTGGAAACACTCTTTTTGTAGAATCTGCAAGTGGATATTTGGATAGCTTTGAAGGTTTCGTTGGAAACGGGAATATCTTCATATGAAATCAAGACAGAAGCATTCTCAGAAAGTGCTTTGTGATGTTTGCATTCAAGTCACAGAGTTGAATATTCCCTTTTATAGAGCAGGTTTGAAACACTCTTTCTGCACTACCTGGAAGTGGACATTTAGAGCGCTTTGAGGCCTATGTTGAAAAAGGAAATATCTTCCCATAAAAACTAGACAGAAGCATTCTCAGAAACTTGTTTGTGATGTGTGTATTCAACTAACAGAGATGAACCTTTCTTTTTACAGAGCAGTTTTGAAACACTCTTTTTGTGGAATCTGAAAGTGGATATTTGGATAGCTTTGAGGATTTCGTTGGAAACGGGATTACATATAAAACCTAGAGAGAAGCATTCTCAGGAACTTCTTTGTGATGTTTGCATTCAAGTCACAGGACTGAACATTCCCTTTCATAGAGCAGGTTTGAAACACTCTTTCTGTAGTATCTGCAAGCTGACGTTTCAAGCGCTTTCAGGCCTATGGTGAGAAAGGAAATATCTTCAAGTAAAAACTAGACAGAAGCATTCTCAGAAACTTATTTGCCATGTGTGTTCTCAACTAACAGAGTTGAACCTTTGTTTTGATACGGCATTTTGGAAACACTCTTTTTGTAGAATCTGCAGGTGGATATTCGGATAGCTTTGAAGGTTTCGTTGGAAACGGGAATATCTTCATATAAAATCTAGACGGAAGCATTCTCAGAAAGTGCTTTGTGATGTTTGCATTCAAGTCACAGAGTTGAATATTCCCTTTTATAGAGCAGGTTTGAAACACTCTTTCTGCACTACCTGGAAGTGGACATTTGGAGCGCTTTGAGGCCTATGTTGAAAAAGGAAATATCTTCCCATAAAAACTAGACAGAAGCATTCTCAGAAACTTGTTTGTGATGTGTGTATTCAACTAACAGAGATGAACCTTTCTTTTTACAGAGCAGTTTTGAAACACTCTTTTTGTGGAATCTGAAAGTGGATATTTGGATAGCTTTGAGGATTTCGTTGGAAACGGGATTACATATAAAACCTAGAGAGAAGCATTCTCAGGAACTTCTTTGTGATGTTTGCCTTCAAGTCACAGGACTGAACATTCCCTTTCATAGAGCAGGTTTGAAACACTCTTTCTGTAGTATCTGCAAGCTGACGTTTCAAGCGCTTTCAGGCCTATGGTGAGAAAGGAAATATCTTCAAGTAAAAACTAGACAGAAGCATTCTCAGAAACTTATTTGCCATGTGTGTTCTCAACTAACAGAGTTGAACCTTTGTTTTGATACGGCATTTTGGAAACACTCTTTTTGTAGAATCTGCAGGTGGATATTCGGATAGCTTTGAAGGTTTCGTTGGAAACGGGAATATCTTCATATAAAATCTAGACGGAAGCATTCTCAGAAACTGCTTTGTGATGTTTTCATTCAAGTCACAGAGTAGAATGTTCCCTGTTATACACCAGGTTTGAGACACTCTTTCTGCACTACCTGGAAGTGGACGTTTGGAGCGCTTTGAGGCCTATGTTGAAAAAGGAAATATCTTCCCATAAAAACTAGACAGAAGCATTCTCAGAAACTTGTTTGTGATGTGTGTATTCAACTAACAGAGATGAACCTTTCTTTTTACAGAGCAGTTTTGAAACACTCTTTTTGTGGAATCTGAAAGTGGATATTTGGATAGCTTTGAGGATTTCGTTGGAAACGGGATTACATATAAAATCTAGAGAGAAGCATTCTCAGGAACTTCTTTGTGATGTTTGCATTCAAGTCACAGAACTGAACATTCCCTTTCATAGAGCAGGTTTGAAACACTCTTTCTGTAATATCTGCAAGCGGACGTTTTAAGCGCTTTCAGGCCTGTGGTGAGAAAGGCAATATCTTCAAATAAAAACTAGACAGAAGCATTCTCAGAAACTTATTTGCGATGTGTGTCCTCAACTAACAGAGTTGAACCTTTCTTTTGATACAACATTTTGGAAACACTCTTTTTGTAGAATCTGCAAGTGGATATTTGGATAGCTTTGAAGGTTTCGTTGGAAACGGGAATATCTTCATATGAAATCAAGACAGAAGCATTCTCAGAAAGTGCTTTGTGATGTTTGCATTCAAGTCACAGAGTTGAATATTCCCTTTTATAGAGCAGGTTTGAAACACTCTTTCTGCACTACCTGGAAGTGGACATTTGGAGCGCTTTGAGGCCTATGTTGAAAAAGGAAATATCTTCCCATAAAAACTAGACAGAAGCATTCTCAGAAACTTGTTTGTGATGTGTGTATTCAACTAACAGAGATGAACCTTTCTTTTTACAGAGCAGTTTTGAAACACTCTTTTTCTGGAATCTGAAAGTGGATATTTGGATAGCTTTGAGGATTTCGTTGGAAACGGGATTACATATAAAATCCAGAGAGAAGCATTCTCAGGAACTTCTTTGTGATGTTTGCATTCAAGTCACAGAACTGAACATTCCCTTTCATAGAGCAGGTTTGAAACAGTCTTTCTGTAGTATCTGCAAGCTGACGTTTCAAGCGCTTTCAGGCCTATGGTGAGAAAGGAAATATCTTCAAGTAAAAACTAGACAGAAGCATTCTCAGAAACTTATTTGCCATGTGTGTTCTCAACTAACAGAGTTGAACCTTTGTTTTGATACGGCATTTTGGAAACACTCTTTTTGTAGAATCTGCAGGTGGATATTCGGATAGCTTTGAAGGTTTCGTTGGAAACGGGAATATCTTCATATAAAATCTAGACGGAAGCATTCTCAGAAACTGCTTTGTGATGTTTTCATTCAAGTCACAGAGTAGAATGTTCCCTGTTATATACCAGGTTTGAGACACTCTTTCTGCACTACCTGGAAGTGGACGTTTGGAGCGCTTTGAGGCCTATGTTGAAAAAGGAAATATCTTCCCATAAAAACTAGACAGAAGCATTCTCAGAAACTTGTTTGTGATGTGTGTATTCAACTAACAGAGATGAACCTTTCTTTTTACAGAGCAGTTTTGAAGCACTCTTTTTGTAGAATCTGCAAGTGGATATTTTGATACCATTGAGGATTTCGTTGGACACTGGGATATCTTCATATAAAATCTAGACAGAAGCATTCTCAGAAACTTCTTTGTGCTGTATGTCCTCAATTAACAGAGTTGAACCTTTGTGTGGATACAGCATTTTGGAAACATTCCTTTAGTAGAATCTGCAAGTTGATATTTAGATAGCTAGGAAGAGTTCCTTGGAAACGGGAATATCTTCATATAAAATCTAGACGGAAGCATTCTCAGAAAGTGCTTTGTGATGTTTGCATTCAAGTCACAGAGTTGAATGTTCCCTTTTATAGAGCAGGTTTGAAACACTCTTTCTGCACTACCTGGAAGTGGACATTTGGAGTGCTTTGAGGCCTATGTTGAAAAAGGAAATATCTTCCCATAAAAACTAGACAGAAGCATTCTCAGAAACTTGTTTGTGATGTGTGTATTCAACTAACAGAGATGAACCTTTCTTTTTACAGAGCAGTTTTGAAACACTCTTTTTGTGGAATCTGAAAGTGGATATTTGGATAGCTTTGAGGATTTCGTTGGAAACGGGATTACATATAAAACCTAGAGAGAAGCATTCTCAGGAACTTCTTTGTGATGTTTGCATTCAAGTCACAGAACTGAACATTCCCTTTCATAGAGCAGGTTTGAAACAGTCTTTCTGTAGTATCTGCAAGCTGACGTTTCAAGCGCTTTCAGGCCTATGGTGAGAAAGGAAATATCTTCAAGTAAAAACTAGACAGAAGCATTCTCAGAAACTTATTTGCCATGTGTGTTCTCAACTAACAGAGTTGAACCTTTGTTTTGATACGGCATTTTGGAAACACTCTTTTTGTAGAATCTGCAGGTGGATATTCGGATAGCTTTGAAGGTTTCGTTGGAAACGGGAATATCTTCATATAAAATCTAGACGGAAGCATTCTCAGAAACTGCTTTGTGATGTTTTCATTCAAGTCACAGAGTAGAATGTTCCCTGTTATATACCAGGTTTGAGACACTCTTTCTGCACTACCTGGAAGTGGATATTTGGAGCGCTTTGAGGCCTATGATGAAGAAGGAAATATCTTCCCATAAAAACTAGACAGAAGCATTCTCAGAAACTTGTTTGTGATGTGTGTATTCAACTAACAGAGATGAACCTTTCTTTTTACAGAGCAGTTTTGAAACACTCTTTTTGTGGAATCTGAAAGTGGATATTTGGATAGCTTTGAGGATTTCGTTGGAAACGGGATTACATATAACATCTAGAGAGAAGCATTCTCAGGAACTTCTTTGTGATGTTTGCATTCACGTCACAGAACTGAACATTCCCTTTCATAGAGCATGTTTGAAACACTCTTTCTGTAGTATCTGCAAACGGACATTTCAAACGCTTTCAGGCCTATGGTGAGAAAGGAAATATCTTCAAATAAAAACTAGACAGAAGCATTCTCAGAAACTTCTTTGTGCTGTATGTCCTCAATTAACAGAGTTGAACCTTTGTGTGGATACAGCATTTTGGAAACATTCCTTTAGTAGAATCTGCAAGTTGATATTTAGATAGCTAGGAAGATTTCCTTGGAAACGGGAATATCTTCATATAAAATCTAGACGGAAGCATTCTCAGAAACTTCTCTGTGATGTTTGCATTCAACTCATAGAGTTGAACACTTCCCTTCATACAGCAGGTTTGAAACACTCTTTTTCTAATATTTGGAAGTGGACTTTTGCAGCGCTTTGAAGCCTATAATGAAAAAGGTAATATCTTCCCATAAAAACTAGACAGAAGCATTCTCAGAAACTTGTTTGTGATGTGTGTATTCAACTAACAGAGATGAACCTTTCTTTTTACAGAGCAGTTTTGAAACACTCTTTTTGTGGAATCTGAAAGTGGATATTTGGATAGCTTTGAGGATTTCGTTGGAAACGGGATTACATATAAAACCTAGAGAGAAGCATTCTCAGGAACTTCTTTGTGATGTTTGCATTCAAGTCACAGAACTGAACATTCCCTTTCATAGAGCAGGTTTGAAACACTCTTTCTGTAGTATCTACAAGCGGACGTTTCAAGCGCTTTCAGGCCTGTGGTGAAAAAGGAAATATCTTCAAATAAAAACTAGACAGAAGCATTCTCAGAAACTTATTTGCGATGTGTGTTCTCAACTAAAAGAGTTGAACCTTTGTTTGGATACAACATTTTGGAAACACTCTTTTTGTAGAATCTGCAAGTGGATATTTGGATAGCTTTGAAGGTTTCGTTGGAAACGGGAATATCTTCATATAAAATCAAGACAGAAGCATTCTCAGAAAGTGCTTTGTGATGTTTGCATTCAAGTCACAGAGTTGAATATTCCCTTTTATAGAGCAGGTTTGAAATACTCTTTCTGCACTACCTGGAAGTGGACATTTGGAGCGCTTTGAGGCCTATGTTGAAAAAGGAAATATCTTCCCATAAAAACTAGACAGAAGCATTCTCAGAAACTTGTTTGTGATGTGTGTATTCAACTAACAGAGATGAACCTTTCTTTTTACAGAGCAGTTTTGAAACACTCTTTTTGTGGAATCTGAAAGTGGATATTTGGATAGCTTCGAGGATTTCGTTGGAAACGGGATTACATATAAAATCTAGAGAGAAGCATTCTCAGGAACTTCTTTGTGATGTTTGCATTCAAGTCACAGAACTGAACATTCCCTTTCATAGAGCATGTTTGAAACACTCTTTCTGTAGTATCTGCAAGTGGACGTTTCAAGCGCTTTCAGGCCTATGGTGAGAAAGGAAATATCTTCAAGTAAAAACTAGACAGAAGCATTCTCAGAAACTTATTTGCCATGAGTGTCCTCAACTAACAGAGTTGAACCTTTGTTTTGATACGGCATTTTGGAAACACTCTTTTTGTAGAATCTGCAGGTGGATATTCGGATAGCTTTGAAGGTTTCGTTGGAAACGGGAATATCTTCATATAAAATCTAGACGGAAGCATTCTCAGAAACTGCTTTGTGATGTTTTCATTCAAGTCACAGAGTAGAATGTTCCCTTTTATATACCAGGTTTGAGACACTCTTTCTGCACTATCTGGAAGTGGACATTTGGAGCGCTTTGAGGCCTATGATGAAAAAGGAAATATCTTCCCATAAAAACTAGACAGAAGCATTCTCAGAAACTTGTTTGTGATGTGTGTATTCAACTAACAGAGATGAACCTTTCTTTTTACAGAGCAGTTTTGAAACACTCTTTTTGTGGAATCTGAAAGTGGATATTTGGATAGCTTTGCGGATTTCGTTGGAAACGGGATTACATATAAAATCTAGGGAGAAGCATTCTCAGGAACTTCTTTGTGATGTTTGCATTCAAGTCACAGAACTGAACATTCCCTTTCATAGAGCATGTTTGAAACACTCTTTCTGTAGTATCTGCAAGCGGACGTTTCAAGCGCTTTCAGGCCTATGGTGAGAAAGGAAATATCTTCAAGTAAAAACTAGACAGAAGCATTCTCAGAAACTTATTTGCGATGTGTGTCCTCAACTAACAGAGTTGAACCTTTCTTTTGATACAACATTTTGGAAACACTCTTTTTGTAGAATCTGCAAGTGGATATTTGGATAGCTTTGAAGGTTTCGTTGGAAACGGGAATATCTTCATATGAAATCAAGACAGAAGCATTCTCAGAAAGTGCTTTGTGATGTTTGCATTCAAGTCACAGAGTTGAATATTCCCTTTTATAGAGCAGGTTTGAAACACTCTTTCTGCACTACCTGGAAGTGGACATTTGGAGCGCTTTGAGGCCTATGTTGAAAAACGAAATATCTTCCCATAAAAACTAGACAGAAGCATTCTCAGAAACTTGTTTGTGATGTGTGTATTCAACTAACAGAGATGAACCTTTCTTTTTACAGAGCAGTTTTGAAACACTCTTTTTGTGGAATCTGAAAGTGGATATTTGGATAGCTTTGAGGATTTCGTTGGAAACGGGATTACATATAAAACCTAGAGAGAAGCATTCTCAGGAACTTCTTTGTGATGTTTGCCTTCAAGTCACAGGACTGAACATTCCCTTTCATAGAGCAGGTTTGAAACACTCTTTCTGTAGTATCTGCAAGCTGACGTTTCAAGCGCTTTCAGGCCTATGGTGAGAAAGGAAATATCTTCAAGTAAAAACTAGACAGAAGCATTCTCAGAAACTTATTTGAGATGTGTGTTCTCAACTAACAGAGTTGAACCTTTGTTTTGATATGGCATTTTGGAAACACTCTTTTTGTAGAATCTGCAGGTGGATATTCGGATAGCTTTGAAGGTTTCGTTGGAAACGGGAATATCTTCATATAAAATCAAGACAGAAGCATTCTCAGAAACTGCTTTGTGATGTTTTCATTCAAGTCACAGAGTAGAATGTTCCCTGTTATATACCAGGTTTGAGACACTCTTTCTGCACTACCTGGAAGTGGACGTTTGGAGCGCTTTGAGGCCTATGTTGAAAAAGGAAATATCTTCCCATAAAAACTAGACAGAAGCATTCTCAGAAACTTGTTTGTGATGTGTGTATTCAACTAACAGAGATGAACCTTTCTTTTTACAGAGAAGTTTTGAAACACTCTTTTTGTGGAATCTGAAAGTGGATATTTGGATAGCTTTGCGGATTTCGTTGGAAACGGGATTACATATAAAATCTAGGGAGAAGCATTCTCAGGAACTTCTTTGTGATGTTTGCATTCAAGTCACAGAACTGAACATTCCCTTTCATAGAGCAGGTTTTGAAACACTCTTTCTGTAGTATCTCCAAGCGGACGTTTTAAGCGCTTTCAGGCCTGTGGTGAGAAAGGAAATATCTTCAAATAAAAACTAGACAGAAGCATTCTCAGAAACTTATTTGCGATGTGTGTCCTCAACTAACAGAGTTGAACCTTTCTTTTGATACAACATTTTGGAAACACTCTTTTTGTAGAATCTGCAAGTGGATATTTGAATAGCTTTGAAGGTTTCGTTGGAAACGGGAATATCTTCATATAAAATCAAGACAGAAGCATTCTCAGAAAGTGCTTTGTGATGTTTGCATTCAAGTCACAGAGTTGAATATTCCCTTTTATAGAGCAGGTTTGAAACACTCTTTCTGCACTACCTGGAAGTGGACATTTGGAGCGCTTTGAGGCCTATGTTGAAAAAGGAAATATCTTCCCATAAAAACTAGACAGAAGCATTCTCAGAAACTTGTTTGTGATGTGTGTATTCAACTAACAGAGATGAACCTTTCTTTTTACAGAGCAGTTTTGAAACACTCTTTTTGTGGAATCTGAAAGTGGATATTTGGATAGCTTTGAGGATTTCGTTGGAAACGGGATTACATATAAAATCTAGAGAGAAGCATTCTCAGGTACTTCTTTGTGATGTTTGCATTCAAGTCACAGAACTGAACATTCCCTTTCTTAGAGCAGGTTTGAAACACTCTTTCTGTAGTATCTGCAAGCGGACGTTTTAAGCGCTTTCAGGCCTGTGGTGAGAAAGGAAATATCTTCAAATAAAAACTAGACAGAAAGCATTCTCAGAAACTTCTTTGTGCTGTATGTCCTCAATTAACAGAGTTGAACCTTTGTGTGGATACAGCATTTTGGAAACATTCCTTTAGTAGAATCTGCAAGTTGATATTTAGATAGCTAGGAAGATTTCCTTGGAAACGGGAATATCTTCATATAAAATCTAGAGGGAGCATTCTCAGAAAGTGCTTTGTGATGTTTGCATTCAAGTCACAGAGTTGAATATTCCCTTTTATAGAGCAGGTTTGAAACACTCTTTCTGCACTACCTGGAAGTGGACATTTGGAGCGCTTTGAGGCCTATGTTGAAAAAGGAAATATCTTCCCATAAAAACTAGACAGAAGCATTCTCAGAAACTTGTTTGTGATGTGTGTATTCAACTAACAGAGATGAACCTTTCTTTTTACAGAGCAGTTTTGAAACACTCTTTTTGTGGAATCTGAAAGTGGATATTTGGATAGCTTTGCGGATTTCGTTGGAAACGGGATTACATATAAAATCTAGGGAGAAGCATTCTCAGGAACTTCCTTTGTGATGTTTGCATTCAAGTCACAGAACTGAACATTCCCTTTCATAGAGCATGTTTGAAACACTCTTTCTGTAGTATCTGCAAACGGACATTTCAAACGCTTTCAGGCCTATGGTGAGAAAGGAAATATCTTCAAATAAAAACTAGACAGAAGCATTCTCAGAAACTTATTTGCGATGTGTGTCCTCAACTAACAGAGTTGAACCTTTCTTTTGATACAACATTTTGGAAACACTCTTTTTGTAGAATCTGCAAGTGGATATTTGAATAGCTTTGAAGGTTTCGTTGGAAACGGGAATATCTTCATATAAAATCAAGACAGAAGCATTCTCAGAAACTGCTTTGTGATGTTTGCATTCAAGTCACAGAGTAGAATGTTCCCTGTTATATACCAGGTTTGAGACACTCTTTCTGCACTACCTGGAAGTGGACATTTGCAGCGCTTTGAGGCCTATGATGAAAAAGGAAATATCTTCCCATAAAAACTAGACAGAAGCATTCTCAGAATCTTTCTTGTGATGTGTGTACTCAAGTAACACAGTTGAACCTTCATTTTGACAGAACAGTTTTGAAGCACTCTTTTTGTAGAATCTGCAAGTGGATATTTTGATACCTTTGAGGATTTCGTTGGACACGGGATATCTTCATATAAAATCTAGACAGAAGCATTCTCAGAAACTTCTTTGTGCTGTATGTCCTCAATTAACAGAGTTGAACCTTTGTTTCGATACAGCATTTTGGAAACATTCCTTTAGTAGAATCTGCAAGTTGATATTCAGATAGCTAGGAAGATTTCCTTGGAAACGGGAATATCTTCATATAAAATCTAGACGGAAGCATTCTCAGAAACTTATTTGCGATGTGTGTTCTCAACTAACAGAGTTGAACCTTTGTTTTGATATGGCATTTTGGAAACACTCTTTTTGTAGAATCTGCAGGTGGATATTCGGATAGCTTTGAAGGTTTCGTTGGAAACGGGAATATCTTCATATAAAATCTACACGGAAGCATTCTCAGAAAGTGCTTTGTGATGTTTGCATTCAAGTCACAGAGTTGAATATTCCCTTTTATAGAGCATGTTTGAAACACTCTTTCTGCACTACCTGGAAGTGGACATTTGGAGCGCTTTGAGGCCTATGTTGAAAAAGGAAATATCTTCCCATAAAAACTAGACAGAAGCATTCTCAGAAACTTGTTTGTGATGTGTGTATTCAACTAACAGAGATGAACCTTTCTTTTTACAGAGCAGTTTTGAAACACTCTTTTTGTGGAATCTGAAAGTGGATATGTGGATAGCTTTGAGGATTTCGTTGGAAACGGGATTACATATAAAATCTAGAGAGAAGCATTCTCAGGAACTTCTTTGTGATGTTTGCATTCAAGTCACAAAACTGAACATTCCCTTTCATAGAGCATGTTTGAAACACTCTTTCTGTAGTATCTGCAAGCGGACGTTTCAAGCGCTTTCAGGCCTATGGTGAGAAAGGAACTATCTTCAAGTAAAAACTAGACAGAAGCATTCTCAGAAACTTATTTGCGATGTGTGTCCTCAACTATCAGAGTTGAACCTTTCTTTTGATACAACATTTTGGAACCACTCTTTTTGTAGAATCTGCAAGTGGATATTTGAATAGCTTTGAAGGTTTCGTTGGAAACGGGAATATCTTCATATAAAATCAAGACAGAAGCATTCTCAGAAACTTCTCTGTGATGTTTGCATTCAACTCATAGAGTTGAACACTTCCCTTCATACAGCAGGTTTGAAACACTCTTTTTGTAATATTTGGAAGTGGACATTTGCAGCGCTTTGAGGCCTATGATGAAAAAGGAAATATCTTCCCATAAAAACTAGACAGAAGCATTCTCAGAAACTTGTTTGTGATGTGTGTATTCAACTAACAGAGATGAACCTTTCCTTTCACAGAGCAGTTTTGAAACACTCTTTTTGTGGAATCTGAAAGTGGATATTTGGATAGCTTTGAGGATTTCTTTGGAAACGGGATTACATATAAAATCTAGGGAGAAGCATTCTCAGGAACTTCTTTGTGATGTTTGCATTCAAGTCACAGAACTGAACATTCCCTTTCATAGAGCAGGTTTGAAACACTCTTTCTGTAATATCTGCAAGCGGACGTTTCAAGCGCTTTCACGACTGTAGTGAAAAAGGAAATATCTTCAAATAAAAACTAGACAGAAGCATTCTCAGAAACTTATTTGCGATGTGTGTTCTCAACTATCAGAGTTGAACCTTTGTTTTGATACAGCATTTTGGAAACACTCTTTTTGTAGGATCTGCAGGTGGATATTTGGATAGCTTTTAAGGTTTCGTTGGAAACGGGAATATCTTCATATAAAATCAAGACAGAAGCATTCTCAGAAACTGCTTTGTGATGTTTTCATTCAAGTCACACAGTAGAATGTTCCCTGTTATATACCAGGTTTGAGACACTCTTTCTGCACTACCTGGAAGTGGACATTTGCAGCGCTTTGAGGCCTATGATGAAAAAGGAAATATCTTCCCATAAAAACTAGACAGAAGCATTCTCAGAAACTTGTTTGTGATGTGTGTATTCAACTAACAGAGATGAACCTTTCTTTTTACAGAGCAGTTTTGAAACACTCTTTTTGTGGAATCTGAAAGTGGATATTTGGATAGCTTTGCGGATTTCGTTGGAAACGGGATTACATATAAAATCTAGGGAGAAGCATTCTCAGGAACTTCTTTGTGATGTTTGCATTCACGTCACAGAACTGAACATTCCCTTTCATAGAGCATGTTTGAAACACTCTTTCTGTAGTATCTGCAAACGGACATTTCAAACGCTTTCAGGCCTATGGTGAGAAAGGAAATATCTTCAAATAAAAACTAGACAGAAGCATTCTCAGAAACTTATTTGCCATGTGTGTTCTCAACTAACAGAGTTGAACCTTTGTTTTGATACGGCATTTTGGAAACACTCTTTTTGTAGAATCTGCAGGTGGATATTCGGATAGCTTTGAAGGTTTCGTTGGAAACGGGAATATCTTCATATAAAATCGAGACGGAAGCATTCTCAGAAACTGCTTTGTGATGTTTTCATTCAAGTCACAGAGTAGAATGTTCCCTGTTATACACCAGGTTTGAGACACTCTTTCTGCACTACCTGGAAGTGGACGTTTGGAGCGCTTTGAGGCCTATGTTGAAAAAGGAAATATCTTCCCATAAAAACTAGACAGAAGCATTCTCAGAAACTTGTTTGTGATGTGTGTATTCAACTAACAGAGATGAACCTTTCTTTTTACAGAGCAGTTTTGAAACACTCTTTTTGTGGAATCTGAAAGTGGATATTTGGATAGCTTTGAGGATTTCGTTGGAAACGGGATTACATATAAAATCTAGAGAGAAGCATTCTCAGGAACTTCTTTGTGATGTTTGCCTTCAAGTCACAGGACTGAACATTCCCTTTCATAGAGCAGGTTTGAAACACTCTTTCTGTAGTATCTGCAAGCTGACGTTTCAAGCGCTTTCAGGCCTATGGTGAGAAAGGAAATATCTTCAAGTAAAAACTAGACAGAAGCATTCTCAGAAACTTATTTGCGATGTGTGTCCTCAACTAACAGAGTTGAACCTTTCTTTTGATACAACATTTTGGAAACACTCTTTTTGTAGAATCTGCAAGTGGATATTTGGATAGCTTTGAAGGTTTCGTTGGAAACGGGAATATCTTCATATGAAATCAAGACAGAAGCATTCTCAGAAACTGCTTTGTGATGTTTTCATTCAAGTCACAGAGTAGAATGTTCCCTGTTATATACCAGGTTTGAGACACTCTTTCTGCACTACCTGGAAGTGGACGTTTGGAGCGCTTTGAGGCCTATGTTGAAAAAGGAAATATCTTCCCATAAAAACTAGACAGAAGCATTCTCAGAAACTTGTTTGTGATGTGTGTATTCAACTAACAGAGATGAACCTTTCTTTTTACAGAGCAGTTTTGAAACACTCTTTTTGTGGAATCTGAAAGTGGATATTTGGATAGCTTTGAGGATTTCGTTGGAAACGGGATTACATATAAAATCTAGAGAGAAGCATTCTCAGGAACTTCTTTGTGATGTTTGCATTCAAGTCACAGAACTGAACATTCCCTTTCATAGAGCAGGTTTGAAACACTCTTTCTGTAGTATCTGCAAGCGGACGTTTTAAGCGCTTTCAGGCCTGTGGTGAGAAAGGAAATATCTTCAAATAAAAACTAGACAGAAGCATTCTCAGAAACTTATTTGCGATGTGTGTTCTCAACTAACAGAGTTGAACCTTTGTTTTGATACAGCATTTTGGAAACACTCTTTTTGTAGGATCTGCAGGTGGATATTTGGATAGATTTGAAGGTTTCGTTGGAAACGGGAATATCTTCATATAAAATCAACACAGAAGCATTCTCAGAAAGTGCTTTGTGATGTTTGCATTCAAGTCACAGAGTTGAATATTCCCTTTTATAGAGCAGGTTTGAAACACTCTTTCTGCACTACCTGGAAGTGGACATTTGGAGCGCTTTGAGGCCTATGTTGAAAAACGAAATATCTTCCCATAAAAACTAGACAGAAGCATTCTCAGAAACTTGTTTGTGATGTGTGTATTCAACTAACAGAGATGAACCTTTCTTTTTACAGAGCAGTTTTGAAACACTCTTTTTGTGGAATCTGAAAGTGGATATTTGGATAGCTTTGTGGATTTCGTTGGAAACGGGATTACATATAAAATCCTAGAGAGAGCATTCTCAGGGAACTTCTTTGTGATGTTTGCCTTCAAGTCACAGGGACTGAACATTCCCTTTCATAGAGCAGGTTTGAAACACTCTTTCTGTAGTATCTGCAAGCTGACGTTTCAAGCGCTTTCAGGCCTATGGTGACAAAGGAAATATCTTCAAGTAAAAACTAGACAGAAGCATTCTCAGAAACTTATTTGCCATGTGTGTTCTCAACTAACAGAGTTGAACCTTTGTTTTGATACGGCATTTTGGAAACACTCTTTTTGTAGAATCTGCAGGTGGATATTCGGATAGCTTTGAAGGTTTCGTTGGAAACGGGAATATCTTCATATAAAATCTAGACGGAAGCATTCTCAGAAACTGCTTTGTGATGTTTTCATTCAAGTCACAGAGTAGAATGTTCCCTGTTATATACCAGGTTTGAGACACTCTTTCTGCACTACCTGGAAGTGGACATTTGCAGCGCTTTGAGGCCTATGATGAAAAAGGAAATATCTTCCCATAAAAACTAGACAGAAGCATTCTCAGAAACTTGTTTGTGATATGTGTATTCAACTAACAGAGATGAACCTTTCTTTTTACACAGCAGTTTTAAAACACTCTTTTTGTGGAATCTGAAAGTGGATATTTGGATAGCTTTGAGGATATTGTTGGAAACGGTATTACATATAAAATCTAGAGAGAAGAATTCTCAGGATCTTCTTTGTGATGTTTGCATTCAAGTCGCAGAACTGAACATTCCCTTTCATAGAGCAGGTTTGAAACACTCTTTCTGTAGTATCTGCAAGCGGACGTTTCAAGCGCTTTCAGGCCTATGGTTAGAAAGGAAATATCTTCAAATAAAAACTAGACAGAAGCATTCTCAGAAACTTATTTGCGATGTGTGTCCTCAACTAACAGAGTTGAACCTTTCTTTTGATACAACATTTTGGAAACACTCTTTTTGTAGAATCTGCAAGTGGATATTTGGATAGCTTTGAAGGTTTCGTTGGAAACGGGAATATCTTCATATGAAATCAAGACAGAAGCATTCTCAGAAAGTGCTTTGTGATGTTTGCATTCAAGTCACAGAGTAGAATATTCCCTTTTATAGAGCAGGTTTCAAACACTCTTTCTGCACTACCTGGAAGTGGATATTTGGAGCGCTTTGAGGCCTATGTTGAAAAAGGAAATATCTTCCCATATAAACTAGACAGAAGCATTCTCAGAAACTTGTTTGTGATGTGTGTATTCAACTAACAGAGATGAACCTTTCTTTTTACAGAGCAGTTTTGAAACACTCTTTTTGTGGAATCTGAAAGTGGATATTTGGATAGCTTTGAGGATTTCGTTGGAAACGGGATTACATATAAAATCTAGAGAGAAGCATTCTCAGGAACTTCTTTGTGATGTTTGCATTCACGTCACAGAACTGAACATTCCCTTTCATAGAGCATGTTTGAAACACTCTTTCTGTAGTATCTGCAAACGGACATTTCAAACGCTTTCAGGCCTATGGTGAGAAAGGAAATATCTTCAAGTAAAAACTAGACAGAAGCATTCTCAGAAACTTATTTGCGATGTGTGTCCTCAACTAACAGACTTGAACCTTTCTTTTGATACAACATTTTGGAAACACTCTTTTTGTGGAATCTGCAAGTGGATATTTGGATAGCTTTGAAGATTTCGTTGGAAACGGGAATATCTTCATATAAAATCAAGACAGAAGCATTCTCAGAAACTTCTCTGTGATGTTTGCATTCAACTCATAGAGTTGAACACTTCCCTTCATACAGCAGGTTTGAAACACTCTTTTTCTAATATTTGGAAGTGGACATTTGCAGCGCTTTGAGGCCTATGATGAAAAAGGTAATATCTTCCCATAAAAACTAGACAGAAGCATTCTCAGAAACTTGTTTGTGATGTGTGTATTCAACTAACAGAGATGAACCTTTCTTTTTACAGAGCAGTTTTGAAACACTCTTTTTGTGGAATCTGAAAGTGGATATTTGGATAGCTTTGAGGATTTCGTTGGAAACGGGATTACATATAAAATCTAGAGAGAAGCATTCTCAGGATCTTTTTTGTGATGTATGCATTCAAGTCACAGAACTGAACATTCCCTTTCATAGAGCATGTTTGAAACACTCTTTCTGTAGTATCTGCAAGCGGACGTTTCAAGCGCTTTCAGGCCTATGGTGAGAAAGGAAATATCTTCAAGTAAAAACTAGACAGAAGCATTCTCAGAAACTTATTTGCGATGTGTGTTCTCAACTAACAGAGTTGAACCTTTGTTTTGATATGGCATTTTGGAAACACTCTTTTTGTAGAATCTGCAGGTGGATATTCGGATAGCTTTGAAGGTTTCGTTGGAAACGGGAATATCTTCATATAAAATCTAGACGGAAGCATTCTCAGAAACTGCTTTGTGATGTTTTCATTCAAGTCACAGAGTAGAATGTTCCCTGTTATATACCAGGTTTGACACACTCTTTCTGCACTACCTGGAAGTGGACATTTGCAGCGCTTTGAGGCCTATGATGACAAAGGAAATATCTTCCCATAAAAACTAGACAGAAGCATTCTCAGAAACTTGTTTGTGATGTGTGTATTCAACTAACAGAGATGAACCTTTCTTTTTATAGAGCAGTTTTGAAACACTCTTTTTGTGGAATCTGAAAGTGGATATTTGGATAGCTTTGAGGATTTCGTTGGAAACGGGATTACATATAAAATCCTAGAGAGAAGCATTCTCAGGCAACTTCTTTGTGATGTTTGCATTCAAGTCACAGAACTGAACATTCCCTTTCATAGAGTAGGTTTGAAACACTCTTTCTGTAGTATCTGCAAGCGGACGTTTCAAGCGCTTTCAGGCCTGTGGTGAAAAAGGAAATATCTTCAAATAAAAACTAGACAGAAGCATTCTCAGAAACTTCTTTGTGCTGTATGTCCTCAATTAACAGAGTTGAACCTTTGTGTGGATACAGCATTTTGGAAACATTCCTTTAGTAGAATCTGCAAGTTGATATTTAGATAGCTAGGAAGATTTCCTTGGAAACGGGAATATCTTCATATAAAATCTAGACGGAAGCATTCTCAGAAACTGCTTTGTGATGTTTTCATTGAAGTCACAGAGTAGAATGTTCCCTTTTATATACCAGGTTTGAGACACTCTTTCTGCACTATCTGGAAGTGGACATTTGGAGCGCTTTGAGGCCTATGATGAAAAAGGAAATATCTTCCCATAAAAACTAGACAGAAGCATTCTCAGAAACTTGTTTGTGATGTGTGTATTCAACTAACAGAGATGAACCTTTCTTTTTACAGAGCAGTTTTGAAACACTCTTTTTGTGGAATCTGAAAGTGGATATTTGGATAGCTTTGAGGATTTCGTTGGAAACGGGATTACATATAAAATCTAGAGAGAAGCATTCTCAGGAACTTCTTTGTGATGTTTGCATTCAAGTCACAGAACTGAACATTCCCTTTCATAGAGCAGGTTTGAAACACTCTTTCTGTAGTATCTGCAAGCGGACGTTTTAAGCGCTTTCAGGCCTGTGGTGAGAAAGGAAATATCTTCAAATAAAAACTAGACAGAAGCATTCTCAGAAACTTATTTGCGATGTGTGTCCTCAACTAACAGAGTTGAACCTTTCTTTTGATACAACATTTTGGAAACACTCTTTTTGTAGAATCTGCAAGTGGATATTTGAATAGCTTTGAAGGTTTCGTTGGAAACGGGAATATCTTCATATAAAATCAAGACAGAAGCATTCTCAGAAAGTGCTTTGTGATGTTTGCATTCAAGTCACAGAGTTGAATATTCCCTTTTATAGAGCAGGTTTGAAACACTCTTTCTGCACTACCTGGAAGTGGACATTTGGAGCGCTTTGAGGCCTATGTTGAAAAAGGAAATATCTTCCCATAAAAACTAGACAGAAGCATTCTCAGAAACTTGTTTGTGATGTGTGTATTCAACTAACAGAGATGAACCTTTCTTTTTACAGAGCAGTTTTGAAACACTCTTTTTGTGGAATCTGAAAGTGGATATTTGGATAGCTTTGCGGATTTCGTTGGAAACGGGATTACATATAAAATCTAGGGAGAAGCATTCTCAGGAACTTCTTTGTGATGTTTGCATTCACGTCACAGAACTGAACATTCCCTTTCATAGAGCATGTTTGAAACACTCTTTCTGTAGTATCTGCAAACGGACATTTCAAACGCTTTCAGGCCTATGGTGAGAAAGGAAATATCTTCAAATAAAAACTAGACAGAAGCATTCTCAGAAACTTATTTGCGATGTGTGTCCTCAACTAACAGAGTTGAACCTTTCTTTTGATACAACATTTTGGAAACACTCTTTTTGTAGAATCTGCAAGTGGATATTTGAATAGCTTTGAAGGTTTCGTTGGAAACGGGAATATCTTCATATAAAATCAAGACAGAAGCATTCTCAGAAACTGCTTTGTGATGTTTTCATTCAAGTCACAGAGTAGAATCTTCCCTGTTATATACCAGGTTTCAGACACTCTTTCTGCACTACCTGGAAGTGGACATTTGCAGCGCTTTGAGGCCTATGATGAAAAAGGAAATATCTTCCCATAAAAACTAGACAGAAGCATTCTCAGAAACTTGTTTGTGATGTGTGTATTCAACTAACAGAGATGAACCTTTCTTTTTACAGAGCAGTTTTGAAACACTCTTTTTGTGGAATCTGAAAGTGGATATTTGGATAGCTTTGAGGATTTCGTTGGAAACGGGATTACATATAAAACCTAGAGAGAAGCATTCTCAGGAACTTCTTTGTGATGTTTGCCTTCAAGTCACAGGACTGAACATTCCCTTTCATAGAGCAGGTTTGAAACACTCTTTCTGTAGTATCTGCAAGCTGACGTTTCAAGCGCTTTCAGGCCTATGGTGAGAAAGGAAATATCTTCAAGTAAAAACTAGACAGAAGCATTCTCAGAAACTTATTTGCCATGTGTGTTCTCAACTAACAGAGTTGAACCTTTGTTTTGATACGGCATTTTGGAAACACTCTTTTTGTAGAATCTGCAGGTGGATATTCGGATAGCTTTGAAGGTTTCGTTGGAAACGGGAATATCTTCATATAAAATCTTGACGGAAGCATTCTCAGAAAGTGCTTTGTGATGTTTGCATTCAAGTCACAGAGTTGAATATTCCCTTTTATAGAGCAGGTTTGAAACACTCTTTCTGCACTATCTGGAAGTGGACATTTGGAGCGCTTTGAGGCCTATGTTGAAAAAGGAAATATCTTCCCATAAAAACTAGACAGAAGCATTCTCAGAAACTTCCTTGTGATGTGTGTACTCAAGTAACAGAGTTGAACCTTACTTTTGACAGAGCCGTTTTGACACAGTCTTTTTGTAGAATCTGGAAGTAGATATTTGGATACATTTGAGGATTTCTTTGGAAACGGGATATCTTCATATAAAATCTAGACAGAGAAACATTCTCAGGGAACTTCTTTGTGATGTTTGCATTCACGTCACAGAACTGAACATTCCCTTTCATAGAGCATGTTTGAAACACTCTTTCTGTAGTATCTGCAAACGGACATTTCAAGCGCTTTCAGGCCTATGGTAAGAAAGGAAATATCTTCAAATAAAAACTAGAAAGAAGCATTCTCAGAAACTTATTTGCGATGTGTGTCCTCAACTAACAGAGTTGAACCTTTGTTTTGATACAACATTTTGGAAACACTCTTTTTGTAGAATCTGCAAGTGGATATTTGGATAGCTTTGAAGGTTTCGTTGGAAACGGGAATATCTTCATATAAAATCAAGACAGAAGCATTCTCAGAAAGTGCTTTGTGATGTTTGCATTCAAGTCACAGAGTTGAATGTTCCCTTTTATAGAGCAGGTTTGAAACACTCTTTCTGCACTACCTGGAAGTGGACATTTGGAGCGCTTTGAGGCCTATGTTGAAAAAGGAAATATCTTCCCATAAAAACTAGACAGAAGCATTCTCAGAAACTTGTTTGTGATGTGTGTATTCAACTAACAGAGATGAACCTTTCTTTTTACAGAGCAGTTTTGAAACACTCTTTTTGTGGAATCTGAAAGTGGATATTTGGATAGCTTTGAGGATTTCGTTGGAAACGGGATTACATATAAAATCTAGAGAGAAGCATTCTCAGGAACTTCTTTGTGATGTTTGCATTCAAGTCACAGAACTGAACATTCCCTTTCATAGAGCATGTTTGAAACACTCTTTCTGTAGTATCTGCAAACGGACATTTCAAACGCTTTCAGGCCTATGGTGAGAAAGGAAATATCTTCAAATAAAAACTAGACAGAAGCATTCTCAGAAACTTATTTGCCATGTGTGTTCTCAACTAACAGAGTTGAACCTTTGTTTTGATACGGCATTTTGGAAACACTCTTTTTGTAGAATCTGCAGGTGGATATTCGGATAGCTTTGAAGGTTTCGTTGGAAACGGGAATATCTTCATATAAAATCTAGACGGAAGCATTCTCAGAAACTGCTTTGTGATGTTTTCATTCAAGTCACAGAGTAGAATGTTCCCTGTTATATACCAGGTTTGAGACACTCTTTCTGCACTACCTGGAAGTGGACATTTGCAGCGCTTTGAGGCCTATGATGAAAAAGGAAATATCTTCCCATAAAAACTAGACAGAAGCATTCTCAGAAACTTGTTTGTGATGTGTGTATTCAACTAACAGAGATGAACCTTTCTTTTTACAGAGCAGTTTTGAAACACTCTTTTTGTGGAATCTGAAAGTGGATATTTGGATAGCTTTGAGGATTTCGTTGGAAACGGGATTACATATAAAACCTAGAGAGAAGCATTCTCAGGAACTTCTTTGTGATGTTTGCCTTCTAGTCACAGGACTGAACATTCCCTTTCATAGAGCAGGTTTGAAACACTCTTTCTGTAGTATCTGCAAGCTGACGTTTCAAGCGCTTTCAGGCCTATGGTGAGAAAGGAAATATCTTCAAGTAAAAACTAGACAGAAGCATTCTCAGAAACTTATTTGCCATGTGTGTTCTCAACTAACAGAGTTGAACCTTTGTTTTGATACGGCATTTTGGAAACACTCTTTTTGTAGAATCTGCAGGTGGATATTCGGATAGCTTTGAAGGTTTCGTTGGAAACGGGAATATCTTCATATAAAATCTAGACGGAAGCATTCTCAGAAACTTCTCTGTGATGTTTGCATTCAACTCATAGAGTTGAACACTTCCCTTCATACAGCAGGTTTGAAACACTCTTTTTGTAATATTTGGAAGTGGACTTTTGCAGCGCTTTGAGGCTTATGATGAAAAAGGTAATATCTTCCCATAAAAACTAGACAGAAGCATTCTCAGAAACTTCCTTGTGATGTGTGTACTCAAGTAACAGAGTTGAACCTTACTTTTGACAGAGCCGTTTTGAAACAGTCTTGTTGTAGAATCTGGAAGTAGATATTTGGACACCTTTGAGGATTTCTTTGGAAACGGGATATCTTCATATAAAATCTAGACAGAAGCATTCTCAGAAACTTCTTTGTGCTGTATGTCCTCAATTAAGAGAGTTGAACCTTTGTGTGGATACAGCATTTTGGAAACACTCCTTTAGTAGAATCTGCAAGTTGATCTTTAGATAGCTAGGAAGATTTCCTTGGAAACGGGAATATCTTCATATAAAATCTAGACGGAAGCATTCTCAGAAACTTATTTGCGATGTGTGTCCTCAACTAACAGAGTTGAACCTTTCTTTTGATACAACATTTTGGAAACACTCTTTTTGTAGAATCTGCAAGTGGATATTTGGATAGCTTTGAAGGTTTCGTTGGAAACGGGAATATCTTCATATGAAATCAAGACAGAAGCATTCTCAGAAACTTCTCTGTGATGTTTGCATTCAACTCATAGAGTTGAACACTTCCCTTCATACAGCAGGTTTGAAACACTCTTTTTGTAATATTTGGAAGTGGACTTTTGCAGCGCTTTGAGGCCTATGATGAAAAAGGTAATATCTTCCCATAAAAACTAGACAGAAGCATTCTCAGAAACTTGTTTGTGATGTGTGTATTCAACTAACAGAGATGAACCTTTCTTTTTACAGAGCAGTTTTGAAACACTCTTTTTGTGGAATCTGAAAGTGGATATTTGGATAGCTTTGCGGATTTCGTTGGAAACGGGATTACATATAAAATCTAGGGAGAAGCATTCTCAGGAACTTCTTTGTGATGTTTGCATTCAAGTCACAGAACTGAACATTCCCTTTCATAGAGCAGGTTTGAAACACTCTTTCTGTAGTATCTGCAAGCGGACGTTTTAAGCGCTTTCAGGCCTGTGGTGAGAAAGGAAATATCTTCAAATAAAAACTAGACAGAAGCATTCTCAGAAACTTATTTGCGATGTGTGTCCTCAACTAACAGAGTTGAACCTTTCTTTTGATACAACATTTTGGAAACACTCTTTTTGTAGAATCTTCAAGTGGATATTTGAATAGCTTTGAAGGTTTCGTTGGAAACGGGAATATCTTCATATAAAATCAAGACAGAAGCATTCTCAGAAAGTGCTTTGTGATGTTTGCATTCAAGTCACAGAGTTGAATATTCCCTTTTATAGAGCAGGTTTGAAACACTCTTTCTGCACTACCTGGAAGTGCACATTTGGAGCGCTTTGAGGCCTATGTTGAAAAAGGAAATATCTTCCCATAAAAACTAGACAGAAGCATTCTCAGAAACCTGTTTGTGATGTGTGTATTCAACTAACAGAGATGAACCTTTCTTTTTACAGAGCAGTTTTGAAACACTCTTTTTGTGGAATCTGAAAGTGGATATTTGGATAGATTTGAGGATTTCGTTGGAAACGGGATTACATAAAAAACCTAGAGGGAAGCATTCTCAGGAACTTCTTTGTGATGTTTGCATTCACGTCACAGAACTGAACATTCCCTTTCATAGAGCATGTTTAAAACACTCTTTCTGTAGTATCTGCAAACGGACATTTCAAACGCTTTCAGGCGTATGGTGAGAAAGGAAATATCTTCAAATAAAAACTAGACAGAAGCATTCTCAGAAACTTATTTGCCATGTGTGTTCTCAACTAACAGAGTTGAACCTTTGTTTTGATACGGCATTTTGGAAACACTCTTTTTGTAGAATCTGCAGGTGCATATTCGGTTAGCTTTGAAGGTTTCGTTGGAAACGGGAATATCTTCATATAAAATCTACACGGAAGCATTCTCAGAAACTGCTTTGTGATGTTTTCATTCAAGTCACAGAGTAGAATGTTCCCTGTTATATACCAGGTTTGAGACACTCTTTCTGCACTACCTGGAAGTGGACGTTTGGAGCGCTTTGAGGCCTATGTTGAAAAAGGAAATATCTTCCCATAAAAACTAGACAGAAGCATTCTCAGAAACTTGTTTGTGATGTGTGTATTCAACTAACAGAGATGAACCTTTCTTTTTACAGAGCAGTTTTGAAACACTCTTTTTGTGGAATCTTAAAGTGGATATTTGGATAGCTTTGAGGATTTCGTTGGAAACGGGATTACATATAAAACCTAGAGAGAAGCATTCTCAGGAACTTCTTTGTGATGTTTGCATTCACGTCACAGAACTGAACATTCCCTTTCATAGAGCATGTTTGAAACACTCTTTCTGTAGTATCTGCAAACGGACATTTCAAACGCTTTCAGGCCTATGGTGAGAAAGGAAATATCTTCAAATAAAAACTAGACAGAAGCATTCTCAGAAACTTATTTGCGATGTGTGTTCTCAGCTAACAGAGTTGAACCTTTGTTTTGATACAGCATTTTGGAAACACTCTTTTTGTAGGATCTGCAGGTGGATATTTGGATAGCTTTGAAGGTTTCTTTGGAAACGGGAATATCTTCATATAAAATCAAGACAGAAGCATTCTCAGAAAGTGCTTTGTGATGTTTGCATTCAAGTCACAGAGTTGAATATTCCCTTTTATAGAGCAGGTTTGAAACACTCTTTCTGCACTACCTGGAAGTGGACATTTGGAGCGCTTTGAGGCCTATGTTGAAAAAGTAAATATCTTCCCATAAAAACTAGACAGAATCATTGTCAGAAACTTGTTTGTAATGTGTGTATTCAACTAACAGAGATGAACCTTTCTTTTTACAGAGCAGTTTTGAAACACTCTTTTTGTGGAATCTGAAAGTGGATATTTGGATAGCTTTGAGGATTTCGTTGGAAACGGGATTACATATAAAACCTAGAGAGAAGCATTCTCAGGAACTTCTTTGTGATGTTTGCCTTCAAGTCACAGGACTGAACATTCCCTTTCATAGAGCAGGTTTGAAACACTCTTTCTGTAGTACCTGCAAGCTGACGTTTCAAGCGCTTTCAGGCCTATGGTGAGAAAGGAAATATCTTCAAGTAAAAACTAGACAGAAGCATTCTCAGAAACTTATTTGCGATGTGTGTTCTCAACTAACAGAGTTGAACCTTTGTTTTGATACAGCATTTTGGAAACACTCTTTTTGTAGGATCTGCAGGTGGATATTTGGATAGCTTTGAAGGTTTCGTTGGAAACGGGAATATCCTCATATAAAATCAACACAGAAGCATTCTCAGAAACTTCTCTGTGATGTTTGCATTCAACTCATAGAGTTGAACACTTCCCTTCATACAACAGGTTTGAAACACTCTTTTTGTAATATTTGGAAGTGGACATTTGCAGCGCTTTGAGGCCTATGTTGAAAAAGGAAATATCTTCTACTAAAAACCAGACAGAAGCATTCTCAGAAACTTCCTTGTGATGTGTGTACTCAAGTATCAGAGTTGAACATTACTTTTGACAGAGCCGTTTTGAAACAGTCTTTTTGTAGAATCTGGAAGTAGATATTTGGATAGCTTTGAGGATTTCTTTGGAAACGGGATATCTTCATATAAAATCTAGACAGAAGCATTCTCAGGAACTTCTTTGTGATGTTTGCATTCAAGTCACAGAACTGAACATTCTCTTTCATAGAGCAGGTTTGAAACACTCTTTCTGTAGTATCTGGAAGCGGACGTTTCAAACGCTTTCAGGACTGTGGTGAAAAAGGAAATATCTTCAAATAAAAACTAGACAGAAGCATTCTCATTGACTTATTTGCGATGTGTGTTCTCAACTAACAGAGTTGAACAATTGTTTTGATACAGCATTTTGGAAACACTCTTTTTGTAGGATCTGCAGGTGGATATTTGGATAGCTTTGAAGGTTTCGTTGGAAACGGGAATATCTTCATATAAAATCAAGACAGAAGCATTCTCAGAAACTTCTCTGTGATGTTTGCATTCAACTCATAGAGTTGAACACCTCCTTTCATAGAGCCGGTTTGAAACACTCTGTGCACTACCTGGAAGTGGACATTTGGAGCGCTTTGAGGTCTATGTTGAAAAAGGAAATATCTTCCCATAAAAACTAGACAGAAGCATTCTCAGAAACTTGTTTGTGATGTGTGTATTCAACTAACAGAGATGAACCTTTCTTTTTACAGAGCAGTTTTGAAACACTCTTTTTGTGGAATCTGAAAGTGGATATTTGGATAGCTTTGAGGATTTCGTTGGAAACGGGATTACATATAAAATCTAGAGAGAAGCATTCTCAGGAACTTCTTTGTGATGTTTGCATTCACGTCACAGAACTGAACATTCCCTTTCATAGAGCATGTTTGAAACACTCTTTCTGTAGTATCTGCAAACGGACATTTCAAACGCTTTCAGGCCTATGGTGAGAAAGGAAATATCTTCAAATAAAAACTAGACAGAAGCATTCTCAGAAACTTATTTGCGATGTGTGTCCTCAACTAACAGAGTTGAACCCTTTCTTTTGATACAACATTTTGGAAACACTCTTTTTGTAGAATCTGCAAGTGGATATTTGAATAGCTTTGAAGGTTTCGTTGGAAACGGGAATATCTTCATATAAAATCAAGACAGAAGCATTCTCAGAAAGTGCTTTGTGATGTTTGCATTCAAGTCACAGAGTTGAATATTCCCTTTTATAGAGCAGGTTTGAAACACTCTTTCTGCACTACCTGGAAGTGGACATTTGGAGCGCTTTGAGGCCTATGTTGAAAAAGGAAATATCTTCCCATAAAAACTAGACAGAAGCATTCTCAGAAACTTGTTTGTGATGTGTGTATTCAACTAACAGAGATGAACCTTTCTTTTTACAGAGCAGTTTTGAAACACTCTTTTTGTGGAATCTGAAAGTGGATATTTGGATAGCTTTGAGGATTTCGTTGGAAACGGGATTACATATAAAATCTAGAGAGAAGCATTCTCAGGAACTTCTTTGTGATGTTTGCATTCAAGTCACAGAACTGAACATTCCCTTTCATAGAGCAGGTTTGAAACACTCTTTCTGTAGTATCTGCAAGCGGACGTTTTAAGCGCTTTCAGGCCTGTGGTGAGAAAGGAAATATCTTCAAATAAAAACTAGACAGAAGCATTCTCAGAAACTTATTTGCGATGTGTGTTCTCAGCTAACAGAGTTGAACCTTTGTTTTGATACAGCATTTTGGAAACACTCTTTTTGTAGGATCTGCAGGTGGATATTTGGATAGCTTTGAAGGTTTCTTTGGAAACGGGAATATCTTCATATAAAATCAAGACAGAAGCATTCTCAGAAACTGCTTTGTGATGTTTTCATTCAAGTCACAGAGTAGAATCTTCCCTGTTATATACCAGGTTTCAGACACTCTTTCTGCACTACCTGGAAGTGGACATTTGCAGCGCTTTGAGGCCTATGATGAAAAAGGAAATATCTTCCCATAAAAACTAGACAGAAGCATTCTCAGAAACTTGTTTGTGATGTGTGTATTCAACTAACGGAGATGAACCTTTCTTTTTACAGAGCAGTTTTGAAACACTCTTTTTGTGGAATCTGAAAGTGGATATTTGGATAGCTTTGCGGATTTCGTTGGAAACGGGATTACATATAAAATCTAGGGAGAAGCATTCTCAAGAACTTCTTTGTGATGTTTGCATTCACGTCACAGAACTGATCATTCCCTTTCATAGAGCATGTTTGAAACACTCTTTCTGTAGTGTCTGCAAACGGACATTTCAAACGCTTTCAGGCCTATGGTGAGAAAGGAAATATCTTCAAATAAAAACTAGACAGAAGCATTCTCAGAAACTTATTTGCGATGTGTGTCCTCAACTAACAGAGTTGAACCTTTGTTTTGATACAACATTTTGGAAACACTCTTTTTGTAGAATCTGCAAGTGGATATTTGGATAGCTTTGAAGGTTTCGTTGGAAACGGGAATATCTTCATATAAAATCAAGACAGAAGCATTCTCAGAAACTGCTTTGTGATGTTTTCATTCAAGTCACAGAGTAGAATGTTCCCTGTTATATACCAGGTTTGAGACACTCTTTCTGCACTACCTGGAAGTGGACATTTGCAGCGCTTTGAGGCCTATGATGAAAAAGGAAATATCTTCCCATAAAAACTAGACAGAAGCATTCTCAGAAACTTGTTTTTGATGTGTGTATTCAACTAACAGAGATGAACCTTTCTTTTTACAGAGCAGTTTTGAAACACTCTTTTTGTGGAATCTGAAAGTGGATATTTGGATAGCTTTGAGGATTTCGTTGGAAACGGGATTACATATAAAATCTAGAGAGAAGCATTCTCAGGAACTTCTTTGTGATGTTTGCATTCAAGTCACAGAACTGAACATTCCCTTTCATAGAGCAGGTTTGAAACACTCTTTCTGTAGTATCTGCAAGCTGACGTTTCAAGCGCTTTCAGGCCTATGGTGAGAAAGGAAATATCTTCAAGTAAAAACTAGACAGAAGCATTCTCAGAAACTTATTTGCGATGTGTGTCCTCAACTAACAGAGTTGAACCTTTCTTTTGATACAACATTTTGGAAACACTCTTTTTGTAGAATCTGCAAGTGGATATTTGGATAGCTTTGAAGGTTTCGTTGGAAACGGGAATATCTTCATATAAAATCAAGACAGAAGCATTCTCAGAAACTGCTTTGTGATGTTTTCATTCAAGTCACAGAGTAGAATGTTCCCTGTTATATACCAGGTTTGAGACACTCTTTCTGCACTACCTGGAAGTGGACATTTGCAGCGCTTTGAGGCCTATGATGAAAAAGGAAATATCTTCCCATAAAAACTAGACAGAAAGCATTCTCAGGAAACTTGTTTGTGATGTGTGTATTCAACTAACAGAGATGAACCTTTCTTTTTACAGAGCAGTTTTGAAACACTCTTTTTGTGGAATCTGAAAGTGGATATTTGGATAGCTTTGCGGATTTCGTTGGAAACGGGATTACATATAAAATCTAGGGAGAAGCATTCTCAGGAACTTCTTTGTGATGTTTGCATTCAAGTCACAAAACTGAACATTCCCTTTCATAGAGTAGGATTGAAACACTCTTTCTGTAGTATCTGCAAGCGGACGTTTCAAGCGCTTTCAGGCCTGTGGTGAAAAAGGAAATATCTTCAAATAAAAACTAGACAGAAGCATTCTCAGAAACTTATTTGCGATGTGTGTTCTCAACTAACAGAGTTGAACCTTTGTTTTGATACAGCATTTTGGAAACACTCTTTTTGTAGGATCTGCATGTGGATATTTGGATAGCTTTGAAGGTTTCGTTGGAAACGGGAATATCTTCATATAAAATCAAGACAGAAGCATTCTCAGAAACTTCTCAGTGATGTTTGCATTCAACTCATAGAGTTGAACACTTCCCTTCATAGAGCAGGTTTGAAACACTCTTTTTGTAATATTTGGAAGTGGACATTTACAGCGCTTTGAGGCCTATGTTGAAAAAGGAAATATCTTCCCATAAAAACTAGACAGAAGCATTCTCAGAAACTTGTTTGTGATGTGTGTATTCAACTAACAGAGATGAACCTTTCTTTTTACAGAGCAGTTTTGAAACACTCTTTTTGTGGAATCTGAAAGTGGATATTTGGATAGCTTTGAGGATTTCGTTGGAAACGGGATTACATAAAAAATCTAGGGAGAAGCATTCTCAGGAACTTCTTTGTGATGTTTGCCTTCAAGTCACAGGACTGAACATTCCCTTTCATAGAGCAGGTTTGAAACACTCTTTCTGTAGTATCTGCAAGCTGACGTTTCATGCGCTTTCAGGCCTATGGTGAGAAAGGAAATATCTTCAAGTAAAAACTAGACAGAAGCATTGTCAGAAACTTATTTGCCATGTGTGTTCTCAACTAACAGAGTTGAACCTTTGTTTTGATACGGCATTTTGGAAACACTCTTTTTGTAGAATCTGCAGGTGGATATTCGGATGGCTTTGAAGCTTTCGTTGGAAACGGGAATATCTTCATATAAAATCTAGACGGAAGCATTCTCAGAAACTGCTTTGTGATGTTTTCATTCAAGTCACAGAGTAGAATGTTCCCTGTTATATACCAGGTTTGAGACACTCTTTCTGCACTACCTGGAAGTGGACGTTTGGAGCGCTTTGAGGCCTATGTTGAAAAAGGAAATATCTTCCCATAAAAACTAGACAGAAGCATTGTCAGAAACTTGTTTGTGATGTGTGTATTCAACTAACAGAGATGAACCTTTCTTTTTACAGAGCAGTTTTGAAACACTCTTTTTGAGGAATCTGAAAGTGGATATTTGGATAGCTTTGAGGATTTCGTTGGAAACGGGATTACATATAAAACCTAGAGAGAAGCATTCTCAGGAACTCCTTTGTGATGTTTGCCTTCAAGTCACAGGACTGAACATTCCCTTTCATAGAGCAGGTTTGTAACACTCTTTCTGTAGTATCTGCAAGCTGACGTTTCAAGCGTTTTCAGGCCTATGGTGAGAAAGGAAATATCTTCAAGTAAAAACTAGACAGAAGCATTCTCAGAAACTTATTTGCCATGTGTGTTCTCAACTAACAGAGTTGAACCTTTGTTTTGATACGGCATTTTGGAAACACTCTTTTTGTAGAATCTGCAGGTGGATATACGGATAGCTTTGAAGGTTTCGTTGGAAACGGGAATATCTTCATATAAAGTCTAGACGGAAGCATTCTCAGAAACTGCTTTGTGATGTTTTCATTCAAGTCACAGAGTAGAATGTTCGCTGTTATATACCAGGTTTGAGACACTCTTTCTGCACTACCTGGAAGTGGACGTTTGGAGCGTTTTGAGCCCTATGTTGAAAAAGGAAATATCTTCCCACAAAAACTAGACAGAAGCATTCTCAGAAACTTGTTTGTGATGTGTGTATTCAACTAACAGAGATGAACCTTTCTTTTTACAGAGCAGTTTTGAAACACTCTTTTTGTGGAATCTGAAAGTGGATATTTGGATAGCTTTGAGGATTTCGTTGGAAACGGGATTACATATAAAACCTAGAGAGAAGCATTCTCAGGAACTTCTTTGTGATGTTTGCATTCACGTCACAGAACTGAACATTCCCTTTCATAGAGCATGTTTGAAACACTCTTTCTGTAGTATCTGCAAACGGACATTTCAAACGCTTTCAGGCCTATGGTGAGAAAGGAAATATCTTCAAATAAAAACTAGACAGAAGCATTCTCAGAAACTTATTTGCCATGTGTGTTCTCAACTAACAGAGTTGAACCTTTGTTTTGATACGGCATTTTGGAAACACTCTTTTTGTAGAATCTGCAGGTGGATATTCGGATAGCTTTGAAAGTTTCGTTGGAAACGGGAATATCTTCATATAAAATCTAGACGGAAGCATTCTCAGAAACTGCTTTGTGATGTTTTCATTCAAGTCACAGAGTAGAATGTTCCCTGTTATACACCAGGTTTGAGACACTCTTTCTGCACTACCTGGAAGTGGACGTTTGGAGCGCTTTGAGGCCTATGTTGAAAAAGGAAATATCTTCCCATAAAAACTAGACAGAAGCATTCTCAGAAACTTGTTTGTGATGTGTGTATTCAACTAACAGAGATGAACCTTTCTTTTTACAGAGCAGTTTTGAAACACTCTTTTTGTGGAATCTGAAAGTGGATATTTGGATAGCTTTGCGGATTTCGTTGGAAACGGGATTGCATATAAAATCTAGGGAGAAGCATTCTCAGGAACTTCTTTGTGATGTTTGCATTCAAGTCACAGAACTGAACATTCCCTTTCATAGAGCAGGTTTGAAACACTCTTTCTGTAGTATCTGCAAGCGGACGTTTCAAGCGCTTTCAGGCCTGTGGTGAAAAAGGAAACATCTTCAAATAAAAACTAGACAGAAGCGTTCTCAGAAACTTATTTGCGATCTGTGTTCTCAACTAACAGAGTTGAACCTTTGTTTTGATACAGCATTTTGGAAACACTCTTTTTGTAGGATCTGCAGGTGGATATTTGGATAGCTTTGAAGGTTTCGTTGGAAACGGGAATATCTTCATATAAAATCAAGACAGAAGCATTCTCAGCAAAGTGCTTTGTGATGTTTGCATTCAAGTCACAGTGTTGAATATTCCCTTTTATAGAGCAGGTTTGAAACACTCTTTCTGCACTACCTGGAAGTGGACATTTGGAGCGCTTTGAGGCCTATGTTGAAAAAGGAAATATCTTCCCATAAAAACTAGACAGAAGCATTCTCAGAAACTTGTTTGTGATGTGTGTATTCAACTAACAGAGATGAACCTTTCTTTTTACAGAGCAGTTTTGAAACACTCTTTTTGTGGAATCTGAAAGTGGATATTTGGATAGCTTTGAGGATTTCGTTGGAAACGGGATTACATATAAAACCTAGAGAGAAGCATTCTCAGGAACTTCTTTGTGATGTTTGCATTCAAGTCACAGAACTGAACATTCCCTTTCATTGAGCAGCTTTGAAACACTCTTTCTATAGTATCTGCAAGCGGACGTTTCAAGCGCTTTCAGGCCTGTGGTGAAAAGGGAAATATCTTCAAATAAAAACTAGACAGAAGCATTCTCAGAAACTTATTTGCGATGTGTGTTCTCAACTAACAGAGTTGAACCTTTGTTTTGATACAGCATTTTGGAAACACTCTTTTTGTAGGATCTGCAGGTGGATATTTGGATAGATTTGAAGGTTTCGTTGGAAACGGGAATATCTTCATATAAAATCAACACAGAAGCATTCTCAGAAAGTGCTTTGTGATGTTTGCATTCAAGTCACAGAGTTGAATATTCCCTTTTATAGAGCAGGTTTGAAACACTCTTTCTGCACTACCTGGAAGTGGACATTTGGAGCGCTTTGAGGCCTATGTTGAAAAAGGAAATATCTTCCCATAAAAACTAGACAGAAGCATTCTCAGAAACTTGTTTGTGATGTGTGTATTCAACTAACAGAGATGAACCTTTCTTTTTACAGAGCAGTTTTGAAACACTCTTTTTGTGGAATCTGAAAGTGGATATTTGGATAGCTTTGAGGATTTCGTTGGAAACGGGATTACATATAAAACCTAGAGAGAAGCATTCTCAGGAACTTCTTTGTGATGTTTGCATTCAAGTCACAGGACTGAACGTTCCCTTTCATAGAGCAGGTTTGAAACACTCTTTCTGTAGTATCTGCAAGCTGACGTTTCATGCGTTTTCAGGCCTATGGTGAGAAAGGAAATATCTTCAAGTAAAAACTAGACAGAAGCATTCTCAGAAACTTCTTTGTGCTGTATATCCTCAATTAACAGAGTTGAACCTTTGTGTGGATACAGCATTTTGGAAACACTCCTTTAGTAGAATCTGCAAGTTGATATTTAGATAGCTAGGAAGATTTCCTTGGAAACGGGAATATCTTCACATAAAATCTAGACGGAAGCATTCTCAGAAACTGCTTTGTGATGTCTTCATTCAAGTCACGGAGCAGAATGTTCCCTTTTATAGAGCAGGTTTGAAACACTCAGTGCACTACCTGGAAGTGGACATTTGGAGCGCTTTGAGGCCTATGTTGAAAAAGGAAATATCTTCCCATAGAAACTAGACAGAAGCATTCTCAGAAACTTGTTTGTGATGTGGTTATTCAACTGAGATGAACCTTTCTTTTTACAGAGCAGTTTTGAAACACTCTTTTTGTGGAATCTGAAAGTGGATATTTGGATAGCTTTGAGGATTTCGTTGGAAACGGGATTACATATAAAATCTAGGGAGAAGCATTCTCAGGAACTTCTTTGTGATGTTTGCATTCAAGTCACAGAACTGAACATTCCCTTTCATAGAGCAGGTGTGAAACACTCTTTCTGTAGTATCTGCAAGCTGACGTTTCAAGCGCTTTCAGGCCTATGGTGAGAAAGGAAATATCTTCAAGTAAAAACTAGACAGAAACATTCTCAGAAACTTATTTGCCATGTGTGTTCTCAACTAACAGAGTTGAACCTTTGTTTTGATACGGCATTTTGGAAACACTCTTTTTGTAGAATCTGCAGGTGGATATTCGAATAGCTTTGAAGGTTTCGTTGGAAACGGGAATATCTTCATATAAAATCTAGACGGAAGCATTCTCAGAAACTGCTTTGTGATGTTTTCATTCAAGTCACAGAGTAGAATGTTCCCTGTTATATACCAGGTTTGAGACACTCTTTCTGCACTACCTGGAAGTGGACGTTTGGAGCGCTTTGAGGCCTTTGTTGAAAAAGGAAATATCTTCCCATAAAAACTAGACAGAAGCATTCTCAGAAACTTGTTTGTGATGTGTGTATTCAACTAACAGAGATGAACCTTTCTTTTTACAGAGCAGTTTTGAAACACTCTTTTTGTGGAATCTGAAAGTGGATATTTGGATAGCTTTGAGGATTTCGTTGGAAACGGGATTACATATAAAACCTAGAGAGAAGCATTCTCAGGAACTTCTTTGTGATGTTTGCATTCACGTCACAGAACTGAACATTCCCTTTCATAGAGCATGTTTGAAACACTCTTTCTGTAGTATCTGCAAACGGACATTTCAAACGCTTTCAGGCCTATGGTGAGAAAGGAAATATCTTCAAATAAAAACTAGACAGAAGCATTCTCAGAAACATATTTGCCATGTGTGTTCTCAACTAACAGAGTTGAACCTTTGTTTTGATACGGCATTTTGGAAACACTCTTTTTGTAGTATCTGCAGGTGGATATTCGGATAGCTTTGAAGGTTTCGTTGGAAACGGGAATATCTTCATATAAAATCTAGACGGAAGCACTCTCAGAAAGTGCTTTGTGATGTTTGCATTCAAGTCACAGAGTTGAATATTCCGTTTTATAGAGCAGGTTTGAAACACTCTTTCTGCACTACCTGGAAGTGGACATTTGGAGCGCTTTGAGGCCTATGTTGAAAAAGGAAATATCTTCCCATAAAAACTAGACAGAAGCATTCTCAGAAACTTGTTTGTGATGTGTGTATTCAACTAACAGAGATGAACCTTTCTTTTTACAGAGCAGTTTTGAAACACTCTTTTTGTGGAATCTGAAAGTGGATATTTGGATAGCTTTGAGGATTTCGTTGGAAACGGGATTACATATAAAATCTAGAGAGAAACATTCTCTGGAACTTCTTTGTGATGTTTGCATTCAAGTCACAGAACTGAACATTCCCTTTCATAGAGCAGGTTTGAAACACTCTTTCTGTAGTATCTGCAACCGGACGTTTCAAGCGCTTTCAGGCCTGTGGTGAAAAAGGATATATCTTCAAATAAAAACTAGACAGAAGCATTCTCAGAAACTTCTTTGTGCTGTATGTCCTCAATTAACAGAGTTGAACCTTTGTGTGGATACAGCATTTTGGAAACATTCCTTTAGTAGAATCTGCAAGTTGATATTTAGATAGCTAGGAAGATTTCCTTGGAAAAGGGAATATCTTCATATAAAATCTAGACGGAAGCATTCTCAGAAAGTGCTTTGTGATGTTTGCATTCAAGTCACAGAGTTGAATATTCCCTTTTATAGAGCAGGTTTGAAACACTCTTTCTGCACTACCTGGAAGTGGACATTTGGAGCGCTTTGAGGCCTATGTTGAAAAAGGAAATATCTTCCCATAAAAACTAGACAGAAGCATTCTCAGAAACTTGTTTGTGATGTGTGTATTCAACTAACAGAGATGAACCTTTCTTTTTACAGAGCAGTTTTGAAACACTCTTTTTGTGGAATCTGAAAGTGGATATTTGGATAGCTTTGCGGATTTCGTTGGAAACGGGATTACATATAAAATCTAGGGAGAAGCATTCTCAGGAACTTCTTTGTGATGTTTGCATTCACGTCACAGAACTGAACATTCCCTTTCATAGAGCATGTTTGAAACACTCTTTCTGTAGTATCTGCAAACGGACATTTCAAGCGATTTCAGGCCTATGGTGAGAAAGGAAATATCTTCAAATAAAAACTAGACAGAAGCATTCTCAGAAACTTATTTGCGATGTGTGTCCTCAACTAACAGAGTTGAACCTTTGTTTTGATACAACATTTTGGAAACACTCTTTTTGTAGAATCTGCAGGTGGATATTTGGATAGCTTTGAAGTTTTCGTTGGAAACGGGAATATCTTCATATAAAATCAAGACAGAAGCATTCTCAGAAACTTCTCTGTGATGTTTGCATTCAACTCATAGAGTTGAACACTTCCCTTCATACAGCAGGTTTGAAACACTCTTTTTGTAATATTTGGAAGTGGACATTTGCAGCGCTTTGAGGCCTATGTTGAAAAAGGAAATATCTTCTCCTAAAAACCAGACAGAAGCATTCTCAGAAACTTCCTTGTGATGTGTGTACTCAGGTAACAGAGTTGAACCTTACTTTTGACAGAGCCGTTTTGAAACAGTCTTTTTGTAGAATCTGGAAGTAGATATTTGGATACCTTTGAGGATTTCTTTGGAAACGGGATATCTTCATATAAAATCTAGACAGAAGCATTCTCAGGAACTTCTTTGTGATGTTTGCATTCACGTCACAGAACTGAACATTCCCTTTCATAGAGCATGTTTGAAACACTCTTTCTGTAGTATCTGCAAACGGACATTTCAAACGCTTTCAGGCCTATGGTGAGAAAGGAAATATCTTCAAGTAAAAACTAGACAGAAGCATTCTCAGAAACTTATTTGCGATGTGTGTCCTCAACTAACAGAGTTGAACCTTTCTTTTGATACAACATTTTGGAAACACTCTTTTTGTAGAATCTGCAAGTGGATATTTGGATAGCTTTGAAGGTTTCGTTGGAAACGGGAATATCTTCATATGAAATCAAGACAGAAGCATTCTCAGAAACTGCTTTGTGATGTTTTCATTCAAGTCACAGAGTAGAATGTTCCCTGTTATATACCAGGTTTGAGACACTCTTTCTGCACTACCTGGAAGTGGACGTTTGGAGCGCTTTGAGGCCTATGTTGAAAAAGGAAATATCTTCCCATAAAAACTAGACAGAAGCATTCTCAGAAACTTGTTTGTGATGTGTGTATTCAACTAACAGAGATGAACCTTTCTTTTTACAGAGCAGTTTTGAAACACTCTTTTTGTGGAATCTGAAAGTGGATATTTGGATAGCTTTGCGGATTTCGTTGGAAACGGGATTACATATAAAATCTAGGGAGAAGCATTCTCAGGAACTTCTTTGTGATGTTTGCATTCAAGTCACAGAACTGAACATTCCCTGTCATAGAGCATGTTTGAAACACTCTTTCTGTAGTATCTGCAAGCGGACGTTTCAAGCGCTTTCAGGCCTATGGAGAGAAAGGAAATATCTTCAAGTAAAAACTAGACAGAAGCATTCTCAGAAACTTATTTGCGATGTGTGTTCTCAACTAACAGAGTTGAACCTTTGTTTTGATACAACATTTTGGAAACACTCTTTTTGTAGAATCTGCAAGTGGATATTTGGATAGCTTTGAAGGTTTCGTTGGAAACGAGAATATCTTCATATAAAATCAAGACGGAAGCATTCTCAGAAAGTGCTTTGTGATGTTTGCATTCAAGTCACAGTAGTTGAATGTTCCCTTTTATAGAGCAGGTTTGAAACACTCTTTCTGCACTACCTGGAAGTGGACATTTGGAGCGCTTTGAGGCCTATGTTGAAAAAGGAAATATCTTCCCATAAAAACTAGACAGAAGCATTCTCAGAAACTTGTTTGTGATGTGTGTATTCAACTAACAGAGATGAACCTTTCTTTTTACAGAGCAGTTTTGAAACACTCTTTTTGTGGAATCTGAAAGTGGATATTTGGATAGCTTTGCGGATTTCGTTGGAAACGGGATTACATATAAAATCTAGGGAGAAGCATTCTCAGGAACTTCTTTGTGATGTTTGCATTCAAGTCACAGAACTGAACATTCCCTTTCATAGAGCAGGTTTGAAACACTCTTTCTGTAGTATCTGCAAGCTGACGTTTCAAGCGCTTTCAGGCCTATGGTGAGAAAGGAAATATCTTCAAGTAAAAACTAGACAGAAGCATTCTCAGAAACTTATTTGCGATGTGTGTCCTCAACTAACAGAGTTGAACCTTTCTTTTGATACAACATTTTGGAAACACTCTTTTTGTAGAATCTGCAAGTGGATATTTGAATAGCTTTGAAGGTTTCGTTGGAAACGGGAATATCTTCATATAAAATCAAGACAGAAGCATTCTCAGAAAGTGCTTTGTGATGTTTGCATTCAAGTCACAGAGTTGAATATTCCCTTTTATAGAGCAGGTTTGAAACACTCTTTCTGCACTACCTGGAAGTGGACATTTGGAGCGCTTTGAGGCCTATGTTGAAAAAGGAAATATCTTCCCATAAAAACTAGACAGAAGCATTCTCAGAAACTTGTTTGTGATGTGTGTATTCAACTAACAGAGATGAACCTTTCTTTTTACAGAGCAGTTTTGAAACACTCTTTTTGTGGAATCTGAAAGTGGATATTTGGATAGCTTTGAGGATTTCGTTGGAAACAGGATTACATATAAAATCTAGAGAGAAGCATTCTCAGGAACTTCTTTGTGATGTTTGCATTCAAGTCACAGAACTGAACATTCCCTTTCATAGAGCATGTTTGAAACACTCTTTCTGTAGTATCTGCAAGCGGACGTTTTAAGCGCTTTCAGGCCTGTGGTGAGAAAGGAAATATCTTCAAATAAAAACTAGACAGAAGCATTCTCAGAAACTTATTTGCCATGTGTGTTCTCAACTAACAGAGTTGAACCTTTGTTTTGATACGGCATTTTGGAAACACTCTTTTTGTAGAATCTGCAGGTGGATATTCGGATAGCTTTGAAGGTTTCGTTGGAAACGGGAATATCTTCATATAAAATCTAGACGGAAGCATTCTCAGAAACTGCTTTGTGATGTTTTCATTCAAGTCACAGAGTAGAATCTTCCCTGTTATATACCAGGTTTCAGACACTCTTTCTGCACTACCTGGAAGTGGACATTTGCAGCGCTTTGAGGCCTATGATGAAAAAGGAAATATCTTCCCATAAAAACTAGACAGAAGCATTCTCAGAAACTTGTTTGTGATGTGTGTATTCAACTAACAGAGATGAACCTTTCTTTTTACAGAGCAGTTTTGAAACACTCTTTTTGTGGAATCTGAAAGTGGATATTTGGATAGCTTTGAGGATTTCGTTGGAAACGGGATTACATATAAAACCTAGAGAGAAGCATTCTCAGGAACTTCTTTGTGATGTTTGCATTCAAGTCACAGAACTGAACATTCCCTTTCATAGAGCAGGTTTGAAACACTCTTTCTGTAGTATCTGCAAGCTGACGTTTCAAGCGCTTTCAGGCCTATGGTGAGAAAGGAAATATCTTCAAGTAAAAACTAGACAGAAGCATTCTCAGAAACTTATTTGCGATGTGTGTCCTCAACTAACAGAGTTGAACCTTTCTTTTGATACAACATTTTGGAAACACTCTTTTTGTAGAATCTGCAAGTGGATATTTGGATAGCTTTGAAGGTTTCGTTGGAAACGGGAATATCTTCATATGAAATCAAGACAGAAGCATTCTCAGAAACTTCTCTGTGATGCTTGCATTCAACTCATAGAGTTGAACACTTCCTTTCATAGAGCAGGTTTGAAACACTCTGTGCACTACCTGGAAGTGGACATTTGGAGCGCTTTGAGGCCTATGTTGAAAAAGGAAATATCTTCCCATAAAAACTAGACAGAAGCATTCTCAGAAACTTGTTTGTGATGTGTGTATTCAACTAACAGAGATGAACCTTTCTTTTTACAGAGCAGTTTTGAAACACTCTTTTTGTGGAATCTGAAAGTGGATATTTGGATAGCTTTGCGGATTTCGTTGGAAACGGGATTACATATAAAATCTAGGGAGAAGCATTCTCAGGAACTTCTTTGTGATGTTTGCATTCACGTCACAGAACTGAACATTCCCTTTCATAGAGCATGTTTGAAACACTCTTTCTGTAGTATCTGCAAACGGACATTTCAAACGCTTTCAGGCCTATGGTGAGAAAGGAAATATCTTCAAATAAAAACTAGACAGAAGCATTCTCAGAAACTTATTTGCGATGTGTGTCCTCAACTAACAGAGTTGAACCTTTCTTTTGATACAACATTTTGGAAACACTCTTTTTGTAGAATCTGCAAGTGGATATTTGAATAGCTTTGAAGGTTTCGTTGGAAACGGGAATATCTTCATATAAAATCAAGACAGAAGCATTCTCAGAAAGTGCTTTGTGATGTTTGCATTCAAGTCACAGAGTTGAATATTCCCTTTTATAGAGCAGGTTTGAAACACTCTTTCTGCACTACCTGGAAGTGGACATTTGGAGCGCTTTGAGGCCTATGTTGAAAAAGGAAATATCTTCCCATAAAAACTAGACAGAAGCATTCTCAGAAACTTGTTTGTGATGTGTGTATTCAACTAACAGAGATGAACCTTTCTTTTTACAGAGCAGTTTTGAAACACTCTTTTTGTGGAATCTGAAAGTGGATATTTGGATAGCTTTGAGGATTTCGTTGGAAACGGGATTACATATAAAACCTAGAGAGAAGCATTCTCAGGAACTTCTTTGTGATGTTTGCATTCAAGTCACAGAACTGAACATTCCCTTTCATAGAGCAGGTTTGAAACACTCTTTCTGTAGTATCTGCAAGCGGACGTTTTAAGCGCTTTCAGGCCTGTGGTGAGAAAGGAAATATCTTCAAATAAAAACTAGACAGAAGCATTCTCAGAAACTTATTTGCGATGTGTGTCCTCAACTAACAGAGTTGAACCTTTCTTTTGATACAACATTTTGGAAACACACTTTGTGTGGAATCTGCAAGTGGATATTTGGACAGCTTTGAAGGTTTCGTTGGAAACGGGAATATCTTCATATAAAATCAATACAGAAGCATTCTCAGAAACTGCTTTGTGATGTTTTCATTCAAGTCACAGAGTAGAATGTTCCCTGTTATATACCAGGTTTGAGACACTCTTTCCGCACTACCTGGAAGTGGACATTTGGAGCGCTTTGAGGCCTATGATGAAAAAGGAAATATCTTCCCATAAAAACTACACAGAAGCATTCTCAGAAACTTGTTTGTGATGTGTGTATTCAACTAACAGAGATGAACCTTTCTTTTTACAGAGCAGTTTTGAAACACTCTTTTTGTGGAATCTGAAAGTGGATATTTGGATAGCTTTGAGGATTTCGTTGGAAACGGGATTACATATAAAACCTAGAGAGAAGCACTCTCAGGAACTTCTTTGTGATGTTTGCATTCAAGTCACAGAACTGAACATTCCCTTTCATAGAGCAGGTTTGAAACACTCTTTCTGTAGTATCTGCAAGCGGACGTTTTAAGCGCTTTCAGGCCTGTGGTGAGAAAGGAAATATCTTCAAATAAAAACTAGACAGAAGCATTCTCAGAAACTTATTTGCGATGTGTGTCCTCAACTAACAGAGTTGAACCTTTCTTTTGATACAACATTTTGGAAACACTCTTTTTGTAGAATCTGCAAGTGGATATTTGGATAACTTTGAAGGTTTCGTTGGAAACGGGAATATCTTCATATGAAATCAAGACAGAAGCATTCTCAGAAACTTCTCTGTGATGTTTGCATTCAACTCATAGAGTTGAACACTTCCCTTCATACAGCAGGTTTGAAACACTCTTTTTGTAATATTTGGAAGTGGACATTTGCAGCGCTTTGAGGCCTATGATGAAAAAGGTAATATCTTCCCATAAAAACTAGACAGAAGCATTCTCAGAAACTTGTTTGTGATGTGTGTATTCAACTAACAGAGATGAACCTTTCTTTTTACAGAGCAGTTTTGAAACACTCTTTTTGTGGAATCTGAAAGTGGATATTTGGATAGCTTTGAGGATTTCGTTGGAAACGGGATTACATATAAAACCTAGAGAGAAGCATTCTCAGGAACTTCTTTGTGATGTTTGCATTCAAGTCACAGAACTGAACATTCCCTTTCATAGAGCAGGTTTGAAACACTCTTTCTGTAGTATCTGCAAGCTGACGTTTCAAGCGCTTTCAGGCCTATGGTGAGAAAGGAAATATCTTCAAGTAAAAACTAGACAGAAGCATTCTCAGAAACTTATTTGCCATGTGTGTTCTCAACTAACAGAGTTGAACATTTGTTTTGATACGGCATTTTGGAAACACTCTTTTTGTGGAATCTGCAGGTGGATATTCGGATAGCTTTGAAGGTTTCGTTGGAAACGGGAATATCTTCATATAAAATCTAGACGGAAGCATTCTCAGAAAGTGCTTTGTGATGTTTGCATTCAAGTCACAGAGTTGAATATTCCCTTTTATAGAGCAGGTTTGAAACACTCTTTCTGCACTACCTGGAAGTGGACATTTGGAGCGCTTTGAGGCCTATGTTGAAAAAGGAAATATCTTCCCATAAAAACTAGACAGAAGCATTCTCAGAAACTTGTTTGTGATGTGTGTATTCAACTAACAGAGATGAACCTTTCTTTTTACAGAGCAGTTTTGAAACGCTCTTTTTGTGGAATCTGAAAGTGGATATTTGGATAGCTTTGAGGATTTCGTTCGAAACGGGATTACATATAAAATCTAGAGAGAAGCATTCTCAGGAACTTCTTTGTGATGTTTGCATTCACGTCACAGAACTGAACATTCCCTTTCATAGAGCATGTTTGAAACACTCTTTCTGTAGTATCTGCAAACGGACATTTCAAACGCTTTCAGGCCTATGGTGAGAAAGGAAATATCTTCAAGTAAAAACTAGACAGAAGCATTCTCAGAAACTTCTTTGTGCTGTATGTCCTCAATTAACAGAGTTGAACCTTTGTGTGGATACAGCATTTTGGAAACATTCCTTTAGTAGAATCTGCAAGTTGATATTTAGATAGCTAGGAAGATTTCCTTGGAAACGGGAATATCTTCATATAAAATCTAGACGGAAGCATTCTCAGAAACTGCTTTGTGATGTTTTCATTCAAGTCACAGAGTAGAATCTTCCCTGTTATATACCAGGTTTCAGACACTCTTTCTGCACTACCTGGAAGTGGACATTTACAGCGCTTTGAGGCCTATGATGAAAAAGGAAATATCTTCCCATAAAAACTAGACAGAAAGCATTCTCAGAAACTTGTTTGTGATGTGTGTATTCAACTAACAGAGATGAACCTTTCTTTTTACAGAGCAGTTTTGAAACACTCTTTTTGTGGAATCTGAAAGTGGATATTTGGATAGCTTTGAGGATTTCGTTGGAAACGGGATTACATATAAAACCTAGAGAGAGCATTCTCAGGAACTTCTTTGTGATGTTTGCATTCAAGTCACAGAACTGAACATTCCCTTTCATAGAGCAGGTTTGAAACCCTCTTTCTGTAGTATCTGCAAGCTGACGTTTCAAGCGCTTTCAGGCCTATGGTGAGAAAGGAAATATCTTCAAGTAAAAACTAGACAGAAGCATTCTCAGAAACTTATTTGCGATGTGTGTCCTCAACTAACAGAGTTGAACCTTTCTTTTGATACAACATTTTGGAAACACTCTTTTTGTAGAATCTGCAAGTGGATATTTGAATAGCTTTGAAGGTTTCGTTGGAAACGGGAATATCTTCATATAAAATCAAGACAGAAGCATTCTCAGAAAGTGCTTTGTGATGTTTGCATTCAAGTCACAGAGTTGAATATTCCCTTTTATAGAGCAGGTTTGAAACACTCTTTCTGCACTACCTGGAAGTGGACATTTGGAGCGCTTTGAGGCCTATGTTGAAAAAGGAAATATCTTCCCATAAAAACTAGACAGAAGCATTCTCAGAAACTTGTTTGTGATGTGTGTATTCAACTAACAGAGATGAACCTTTCTTTTTACAGAGCACTTTTGAAACACTCTTTTTGTGGAATCTGAAAGTGGATATTTGGATAGCTTTGAGGATTTCGTTGGAAACGGGATTACATATAAAACCTAGAGAGAAGCATTCTCAGGAACTTCTTTGTGATGTTTGCATTCACGTCACAGAACTGAACATTCCCTTTCATAGAGCATGTTTGAAACACTCTTTCTGTAGTATCTACAAACGGACATTTCAAACGCTTTCAGGCCTATGGTGAGAAAGGAAATATCTTCAAATAAAAACTAGACAGAAGCATTCTCAGAAACTTATTTGCGATGTGTGTCCTCAACTAACAGAGTTGAACCTTTCTTTTGATACAACATTTTGGAAACACTCTTTTTGTAGAATCTGCAAGTGGATATTTGGATAGCTTTGAAGGTTTCGTTGGAAACGGGAATATCTTCATATGAAATCAAGACAGAAGCATTCTCAGAAACTGCTTTGTGATGTTTGCATTCAAGTCACAGAGTAGAATGTTCCCTGTTATATACCAGGTTTGAGACACTCTTTCTGCACTACCTGGAAGTGGACGTTTGGAGCGCTTTGAGGCCTATGTTGAAAAAGGAAATATCTTCCCATAAAAACTAGACAGAAGCATTCTCAGAAACTTGTTTGTGATGTGTGTATTCAACTAACAGAGATGAACCTTTCTTTTTACAGAGCAGTTTTGAAACACTCTTTTTGTGGAATCTGAAAGTGGATATTTGGATAGCTTTGAGGATTTCGTTGGAAACGGGATTACATATAAAATCTAGGGAGAAGCATTCTCAGGAACTTCTTTGTGATGTTTGCATTCAAGTCACAGAACTCAACATTCCCTTTCATAGAGCAGGTTTGAAACACTCTTTCTGTAGTATCTGCAAGCTGACGTTTCAAGCGCTTTCAGGCCTATGGTGAGAAAGGAAATATCTTCAAGTAAAAACTAGACAGAAGCATTCTCAGAAACTTATTTGCGATGTGTGTCCTCAACTAACAGAGTTGAACCTTTCTTTTGATACAACATTTTGGAAACACTCTTTTTGTAGAATCTGCAAGTGGATATTTGAATAGCTTTGAAGGTTTCGTTGGAAACGGGAATATCTTCATATAAAATCAAGACAGAAGCATTCTCAGAAAGTGCTTTGTGATGTTTGCATTCAAGTCACAGAGTTGAATATTCCCTTTTATAGAGCAGGTTTGAAACACTCTTTCTGCACTACCTGGAAGTGGACATTTGGAGCGCTTTGAGGCCTATGTTGAAAAAGGAAATATCTTCCCATAAAAACTAGACAGAAGCATTCTCAGAAACTTGTTTGTGATGTGTGTATTCAACTAACAGAGATGAACCTTTCTTTTTACAGAGCAGTTTTGAAACACTCTTTTTGTGGAATCTGAAAGTGGATATTTGGATAGCTTTGAGGATTTCGTTGGAAACGGGATTACATATAAAACCTAGAGAGAAGCATTCTCAGGAACTTCTTTGTGATGTTTGCATTCAAGTCACAGAACTGAACATTCCCTTTCATAGAGCAGGTTTGAAACACTCTTTCTGTAGTATCTGCAAGCGGACGTTTTAAGCGCTTTCAGGCCTGTGGTGAGAAAGGAAATATCTTCAAATAAAAACTAGACAGAAGCATTCTCAGAAACTTATTTGCCATGTGTGTTCTCAACTAACAGAGTTGAACCTTTGTTTTGATACGGCATTTTGGAAACACTCTTTTTGTAGAATCTGCAGGTGGATATTCGGATAGCTTTGAAGGTTTCGTTGGAAACGGGAATATCTTCATATAAAATCTAGACGGAAGCATTCTCAGAAACTGCTTTGTGATGTTTTCATTCAAGTCACAGAGTAGAATGTTCCCTGTTATATACCAGGTTTGAGACACTCTTTCTGCACTACCTGGAAGTGGACATTTGCAGCGCTTTGAGGCCTATGATGAAAAAGGAAATATCTTCCCATAAAAACTAGACAGAAGCATTCTCAGAAACTTGTTTGTGATGTGTGTATTCAACTAACAGAGATGAACCTTTCTTTTTACAGAGCAGTTTTGAAACACTCTTTTTGTGGAATCTGAAAGTGGATATTTGGATAGCTTTGAGGATTTCGTTGGAAACGGGATTACATATAAAACCTAGAGAGAAGCATTCTCAGGAACTTCTTTGTGATGTTTGCATTCAAGTCACAGAACTGAACATTCCCTTTCATAGAGCAGGTTTGAAACACTCTTTCTGTAGTATCTGCAAGCGGACGTTTGAAGCGCTTTCAGGCCTGTGGTGAAAAAGGAAATATCTTGAAATAAAAACTAGACAGAAGCATTCTCAGAAACTTCTTTGTGCTGTATGTCCTCAATTAACAGAGTTGAACCTTTGTGTGGATACAGCATTTTGGAAACATTCCTTTAGTAGAATCTGCAAGTTGATATTTAGATAGCTAGGAAGATTTCCTTGGAAACGGGAATATCTTCATATAAAATCTAGACGGAAGCATTCTCAGAAACTTCTCTGTGATGTTTGCATTCAACTCATAGAGTTGAACACTTCCCTTCATACAGCAGGTTTGAAACACTCTTTTTGTAATATTTGGAAGTGGACATTTGCAGCGCTTTGAGGCCTATGATGAAAAAGGTAATATCTTCCCATAAAAACTAGACAGAAGCATTCTCAGAAACTTGTTTGTGATGTGTGTATTCAACTAACAGAGATGAACCTTTCTTTTTACAGAGCAGTTTTGAAACACTCTTTTTGTGGAATCTGAAAGTGGATATTTGGATAGCTTTGAGGATTTCGTTGGAAACGGGATTACATATAAAACCTAGAGAGAAGCATTCTCAGGAGCTTCTTTGTGATGTTTGCATTCAAGTCACAGAACTGAACATTCCCTTTCATAGAGCAGGTTTGAAACACTCTTTCTGTAGTATCTGCAAGGTGACGTTTCAAGCGCTTTCAGGCCTATGGTGAGAAAGGAAATATCTTCAAGTAAAAACTAGACAGAAGCATTCTCAGAAACTTATTTGCCATGTGTGTTCTCAACTAACAGAGTTGAACCTTTGTTTTGATACGGCATTTTGGAAACAGTCTTTTTGTAGAATCTGCAGGTGGATATTCGGATAGCTTTGAAGGTTTCGTTGGAAACGGGAATATCTTCATATAAAATCTAGACGGAAGCATTCTCAGAAACTTCTCTGTGATGTTTGCATTCAACTCATAGAGTTGAACACTTCCCTTCATACAGCAGGTTTGAAACACTCTTTTTGTAATATTTGGAAGTGGACATTTGCAGCGCTTTGAGGCCTATGATGAAAAAGGTAATATCTTCCCATAAAAACTAGACAGAAGCATTCTCAGAAACTTGTTTGTGATGTGTGTATTCAACTAACAGAGATGAACCTTTCTTTTTACAGAGCAGTTTTGAAACACTCTTTTTGTGGAATCTGAAAGTGGATATTTGGATAGCTTTGCGGATTTCGTTGGAAACGGGATTACATATAAAATCTAGGGAGAAGCATTCTCAGGAACTTCTTTGTGATGTTTGCCTTCAAGTCACAGGACTGAACATTCCCTTTCATAGAGCAGGTTTGAAACACTCTTTCTGTAGTATCTGCAAGCTGACGTTTCAAGCGCTTTCAGGCCTATGGTGAGAAAGGAAATATCTTCAAGTAAAAACTAGACAGGAAGCATTCTCAGAAACTTATTTGCGATGTGTGTCCTCAACTAACAGAGTTGAACCTTTCTTTTGATACAACATTTTGGAACCACTCTTTTTGTAGAATCTGCAAGTGGATATTTGGATAGCTTTGAAGGTTTCGTTGGAAACGGGAATATCTTCATATAAAATCAAGACAGAAGCATTCTCAGAAAGTGCTTTGTGATGTTTGCATTCAAGTCACAGAGTTGAATATTCCCTTTTATAGAGCAGGTTTGAAACACTCTTTCTGCACTACCTGGAAGTGGACATTTGGAGCGCTTTGAGGCCTATGTTGAAAAAGGAAATATCTTCCCATAAAAACTAGACAGAAGCATTCTCAGAAACTTATTTGCGATGTGTGTTCTCAACTAACAGAGTTGAACCTTTGTTTTGATACAGCATTTTGGAAACACTCTTTTTGTAGGATCTGCAGGTGGATATTTGGATAGCTTTGAAGGTTTCTTTGGAAACGGGAATATCTTCATATAAAATCAACACAGAAGCATTCTCAGAAACTTCTCTGTGATGTTTGCATTCAACTCATAGAGTTGAACACTTCCTTTCATAGAGCTGGTTTGAAATACTCTTTTTGTAATATTTGGAATGGACATTGGCAGCGCTTTGAAGCTTATGGTGAAAAAGGAGATATCTTCTCCTAAAAACCAGACAGAAGCATTCTCAGAATCTTTCTTGTGATGTGTGTACTCAAGTAACAGAGTTGAACCTTCATTTTGAGAGAGCAGTTTTGAAGCACTCTTTTTGTAGAATCTGCAAGTGGATATTTTGATACCTTTGAGGATTTCGTTGGACACGGGATATCTTCATATAAAATCTAGACAGAAGCATTCTCAGAAACTTCTTTGTGCTGTATGTCCTCAATTAACAGAGTTGAACCTTTGTGTGGATACAGCATTTTGGAAACATTCCTTTAGTAGAATCTGCAAGTTGATATTTAGATAGCTAGGAAGATTTCCTTGGAAACGGGAATATCTTCATATAAAATCTAGCCGGAAGCATTCTCAGAAACTTCTCTGTGATGTTTGCATTCAACTCATAGAGTTGAACACTTCCCTTCATAGAGCAGGTTTGAAACACTCTTTTTGTAATATTTGGAAGTGGACATTTGCAGCGCTTTGAGGCCTATGTTGAAAAAGGAAATATCTTCTCCTAAAAACAAGACAGAAGCATTCTCAGAAACTTGTTTGTGATGTGTGTATTCAACTAACAGAGATGAACCTTTCTTTTTACAGAGCAGTTTTGAAACACTCTTTTTGTGGAATCTGAAAGTGGATATTTGGATAGCTTTGCGGATTTCGTTGGAAACGGGATTACATATAAAATCTAGGGAGAAGCATTCTCAGGAACTTCTTTGTGATGTTTGCATTCACGTCACAGAACTGAACATTCCCTTTCATAGAGCATGTTTGAAACACTCTTTCTGTAGTATCTGCAAACGGACATTTCAAACGCTTTCAGGCCTATGGTGAGAAAGGAAATATCTTCAAATAAAAACTAGACAGAAGCATTCTCAGAAACTTATTTGCGATGTGTGTCCTCAACTAACAGAGTTGAACCTTTCTTTTGATACAACATTTTGGAAACACTCTTTTTGTGGAATCTGCAAGTGGATATTTGGATAGCTTTGAAGGTTTCGTTGGAAACGGGAATATCTTCATATAAAATCAAGACAGAAGCATTCTCAGAAACTTCTCTGTGATGTTTGCATTCAACTCATAGAGTTGAACACTTCCCTTCATACAGCAGGTTTGAAACACTCTTTTTGTAATATTTGGAAGTGGACATTTGCAGCGCTTTGAGGCCTATGTTGAAAAAGGAAATATCTTCTCCTAAAAACCAGACAGAAGCATTCTCAGAAACTTGTTTGTGATGTGTGTATTCAACTAACAGAGATGAACCTTTCTTTTTACAGAGCAGTTTTGAAACACTCTTTTTGTGGAATCTGAAAGTGGATATTTGGATAGCTTTGAGGATTTCGTTGGAAACGGGATTACATATAAAACCTAGAGAGAAGCATTCTCAGAAACTTCTCTGTGATGTTTGCATTCAAGTCACAGAACTGAACATTCCCTTTCATAGAGCAGGTTTGAAACACTCTTTCTGTAGTATCTGCAAGCTGACGTTTCAAGCGCTTTCAGGCCTATGGTGAGAAAGGAAATATCTTCAAGTAAAAACTAGACAGAAGCATTCTCAGAAACTTATTTGCGATGTGTGTCCTCAACTAACAGAGTTGAACCTTTCTTTTGATACAAAATTTTGGAAACACTCTTTTTGTAGAATCTGCAAGTGGATATTTGGATAGCTTTGAAGGTTTCGTTGGAAACGGGAATATCTTCATATAAAATCAAGACAGAAGCATTCTCAGAAAGTGCTTTGTGATGTTTGCATTCAAGTCACAGAGTTGAATATTCCCTTTTATAGAGCAGGTTTGAAACACTCTTTCTGCACTACCTGGAAGTAGACATTTGGATCGCTTTGAGGCCTATGTTGAAAAAGGAAATATCTTCCCATAAAAACTAGACAGAAGCATTCTCAGAAACTTGTTTGTGATGTGTGTATTCAACTAACAGAGATGAACCTTTCTTTTTACAGAGCAGTTTTGAAACACTCTTTTTGTGGAATCTGAAAGTGGATATTTGGATAGCTTTGAGGATTTCGTTGGAAACGGGATTACATATAAAACCTAGAGAGAAGCATTCTCAGGAACTTCTTTGTGATGTTTGCATTCAAGTCACAGAACTGAACATTCCCTTTCATAGAGCAGGTTTGAAACACTCTTTCTGTAGTATCTGCAAGCGGACGTTTTAAGCGCTTTCAGGCCTGTGGTGAGAAAGGAAATATCTTCAAATAAAAACTAGACAGAAGCATTCTCAGAAACTTATTTGCGATGTGTGTTCTCAACTAACAGAGTTGAACCTTTGTTTTGATATGGCATTTTGGAAACACTCTTTTTGTAGAATCTGCAGGTGGATATTCGGATAGCTTTGAAGGTTTCGTTGGAAACGGGAATATCTTCATATAAAATCTAGACGGAAGCATTCTCAGAAACTTCTCTGTGATGTTTGCATTCAACTCATAGAGTTGAACACTTCCCTTCATACAGCAGGTTTGAAACACTCTTTTTGTAATATTTGGAAGTGGACATTTGCAGCGCTTTGAGGCCTATGATGAAAAAGGTAATATCTTCCCATAAAAACTAGACAGAAGCATTCTCAGAAACTTGTTTGTGATGTGTGTATTCAACTAACAGAGATGAACCTTTCTTTTTACAGAGCAGTTTTGAAACACTCTTTTTGTGGAATCTGAAAGTGGATATTTGGATAGCTTTGAGGATTTCGTTGGAAACGGGATTACATATAAAACCTAGAGAGAAGCATTCTCAGGAACTTCTTTGTGATGTTTGCATTCAAGTCACAGAACTGAACATTCCCTTTCATAGAGCATGTTTGAAACACTCTTTCTGTAGTATCTGCAAGCGGACGTTTTAAGCGCTTTCAGGCCTGTGGTGAGAAAGGAAATATCTTCAAATAAAAACTAGACAGAAGCATTCTCAGAAACTTATTTGCGATGTGTGTCCTCAACTAACAGAGTTGAACCTTTCTTTTGATACAACATTTTGGAAACACTCTTTTTGTAGAATCTGCAAGTGGATATTTGGATAGCTTTGAAGGTTTCGTTGGAAACGGGAATATCTTCATATGAAATCAAGACAGAAGCATTCTCAGAAAGTGCTTTGTGATGTTTGCATTCAAGTCACAGAGTTGAATATTCCCTTTTATAGAGCAGGTTTGAAACACTCTTTCTGCACTACCTGGAAGTGGACATTTGGAGCGCTTTGAGGCCTATGTTGAAAAAGGAAATATCTTCCCATAAAAACTAGACAGAAGCATTCTCAGAAACTTGTTTGTGATGTGTGTATTCAACTAACAGAGATGAACCTTTCTTTTTACAGAGCAGTTTTGAAACACTCTTTTTGTGGAATCTGAAAGTGGATATTTGGATAGCTTTGCGGATTTCGTTGGAAACGGGATTACATATAAAATCTAGGGAGAAGCATTCTCAGGAACTTCTTTGTGATGTTTGCATTCAAGTCACAGAACTGAACATTCCCTTTCATAGAGCATGTTTGAAACACTCTTTCTGTAGTATCTGCAAGCGGACGTTTTAAGCGCTTTCAGGCCTGTGGTGAGAAAGGAAATATCTTCAAATAAAAACTAGACAGAAGCATTCTCAGAAACTTCTTTGTGCTGTGTGTCCTCAATTAACAGAGTTGAAACTTTGTTTCGATAGAGCATTTTGGAAATATTCCTTTAGTAGAATCTGCTAGTTGATATTTAGATAGCTAGGAAGATTTCCTTGGAAACGGGAATATCTTCATATAAAATCTAGACGGAGGCATTCTCAGAAAATGCTTTGTGATGTTTGCATTCAAGTCACAGAGTTGAATATTCCCTTTTATAGAGCAGGTTTGAAACACTCTTTCTGCACTACCTGGAAGTGGACATTTGGAGCGCTTTGAGGCCTATGTTGAAAAAGGAAATATCTTCCCATAAAAACTAGACAGAAGCATTCTCAGAAACTTGTTTGTGATGTGTGTATTCAACTAACAGAGATGAACCTTTCTTTTTACAGAGCAGTTTTGAAACACTCTTTTTGTGGAATCTGAAAGTGGATATTTGGATAGCTTTGAGGATTTCGTTGGAAACGGGATTACATATAAAACCTAGAGAGAAGCATTCTCAGGAACTTCTTTGTGATGTTTGCATTCAAGTCACAGAACTGAACATTCCCTTTCATAGAGCAGGTTTGAAACACTCTTTCTGTAGTATCTGCAAGCGGACGTTTTAAGCGCTTTCATGCCTGTGGTGAGAAAGGAAATATCTTCAAATAAAAACTAGACAGAAGCATTCTCAGAAACTTATTTGCCATGTGTGTTCTCAACTAACAGAGTTGAACCTTTGTTTTGATACGGCATTTTGGAAACACTCTTTTTGTAGAATCTGCAGGTGGATATTCGGATAGCTTTGAAGGTTTCGTTGGAAACGGGAATATCTTCATATAAAATCTAGACGGAAGCATTCTCAGAAACTGCTTTGTGATGTTTTCATTCAAGTCACAGAGTAGAATGTTCCCTGTTATATACCAGGTTTGAGACACTCTTTCTGCACTACCTGGAAGTGGACGTTTGGAGCGCTTTGAGGCCTATGTTGAAAAAGGAAATATCTTCCCATAAACACTAGACAGAAGCATTCTCAGAAATTTGTTTGTGATGTGTGTATTCAACTAACAGAGATGAACCTTTCTTTTTACAGAGCAGTTTTGAAACACTCTTTTTGTGGAATCTGAAAGTGGATATTTGGATAGCTTTGAGGATTTCGTTGGAAACGGGATTACATATAAAATCTAGAGAGAAGCATTCTCAGGAACTTCTTTGTGATGTTTGCATTCAAGTCACAGAACTGAACATTCCCTTTCATAGAGCATGTTTGAAACACTCTTTCTGTAGTATCTGCAAGCGGACGTTTCAAGCGCTTTCAGGCCTATGGTGCGAAAGGAAATATCTTCAAGTAAAAACTAGACAGAAGCATTCTCAGAAACTTATTTGCGATGTGTGTCCTCAACTAACAGAGTTGAACCTTTCTTTTGATACAACATTTTGGAAACACTCTTTTTGTAGAATCTGCAAGTGGATATTTGGATAGCTTTGAAGGTTTCGTTGGAAACGGGAATATCTTCATATGAAATCAAGACAGAAGCATTCTCAGAAAGTGCTTTGTGATGTTTGCATTCAAGTCACAGAGTTGAATATTCCCTTTTATAGAGCAGGTTTGAAACACTCTTTCTGCACTACCTGGAAGTGGACATTTGGAGCGCTTTGAGGCCTATGTTGAAAAAGGAAATATCTTCCCATAAAAACTAGACAGAAGCATTCTCAGAAACTTGTTTGTGATGTGTGTATTCAACTAACAGAGATGAACCTTTCTTTTTACAGAGCAGTTTTGAAACACTCTTTTTGTGGAATCTGAAAGTGGATATTTGGATAGCTTTGCGGATTTCGTTGGAAACGGGATTACATATAAAATCTAGGGAGAAGCATTCTCAGGAACTTCTTTGTGATGTTTGCATTCAAGTCACAGAACTGAACATTCCCTTTCATAGAGCAGGTTTGAAACACTCTTTCTGTAGTATCTGCAAGCGGACGTTTTAAGCGCTTTCAGGCCTGTGGTGAGAAAGGAAATATCTTCAAATAAAAACTAGACAGAAGCATTCTCAGAAACTTATTTGTGATGTGTGTTCTCAACTAACAGAGTTGAACCTTTGTTTTGATATGGCATTTTGGAAACACTCTTTTTGTAGAATCTGCAGGTGGATATTCGGATAGCTTTGAAGGTTTCGTTGGAAACGGGAATATCTTCAAATAAAATCTAGACGGAAGCATTCTCAGAAACTGCTTTGTGATGTTTTCATTCAAGTCACAGAGTAGAATGTTCCCTGTTATATACCAGGTTTGAGACACTCTTTCTGCACTACCTGGAAGTGGACATTTGCAGCGCTTTGAGGCCTATGATGAAAAAGGAAATATCTTCCCATAAAAACTAGACAGAAGCATTCTCAGAAACTTGTTTGTGATGTGTGTATTCAACTAACAGAGATGAACCTTTCTTTTTACAGAGCAGTTTTGAAACACTCTTTTTGTGGAATCTGAAAGTGGATATTTGGATAGCTTTGAGGATTTCTTTGGAAACGGGATTACATATAAAATCTAGAGAGAAGCATTCTCAGGAACTTCTTTGTGATGTTTGCATTCAAGTCACAGAACTGAACATTCCCTTTCATAGAGCATGTTTGAAACACTCCTTCTGTAGTATCTGCAAGCGGACGTTTCAAGCGCTTTCAGGCCTATGGTGAGAAAGGAAATATCTTCAAGTAAAAACTAGACAAGCATTCTCAGAAACTTCTTTGTGCTGTATGTCCTCAATTAACAGAGTTGAACCTTTGTGTGGATACAGCATTTTGGAAACATTCCTTTAGTAGAATCTGCAAGTTGATATTTAGATAGCTAGGAAGATTTCCTTGGAAACGGGAATATCTTCATATAAAATCTAGACGGAAGCATTCTCAGAAACTGCTTTGTGATGTTTTCATTCAAGTCACAGAGTAGAATGTTCCCTGTTATATACCAGGTTTGAGACACTCTTTCTGCACTACCTGGAAGTGGACGTTTGGAGCGCTTTGAGGCCTATGTTGAAAAAGGAAATATCTTCCCATAAAAACTAGACAGAAGCATTCTCAGAAACTTGTTTGTGATGTGTGTATTCAACTAACAGAGATGAACCTTTCTTTTTACAGAGCAGTTTTGAAACACTCTTTTTGTGGAATCTGAAAGTGGATATTTGGATAGCTTTGAGGATTTCTTTGGAAACGGGATTACATATAAAATCTAGAGAGAAGCATTCTCAGGAACTTCTTTGTGATGTTTGCATTCAAGTCACAGAACTGAACATTCCCTTTCATAGAGCAGGTTTGAAACAGTCTTTCTGTAGTATCTGCAAGCTGACGTTTCAAGCGCTTTCAGGCCTATGGTGAGAAAGGAAATATCTTCAAGTAAAAACTAGACAGAAGCATTCTCAGAAACTTATTTGCCATGTGTGTTCTCAACTAACAGAGTTGAACCTTTGTTTTGATACGGCATTTTGGAAACACTCTTTTTGTAGAATCTGCAGGTGGATATTCGGATAGCTTTGAAGGTTTCGTTGGAAACGGGAATATCTTCATATAAAATCTAGACGGAAGCATTCTCAGAAACTGCTTTGTGATGTTTTCATTCAAGTCACAGAGTAGAATGTTCCCTGTTATATACCAGGTTTGAGACACTCTTTCTGCACTACCTGGAAGTGGACATTTGCAGCGCTTTGAGGCCTATGATGAAAAAGGAAATATCTTCCCATAAAAACTAGACAGAAGCATTCTCAGAAACTTGTTTGTGATGTGTGTATTCAACTAACAGAGATGAACCTTTCTTTTTACAGAGCAGTTTTGAAACACTCTTTTTGTGGAATCTGAAAGTGGATATTTGGATAGCTTTGCGGATTTCGTTGGAAACGGGATTACATATAAAATCTAGGGAGAAGCATTCTCAGGAACTTCTTTGTGATGTTTGCCTTCAAGTCACAGGACTGAACATTCCCTTTCATAGAGCAGGTTTGAAACACTCTTTCTGTAGTGTCTGCAAGCTCACGTTTCAAGCGCTTTCAGGCCTATGGTGAGAAAGGAAATATCTTCAAGTAAAAACTAGACAGAAGCATTCTCAGAAACTTATTTGCGATGTGTGTCCTCAACTAACAGAGTTGAACCTTTCTTTTGATACAACATTTTGGAAACACTCTTTTTGTAGAATCTGCAAGTGGATATTTGAATAGCTTTGAAGGTTTCGTTGGAAACGGGAATATCTTCATATAAAATCAAGACAGAAGCATTCTCAGAAAGTGCTTTGTGATGTTTGCATTCAAGTCACAGAGTTGAATATTCCCTTTTATAGAGCAGGTTTGAAACACTCTTTCTGCACTACCTGGAAGTGGACATTTGGAGCGCTTTGAGGCCTATGTTGAAAAAGGAAATATCTTCCCATAAAAACTAGACAGAAGCATTCTCAGAAACTTGTTTGTGATGTGTGTATTCAACTAACAGAGATGAACCTTTCTTTTTACAGAGCAGTTTTGAAACACTCTTTTTGTGGAATCTGAAAGTGGATATTTGGATAGCTTTGAGGATTTCGTTGGAAACGGGATTACATATAAAATCTAGAGAGAAGCATTCTCAGGAACTTCTTTGTGATGTTTGCATTCACGTCACAGAACTGAACATTCCCTTTCATAGAGCATGTTTGAAACACTCTTTCTGTAGTATCTGCAAACGGACATTTCAAACGCTTTCAGGCCTATGGTGAGAAAGGAAATATCTTCAAGTAAAAACTAGACAGAAGCATTCTCAGAAACTTATTTGCGATGTGTGTCCTCAACTAACAGAGTTGAACCTTTCTTTTGATACAACATTTTGGAAACACTCTTTTTGTAGAATCTGCAAGTGGATATTTGAATAGCTTTGAAGGTTTCGTTGGAAACGGGAATATCTTCATATAAAATCAAGACAGAAGCATTCTCAGAAAGTGCTTTGTGATGTTTGCATTCAAGTCACAGAGTTGAATATTCCCTTTTATAGAGCAGGTTTGAAACACTCTTTCTGCACTACCTGGAAGTGGACATTTGGAGCGCTTTGAGGCCTATGTTGAAAAACGAAATATCTTCCCATAAAAACTAGACAGAAGCATTCTCAGAAACTTGTTTGTGATGTGTGTATTCAACTAACAGAGATGAACCTTTCTTTTTACAGAGCAGTTTTGAAACACTCTTTTTGTGGAATCTGAAAGTGGATATTTGGATAGCTTTGAGGATTTCGTTGGAAACGGGATTACATATAAAATCTAGAGAGAAGCATTCTCAGGAACTTCTTTGTGATGTTTGCATTCAAGTCACAGAACTGAACATTCCCTTTCATAGAGCAGGTTTGAAACACTCTTTCTGTAGTATCTGCAAGCTGACGTTTCAAGCGCTTTCACGCCTATGGTGAGAAAGGAAATATCTTCAAGTAAAACTAGACAGAAGCATTCTCAGAAACTTATTTGCCATGTGTGTTCTCAACTAACAGAGTTGAACCTTTGTTTTGATACGGCATTTTGGAAACACTCTTTTTGTAGAATCTGCAGGTGGACATTCGGATAGCTTTGAAGGTTTCGTTGGAAACGGGAATATCTTCATATAAAATCTAGACGGAAGCATTCTCAGAAAGTGCTTTGTGATGTTTGCATTCAAGTCACAGAGTTGAATATTCTCTTTTATAGAGCAGGTTTGAAACACTCTTTCTGCACTACCTGGAAGTGGACATTTGGAGCGCTTTGAGGCCTATGTTGAAAAAGGAAATATCTTCCCATAAAAACTAGACAGAAGCATTCTCAGAAACTTGTTTGTGATGTGTGTATTCAACTAACAGAGATGAACCTTTCTTTTTACAGAGCAGTTTTGAAACACTCTTTTTGTGGAATCTGAAAGTGGATATTTGGATAGCTCTGAGGATTTCGTTGGAAACGGGATTACATATAAAATCTAGGGAGAAGCATTCTCAGGAACTTCTTTGTGATGTTTGCCTTCAAGTCACAGGACTGAACATTCCCTTTCATAGAGCAGGTTTGAAACACTCTTTCTGTAGTATCTGCAAGCTGACGTTTCAAGCGCTTTCAGGCCTATGGTGAGAAAGGAAATATCTTCAAGTAAAAACTAGACAGAAGCATTCTCAGAAACTTATTTGCGATGTGTGTCCTCAACTAACAGAGTTGAACCTTTGTTTTGATACAACATTTTGGAAACACTCTTTTTGTAGAATCTGCAAGTGGATATTTGGATAGCTTTGAAGGTTTCGTTGGAAACGGGAATATCTTCATATAAAATCAAGACAGAAGCATTCTCAGAAACTTCTCTGTGATGTTTGCATTCAACTCATAGAGTTGAACACTTCCCTTCATACAGCAGGTTTGAAACACTCTTTTTGTAATATTTGGAAGTGGACATTTGCAGCGCTTTGAGGCCTATGATGAAAAAGGTAATATCTTCCCATAAAAACTAGACAGAAAGCATTCTCAGAAACTTGTTTGTGATGTGTGTATTCAACTAACAGAGATGAACCTTTCTTTTTACAGAGCAGTTTTGAAACACTCTTTTTGTGGAATCTGAAAGTGGATATTTGGATAGCTTTGCGGATTTCGTTGGAAACGGGATTACATATAAAACCTAGAGAGAAGCATTCTCAGGAACTTCTTTGTGATGTTTGCATTCAAGTCACAGAACTGAACATTCCCTTTCATAGAGCAGGTTTGAAACAGTCTTTCTGTAGTATCTGCAAGCTGACGTTTCAAGCGCTTTCAGGCCTATGGTGAGAAAGGAAATATCTTCAAGTAAAAACTAGACAGAAGCATTCTCAGAAACTTATTTGCCATGTGTGTTCTCAACTAACAGAGTTGAACCTTTGTTTTGATACAACATTTTGGAAACACTCTTTTTGTAGAATCTGCAAGTGGATATTTGGATAGCTTTGAAGGTTTCGTTGGAAACGGGAATATCTTCATATAAAATCAAGACAGAAGCATTCTCAGAAAGTGCTTTGTGATGTTTGCATTCAAGTCACAGAGTTGAATGTTCCCTTTTATAGAGCAGGTTTGAAACACTCTTTCTGCACTACCTGGAAGTGGACATTTGGAGCGCTTTGAGGCCTATGTTGAAAAAGGAAATATCTTCCCATAAAAACTAGACAGAAGCATTCTCAGAAACTTGTTTGTGATGTGTGTATTCAACTAACAGAGATGAACCTTTCTTTTTACAGAGCAGTTTTGAAACACTCTTTTTGTGGAATCTGAAAGTGGATATTTGGATAGCTTTGCGGATTTCGTTGGAAACGGGATTACATATAAAATCTAGGGAGAAGCATTCTCAGGAACTTCTTTGTGATGTTTGCATTCACGTCACAGAACTGAACATTCCCTTTCATAGAGCATGTTTGAAACACTCTTTCTGTAGTATCTGCAAACGGACATTTCAAACGCTTTCAGGCCTGTGGTGAGAAAGGAAATATCTTCAAATAAAAACTAGACAGAAGCATTCTCAGAAACTTATTTGCCATGTGTGTTCTCAACTAACAGAGTTGAACCTTTGTTTTGATACGGCATTTTGGAAACACTCTTTTTGTAGAATCTGCAGGTGGATATTCGGATAGCTTTGAAGGTTTCGTTGGAAACGGGAATATCTTCATATAAAATCTAGACGGAAGCATTCTCAGAAAGTGCTTTGTGATGTTTGCATTCAAGTCACAGAGTTGAATATTCCCTTTTATAGAGCAGGTTTGAAACACTCTTTCTGCACTACCTGGAAGTGGACATTTGGAGCGCTTTGAGGCCTATGTTGAAAAAGGAAATATCTTCCCATAAAAACTAGACAGAAGCATTCTCAGAAACTTGTTTGTGATGTGTGTATTCAACTAACAGAGATGAACCTTTCTTTTTACAGAGCAGTTTTGAAACACTCTTTTTGTGGAATCTGAAAGTGGATATTTGGATAGCTTTGCGGATTTCGTTGGAAACGGGATTACATATAAAATCTAGGGAGAAGCATTCTCAGGAACTTCTTTGTGATGTTTGCATTCAAGTCACAGAACTGAACATTCCCTTTCATAGAGCAGGTTTGAAACACTCTTTCAGTAGTATCTGCAAGCGGACGTTTCAAGCGCTTTCAGGCCTGTGGAGAAAAAGGAAATATCTTCAAATAAAAACTAGACGGAAGCATTCTCAGAAACTTATTTGCCATGTGTGTTCTCAACTAACAGAGTTGAACCTTTGTTTTGATACGGCATTTTGGAAACACTCTTTTTGTAGAATCTGCAGGTGGATATTCGGATAGCTTTGAAGGTTTCGTTGGAAACGGGAATATCTTCATAGAAAATCTAGACGGAAGCATTCTCAGAAAGTGCTTTGTGATGTTTGCATTCAAGTCACAGAGTTGAATATTCCCTTTTATAGAGCAGGTTTGAAACACTCTTTCTGCACTACCTGGAAGTGGACATTTGGAGCGCTTTGAGGCCTATGTTGAAAAAGGAAATATCTTCCCATAAAAACTAGACAGAAGCATTCTCAGAAACTTGTTTGTGATGTGTGTATTCAACTAACAGAGATGAACCTTTCTTTTTACAGAGCAGTTTTGAAACACTCTTTTTGTGGAATCTGAAAGTGGATATTTGGATAGCTTTGCGGATTTCGTTGGAAACGGGATTACATATAAAATCTAGGGAGAAGCATTCTCAGGAACTTCTTTGTGATGTTTGCATTCAAGTCACAGAACTGAACATTCCCTTTCATAGAGCAGGTTTGAAACACTCTTTCTGTAGTATCTGCAAGCGGACGTTTTAAGCGCTTTCAGGCCTGTGGTGAGAAAGGAAATATCTTCAAATAAAAACTAGACAGAAGCATTCTCAGAAACTTATTTGCCATGTGTGTTCTCAACTAACAGAGTTGAACCTTTGTTTTGATACGGCATTTTGGAAACACTCTTTTTGTAGAATCTGCAGGTGGATATTCGGATAGCTTTGAAGGTTTCGTTGGAAACGGGAATATCTTCATATAAAATCTAGACGGAAGCATTCTCAGAAACTGCTTTGTGATGTTTTCATTCAAGTCACAGAGTAGAATGTTCCCTGTTATATACCAGGTTTGAGACACTCTTTCTGCACTACCCGGAAGTGGACGTTTGGAGCGCTTTGAGGCGTATGTTGAAAAAGGAAATATCTTCCCATAAAAACTAGACAGAAGCATTCTCAGAAACTTGTTTGTGATGTGTGTATTCAACTAACAGAGATGAACCTTTCTTTTTACAGAGCAGTTTTGAAACACTCTTTTTGTGGAATCTGAAAGTGGATATTTGGATAGCTTTGAGGATTTCGTTGGAAACGGGATTACATATAAAATCTAGAGAGAAGCATTCTCAGAAACTTCTCTGTGATGTTTGCATTCAACTCATAGAGTTGAACACTTCCTTTCATAGAGCACGTTTGAAACACTCTTTGTGATATTCGGAAGTGGACTTTAGCACCGCTTTGAGGCCGATGGTGAAAAAGGTAATATCTTCTCCTAAAAACCAGACAGAAGCATTCTCAGAAACTTATTTGCCATGTGTGTTCTCAACTAACAGAGTTGAACCTTTGTTTTGATACGGCATTTTGGAAACACTCTTTTTGTAGAATCTGCAGGTGGATATACGGATAGCTTTCAAGGTTTCGTTGGAAACGGGAATATCTTCATATAAAGTCTAGACGGAAGCATTCTCAGAAACTTCTCTGTGTTGTTTGCATTCAACTCATAGAGTTGAACACTTCCCTTCATACAGCAGGTTTGAAACACTCTTTTTGTAATATTTGGAAGTGGACATTTGCAGCGCTTTGAGGCCTATGTAGAAAAAGGAAATATCTTCTCCTAAAAACCAGACAGAAGCATTCTCAGAAACTTCCTTGTGATGTGTGTACTCAAGTAACAGAGTTGAACCTTCCTTTTGACAGAGCCGTTTTGAAACAGTCTTTTTGTAGAATCTGGAAGTAGATATTTGGACACCTTTGAGGATTTCTTTGGAAAAGGGATATCTTCATATAAAATCTAGACAGAAGCATTCTCAGGAACTTCTTTGTGATGTTTGCATTCACGTCACAGAACTGAACATTCCCTTTCATAGAGCATGTTTGAAACACTCTTTCTGTAGTATCTGCAAACGGACATTTCAAACGCTTTCAGGCCTATGGTGAGAAAGGAAATATCTTCAAGTAAAAACTAGACAGAAGCATTCTCAGAAACTTATTTGCGATGTGTGTTCTCAACTAACAGAGTTGAACCTTTGTTTTGATACGGCATTTTGGAAACACTCTTTTTGTAGAATCTGCAGGTGGATATTCGGATAGCTTTGAAGGTTTCGTTGGAAACGGGAATATCTTCATATAAAATACTAGACGGAAGCATTCTCAGAAACTGCTTTGGGATGTTTTCATTCAAGTCACAGGAGTAGAATGTTCCCTGTTATATACCAGGTTTGAGACACTCTTTCTGCACTACCTGGAAGTGGACGTTTGGAGCGCTTTGAGGCCTATGTTGAAAAAGGAAATATCTTCCCATAAAAACTAGACAGAAGCATTCTCAGAATCTTTCTTGTGATGTGTGTACTCAAGTAACAGAGTTGAACCTTCATTTTGACAGAGCAGTTTTGAAGCACTCTTTTTGTAGAATCTGCAAGTGGATATTTTGATACCTTTGAGGATTTCGTTGGACACGGGATATCTTCATATAAAATCTAGACAGAAGCATTCTCAGAAACTTCTTTGTGCTGTATGTCCTCAATTAACAGAGTTGAACCTTTATGTGGTTACAGCATTTTGGAAACATTCCTTTAGTAGAATCTGCAAGTAGATATTTAGATAGCTAGGAAGATTTCCTTGGAAACGGGAATATCTTCATATAAAATCTAGACGGAAGCATTCTCAGCAAACTGCTTTGTGATGTTTTCATTCAAGTCACAGAGTAGAATGTTCCCTGTTATATACCAGGTTTGAGACACTCTTTCTGCACTACCTGGAAGTGGACGTTTGGAGCGCTTTGAGGCGTATGTTGAAAAAGGAAATATCTTCCCATAAAAATTAGACAGAAGCATTCTCAGAAACTTGTTTGTGATGTGTGTATTCAACTAACAGAGATGAACCTTTCTTTTTACAGAGCAGTTTTGAAACACTCTTTTTGTGGAATCTGAAAGTGGATATTTGGATAGCTTTGAGGATTTCGTTGGAAACGGGATTACATATAAAACCTAGAGAGAAGCATTCTCAGGAACTTCTTTGTGATGTTTGCATTCAAGTCACAGAACTGAACATTCCCTTTCATAGAGCAGGTTTGAAACACTCTTTCTGTAGTATCTGCAAGCGGACGTTTTAAGCGCTTTCAGGCCTGTGGTGAGAAAGGAAATATCTTCAAATAAAAACTAGACAGAAGCATTCTCAGAGACTTATTTGCGATGTGTGTCCTCAACTAACAGAGTTGAACATTTCTTTTGATACAACATTTTGGAAACACTCTTTTTGTAGAATCTGCAAGTGGATATTTGGATAGCTTTGAAGGTTTCGTTGGAAACGGGAATATCTTCATATGAAATCAAGACAGAAGCATTCTCAGAAAGTGCTTTGTGATGTTTGCATTCAAGTCACAGAGTAGAATATTCGCTTTTATGGAGCCGGTTTGAAACACTCTTTCTGCACTACCTGGAAGTAGACATTTGGAGCGCTTTGAGGGCTATGTTGAAAATGGAAATATCTTCCCATAAAAACTAGACACAAGCATTCTCAGAAACTTGTTTGTGATATGTGTATTCAACTAACAGAGATGAACCTTTCTTTTTACAGAGCAGTTTTAAAACACTCTTTTTATGGAATCTGACAGTGGATATTTGGATAGCTTTGAGGATTTCGTTGGAAAGGGGATTACATATAAAATCTAGAGAGAAGCATTCTCAGGAACTTCTTTGTGATGTTTGCATTCAAGTCACAGAACTGAACATTCCCTTTCATAGAGCAGGTTTGAAACACTCTTTTTGTAGTATCTGCAAGCGACTTTTCAAGTACTTTCAGGCCTATGGTGAGAAAGGAAATATCTTCAAATAAAAACTAGACAGAAGCATTCTCAGAAACTTATTTGCGATGTGTGTTCTCAACTAACAGAGTTGAACCTTTGTTTTGATACAGCATTTTGGAAACACTCTTTTTGTAGAATCTGCTGGTGGATATTTGGATAGCTTTGAAGGTTTCGTTGGAAACGGGAATATCATCATATAAAATCAAGACAGAAGCATTCTCAGAAACTTCTCTGTGATGTTTGCATTAAACTCATAGAGTTGAACACTTCCCTTCATAGAGCAGGTTAGAAACACTCTTTTTGTAGAATCTGCAAGTAGATATTTGGATACCTTTGAGGATTTCTTTGGAAACGGGATATCTTCATATAAAATCTAGACAGAAGCATTCTCAGAAACTTCTTTGTGCTGTATGTCCTCAATTAACAGAGTTGAACCTTTGTGTGGATACAGCATTTTGGAAACATTCCTTTATTACTATCTGCAAGTTGATATTTAGATAGCTAGGAAGATTTCCTTGGAAACGGGAATATCTTCATATAAAATCTAGACGGATGCATTCTCAGAAACTGCTTTGTGATGTTTTCATTCAAGTCACAGAGTAGAATGTTTCCTTTTATAGAGCAGGTTTGAAACAGTCTGTGCACTACCTGGAAGTGAACATTTTGAGCGCTTTGAGGCCTATGTTGGAAAAGGAAATATCTTCCCATAAAAACTAGACAGAACCATTCTCAGAAACTTGTTTGTGATGTGTGAATTCAACTAACAGAGATGAACCTTTCTTTTTACAGAGCAGTTTTGAAACACTCTTTTTCTGGAATCTGAAAGTGGATATTTGGATAGCTTTGAGGATTTCGTTGGAAACGGGATTACATATAACATCTAGAGAGAAGCATTCTCAGGAACTTCTTTGTGATGTTTGCATTCAAGTCACAGAACTGAACATTCCCTTTCATAGAGCAGGTTTGAAACACTCTTTCTGTAGTATCTGCAAGCGGACGTTTTAAGCGCTTTCAGGCCTGTGGTGAGAAAGGAAATATCTTCAAATAAAAACTAGACAGAAGCATTCTCAGAAACTTATTTGCGATGTGTGTCCTCAACTAACAGAGTTGAACCTTTCTTTTGATACAACATTTTGGAAACACTCTTTTTGTAGAATCAGCAAGTGGATATTTGAATAGCTTTGAAGGTTTCGTTGGAAACGGGAATATCTTCATATAAAATCAAGACAGAAGCATTCTCAGAAACTTCTCTGTGATGTTTGCATTCAACTCATAGAGTTGAACACTTCCCTTCATACAGCAGGTTTGAAACACTCTTTTTGTAATATTTGGAAGTGGACATTTGCAGCGCTTTGAGGCCTATGATGAAAAAGGTAATATCTTCCCATAAAAACTAGACAGAAGCATTCTCAGAAACTTGTTTGTGATGTGTGTATTCAACTAACAGAGATGAACCTTTCTTTTTACAGAGCAGTTTTGAAACACTCTTTTTGTGGAATCTGAAAGTGGATATTTGGATAGCTTTGAGGATTTCGTTGGAAACGGGATTACATATAAAATCTAGAGAGAAGCATTCTCAGGAACTTCTTTGTGATGTTTGCATTCACGTCACAGAACTGAACATTCCCTTTCATAGAGCATGTTTGAAACACTCTTTCTGTAGTATCTGCAAACGGACATTTCAAACGCTTTCAGGCCTATGGTGAGAAAGGAAATATCTTCAAGTAAAAACTAGACAGAAGCATTCTCAGAAACTTATTTGCGATGTGTGTCCTCAACTAACAGAGTTGAACCTTTGTTTTGATACAACATTTTGGAAACACTCTTTTTGTAGAATCTGCAAGTGGATATTTGGATAGCTTTGAAGGTTTCGTTGGAAACGGGAATATCTTCATATAAAATCAAGACAGAAGCATTCTCAGAAAGTGCTTTGTGATGTCTTCATTCAAGTCACAGAGTAGAATGTTCCCTTTTATAGAGCAGGTTTGAAACACTCTTTCTGCACTACCCGGAAGTGGACATTTGGAGCGCTTTGAGGCCTATGTTGAAAAAGGAAATATCTTCCCATAAAAACTAGACAGAAGCATTCTCAGAAACTTGTTTGTGATGTGTGTATTCAACTAACAGAGATGAACCTTTCTTTTTACAGAGCAGTTTTGAAACACTCTTTTTGTGGAATCTGAAAGTGGATATTTGGATAGCTTTGCGGATTTCGTTGGAAACGGGATTACATATAAAATCTAGGGAGAAGCATTCTCAGGAACTTCTTTGTGATGTTTGCATTCAAGTCACAGAACTGAACATTCCCTGTCATAGAGCATGTTTGAAACACTCTTTCTGTAGTATCTGCAAGCGGACGTTTCAAGCGCTTTCAGGCCTATGGAGAGAAAGGAAATATCTTCAAGTAAAAACTAGACAGAAGCATTCTCAGAAACTTATTTGCGATGTGTGTCCTCAACTAACAGAGTTGAACCTTTGTTTTGATACAACATTTTGGAAACACTCTTTTTGTAGAATCTGCAAGTGGATATTTGGATAGCTTTGAAGGTTTCGTTGGAAACGGGAATATCTTCATATAAAATCAAGACAGAAGCATTCTCAGAAACTGCTTTGTGATGTTTGCATTCAAGTCACAGAGTAGAATGTTCCCTGTTATATACCAGGTTTGAGACACTCTTTCTGCACTACCTGGAAGTGGACATTTGCAGCGCTTTGAGGCCTATGATGAAAAAGGAAATATCTTCCCATAAAAACTAGACAGAAGCATTCTCAGAAACTTCCTTGTGATGTGTGTACTCAAGTAACAGAGTTGAACCTTACTTTTGACAGAGCCGTTTTGAAACAGTCTTTTTGTAGAATCTGGAAGTAGATATTTGGACACCTTTGAGGATTTCTTTGGAAACGGGATATCTTCATATAAAATCTAGACAGAAGCATTCTCAGGAACTTCTTTGTGATGTTTGCATTCAAGTCACAGAACTGAACATTCCCTTTCATAGAGCATGTTTGAAACACTCTTTCTGTAGTATCTGCAAGCGGACGTTTTAAGCGCTTTCAGGCCTGTGGTGAGAAAGGAAATATCTTCAAATAAAAACTAGACAGAAGCATTCTCAGAAACTTATTTGCGATGTGTGTCCTCAACTAACAGAGTTGAACCTTTGTTTTGATACAACATTTTGGAAACACTCTTTTTGTAGAATCTGCAGGTGGATATTTGGATAGCTTTGAAGATTTCGTTGGAAACGGGAATATCTTCATATAAAATCAAGACAGAAGCATTCTCAGAAACTTCTCTGTGATGTTTGCATTCAACTCATAGAGATGAACACTTCCCTTCATACAGCAGGTTTGAAACACTCTTTTTGTAATATTTGGAAGTGGACATTTGCAGCGCTTTGAGGCCTATGTTGAAAAAGGAAATATCTTCTCCTAAAAACCAGACAGAAGCATTCTCAGAAACTTGTTTTTGATGTGTGTATTCAACTAACAGAGATGAACCTTTCTTTTTACAGAGCAGTTTTGAAACACTCTTTTTGTGGAATCTGAAAGTGGATATTTGGATAGCTTTGAGGATTTCGTTGGAAACGGGATTAAATATAAAATCTAGAGAGAAGCATTCTCAGGAACTTCTGTGTGATGTTTGCATTCAAGTCACAGAACTGAACATTCCCTTTCATAGAGCAGGTTTGAAACACTCTTTCTGTAGTATCTGCAAGCGGACGTTTCAAGCGCTTTCAGGCCTGTGGTGAAAAAGGAAATATCTTCAAATAAAAACTAGACAGAAGCATTCTCAGAAACTTATTTGCGATGTGTGTTCTCAACTAACAGAGTTGAACCTTTGTTTTGATACAGCATTTTGGAAACACTCTTTTTGTAGGATCTGCAGGTGGATATTTGGATAGCTTTGAAGGTTTCGTTGGAAACGGGAATATCTTCATATAAAATCAATACAGAAGCCTTCTCAGAAACTTCTCTGTGATGTTTGCATTGAACTCACAGAGTTGAACACTTCCTTTCATAGAGCTGGTTTGAAATACTCTTTTTGTAATATTTGGAAGTGGACATTGGCAGCGTTTTGAAGCCTGTGGTGAAAAAGGAGATATCTTCTCCTAAAAACCATACAGAAGCATTCTCAGAAACTTATTTGCGATGTGTGTCCTCAACTAACAGAGTTGAACCTTTGTTTTGATACAACATTTTGGAAACACTCTTTTTGTAGAATCTGCAGGTGGATATTCGGATAGCTTTGAAGGTTTCGTTGGAAACGGGAATATCTTCATATAAAATCAAGACAGAAGCATTCTCAGAAAGTGCTTTGTGATGTTTGCATTCAAGTCACAGAGTTGAATATTCCCTTTTATAGAGCAGGTTTGAAACACTCTTTCTGCACTACCTGGAAGTGGACATTTGGAGCGCTTTGAGGCCTATGTTGAAAAAGGAAATATCTTCCCATAAAAACTAGACAGAAGCATTCTCAGAAACTTGTTTGTGAGGTGTGTGTTCAACTAACAGAGATGAACCTTTCTTTTTACAGAGCAGTTTTGAAACACTCTTTTTGTGGAATCTGAAAGTGGATATTTGGATAGCTTTGAGGATTTCGTTGGAAACGGGATTACATATAAAATCTAGAGAGAAGCATTCTCAGGAACTTCTTTGTGATGTTTGCATTCACGTCACAGAACTGAACATTCCCTTTCATAGAGCATGTTTGAAACACTCTTTCTGTAGTATCTGCAAACGGACATTTCAAACGCTTTCAGGCCTATGGTGAGAAAGGAAATATCTTCAAATAAAAACTAGACAGAAGCATTCTCAGAAACTTCTTTGTGCTGTATGTCCTCAATTAACAGAGTTGAACCTTTGTGTGGATACAGCATTTTGGAAACATTCCTTTAGTAGAATCTGCAAGTTGATATTTAGATAGCTAGGAAGATTTCCTTGGAAACGGGAATATCTTCATATAAAATCTAGACGGAAGCATTCTCAGAAACTTCTCTGCGATGTTTGCATTCAACTCATACAGTTGAACACTTCCCTTCATACAGCAGGTTTGAAACACTCTTTTTGTAATATTTGGAAGTGGACATTTGCAGCGCTTTGAGGCCTATGATGAAAAAGGTAATATCTTCCCATAAAATCTAGACAGAAGCATTCTCAGAAACTTGTTTGTGATGTGTGTATTCAACTAACAGAGATGAACATTTCTTTTTACAGAGCAGTTTTGAAACACTCTTTTTGTGGAATCTGAAAGTGGATATTTGGATATCTTTGAGGATTTCGTTGGAAACGGGATTACATATAAAATCTAGAGAGAAGCATTCTCAGGAACTTCTTTGTGATGTTTGCATTCACGTCACAGAACTGAACATTCCCTTTCATAGAGCATGTTTGAAAAACTCTTTCTGTAGTATCTGCAAACGGACATTTCAAGGGCTTTCAGGCCTATGGTAAGAAAGGAAATATCTTCAAATAAAAACTAGACAGAAGCATTCTCAGAAACTTATTTGCGATGTGTGTCCTCAACTAACAGAGTTGAACCTTTGTTTTGATACAACATTTTGGAAACACTCTTTTTGTAGAATCTGCAAGTGGATATTTGGATAGCTTTGAAGGTTTCGTTGGAAACGGGAATATCTTCATATAAAATCAAGACAGAAACATTCTCAGAAACTTCTCTGTGATGTTTGCATTCAACTCATAGAGTTGAACACTTCCCTTCATAGAGCAGGTTTGAAACACTCTTTTTGTAATATTTGGAAGTGGACATTTGCAGCGCTTTGAGGCCTATGTTGAAAAAGGAAATATCTTCTCCTAAAAACCAGACAGAAGCATTCTCAGAAACTTGTTTGTGATGTGTGTATTCAACTAACAGAGATGAACCTTTCTTTTTACAGAGCAGTTTTGAAACACTCTTTTTGTGGAATCTGAAAGTGGATATTGGGATAGCTTTGAGGATTTCGTTGGAAACGGGATTACATATAAAATCTAGAGAGAAGCATTCTCAGGAACTTCTTTGTGATGTTTGCATTCACGTCACAGAACTGAACATTCCCTTTCATAGAGCATGTTTGAAACACTCTTTCTGTAGTATCTGCAAACGGACATTTCAAGCGCTTTCAGGCCTATGGTAAGAAAGGAAATATCTTCAAATAAAAACTAGACAGAAGCATTCTCAGAAACTTATTTGCGATGTGTGTTCTCAACTAACAGAGTTGAACCTTTGTTTTGATATGGCATTTTGGAAACACTCTTTTTGTAGAATCTGCAGGTGGATATTCGGATAGCTTTGAAGGTTTCGTTGGAAACGGGAATATCTTCATATAAAATCTAGACGGAAGCATTCTCAGAAACTGCTTTGTGATGTTTTCATTCCAGTCACAGAGTAGAATGTTCCCTTTTATATACCAGGTTTGAGACACTCTTTCTGCACTATCTGGAAGTGGACATTTGGAGTGCTTTGAGGCCTATGATGAAAAAGGAAATATCTTCCCATAAAAACTAGACAGAAGCATTCTCAGAAACTTGTTTGTGATGTGTGTATTCAACTAACAGAGATGAACCTTTCTTTTTACAGAGCAGTTTTGAAACACTCTTTTTGTGGAATCTGAAAGTGGATATTTGGATAGCTTTGAGGATTTCGTTGGAAACGGGATTACATATAAAACCTAGAGAGAAGCATTCTCAGGAAATTCTTTGTGATGTTTGCATTCAAGTCACAGAACTGAACATTCCCTTTCATAGAGCAGCTTTGAAACACTCTTTCTGTAGTATCTGCAAGCGGACGTTTCAAGCGCTTTCAGGCCTGTGGTGAAAAAGGAAATATCTTCAAATAAAAACTAGACAGAAGCATTCTCAGAAACTTATTTGCGATGTGTGTTCTCAACTAACAGAGTTGAACCTTTGTTTTGATACAGCATTTTGGAAACACTCTTTTTGTAGGATCTGCAGGTGGATATTTGGATAGCTTTGAAGGTTTCGTTGGAAACGGGAATAACTTCATATAAAATCAAGACAGAAGCATTCTCAGAAACTGCTTTGTGATGTTTTCATTCAAGTCACAGAGTAGAATGTTCCCTTTTATATACCAGGTTTGAGACACTCTTTCTGCACTATCTGGAAGTGGACATTTGGAGCGCTTTGAGGCCTATGATGAAAAAGGAAATATCTTCCCATAAAAACTAGACAGAAGCATTCTCAGAAACTTGTTTGTGATGTGTGTATTCAACTAATAGAGATGAACCTTTCTTTTTACAGAGCAGTTTTGAAACACTCTTTTTGTGGAATCTGAAAGTGGATATTTGGATAGCTTTGAGGATTTCGTTGGAAACGGGATTACATATAAAATCTAGAGAGAAGCATTCTCAGGAACTTCTTTGTGATGTTTGCATTCAAGTCACAGAACTGAACATTCCCTTTCATAGAGCATGTTTGAAACACTCTTTCTGTAGTATCTGCAAGCGGACGTTTTAAGCGCTTTCAGGCCTGTGGTGAGAAAGGAAATATCTTCAAATAAAAACTAGACAGAAGCATTCTCAGAAACTTATTTGCGATGTGTGTCCTCAACTAACAGAGTTGAACCTTTCTTTTGATACAACATTTTGGAAACACTCTTTTTGTAGAATCTGCAAGTGGATATTTGGATAGCTTTGAAGGTTTCGTTGGAAACGGGAATATCTTCATATGAAATCAAGACAGAAGCATTCTCAGAAACTGCTTTGTGATGTTTTCATTCAAGTCACAGAGTAGAATGTTCCCTGTTATATACCAGGTTTGAGACACTCTTTCTGCACTACCCGGAAGTGGACGTTTGGAGCGCTTTGAGGCCTATGTTGAAAAACGAAATATCTTCCCATAAAAACTAGACAGAAGCATTCTCAGAAACTTGTTTGTGATGTGTGTATTCAACTAACAGAGATGAACCTTTCTTTTTACAGAGCAGTTTTGAAACACTCTTTTTGTGGAATCTGAAAGTGGATATTTGGATAGCTTTGAGGATTTCGTTGGAAACGGGATTACATATAAAATCTAGAGAGAAGCATTCTCAGGAACTTCTTTGTGATGTTTGCATTCAAGTCACAGAACTGAACATTCCCTTTCATAGAGCAGGTTTGAAACACTCTTTCTGTAGTATCTGCAAGCTGACGTTTCAAGCGCTTTCAGGCCTATGGTGAGAAAGGAAATATCTTCAAGTAAAAACTAGACAGAAGCATTCTCAGAAACTTATTTGCGATGTGTGTCCTCAACTAACAGAGTTGAACCTTTGTTTTGATACAACATTTTGGAAACACTCTTGTTGTAGAATCTGCAAGTGGATATTTGGATAGCTTTGAAGGTTTCGTTGGAAACGGGAATATCTTCATATAAAATCAAGACAGAAGCATTCTCAGAAACTTCTCTGTGATGTTTGCATTCAACTCATAGAGTTGAACACTTCCCTTCATACAGCAGGTTTGAAACACTCTTTTTGTAATATTTGGAAGTGGACTTTTGCAGCGCTTTGTGGCCTATGATGAAAAAGGTAATATCTTCCCATAAAAACTAGACAGAAGCATTCTCAGAAACTTGTTTGTGATGTGTGTATTCAACTAACAGAGATGAACCTTTCTTTTTACAGAGCAGTTTTGAAACACTCTTTTTGTGGAATCTGAAAGTGGATATTTGGATAGCTTTGCGGATTTCGTTGGAAACGGGATTACATATAAAATCTAGGGAGAAGCATTCTCAGGAACTTCTTTGTGATGTTTGCATTCAAGTCACAGAACTGAACATTCCCTTTCATAGAGCAGGTTTGAAACACTCTTTCTGTAGTATCTGCAAGCGGACGTTTTAAGCGCTTTCAGGCCTGTGGTGAGAAAGGAAATATCTTCAAATAAAAACTAGACAGAAGCATTCTCAGAAACTTATTTGCCATGTGTGTTCTCAACTAACAGAGTTGAACCTTTGTTTTGAAACGGCATTTTGGAAACACTCTTTTTGTAGAATCTGCAGGTGGATATTCCGATAGATTTGAAGGTTTCGTTGGAAACGGGAATATCTTCATATAAAATCTAGACGGAAGCATTCTCAGAAACTGCTTTGTGATGTTTTCATTCAAGTCACAGAGTAGAATCTTCCCTGTTATATACCAGGTTTCAGACACTCTTTCTGCACTACCTGGAAGTGGACATTTGCAGCGCTTTGAGGCCTATGATGAAAAAGGAAATATCTTCCCATAAAAACTAGACAGAAGCATTCTCAGAAACTTGTTTGTGATGTGTGTATTCAACTAACAGAGATGAACCTTTCTTTTTACAGAGCAGTTTTGAAACACTCTTTTTGTGGAATCTGAAAGTGGATATTTGGATAGCTTTGAGGATTTCGTTGGAAACGGGATTACATATAAAAGCTAGGGAGAAGAGCATTCTCAGGAACTTCTTTGTGATGTTTGCATTCAAGTCACAGAACTGAACATTCCCTTTCATAGAGCATGTTTGAAACACTCTTTCTGTAGTATCTGCAAGCGGACGTTTCAAGCGCTTTCAGGCCTATGGTGCGAAAGGAAATATCTTCAAGTAAAAACTAGACAGAAGCATTCTCAGAAACTTATTTGCGATGTGTGTTCTCAACTAACAGAGTTGAACCTTTGTTTTGATATGGCATTTTGGAAACATTCTTTTTGTAGAATCTGCAGCTGGATATTTGGATAGCTTTGAAGGTTTCGTTGGAAACGGGAATATCTTCATATAAAATCAAGACAGAAGCATTCTCAGAAACTGCTTTGTGATGTTTTCATTCAAGTCACAGAGTAGAATGTTCCCTGTTATATACCAGGTTTGAGACACTCTTTCTGCACTACCTGGAAGTGGACATTTGCAGCGCTTTGAGGCCTATGATGAAAAAGGAAATATCTTCCCATAAAAACTAGACAGAAGCATTCTCAGAAACTTGTTTGTGATGTGTGTATTCAACTAACAGAGATGAACCTTTCTTTTTACAGAGCAGTTTTGAAACACTCTTTTTGTGGAATCTGAAAGTGGATATTTGGATAGCTTTGAGGATTTCGTTGGAAACGGGATTACATATAAAATCTAGAGAGAAGCATTCTCAGGAACTTCTTTGTGATGTTTGCATTCAAGTCACAGAACTGAACATTCCCTTTCATAGAGCAGGTTTGAAACACTCTTTCTGTAGTATCTGCAAGCTGACGTTTCAAGCGCTTTCAGGCCTATGGTGAGAAAGGAAATATCTTCAAGTAAAAACTAGACAGAAGCATTCTCAGAAACTTATTTGCCATGTGTGTTCTCAACTAACAGAGTTGAACCTTTGTTTTGATACGGCATTTTGGAAACACTCTTTTTGTAGAATCTGCAGGTGGATATTCGGATAGCTTTGAAGGTTTCGTTGGAAACGGGAATATCTTCATATAAAATCTAGACGGAAGCATTCTCAGAAACTGCTTTGTGATGTTTTCATTCAAGTCACAGAGTAGAATGTTCCCTGTTATATACCAGGTTTGAGACACTCTTTCTGCACTACCTGGAAGTGGACATTTGCAGCGCTTTGAGGCCTATGATGAAAAAGGAAATATCTTCCCATAAAAACTAGACAGAAGCATTCTCAGAAACTTGTTTGTGATGTGTGTATTCAACTAACAGAGATGAACCTTTCTTTTTACAGAGCAGTTTTGAAACACTCTTTTTGTGGAATCTGAAAGTGGATATTTGGATAGCTTTGAGGATTTCGTTGGAAACGGGATTACATATAAAACCTAGAGAGAAGCATTCTCAGGAACTTCTTTGTGATGTTTGCCTTCAAGTCACAGGACTGAACATTCCCTTTCATAGAGCAGGTTTGAAACACTCTTTCTGTAGTATCTGCAAGCTGACGTTTCAAGCGCTTTCAGGCCTATGGTGAGAAAGGAAATATCTTCAAGTAAAAACTAGACAGAAGCATTCTCAGAAACTTATTTGCGATGTGTGTCCTCAACTAACAGAGTTGAACCTTTCTTTTGATACAACATTTTGGAAACACTCTTTTTGTAGAATCTGCAAGTGGATATTTGAATAGCTTTGAAGGTTTCGTTGGAAACGGGAATATCTTCATATAAAATCAAGACAGAAGCATTCTCAGAAACTGCTTTGTGATGTTTTCATTCAAGTCACAGAGTAGAATGTTCCCTGTTATATACCAGGTTTGAGACACTCTTTCTGCACTACCTGGAAGTGGACGTTTGGAGCGCATTGAGGCCTATGTTGAAAAAGGAAATATCTTCCCATAAAAACTAGACAGAAGCATTCTCAGAAACTTGTTTGTGATGTGTGTATTCAACTAACAGAGATGAACCTTTCTTTTTACAGAGCAGTTTTGAAACACTCTTTTTGTGGAATCTGAAAGTGGATATTTGGATAGCTTTGAGGATTTCGTTGGAAACGGGATTACATATAAAACCTAGAGAGAAGCATTCTCAGGAACTTCTTTGTGATGTTTGCATTCACGTCACAGAACTGAACATTCCCTTTCATAGAAGCATGTTTGAAACACTCTTTCTGTAGTATCTGCAAACGGACATTTCAAGCGCTTTCAGGCCTATGGTAAGAAAGGAAATATCTTCAAATAAAAACTAGACAGAAGCATTCTCAGAAACTTATTTGCCATGTGTGTTCTCAACTAACAGAGTTGAACCTTTGTTTTGATACGGCATTTTGGAAACACTCTTTTTGTAGAATCTGCAGGTGGATATTCGGATAGCTTTGAAGGTTTCGTTGGAAACGGGAATATCTTCATATAAAATCTAGACGGAAGCATTCTCAGAAACTTCTCTGTGATGTTTGCATTCAACTCATAGAGTTGAACACTTCCCTTCATAGAGCAGGTTTGAAACACTCTTTTTGTAATATTTGGAAGTGGACATTTGCAGCGCTTTGAGGCCTATGTTGAAAAAGGAAATATCTTCTCCTAAAAACCAGACAGGAAGCATTCTCAGAAACTTGTTTTTGATGTGTGTATTCAACTAACAGAGATGAACCTTTCTTTTTACAGAGCAGTTTTGAAACACTCTTTTTGTGGAATCTGAAAGTGGATATTTGGATAGCTTTGAGGATTTCGTTGGAAACGGGATTACATATAAAATCTAGAGAGAAGCATTCTCAGGAACTTCTTTGTGATGTTTGCATTCAAGTCACAGAACTGAACATTCCCTTTCATAGAGCAGGTTTGAAACACTCTTTCTGTAGTATCTGCAAGCGGACGTTTTAAGCGCTTGCAGGCCTGTGGTGAGAAAGGAAATATCTTCAAATAAAAACTAGACAGAAGCATTCTCAGTAAACTTATTTGCGATGTGTGTTCTCAACTAACAGAGTTGAACCTTTGTTTTGATATGGCATTTTGGAAACACTCTTTTTGTAGAATCTGCAGGTGGATATTCGGATATCTTTGAAGGTTTCGTTGGAAACGGGAGTATCTTCATATAAAATCTAGACGGAAGCATTCTCAGAAACTTCTCTGTGATGTTTGCATTCAACTCATAGAGTTGAACACTTCCCTTCATACAGCAGGTTTGAAACACTCTTTTTCTAATATTTGGAAGTGGACATTTGCAGCGCTTTGAGGCCTATGTTGAAAAAGGAAATATCTTCTCCTAAAAACCAGACAGAAGCATTCTCAGAAACTTGTTTGTGATGTGTGTATTCAACTAACAGAGATGAACCTTTCTTTTTACAGAGCAGTTTTGAAACACTCTTTTTGTGGAATCTGAAAGTGGATATTTGGATAGCTTTGAGGATTTCGTTGGAAACGGGATTACATATAAAACCTAGAGAGAAGCATTCTCAGGAACTTCTTTGTGATGTTTTCATTCACGTCACAGAACTGAACATTCCCTTTCATAGAGCATGTTTGAAACACTCTTTCTGTAGTATCTGCAAACGGACATTACAAGCGCTTTCAGGCCTATGGTGAGAAAGGAAATATCTTCAAATAAAAACTAGACAGAAGCATTCTCAGAAACTTATTTGCGATGTGTGTCCTCAACTAACAGAGTTGAACCTTTCTTTTGATACAACATTTTGGAAACACTCTTTTTGTAGAATCTGCAAGTGGATATTTGGATAGCTTTGAAGATTTCGTTGGAAACGGGAATATCTTCATATAAAATCAAGACAGAAGCATTCTCAGAAAGTGCTTTGTGATGTTTGCATTCAAGTCACAGAGTTGAATATTCCCTTTTATAGAGCAGGTTTGAAACACTCTTTCTGCACTACCTGGAAGTGGACATTTGGAGCGCTTTGAGGCCTATGTTGAAAAACGAAATATCTTCCCATAAAAACTAGACAGAAGCATTCTCAGAAACTTGTTTGTGATGTGTGTATTCAACTAACAGAGATGAACCTTTCTTTTTACAGAGCAGTTTTGAAACACTCTTTTTGTGGAATCTGAAAGTGGATATTTGGATAGCTTTGAGGATTTCGTTGGAAACGGGATTACATATAAAACCTAGAGAGAAGCACTCTCAGGAACTTCTTTGTGATGTTTGCATTCAAGTCACAGAACTGAACATTCCCTTTCATAGAGCAGGTTTGAAACACTCTTTCTGTAGTATCTGCAAGCGGACGTTTTAAGCGCTTTCAGGCCTGTGGTGAGAAAGGAAATATCTTCAAATAAAAACTAGACAGAAGCATTCTCAGAAACTTATTTGCGATGTGTGTCCTCTACTAACAGAGTTGAACCTTTCTTTTGATACAACATTTTGGAAACACTCTTTTTGTAGAATCTGCAAGTGGATATTTGGATAGCTTTGAAGGTTTCGTTGGAAACGGGAATATCTTCATATGAAATCAAGACAGAAGCATTCTCAGAAACTTCTCTGTGATGTTTGCATTCAACTCATAGAGTTGAACACTTCCCTTCATACAGCAGGTTTGAAACACTCTTTTTGTAATATTTGGAAGTGGACATTTGCAGCGCTTTGAGGCCTATGATGAAAAAGGTAATATCTTCCCATAAAAACTAGACAGAAGCATTCTCAGAAACTTGTTTGTGATGTGTGTATTCAACTAACAGAAATGAACCTTTCTTTTTACAGAGCAGTTTTGAAACACTCTTTTTGTGGAATCTGAAAGTGGATATTTGGATAGCTTTGAGGATTTCGTTGGAAACGGGATTACATATAAAACCTAGAGAGAAGCATTCTCAGGAACTTCTTTGTGATGTTTGCATTCAAGTCACAGAACTGAACATTCCCTTTCATAGAGCAGGTTTGAAACACTCTTTCTGTAGTATCTGCAAGCGGACGTTTTAAGCGCTTTCAGGCCTGTGGTGAGAAAGGAAATATCTTCAAATAAAAACTAGACAGAAGCATTCTCAGAAACTTATTTGCGATGTGTGTTCTCAACTAACAGAGTTGAACCTTTGTTTTGATATGGCATTTTGGAAACACTCTTTTTGTAGAATCTGCAGGTGGATATTCGGATAGCTTTGAAGGTTTCGTTGGAAACGGGAATATCTTCATATAAAATCTAGACGGAAGCATTCTCAGAAACTGCTTTGTGATGTTTTCATTCAAGTCACAGAGTAGAATGTTCCCTGTTATACACCAGGTTTGAGACACTCTTTCTGCACTACCTGGAAGTGGACGTTTGGAGCGCTTTGAGGCCTATGTTGAAAAAGGAAATATCTTCCCATAAAAACTAGACAGAAGCATTCTCAGAAACTTGTTTGTGATGTGTGTATTCAACTAACAGAGATGAACCTTTCTTTTTACAGAGCAGTTTTGAAACACTCTTTTTGTGGAATCTGAAAGTGGATATTTGGATAGCTTTGAGGATTTCGTTGGAAACGGGATTACATATAAAACCTAGAGAGAAGCATTCTCAGGAACTTCTTTGTGATGTTTGCATTCAAGTCACAGAACTGAACATTCCCTTTCATGGAGCATGTTTGAAACACTCTTTCTGTAGTATCTGCAAGCTGACGTTTCAAGCGCTTTCAGGCCTATGGTGAGAAAGGAAATATCTTCAAGTAAAAACTAGACAGAAGCATTCTCAGAAACTTATTTGCCATGTGTGTTCTCAACTAACAGAGTTGAACCTTTGTTTTGATACGGCATTTTGGAAACACTCTTTTTGTAGAATCTACAGGTGGATATTCGGATAGCTTTGAAGGTTTCGTTGGAAACGGGAATATCTTCATATAAAATCTAGACGGAAGCATTCTCAGAAAGTGCTTTGTGATGTTTGCATTCAAGTCACAGAGTTGAATATTCCCTTTTATAGAGCAGGTTTGAAACATTCTTTCTGCACTACCTGGAAGTGGACATTTGGAGCGCTTTGAGGCTTATGTTGAAAAAGGAAATATCTTCCCATAAAAACTAGACAGAAGCATTCTCAGAAACTTGTTTGTGATGTGTGTATTCAACTAACAGAGATGAACCTTTCTTTTTACAGAGCAGTTTTGAAACACTCTTTTTGTGGAATCTGAAAGTGGATATTTGGATAGCTTTGAGGATTTCGTTGGAAACGGGATTACATATAAAACCTAGAGAGAAGCATTCTCAGGAACTTCTTTTTGATGTTTGCCTTCAAGTCACAGGACTGAACATTCCCTTTCATAGAGGAGGTTTGAAACACTCTTTCTGTAGTATCTGCAAGCTGACTTTTCAAGCGCTTTCAGGCCTATGGTGAGAAAGGAAATATCTTCAAGTAAAAACTAGACAGAAGGATTCTCAGAAACTTATTTGCGATGTGTGTCCTCAACTAACAGAGTTGAACCTTTCTTTTGATACAACATTTTGGAAACACTCTTTTTGTAGAATCTGCAAGTGGATATTTGGATAGCTTTGAAGGTTTCGTTGGAAACGGGAATATCTTCATATAAAATCAAGACAGAAGCATTCTCAGAAAATGCTTTGTGATGTTTTCATTCAAGTCACAGAGTAGAATCTTCCCTGTTATATACCAGGTTTCAGACACTCTTTCTGCACTACCTGGAAGTGGACATTTGCAGCGCTTTGAGGCCTATGATGAAAAAGGAAATATCTTCCCATAAAAACTAGACAGAAGCATTCTCAGAAACTTGTTTGTGATGTGTGTATTCAACTAACAGAGATGAACCTTTCTTTTTACAGAGCAGTTTTGAAACACTCTTTTTGTGGAATCTGAAAGTGGATATTTGGATAGCTTTGAGGATTTCGTTGGAAACGGGATTACATATAAAATCTAGAGAGAAGCATTCTCAGGAACTTCTTTGTGATGTTTGCATTCACGTCACAGAACTGAACATTCCCTTTCATAGAGCATGTTTGAAACACTCTTTCTGTAGTATCTGCAAACGGACATTTCAAACGCTTTCAGGCCTATGGTGAGAAAGGAAATATCTTCAAATAAAAACTAGACAGAAGCATTCTCAGAAACTTATTTGCCATGTGTGTTCTCAACTAACAGAGTTGAACCTTTGTTTTGATACGGCATTTTGGAAACACTCTTTTTGTAGAAACTGCAGGTGGATATTCGGATAGCTTTGAAGGTTTCGTTGGAAACGGGAATATCTTCATATAAAATCTAGACGGAAGCATTCTCAGAAACTGCTTTGTGATGTTTTCATTCAAGTCACAGAGTAGAATCTTCCCTGTTATATACCAGGTTTCAGACACTCTTTCTGCACTACCTGGAAGTGGACATTTGCAGTGCTTTGAGGCCTATGATGAAAAAGGAAATATCTTCCCATAAAAACTAGACAGAAAGCATTCTCAGAAACTTGTTTGTGATGTGTGTATTCAACGAACAGAGATGAACCTTTCTTTTTACAGAGCAGTTTTGAAACACTCTTTTTGTGGAATCTGAAAGTGGATATTTGGATAGCTTTGAGGATTTCGTTGGAAACGGGATTACATATAAAATCTAGAGAGAAGCATTCTCAGGCACTTCTTTGTGATGTTTGCATTCAAGTCACAGAACTGAACATTCCCTTTCATAGAGCATGTTTGAAACACTCTTTCTGTAGTATCTGCAAGCGGACGTTTCAAGCGCTTTCAGGCCTATGGTGAGAAAGGGAATATCTTCAAGTAAAAACTAGACAGAAGCATTCTCAGAAACTTATTTGCGATGTGCGTTCTCAGCTAAGAGAGTTGAACCTTTGTTTTGATACAGCATTTTGGAAACACTCTTTTTGTAGGATCTGCAGGTGGATATTTGGATAGCTTTGAAGGTTTCTTTGGAAACGGGAATATCTTCATATAATATCAAGACAGAAGCATTCTCAGAAACTGCTTTGTGATGTTTTCATTCAAGTCACAGGGTAGAATGTTCCCTTTTATATACCAGGTTTGAGAGACTCTTTCTGCACTATCTGGAAGTGGACATTTGGAGCGCTTTGAGGCCTATGATGAAAAAGGAAATATCTTCCCATAAAAACTAGACAGAAGCATTCTCAGAAACTTGTTTGTGATGTGTGTATTCAACTAACAGAGATGAACCTTTCTTTTTACAGAGCAGTTTTGAAACACTCTTTTTGTGGAATCTGAAAGTGGATATTTGGATAGCTTTGAGGATTTCGTTGGAAACGGGATTACATATAAAACCTAGAGAGAAGCATTCTCAGGAACTTCTTTGTGATGTTTGCATTCAAGTCACAGAACTGAACATTCCCTTTCATAGAGCAGGTTTGAAACACTCTTTCTGTAGTATCTGCAAGCGGACGTTTTAAGCGCTTTCAGGCCTGTGGTGAGAAAGGAAATATCTTCAAATAAAAACTAGACAGAAGCATTCTCAGAAACTTATTTGCGATGTGTGTCCTCAACTAACAGAGTTGAACCTTTCTTTTGATACAACATTTTGGAAACACTCTTTTTGTAGAATCTGCAAGTGGATATTTGAATAGCTTTGAAGGTTTCGTTGGAAACGGGAATATCTTCATATAAAATCAAGACAGAAGCATTCTCAGAAACTGCTTTGTGATGTTTTCATTCAAGTCACAGAGTAGAATGTTCCCTGTTATATACCAGGTTTGAGACACTCTTTCTGCACTACCCGGAAGTGGACGTTTGGAGCGCTTTGAGGCCTATGTTGAAAAAGGAAATATCTTCCCATAAAAACTAGACAGAAGCATTCTCAGAAATTTGTTTGTGATGTGTGTATTCAACTAACAGAGATGAACCTTTCTTTTTACAGAGCAGTTTTGAAACACTCTTTTTGTGGAATCTGAAAGTGGATATTTGGATAGCTTTGAGGATTTCGTTGGAAACGGGATTACATATAAAATCTAGAGAGAAGCATTCTCAGGAACTTCTTTGTGATGTTTGCATTCAAGTCACAGAACTGAACATTCCCTTTCATAGAGCATGTTTGAAACACTCTTTCTGTAGTATCTGCAAGCGGACGTTTCAAGCGCTTTCAGGCCTATGGTGCGAAAGGAAATATCTTCAAGTAAAAACTAGACAGAAGCATTCTCAGAAACTTATTTGCCATGTGTGTTCTCAACTAACAGAGTTGAACCTTTGTTTTGATACGGCATTTTGGAAACACTCTTTTTGTAGAATCTGCAGGTGGATATTCGGATAGCTTTGAAGGTTTCGTTGGAAACGGGAATATCTTCATATAAAATCTAGACGGAAGCATTCTCAGAAACTGCTTTGTGATGTTTTCATTCAAGTCACAGTGTAGAATGTTCCCTGTTATATACCAGGTTTGAGACACTCTTTCTGCACTACATGGAAGTGGACGTTTGGAGCGCTTTGAGGCCTATGTTGAAAAAGGAAATATCTTCCCATAAAAACTAGACAGAATCATTCTCAGAAACTTGTTTCTGATGTGTGTATTCAACTAACAGAGATGAACCTTTCTTTTTACAGAGTAGTTTTGAAACACTCTTTTTGTGGAATCTGAAAGTGGATATTTGGATAGCTTTGCGGATTTCGTTGGAAACGGGATTACATATAAAATCTAGGGAGAAGCATTCTCAGGAACTTCTTTGTGATGTTTGCATTCAAGTCACAGAACTGAACATTCCCTTTCATAGATGCAGGTTTGAAACACTCTTTCTGTAGTAGTCTGCAAGACGGACGATTCAAGCGCTTTCAGGCCTGTGGTGAAAAAGGAAATATCTTCAAATAAAAACTAGACAGAAGCATTCTCAGAAACTTCTTTGTGCTGTATGTCCTCAATTAACAGAGTTGAACCTTTGTGTGGATACAGCATTTTGGAAACATTCCTTTAATAGAATCTGCAAGTTGATATTTAGATAGCTAGGAAGATTTCCTTGGAAACGGGAATATCTTCATATAAAATCTAGACGGAAGCATTCTCAGAAACTTCTCTGTGATGTTTGCATCCAACTCATAGAGTTGAACACTTCCCTTCATACAGCAGGTTTGAAACACTCTTTTTGTAATATTTGGAAGTGGACATTTGCAGCGCTTTGAGGCCTATGATGAAAAAGGTAATATCTTCCCATAAAAACTAGACAGAAGCATTCTCAGAAACTTGTTTGTGATGTGTGTATTCAACTAACAGAGATTAACCTTTCTTTTTACAGAGCAGTTTTGAAACACTCTTTTTGTGGAATCTGAAAGTGGATATTTGGATAGCTTTGCGGATTTCTTTGGAAACGGGATTACATATAAAATCTAGAGAGAAGCATTCTCAGGAACTTCTTTGTGATGTTTGCATTCACGTCACAGAACTGAACATTCCCTTTCATAGAGCATGTTTGAAACACTCTTTCTGTAGTATCTGCAAACGGACATTTCAAGCGCTTTCAGGCCTATGGTAAGAAAGGAAATATCTTCAAATAAAAACTAGACAGAAGCATTCTCAGAAACTTATTTGCCATGTGTGTTCTCAACTAACAGAGTTGAACCTTTGTTTTGATACGGCATTTTGGAAACACTCTTTTTGTAGAATCTGCAGGTGGATATTCGGATAGCTTTGAAGGTTTCGTTGGAAACGGGAATATCTTCATATAAAATCTAGACGGAAGCATTCTCAGAAACTGCTTTGTGATGTTTTCATTCAAGTCACAGAGTAGAATGTTCCCTGTTATATACCACGTTTGAGAAACTCTTTCTGCACTACCTGGAAGTGGACGTTTGGAGCGCTTTGAGGCCTATGTTGAAAAAGGAAATATCTTCCCATAAAAACTAGACAGAAGCATTCTCAGAAACTTGTTTGTGATGTGTGTATTCAACTAACAGAGATGAACCTTTCTTTTTACAGAGCAGTTTTGAAACCCTCTTTTTGTGGAATCTGAAAGTGGATATTTGGATAGCTTTGAGGATTTCGTTGGAAACGGGATTACATATAAAACCTAGAGAGAAGCATTCTCAGGAACTTCTTTGTGATGTTTGCATTCAAGTCACAGAACTGAACATTCCCTTTCATAGAGCATGTTTGAAACACTCTTTCTGTAGTATCTGCAAGCGGACGTTTTAAGCGCTTTCAGGCCTGTGGTGAGAAAGGAAATATCTTCAAATAAAAACTAGACAGAAGCATTCTCAGAAACTTATTTGCGATGTGTGTCCTCAACTAACAGAGTTGAACCTTTCTTTTGATACAACATTTTGGAAACACTCTTTTTGTGGAATCTGCAAGTGGATATTTGGATAGCTTTGAAGATTTCGTTGGAAACGGGAATATCTTCATATAAAATCAAGACAGAAGCATTCTCAGAAACTTCTCTGTGATGTTTGCATTCAACTCATAGAGTTGAACACTTCCCTTCATACAGCAGGTTTGAAACACTCTTTTTCTAATATTTGGAAGTGGACATTTGCAGCGCTTTGAGGCCTATGTTGAAAAAGGAAATATCTTCTCCTAAAAACCAGACAGGAAGCATTCTCAGAAACTTGTTTGTGATGTGTGTATTCAACTAACAGAGATGAACCTTTCTTTTTACAGAGCAGTTTTGAAACACTCTTTTTGTGGAATCTGAAAGTGGATATTTGGATAGCTTTGAGGATTTCGTTGGAAACGGGATTACATATAAAATCTAGAGAGAAGCATTCTCAGGAACTTCTTTGTGATGTTTGCATTCAAGTCACAGAACTGAACATTCCCTTTCATAGAGCAGGTTTGAAACACTCTTTCTGTAGTATCTGCAAGCTGACGTTTCAAGCGCTTTCAGGCCTATGGTGAGAAAGGAAATATCTTCAAGTAAAAACTAGACAGAAGCATTCTCAGAAACTTATTTGCCATGTGTGTTCTCAACTAACAGAGTTGAACCTTTGTTTTGATACGGCATTTTGGAAACACTCTTTTTGTAGAATCTGCAGGTGGATATTCGGATAGCTTTGAAGGTTTCGTTGGAAACGGGAATATCTTCATATAAAATCTAGACGGAAGCATTCTCAGAAAGTGCTTTGTGATGTTTGCATTCAAGTCACAGAGTTGAATATTCCCTTTTATAGAGCAGGTTTGAAACACTCTTTCTGCACTACCTGGAAGTGGACATTTGGAGCGCTTTGAGGCCTATGTTGAAAAAGGAAATATCTTCCCATAAAAACTAGACAGAAGCATTCTCAGAAACTTGTTTGTGATGTGTGTATTCAACTAACAGAGATCAACCTTTCTTTTTACAGAGCAGTTTTGAAACACTCTTTTTGTGGAATCTGAAAGTGGATATTTGGATAGCTTTGAGGATTTCGTTGGAAACGGGATTACATATAAAATCTAGAGAGAAGCATTCTCAGGAACTTCTTTGTGATGTTTGCATTCAAGTCACAGAACTGAACATTCCCTGTCATAGAGCATGTTTGAAACACTCTTTCTGTAGTATCTGCAAGCGGACGTTTCAAGCGCTTTCAGGCCTATGGTGAGAAAGGAAATATCTTCAAGTAAAAACTAGACAGAAGCATTCTCAGAAACTTATTTGCGATGTGTGTCCTCAACTAACAGAGTTGAACCTTTCTTTTGATACAACATTTTGGAAACACTCTTTTTGTAGAATCTGCAAGTGGATATTTGGATAGCTTTGAAGGTTTCGTTGGAAACGGGAATATCTTCATATGAAATCAAGACAGAAGCATTCTCAGAAACTGCTTTGTGATGTTTTCATTCAAGTCACAGAGTAGAATCTTCCCTGTTATATACCAGGTTTCAGACACTCTTTCTGCACTACCTGGAAGTGGACATTTGCAGCGCTTTGAGGCCTATGATGAAAAAGGAAATATCTTCCCATAAAAACTAGACAGAAGCATTCTCAGAAACTTGTTTGTGATGTGTGTATTCAACTAACAGGGATGAACCTTTCTTATTACAGAGCAGTTTTGAAACACTCTTTTTGTGGAATCTGAAAGTGGATATTTGGATAGCTTTGAGGATTTCGTTGGAAACGGGATTACATATAAAACCTAGAGAGAAGCATTCTCAGGAACTACTTTGTGATGTTTGCCTTCAAGTCACAGGACTGAACATTCCCTTTCATAGAGCAGGTTTGAAACACTCTTTCTGTAGTATCTGCAAGCTGACGTTTCATGCGCTTTCAGGCCTATGGTGAGAAAGGAAATATCTTCAAGTAAAAACTAGACAGAAGCATTCTCAGAAACTTATTTGCCATGTGTGTTCTCAACTAACAGAGTTGAACCTTTGTTTTGATACGGCATTTTGGAAACACTCTTTTTGTAGAATCTGCAGGTGGATATTCGGATAGCTTTGAAGGTTTCGTTGGAAACGGGAATATCTTCATATAAAATCTAGACGGAAGCATTCTCAGAAACTGCTTTGTGATGTTTTCATTCAAGTCACAGAGTAGAATGTTCCCTGTTATATACCAGGTTTGAGACACTCTTTCTGCACTACCTGGAAGTGGACATTTGCAGCGCTTTGAGGCCTATGATGAAAAAGGAAATATCTTCCCATAAAAACTAGACAGAAGCATTCTCAGAAACTTGTTTGTGATGTGTGTATTCAACTAACAGAGATGAACCTTTCTTTTTACAGAGCAGTTTTGAAACACTCTTTTTGTGGAATCTGAAAGTGGATATTTGGATAGCTTTGAGGATTTCGTTGGAAACGGGATTACATATAAAACCTAGAGAGAAGCATTCTCAGGAACTTCTTTGTGATGTTTGCATTCAAGTCACAGAACTGAACATTCCCTTTCATAGAGCATGTTTGAAACACTCTTTCTGTAGTATCTGCAAGCGGACGTTTCAAGCGCTTTCAGGCCTATGGTGAGAAAGGAAATATCTTCAAGTAAAAACTAGACAGAAGCATTCTCAGAAACTTATTTGCGATGTGTGTCCTCAACTAACAGAGTTGAACCTTTCTTTTGATACAACATTTTGGAAACACTCTTTTTGTAGAATCTGCAAGTGGATATTTGGATAGCTTTGAAGGTTTCGTTGGAAACGGGAATATCTTCATATGAAATCAAGACAGAAGCATTCTCAGAAACTGCTTTGTGATGTTTTCATTCAAGTCACAGAGTAGAATGTTCCCTGTTATATACCAGGTTTGAGACACTCTTTCTGCACTACCCGGAAGTGGACGTTTGGAGCGCTTTGAGGCCTATGTTGAAAAACGAAATATCTTCCCATAAAAACTAGACAGAAGCATTCTCAGAAACTTGTTTGTGATGTGTGTATTCAACTAACAGAGATGAACCTTTCTTTTTACAGAGCAGTTTTGAAACACTCTTTTTGTGGAATCTGAAAGTGGATATTTGGATAGCTTTGCGGATTTCGTTGGAAACGGGATTACATATAAAATCTAGGGAGAAGCATTCTCAGGAACTTCTTTGTGATGTTTGCATTCAAGTCACAGAACTGAACATTCCCTTTCATAGAGCAGGTTTGAAACACTCTTTCTGTAGTATCTGCAAGCGGACGTTTTAAGCGCTTTCAGGCCTGTGGTGAGAAAGGAAATATCTTCAAATAAAAACTAGACAGAAGCATTCTCAGAAACTTATTTGCCATGTGTGTTCTCAACTAACAGAGTTGAACCTTTGTTTTGATACGGCATTTTGGAAACACTCTTTTTGTAGAATCTGCAGTTGGATATTCGGATAGCTTTGAAGGTTTCGTTGGAAACGGGAATATCTTCATATTAAATCTAGACGGAAGCATTCTCAGAAACTGCTTTGTGATGTTTTCATTCAAGTCACAGAGTAGAATGTTCCCTTTTATATACCAGGTTTGAGACACTCTTTCTGCACTATCTGGAAGTGGACATTTGGAGCGCTTTGAGGCCTATGATGAAAAAGGAAATATCTTCCCATAAAAACTAGACAGAAGCATTCTCAGAATCTTGTTTGTGATGTGTGTATTCAACTAACAGAGATGAACCTTTCTTTTTACAGAGCAGTTTTGAAACACTCTTTTTGTGGAATCTGAAAGTGGATATTTGGATAGCTTTGAGGATTTCGTTGGAAACGGGATTACATATAAAATCTAGAGAGAAGCATTCTCAGGAACTTCTTTGTGATGTTTGCCTTCAAGTCACAGGACTGAACATTCCCTTTCATAGAGCAGGTTTGAAACACTCTTTCTGTAGTATCTGCAAGCTGACGTTTCAAGCGCTTTCAGGCCTATGGTGAGAAAGGAAATATCTTCAAGTAAAAACTAGACAGAAGCATTCTCAGAAACTTATTTGCGATCTGTGTTCTCAGCTAACAGAGTTGAACCTTTGTTTTGATACAGCATTTTGGAAACACTCTTTTTGTAGGATCTGCAGGTGGATATTTGGATAGCTTTGAAGGTTTCTTTGGAAACGGGAATATCTTCATATAAAATCAAGACAGAAGCATTCTCAGAAAGTGCTTTGTGATGTTTGCATTCAAGTCACAGAGTTGAATATTCCCTTTTATAGAGTAGGTTTGAAACACTCTTTCTGCACTACCTGGAAGTGGACATTTGGAGCGCTTTGAGGCCTATGTTGAAAAAGGAAATATCTTCCCATAAAAACTAGACAGAAGCATTCTCAGAAACTTGTTTGTGATGTGTGTATTCAACTAACAGAGATGAACCTTTCTTTTTACAGAGCAGTTTTGAAACACTCTTTTTGTGGAATCTGAAAGTGGATATTTGGATAGCTTTGAGGATTTCGTTGGAAACGGGATTACATATAAAACCTAGAGAGAAGCATTCTCAGGAACTTCTTTGTGATGTTTGCATTCAAGTCACAGAACTGAACATTCCCTTTCATAGAGCATGTTTGAAACACTCTTTCTGTAGTATCTGCAAGCGGACGTTTCAAGCGCTTTCAGGCCTATGGTGAGAAAGGAAATATCTTCAAGTAAAAACTAGACAGAAGCATTCTCAGAAACTTATTTGCGATGTGTGTTCTCAACTAACAGAGTTGAACCTTTGTTTTGATATGGCATTTTGGAAACACTCTTTTTGTAGAATCTGCAGGTGGATATTCGGATAGCTTTGAAGGTTTCGTTGGAAACGGGAATATCTTCATATAAAATCTAGACGGAAGCATTCTCAGAAAGTGCTTTGTGATGTTTGCATTCAAGTCACAGAGTTGAATATTCCCTTTTATAGAGCAGGTTTGAAACACTCTTTCTGCACTACCTGGAAGTGGACATTTGGAGCGCTTTGAGGCCTATGTTGAAAAAGGAAATATCTTCCCATAAAAACTAGACAGAAGCATTCTCAGAAACTTGTTTGTGATGTGTGTATTCAACTAACAGAGATGAACCTTTCTTTTTACAGAGCAGTTTTGAAACACTCTTTTTGTGGAATCTGAAAGTGGATATTTGGATAGCTTTGAGGATTTCGTTGGAAACGGGATTACATATAAAACCTAGAGAGAAGCATTCTCAGGAACTTCTTTGTGATGTTTGCCTTCAAGTCACAGGACTGAACATTCCCTTTCATAGAGCAGGTTTGAAACACTCTTTCTGTAGTATCTGCAAGCTGACGTTTCAAGCGCTTTCAGGCCTATGGTGAGAAAGGAAATATCTTCAAGTAAAAACTAGACAGAAGCATTCTCAGAAACTTATTTGCGATGTGTGTCCTCAACTAACAGAGTTGAACCTTTGTTTTGATACAACATTTTGGAAACACTCTTTTTGTAGAATCTGCAAGTGGATATTTGGATAGCTTTGAAGGTTTCGTTGGAAACGGGAATATCTTCATATAAAATCAAGACAGAAGCATTCGCAGAAAGTGCTTTGTGATGTTTGCATTCAAGTCACAGAGTTGAATATTCCCTTTTATAGAGCAGGTTTGAAACACTCTTTCTGCACTACCTGGAAGTGGACATTTGGAGCGCTTTGAGGCCTATGTTGAAAAAGGAAATATCTTCCCATAAAAACTAGACAGAAGCATTCTCAGAAACTTGTTTGTGATGTGTGTATTCAACTAACAGAGATGAACCTTTCTTTTTACAGAGCAGTTTTGAAACACTCTTTTTGTGGAATCTGAAAGTGGATATTTGGATAGCTTTGAGGATTTCGTTGGAAACGGGATTACATATAAAATCTAGAGAGAAGCATTCTCAGGAACTTCTTTGTGATGTTTGCCTTCAAGTCACAGGACTGAACATTCCCTTTCATAGAGCAGGTTTGAAACACTCTTTCTGTAGTATCTGCAAGCTGACGTTTCAAGCGCTTTCAGGCCTATGGTGAGAAAGGAAATATCTTCAAGTAAAAACTAGACAGAAGCATTCTCAGAAACTTCTTTGTGCTGTATGTCCTCAATTAACAGAGTTGAACCTTTGTGTGGATACAGCATTTTGGAAACATTCCTTTAGTAGAATCTGCAAGTTGATATTTAGATAGCTAGGAAGATTTCCTTGGAAACGGGAATATCTTCATATAAAATCTAGACGGAAGCATTCTCAGAAACTGCTTTGTGATGTTTTCATTGAAGTCACAGAGTAGAATGTTCCCTTTTATATACCAGGTTTGAGACACTCTTTCTGCACTATCTGGAAGTGGACATTTGGAGCGCTTTGAGGCCTATGATGAAAAAGGAAATATCTTCCCATAAAAACTAGACAGAAGCATTCTCAGAAACTTGTTTGTGATGTGTGTATTCAACTAACAGAGATGAACCTTTCTTTTTACAGAGCAGTTTTGAAACACTCTTTTTGTGGAATCTGAAAGTGGATATTTGGATAGCTTTGAGGATTTCGTTGGAAACGGGATTACATATAAAATCTAGGGAGAAGCATTCTCAGGAACTTCTTTGTGATGTTTGCCTTCAAGTCACAGGACTGAACATTCCCTTTCATAGAGCAGGTTTGAAACACTCTTTCTGTAGTATCTGCAAGCTGACGTTTCAAGCGCTTTCAGGCCTATGGTGAGAAAGGAAATATCTTCAAGTAAAAACTAGACAGAAGCATTCTCAGAAACTTATTTGCGATGTGTGTCCTCAACTAACAGAGTTGAACCTTTCTTTTGATACAACATTTTGGAAACACTCTTTTTGTAGAATCTGCAAGTGGATATTTGGATAGCTTTGAAGGTTTCGTTGGAAACGGGAATATCTTCATATGAAATCAAGACAGAAGCATTCTCAGAAACTTCTCTGTGATGTTTGCATTCAACTCATAGAGTTGAACACTTCCCTTCATACAGCAGGTTTGAAACACTCTTTTTGTAATATTTGGAAGTGGACATTTGCAGCGCTTTGAGGCCTATGATGAAAAAGGTAATATCTTCCCATAAAAACTAGACAGAAGCATTCTCAGAAACTTGTTTGTGATGTGTGTATTCAACTAACAGAGATGAACCTTTCTTCTTACAGCGCAGTTTTGAAACAGTCTTTTTGTAGAATCTGGAAGTAGATATTTGGATACATTTGAGGATTTCTTTGGAAACGCGATATCTTCATATAAAATCTAGACAGAAGCATTCTCAGGAACTTCTTTGTGATGTTTGCATTCACGTCACAGAACTGAACATTCCCTTTCATAGAGCATGTTTGAAACACTCTTTCTGTAGTATCTGCAAACGGACATTTCAAACGCTTTCAGGCCTATGGTGAGAAAGGAAATATCTTCAAATAAAAACTAGACAGAAGCATTCTCAGAAACTTCTTTGTGCTGTATGTCCTCAATTAACAGAGTTGAACCTTTGTGTGGATACAGCATTTTGGAAACACTCCTTTAGTAGAGTCTGCAAGTTGATATTTAGATAGCTAGGAAGATTTCCTTGGAAACGGGAATATCTTCATATAAAATCTAGACGGAAGCATTCTCAGAAAGTGCTTTGTGATGTTTGCATTCAAGTCACGGAGTTGAATATTCCCTTTTATAGAGCAGGTTTGAAACACTCTTTCTGCACTACCTGGAAGTGCACATTTGGAGCGCTTTGAGGCCTATGTTGAAAAAGGAAATATCTTCCCATAAAAACTAGACAGAAGCATTCTCAGAAACTTGTTTGTGATGTGTGTATTCAACTAACAGAGATGAACCTTTCTTTTTACAGAGCAGTTTTGAAACACTCTTTTTGTGGAATCTGAAAGTGGATATTTGGATAGCTTTGAGGATTTCGTTGGAAACGGGATTACATATAAAATCTAGAGAGAAGCATTCTCAGAAACTTCTCTGTGATGTTTGCATTCAACTCATAGAGTTGAACACTTCCTTTCATAGAGCTGGTTTGAAATACTCTTTTTGTAATATTTGGAACTGGACACTGGCAGCGCTTTGAAGCCTATGGTGAAAAAGGAGATATCTTCTCGTAAAAACCAGACAGAAGCATTCTCAGAAACTTATTTGCGATGTGTGTCCTCAACTAACAGAGTTGAACCTTTGTTTTGATACAACATTTTGGAAACACTCTTTTTGTAGAATCTGCAAGTGGATATTTGGATAGCTTTGAAGGTTTCGTTGGAAACGGGAATATCTTCATATAAAATCAAGACAGAAGCATTCTCAGAAAGTGCTTTGTGATGTTTGCATTCAAGTCACAGAGTTGAATATTCCCTTTTATAGAGCAGGTTTGAAACACTCTTTCTGCACTACCTGGAAGTGGACATTTGGAGCGCTTTGAGGCCTATGTTGAAAAAGGAAATATCTTCCCATAAAAACTAGACAGAAGCATTCTCAGAAACTTGTTTGTGATGTGTGTATTCAACTAACAGGGATGAACCTTTCTTATTACAGAGCAGTTTTGAAACACTCTTTTTGTGGAATCTGAAAGTGGATATTTGGATAGCTTTGAGGATTTCGTTGGAAACGGGATTACATATAAAACCTAGAGAGAAGCATTCTCAGGAACTTCTTTGTGATGTTTGCATTCACGTCACAGAACTGAACATTCCCTTTCATAGAGCATGTTTGAAACACTCTTTCTGTAGTATCTGCAAACGGACATTTCAAACGCTTTCAGGCCTATGGTGAGAAAGGAAATATCTTCAAGTAAAAACTAGACAGAAGCATTCTCAGAAACTTATTTGCGATGTGTGTCCTCAACTAACAGAGTTGAACCTTTCTTTTGATACAACATTTTGGAAACACTCTTTTTGTAGAATCTGCAAGTGGATATTTGGATAGCTTTGAAGGTTTCGTTGGAAACGGGAATATCTTCATATGAAATCAAGACAGAAGCATTCTCAGAAAGTGCTTTGTGATGTTTGCATTCAAGTCACAGAGTTGAATATTCCCTTTTATAGAGCAGGTTTGAAACACTCTTTCTGCACTACCTGGAAGTGGACATTTGGAGCGCTTTGAGGCCTATGTTGAAAAAGGAAATATCTTCCCATAAAAACTAGACAGAAGCATTCTCAGAAACTTGTTTGAGATGTGTGTATTCAACTAACAGAGATGAACCTTTCTTTTTACAGAGCAGTTTTGAAACACTCTTTTTGTGGAATCTGAAAGTGGATATTTGGATAGCTTTGAGGATTTCGTTGGAAACGGGATTACATATAAAATCTAGAGAGAAGCATTCTCAGGAACTTCTTTGTGATGTTTGCATTCACGTCACAGAACTGAACATTCCCTTTCATAGAGCATGTTTGAAACACTCTTTCTATAGTATCTGCAAACGGACATTTCAAACGCTTTCAGGCCTATGGTGAGAAAGGAAATATCTTCAAATAAAAACTAGACAGAAGCATTCTCAGAAACTTATTTGCCATGTGTGTTCTCAACTAACAGAGTTGAACCTTTGTTTTGATACGGCATTTTGGAAACACTCTTTTTGTAGAATCTGCAGGTGGATATTCGGATAGCTTTGAAGGTTTCGTTGGAAACGGGAATATCTTCATATAAAATCTAGACGGAAGCATTCTCAGAAAGTGCTTTGTGATGTTTGCATTCAAGTCACAGAGTTGAATATTCCCTTTTATAGAGCAGGTTTGAAACACTCTTTCTGCACTACCTGGAAGTGGACATTTGGAGCGCTTTGAGGCCTATGTTGAAAAAGGAAATATCTTCCCATAAAAACTAGACAGAAGCATTCTCAGAAACTTGTTTGTGATGTGTGTATTCAACTAACAGAGACGAACCTTTCTTTTTACAGAGCAGTTTTGAAACACTCTTTTTGTGGAATCTGAAAGTGGATATTTGGATAGCTTTGAGGATTTCGTTGGAAACGGGATTACATATAAAATCTAGAGAGAAGCATTCTCAGGAACTTCTTTGTGATGTTTGCATTCAAGTCACAGAACTGAACATTCCCTTTCATAGAGCATGTTTGAAACACTCTTTCTGTAGTATCTGCAAGCGGACGTTTCAAGCGCTTTCAGGCCTATGGTGAGAAAGGAAATATCTTCAAGTAAAAACTAGACAGAAGCATTCTCAGAAACTTATTTGCGATGTGTGTTCTCAACTAACAGAGTTGAACCTTTGTTTTGATATGGCATTTTGGAAACACTCTTTTTGTAGAATCTGCAGGTGGATATTCAGATAGCTTTGAAGGTTTTGTTGGAAACGGGAATATCTTCATATAAAATCTAGACGGAAGCATTCTCAGAAAGTGCTTTGTGATGTTTGCATTCAAGTCACAGAGTTGAATATTCCCTTTTATAGAGCAGGTTTGAAACACTCTTTCTGCACTACCTGGAAGTGGACATTTGGAGCGCTTTGAGGCCTATGTTGAAAAAGGAAATATCTTCCCATAAAAACTAGACAGAAGCATTCTCAGAAACTTGTTTGTGATGTGTGTATTCAACTAACAGAGATGACACCTTTCTTTTTACAGAGCAGTTTTGAAACACTCTTTTTGTGGAATCTGAAAGTGGATATTTGGATAGCTTTGCGGATTTCGTTGGAAACGGGATTACATATAAAATCTAGGGAGAAGCATTCTCAGGAACTTCTTTGTGATGTTTGCATTCAAGTCACAGAACTGAACATTCCCTTTCATAGAGCAGGTTTGAAACACTCTTTCTGTAGTATCTGCAAGCGGACGTTTTAAGCGCTTTCAGGCCTGTGGTGAGAAAGGAAATATCTTCAAATAAAAACTAGACAGAAGCATTCTCAGAAACTTATTTGCCATGTGTGTTCTCAACTAACAGAGTTGAACCTTTGTTTTGATACGGCATTTTGGAAACACTCTTTTTGTAGAATCTGCAGGTGGATATTCGGATAGCTTTGAAGGTTTCGTTGGAAACGGGAATATCTTCATATAAAACCTTGACGGAAGCATTCTCAGAAACTTCTTTGTGCTGTATGTCCTCAATTAACAGAGTTGAACCTTTGTGTGGATACAGCATTTTGGAAACATTCCTTTAGTAGAATCTGCAAGTTGATATTTAGATAGCTAGGAAGAGTTCCTTGGAAACGGGAATATCTTCATATAAAATCTAGACGGAAGCATTCTCAGAAACTGCTTTGTGATGTTTTCATTCAAGTCACAGAGTAGAATGTTCCCTGTTATATACCAGGTTTGAGACACTCTTTCTGCACTACCTGGAAGTGGACATTTGCAGCGCTTTGAGGCCTATGATGAAAAAGGAAATATCTTCCCATAAAAACTAGACAGAAGCATTCTCAGAAACTTGTTTGTGATGTGTGTATTCAACTAACAGAGATGAACCTTTCTTTTTACAGAGCAGTTTTGAAACACTCTTTTTGTGGAATCTGAAAGTGGATATTTGGATAGCTTTGAGGATTTCGTTGGAAACGGGATTACATATAAAACCTAGAGAGAAGCATTCTCAGGAACTTCTTTGTGATGTTTGCATTCAAGTCACAGAACTGAACATTCCCTTTCATAGAGCAGGTTTGAAACACTCTTTCTGTAGTATCTGCAAGTGGACGTTTCAAGCGCTTTCAGGCCTGTGGTGAAAAAGGAAATATCTTCAAATAAAAACTAGACAGAAGCATTCTCAGAAACTTATTTGCCATGTGTGTTCTCAACTAACAGAATTGAACCTTTGTTGTGATACGGCATTTTGGAAACACTCTTTTTGTAGAATCTGCAGGTGCATATTCGGATAGCTTTGAAGGTTTCGTTGGAAACGGGAATATCTTCATATAAAATCTAGACGGAAGCATTCTCAGAAACTGCTTTGTGATGTTTTCATTCCAGTCACAGAGTAGAATGTTCCCTTTTATATACCAGGTTTGAGACACTCTTTCTGCACTATCTGGAAGTGGACATTTGGAGCGCTTTGAGGCCTATGATGAAAAAGGAAATATCTTCCCATAAAAACTAGACAGAAGCATTCTCAGAAACTTGTTTGTGATGTGTGTATTCAACTAACAGAGATGAACCTTTCTTTTTACAGAGCAGTTTTGAAACACTCTTTTTGTGGAATCTGAGAGTGGATATTTGGATAGCTTTGAGGATTTCGTTGGAAACGGGATTACATATAAAATCTAGAGAGAAGCATTCTCAGGAACTTCTTTGTGATGTTTGCATTCACGTCACAGAACTGAACATTCCCTTTCATAGAGCATGTTTGAAACACTCTTTCTGTAGTATCTGCAAACGGACATTTCAAACGCTTTCAGGCCTATGGTGAGAAAGGAAATATCTTCAAATAAAAACTAGACAGAAGCATTCTCAGAAACTTATTTGCGATGTGTGTTCTCAACTAACAGAGTTGAACCTTTGTTTTGATATGGCATTTTGGAAACACTCTTTTTGTAGAATCTGCAGGTGGATATTCGGATAGCTTTGAAGGTTTCGTTGGAAACGGGAATATCTTCATATAAAATCTAGACGGAAGCATTCTCAGAAAGTGCTTTGTGATGTTTGCATTCAAGTCACAGAGTTGAATATTCCCTTTTATAGAGCAGGTTTGAAACACTCTTTCTGCACTATCTGGAAGTGGACATTTGCAGCGCTTTGAGGCCTATGTTGAAAAAGGAAATATCTTCCCATAGAAAATAGACAGAAGCATTCTCAGAAACTTGTTTGTGATGTGTGTATTCAACTAACAGAGATGAACCTTTCTTTTTACAGAGCAGTTTTGAAACACTCTTTTTGTGGAATCTGAAAGTGGATATTTGGATAGCTTTGAGGATTTCGTTGGAAACGGGATTACATATAAAACCTAGAGAGAAGCATTCTCAGGAACTTCTTTGTGATGTTTGCATTCACGTCACAGAACTGAACATTCCCTTTCATAGAGCATGTTTGAAACACTCTTTCTGTAGTATCTGCAAACGGACATTTCAAGCACTTTCAGGCCTATGGTAAGAAAGGAAATATCTTCAAATAAAAACTAGACAGAAGCATTCTCAGAAACTTATTTGCGATGTGTGTCCTCAACTAACAGAGTTGAACCTTTCTTTTGATACAACATTTTGGAAACACTCTTTTTGTAGAATCTGCAAGTGGATATTTGGATAGCTTTGAAGGTTTCGTTGGAAACGGGAATATCTTCATATGAAATCAAGACAGAAGCATTCTCAGAAACTGCTTTGTGATGTTTTCATTCAAGTCACAGAGTAGAATGTTCCCTGTTATATACCAGGTTTGAGACACTCTTTCTGCACTACCTGGAAGTGGACATTTGCAGCGCTTTGAGGCCTATGATGAAAAAGGAAATATCTTCCCATAAAAACTAGACAGAAGCATTCTCAGAAACTTGTTTGTGATGTGTGTATTCAACTAACAGAGATGAACCTTTCTTTTTACAGAGCAGTTTTGAAACACTCTTTTTGTGGAATCTGAAAGTGGATATTTGGATAGCTTTGAGGATTTCGTTGGAAACGGGATTACATATAAAACCTAGAGAGAAGCATTCTCAGGAACTTCTTTGTGATGTTTGCATTCAAGTCACAGAACTGAACATTCCCTTTCATAGAGCAGGTTTGAAACACTCTTTCTGTAGTATCTGCAAGCTGACGTTTCAAGCGCTTTCAGGCCTATGGTGAGAAAGGAAATATCTTCAAGTAAAAACTAGACAGAAGCATTCTCAGAAACTTATTTGCGATGTGTGTCCTCAACTAACAGAGTTGAACCTTTCTTTTGATACAACATTTTGGAAACACTCTTTTTGTAGAATCTGCAAGTGGATATTTGAATAGCTTTGAAGGTTTCGTTGGAAACGGGAATATCTTCATATAAAATCAAGACAGAAGCATTCTCAGAAACTTCTCTGTGATGTTTGCATTCAACTCATAGAGTTGAACACTTCCCTTCATACAGCAGGTTTGAAACACTCTTTTTGTAATATTTGGAAGTGGACATTTGCAGCGCTTTGAGGCCTATGATGAAAAAGGTAATATCTTCCCATAAAAACTAGACAGAAGCATTCTCAGAAACTTGTTTGTGATGTGTGTATTCAACTAACAGATATGAACCTTTCTTTTTACAGAGAAGTTTTGAAACACTCTTTTTGTGGAATCTGACAGTGGATATTTGGATAGCTTTGAGGATTTCGTTGGAAACGGGATTACATATAAAATCTAGAGAGAAGCATTCTCAGGAACTTCTTTGTGATGTTTGCATTCAAGTCACAGAACTGAACATTCCCTTTCATAGAGCATGTTTGAAACACTCTTTCTGTAGTATCTGCAAACGGACATTTCAAACGCTTTCAGGCCTATGGTGAGAAAGGAAATATCTTAAAATAAAAACTAGACAGAAGCATTCTCAGAAACTTGTTTGCGATGTGTTTCCTCAACTAACAGAGTTGAACCTTTCTTTTGATACAACATTTTGGAAACACTCTTTTTGTAGAATCTGCAAGTGGATATTTGGATAGCTTTGAAGGTTTCTTTGGAAACGGGAATATCTTCATATAAAATCAAGACAGAAGCATTCTCAGAAAGTGCTTTGTGATGTTTGCATTCAAGTCACAGAGTTGAATATTCCCTTTTATAGAGCAGGTTTGAAACACTCTTTCTGCACTACCTGGAAGTGGACATTTGGAGCGCTTTGAGGCCTATGTTGAAAAAGGAAATATCTTCCCATAAAAACTAGACAGAAGCATTCTCAGAAACTTGTTTGTGATGTGTGTATTCAACTAACAGAGATGAACCTTTCTTTTTACAGAGCAGTTTTGAAACACTCTTTTTGTGGAATCTGAAAGTGGATATTTGGATAGCTTTGCGGATTTCGTTGGAAACGGGATTACATATAAAATCTAGGGAGAAGCATTCTCAGGAACTTCTTTGTGATGTTTGCCTTCAAGTCACAGGACTGAACATTCCCTTTCATAGAGCAGGTTTGAAACACTCTTTCTGTAGTATCTGCAAGCTGACGTTTCAAGCGCTTTCAGGCCTATGGTGAGAAAGGAAATATCTTCAAGTAAAAACTAGACAGAAGCATTCTCAGAAACTTATTTGCCATGTGTGTTCTCAACTAACAGAGTTTAACCTTTGTTTGGATACGGCATTTTGGAAACACTCTTTTTGTAGAATCTGCAGGTGGATATTCGGATAGCTTTGAAGGTTTCGTTGGAAACGGGAATATCTTCATATAAAATCTAGACGGAAGCATTCTCAGAAACTGCTTTGTGATGTTTGCATTCAAGTCACAGAGTAGAATGTTCCCTGTTATATACCAGGTTTGAGACACTCTTTCTGCACTACCTGGAAGTGGACATTTGCAGCGCTTTGAGGCCTATGATGAAAAAGGAAATATCTTCCCATAAAAACTAGACAGAAGCATTCTCAGAAACTTGTTTGTGATGTGTGTATTCAACTAACAGAGATGAACCTTTCTTTTTACAGAGCAGTTTTGAAACACTCTTTTTGTGGAATCTGAAAGTGGATATTTGGATAGCTTTGAGGATTTCGTTGGAAACGGGATTACATATAAAACCTAGAGAGAAGCATTCTCAGGAACTTCTTTGTGATGTTTGCCTTCAAGTCACAGGACTGAACATTCCCTTTCATAGAGCAGGTTTGAAACACTCTTTCTGTAGTATCTGCAAGCTGACGTTTCAAGCGCTTTCAGGCCTATGGTGAGAAAGGAAATATCTTCAAGTAAAAACTAGACAGAAGCATTCTCAGAAACTTCTTTGTGCTGTATGTCCTCAATTAACAGAGTTGAACCTTTGTGTGGATACAGCATTTTGGAAACATTCCTTTAGTAGAATCTGCAAGTTGATATTTAGATAGCTAGGAAGATTTCCTTGGAAACGGGAATATCTTCATATAAAATCTAGACGGAAGCATTCTCAGAAACTTCTCTGTGATGTTTGCATTCAACTCATAGAGTTGAACACTTCCCTTCATACAGCAGGTTTGAAACACTCTTTTTGTAATATTTGGAAGTGGACATTTGCAGCGCTTTGAGGCCTATGATGAAAAAGGTAATATCTTCCCATAAAAACTAGACAGAAGCATTCTCAGAAACTTGTTTGTGATGTGTGTATTCAACTAACAGAGATGAACCTTTCTTTTTACAGAGCAGTTTTGAAACACTCTTTTTGTGGAATCTGAAAGTGGATATTTGGATAGCTTTGAGGATTTCGTTGGAAACGGGATTACAGATAAAACCTAGAGAGAAGCATTCTCAGGAACTTCTTTGTGATGTTTGCATTCACGTCACAGAACTGAACATTCCCTTTCATAGAGCATGTTTGAAACACTCTTTCTGTAGTATCTGCAAACGGACATTTCAAACGCTTTCAGGCCTATGGTGAGAAAGGAAATATCTTCAAGTAAAAACTAGACAGAAGCATTCTCAGAAACTTATTTGCGATGTGTGTCCTCAACTAACAGAGTTGAACCTTTCTTTTGATACAACATTTTGGAAACACTCTTTTTGTAGAATCTGCAAGTGGATATTTGGATAGCTTTGAAGGTTTCGTTGGAAACGGGAATATCTTCATATGAAATCAAGACAGAAGCATTCTCAGAAACTTCTCTGTGATGTTTGCATTCAACTCATAGAGTTGAACACTTCCCTTCATACAGCAGGTTTGAAACACTCTTTTTGTAATATTTGGAAGTGGACATTTGCAGCGCTTTGAGGCCTATGATGAAAAAGGAAATATCTTCCCATAAAAACTAGACAGAAGCATTCTCAGAAACTTGTTTGTGATGTGTGTATTCAACTAACAGAGATGAACCTTTCTTTTTATAGAGCAGTTTTGAAACACTCTTTTTGTGGAATCTGAAAGTGGATATTTGGATAGCTTTGAGGATTTCGTTGGAAACGGGATTACATATAAAATCTAGAGAGAAGCATTCTCAGGAACTTCTTTGTGATGTTTGCATTCAAGTCACAGAACTGAACATTCCCTTTCATAGATCAGGTTTGAAACACTCTTTCTGTAGTATCTGCAAGCGGACGTTTTAAGCGCTTTCAGGCCTGTGGTGAGAAAGGAAATATCTTCAAATAAAAACTAGACAGAAGCATTCTCAGAAACTTATTTGCGATGTGTGTCCTCAACTAACAGAGTTGAACCTTTCTTTTGATACAACATTTTGGAAACACTCTTTTTGTAGAATCTGCAAGTGGATATTTGGATAGCTTTGAAGGTTTCGTTGGAAACGGGAATATCTTCATATGAAATCAAGACAGAAGCATTCTCAGAAAGTGCTTTGTGATGTTTGCATTCAAGTCACAGAGTTGAATATTCCCTTTTATAGAGCAGGTTTGAAACACTCTTTCTGCACTACCTGGAAGTGGACATTTGGAGCGCTTTGAGGCCTATGTTGAAAAACGAAATATCTTCCCATAAAAACTAGACAGAAGCATTCTCAGAAACTTCCTTGTGATGTGTGTACTCAAGTAACAGAGTTGAACCTTCCTTTTGACAGAGCAGTTTTGAAGCACTCTTTTTGTAGAATCTGCAAGTGGATATTTTGATACCTTTGAGGATTTCGTTGGACACGGGATATCTTCATATAAAATCTAGACAGAAGCATTCTCAGGAACTTCTTTGTGATGTTTGCATTCACGTCACAGAACTGACCTTTCCTTTTCATAGAGCATGTTTGAAACACTCTTTCTATACTACCTGCAAGCGGACATTTCAAGCGCTTTCAGGCCTATGGTGAGAAAGGAAATATCTTCAAATAAAAACTAGACAGAAGCATTCTCAGATACTTATTTGCGATGTGTGTCCTCAACTAACAGAGTTGAACCTTTTTTTTGATACAGCACTTTGGAAACACTCTTTTGGTAGAATCTGCAGGTGGATACTTGGATAGATTTGAAGGTTTCGTTGGAAACGGGAATATCTTCATATAAAATCAAGAAGGAAGCATTCTCAGAAACTTCTCTGTTATGTTTGCATTCAACTCATGGTGTTGAACACTTCCTTTCATAGAGCAGGTTTGAAACACTCTTTTTGTAATATTTGGAAGTGGACATTGGCAGCACTTTGAGGCCTATGGTGAAAAAGGAAATATCTTCTCCTAAAAATCAGACAGAAGCATTCTCAGAAACTTCTTTGTGCTGTATGTCCTCAATTAACAGAGTTGAACCTTTGTGTGGATACAGCATTTTGGAAACATTCCTTTAGTAGAATCTGCAAGTTGATATTTAGATAGCTAGGAAGATTTCCTTGGAAACGGGAATATCTTCATATAAAATCTAGACGGAAGCATTCTCAGAAAGTGCTTTGTGATGTTTGCATTCAAGTCACAGAGTTGAATATTCCCTTCTATAGAGCATGTTTGAAACACTCTTTCTGCACTACCTGGAAGTGGACATTTGGAGCGCTTTGAGGCCTATGTTGAAAAAGGAAATATCTTCCCATAAAAACTAGACAGAAGCATTCTCAGAAACTTGTTTGTGATGTGTGTATTCAACTAACAGAGATGAACCTTTCTTTTTACAGAGCAGTTTTGAAACACTCTTTTTGTGGAATCTGAAAGTGGATATTTGGATAGCTTTGAGGATTTCGTTGGAAACGGGATTACATATAAAACCTAGAGAGAAGCATTCTCAGGAACTTCTTTGTGATGTTTGCATTCAAGTCACAGAACTGAACATTCCCTTTCATAGAGCATGTTTGAAACACTCTTTCTGTAGTATCTGCAAGCGGACGTTTCAAGCGCTTTCAGGCCTATGGTGAGAAAGGAAATATCTTCAAGTAAAAACTAGACAGAAGCATTCTCAGAAACTTATTTGCGATGTGTGTTCTCAACTAACAGAGTTGAACCTTTGTTTTGATATGGCATTTTGGAAACACTCTTTTTGTAGAATCTGCAGGTGGATATTCGGATAGCTTTGAAGGTTTCGTTGGAAACGGGAATATCTTCATATAAAATCTAGACGGAAGCATTCTCAGAAAGTGCTTTGTGATGTTTGCATTCAAGTCACAGAGTTGAATATTCCCTTTTATAGAGCAGGTTTGAAACACTCTTTCTGCACTACCTGGAAGTGGACATTTGGAGCGCTTTGAGGCCTATGTTGAAAAAGGAAATATGTTCCCATAAAAACTGGACAGAAGCATTCTCAGAAACTTGTTTGTGATGTGTGTATTCAACTAACAGAGATGAACCTTTCTTTTTACAGAGCAGTTTTGAAACACTCTTTTTGTGGAATCTGAAAGTGGATACTTGGATAGCATTGAGGATTTCGTTGGAAACTGGATTACATATAAAACCTAGAGAGAAGCATTCTCAGGAACTTCTTTGTGATGTTTGCATTCAAGTCACAGAACTGAACATTCCCTTTCATAGAGCAGGTTTGAAACACTCTTTCTGTAGTATCTGCAAGCTGACGTTTCAAGCGCTTTCAGGCCTATGGTGAGAAAGGAAATATCTTCAAGTAAAAACTAGACAGAAGCATTCTCAGAAACTTATTTGCCATGTGTGTTCTCAACTAACAGAGTTGAACCTTTGTTTTGATACGGCATTTTGGAAACACTCTTTTTGTAGAATCTGCAGGTGGATATTCGGATAGCTTTGAAGGTTTCGTTGGAAACGGGAATATCTTCATATAAAATCTAGACGGAAGCATTCTCAGAAAGTGCTTTGTGATGTTTGCATTCAAGTCACAGAGTTGAATATTCCCTTTTATAGAGCAGGTCTGAAACACTCTTTCTGCACTACCTGGAAGTGGACATTTGGAACGCTTTGAGGCCTATGTTGAAAAAGGAAATATCTTCCCATAAAAACTAGACAGAAGCATTCTCAGAAACTTGTTTGTGATGTGTGTATTCAACTAACAGAGATGAACCTTTCTTTTTACAGAGCAGTTTTGAAACACTCTTTTTGTGGAATCTGAAAGTGGATATTTGGATAGCTTTGAGGATTTCGTTGGAAACGGGATTACATATAAAATCTAGAGAGAAGCATTCTCAGGAACTTCTTTGTGATGTTTGCATTCAAGTCACAGAACTCAACATTCCCTTTCATAGAGCAGGTTTGAAACACTCTTTCTGTAGTATCTGCAAGCTGACGTTTCAAGCGCTTTCAGGCCTATGGTGAGAAAGGAAATATCTTCAAGTAAAAACTAGACAGAAGCATTCTCAGAAACTTATTTGCCATGTGTGTTCTCAACTAACAGAGTTGAACCTTTGTTTTGATACGGCATTTTGGAAACACTCTTTTTGTAGAATCTGCAGGTGGATATTCGGATAGCTTTGAAGGTTTCGTTGGAAACGGGAATATCTTCATATAAAATCTAGACGGAAGCATTCTCAGAAAGTGCTTTGTGATGTTTGCATTCAAGTCACAGTAGTTGAATATTCCCTTTTATAGAGCAGGTTTGAAACACTCTTTCTGCACTACCTGGAAGTGGACATTTGGAGCGCTTTGAGGCCTATGTTGAAAAACGAAATATCTTCCCATAAAAACTAGACAGAAGCATTCTCAGAAACTTGTTTGTGATGTGTGTATTCAACTAACAGAGATGAACCTTTCTTTTTACAGAGCAGTTTTGAAACACTCTTTTTGTGGAATCTGAAAGTGGATATTTGGATAGCTTTGAGGATTTCGTTGGAAACGGGATTACATATAAAACCTAGAGAGAAGCATTCTCAGGAACTTCTTTGTGATGTTTGCATTCAAGTCACAGAACTGAACATTCCCTTTCATAGAGCAGGTTTGAAACACTCTTTCTGTAGTATCTGCAAGCGGACGTTTTAAGCGCTTTCAGGCCTGTGGTGAGAAAGGAAATATCTTCAAATAAAAACTAGACAGAAGCATTCTCAGAAACTTATTTGCGATGTGTGTTCTCAACTAACAGAGTTGAACCTTTGTTTTGATACAACATTTTGGAAACACTCTTTTTGTAGAATCTGCAAGTGGATATTTGGATAGCTTTGAAGGTTTCGTTGGAAACGAGAATATCTTCATATAAAATCAAGACGGAAGCATTCTCAGAAAGTGCTTTGTGATGTTTGCATTCAAGTCACAGAGTTGAATATTCCCTTTTATAGAGCAGGTTTGAAACACTCTTTCTGCACTACCTGGAAGTGGACATTTGGAGCGCTTTGAGGCCTATGTTGAAAAAGGAAATATCTTCCCATAAAAACTAGACAGAAGCATTCTCAGAAACTTGTTTGTGATGTGTGTATTCAACTAACAGAGATGAACCTTTCTTTTTACAGAGCAGTTTTGAAACACTCTTTTTGTGGAATCTGAAAGTGGATATTTGGATAGCTTTGAGGATTTCGTTGGAAACGGGATTACATATAAAATCTAGAGAGAAGCATTCTCAGGAACTTCTTTGTGATGTTTGCATTCACGTCACAGAACTGAACATTCCCTTTCATAGAGCATGTTTGAAACACTCTTTCTGTAGTATCTACAAACGGACATTTCAAACGCTTTCAGGCCTATGGTGAGAAAGGAAATATCTTCAAATAAAAACTAGACAGAAGCATTCTCAGAAACTTATTTGCGATGTGTGTCCTCAACTAACAGAGTTGAACCTTTCTTTTGATACAACATTTTGGAAACACTCTTTTTGTGGAATCTGCAAGTGGATATTTGGATAGCTTTGAAGGTTTCGTTGGAAACGGGAATATCTTCATATAAAATCAAGACAGAAGCATTCTCAGAAACTTCTCTGTGATGCTTGCATTCAACTCATAGAGTTGAACACTTCCCTTCATACAGCAGGTTTGAAACACTCTTTTTGTAATATTTGGAAGTGGACATTTGCAGCGCTTTGAGGCCTATGATGAAAAAGGTAATATCTTCCCATAAAAACTAGACAGAAGCATTCTCAGAAACTTGTTTGTGATGTGTGTATTCAACTAACAGAGATGAACCTTTCTTTTTACAGAGCAGTTTTGAAACACTCTTTTTGTGGAATCTGAAAGTGGATATTTGGATAGCTTTGAGGATTTCGTTGGAAACGGGATTACATATAAAATCTAGAGAGAAGCATTCTCAGGAACTTCTTTGTGATGTTTGCATTCAAGTCACAGAACTGAACATTCCCTTTCATAGAGCAGGTTTGAAACACACTTTCTGTAGTATCTGCAAGCGGACGTTTGAAGCGCTTTCAGGCCTGTGGTGAGAAAGGAAATATCTTCAAGTAAAAACTAGACAGAAGCATTCTCAGAAACTTATTTGCGATGTGTGTCCTCAACTAACAGAGTTGAACCTTTCTTTTGATACAACACTTTGGAAACACTCTTTTTGTAGAATCTGCAAGTGGATATTTGGATAGCTTTGAAGGTTTCGTTGGAAACGGGAATATCTTCATATAAAATCAAGACAGAAGCATTCTCAGAAAGTGCTTTGTGATGTTTGCATTCAAGTCACAGAGTGGAATATTCCGTTTTATAGAGCAGGTTTGAAACACTCTTTCTGCACTATCTGGAAGTGGACATTTGGAGCGCTTTGAGGCCTATGTTGAAAAAGGAAATATCTTCCCATAAAAACTAGACAGAAGCATTCTCAGAAACTTGTTTGTGATGTGTGTATTCAACTAACAGAGATGAACCTTTCTTTTTACAGAGCAGTTTTGAAACACTCTTTTTGTGGAATCTGAAAGTGGATATTTGGATAGCTTTGAGGATTTCGTTGGAAACGGGATTACATATAAAATCTAGAGAGAAGCATTCTCAGGAACTTCTTTGTGATGTTTGCATTCACGTCACAGAACTGAACATTCCCTTTCATAGAGCATGTTTGAAACACTCTTTCTGTAGTATCTGCAAACGGACATTTCAAACGCTTTCAGGCCTATGGTGAGAAAGGAAATATCTTCAAGTAAAAACTAGACAGAAGCATTCTCAGAAACTTATTTGCGATGTGTGTCCTCAACTAACAGAGTTGAACCTTTCTTTTGATACAACATTTTGGAAACACTCTTTTTGTAGAATCTGCAAGTGGATATTTGAATAGCTTTGAAGGTTTCGTTGGAAACGGGAATATCTTCATATAAAATCAAGACAGAAGCATTCTCAGAAACTGCTTTGTGATGTTTTCATTCAAGTCACAGAGTAGAATGTTCCCTGTTATATACCAGGTTTGAGACACTCTTTCTGCACTACCTGGAAGTGGACATTTGCAGCGCTTTGAGGCCTATGATGAAAAAGGAAATATCTTCCCATAAAAACTAGACAGAAGCATTCTCAGAAACTTGTTTGTGATGTGTGTATTCAACTAACAGAGATGAACCTTTCTTTTTACAGAGCAGTTTTGGAACACTCTTTTTGTGGAATCTGAAAGTGGATATTTGGATAGCTTCGAGGATTTCGTTGGAAACGGGATTACATATAAAATCTAGAGAGAAGCATTCTCAGGAACTTCTTTGTGATGTTTGCATTCAAGTCACAGAACTGAACATTCCCTTTCATAGAGCATGTTTGAAACACTCTTTCTGTAGTATCTGCAAGCGGACGTTTCAAGCGCTTTCAGGCCTATGGTGAGAAAGGAAATATCTTCAAGTAAAAACTAGACAGAAGCATTCTCAGAAACTTATTTGCCATGTGTGTCCTCAACTAACAGAGTTGAACCTTTGTTTTGATATGGCATTTTGGAAACACTCTTTTTGTAGAATCTGCAGGTGGATATTCGGATAGCTTTGAAGGATTCGTTGGAAACGGGAATATCTTCATATAAAATCTAGACGGAAGCATTCTCAGCAAAGTGCTTTGTGATGTTTGCATTCAAGTCACAGAGTTGAATATTCCCTTTTATAGAGCAGGTTTGAAACACTCTTTCTGCACTACCTGGAAGTGGACATTTGGAGCGCTTTGAGGCCTATGTTGAAAAAGGAAATATCTTCCCATAAAAACTAGACAGAAGCATTCTCAGAAACTTGTTTGTGATGTGTGTATTCAACTAACAGAGATGAACCTTTCTTTTTACAGAGCAGTTTTGAAACACTCTTTTTGTGGAATCTGAAAGTGGATATTTGGATAGCTTTGCGGATTTCGTTGGAAACGGGATTACATATAAAATCTAGGGAGAAGCATTCTCAGGAACTTCTTTGTGATGTTTGCATTCAAGTCACAGAACTGAACATTCCCTTTCATAGAGCAGGTTTGAAACACTCTTTCTGTAGTATCTGCAAGCGGACGTTTTAAGCGCTTTCAGGCCTGTGGTGAGAAAGGCAATATCTTCAAATAAAAACTAGACAGAAGCATTCTCAGAAACTTATTTGCGATGTGTGTTCTCAACTAACAGAGTTGAACCTTTGTTTTGATATGGCATTTTGGAAACACTCTTTTTGTAGAATCTGCAGGTGGATATTCGGATAGCTTTGAAGGTTTCGTTGGAAACGGGAATATCTTCATATAAAATCTAGACGGAAGCATTCTCAGAAACTGCTTTGTGATGTTTTCATTCAAGTCACAGAGTAGAATGTTCCCTGTTATATACCAGGTTTGAGACACTCTTTCTGCACTACATGGAAGTGGACGTTTGGAGCGCTTTGAGGCCTATGTTGAAAAAGGAAATATCTTCCCATAAAAACTAGACAGAATCATTCTCAGAAACTTGTTTCTGATATGTGTATTCAACTAACAGAGATGAACCTTTCTTTTTACAGAGTAGTTTTGAAACACTCTTTTTGTGGAATCTGAAAGTGGATATTTGGATAGCTTTGCGGATTTCGTTGGAAACGGGATTACATATAAAATCTAGGGAGAAGCATTCTCAGGAACTTCTTTGTGATGTTTGCATTCACGTCACAGAACTGAACATTCCCTTTCATAGAGCATGTTTGAAACACTCTTTCTGTAGTATCTGCAAACGGACATTTCAAACGCTTTCAGGCCTATGGTGAGAAAGGAAATATCTTCAAATAAAAACTAGACAGAAGCATTCTCAGAAACTTATTTGCGATGTGTGTCCTCAACTAACAGAGTTGAAACTTTCTTTTGATACAACATTTTGGAAACACTCTTTTTGTAGAATCTGCAAGTGGATATTTGAATAGCTTTGAAGGTTTCGTTGGAAACGGGAATATCTTCATATAAAATCAAGACAGAAGCATTCTCAGAAACTTCTCTGTGATGTTTGCATTCAACTCATAGAGTTGAACACTTCCCTTCATACAGCAGGTTTGAAACACTCTTTTTGTAATATTTGGAAGTGGACATTTGCAGCGCTTTGAGGCCTATGATGAAAAAGGTAATATCTTCCCATAAAAACTAGACAGAAGCATTCTCAGAAACTTGTTTGTGATGTGTGTATTCAACTAACAGAGATGAACCTTTCTTTTTACAGAGCAGTTTTGAAACACTCTTTTTGTGGAATCTGAAAGTGGATATTTGGATAGCTTTGAGGATTTCGTTGGAAACGGGATTACATATAAAACCTAGAGAGAAGCATTCTCAGAAACTTCCTTGTGATGTGTGTACTCAAGTAACAGAGTTGAACCTTACTTTTGACAGAGCCGTTTTGAAACAGTCTTTTTGTAGAATCTGGAAGTAGATATTTGGATACATTTGAGGATTTCTTTGGAAACGGGATATCTTCATATAAAATCTAGACAGAAGCATTCTCAGAAACTTCTTTGTGCTGTATCTCCTCAATTAACAGAGTGGAACCTTTGTGTGGATACAGCATTTTGGAAACATTCCTTTAGTAGAATCTGCAAGTTGATATTTAGATAGCTAGGAAGATTTCCTTGGAAACGGGAATATCTTCATATAAAATCTAGACGGAAGCATTCTCAGAAAGTGCTTTGTGATGTTTGCATTCAAGTCACAGAGTTGAATATTCCCTTTTATAGAGCAGGTTTGAAACACTCTTTCTGCACTACCTGGAAGTGGACATTTGGAGCGCTTTGAGGCCTATGTTGAAAAACGAAATATCTTCCCATAAAAACTAGACAGAAGCATTCTCAGAAACTTGTTTGTGATGTGTGTATTCAACTAACAGAGATGAACCTTTCTTTTTACAGAGCAGTTTTGAAACACTCTTTTTGTGGAATCTGAAAGTGGATATTTGGATAGCTTTGCGGATTTCGTTGGAAACGGGATTACATATAAAATCTAGGGAGAAGCATTCTCAGGAACTTCTTTGTGATGTTTGCATTCAAGTCACAGAACTGAACATTCCCTTTCATAGAGCAGGTTTGAAACACTCTTTCTGTAGTATCTGCAAGCTGACGTTTCAAGCGCTTTCAGGCCTATGGTGAGAAAGGAAATATCTTCAAGTAAAAACTAGACAGAAGCATTCTCAGAAACTTATTTGCGATGTGTGTTCTCAACTAACAGAGTTGAACCTTTGTTTTGATATGGCATTTTGGAAACACTCTTTTTGTAGAATCTGCAGGTGGATATTCGGATAGCTTTGAAGGTTTCGTTGGAAACGGGAATATCTTCATATAAAATCTAGACGGAAGCATTCTCAGAAACTGCTTTGTGATGTTTTCATTCAAGTCACAGAGTAGAATGTTCCTTGTTATATACCAGGTTTGAGACACTCTTTCTGCACTACCTGGAAGTGGACGTTTGGAGCGCTTTGAGGCCTATGTTGAAAAAGGAAATATCTTCCCATAAAAACTAGACAGAAGCATTCTCAGAAACTTGTTTGTGATGTGTGTATTCAACTAACAGAGATGAACCTTTCTTTTTACAGAGCAGTTTTGAAACACTCTTTTTGTGGAATCTGAAAGTGTATATTTGGATAGCTTTGAGGATTTCGTTGGAAACGGGATTACATATAAAACCTAGAGAGAAGCATTCTCAGGAACTTCTTTGTGATGTTTGCCTTCAAGTCACAGGACTGAACATTCCCTTTCATAGAGCAGGTTTGAAACACTCTTTCTGTAGTATCTGCAAGCTGACGTTTCAAGCGCTTTCAGGCCTATGGTGACAAAGGAAATATCTTCAAGTAAAAACTAGACAGAAGCATTCTCAGAAACTTATTTGCCATGTGTGTTCTCAACTAACAGAGTTGAACCTTTGTTTTGATATGGCATTTTGGAAACACTCTTTTTGTAGAATCTGCAGGTGGATATTCGGATAGCTTTGAAGGTTTCGTTGGAAACGGGAATATCTTCATATAAAATCTAGACGGAAGCATTCTCAGAAACTGCTTTGTGATGTTTTCATTCAAGTCACAGAGTAGAATGTTCCCTGTTATATACCAGGTTTGAGACACTCCTTCTGCACTACCTGGAAGTGGACGTTTGGAGCGCTTTGAGGCCTATGTTGAAAAAGGAAATATCTTCCCATAAAAGCTAGACAGAAGCATTCTCAGAAACTTGTTTGTGATGTGTGTATTCAACTAACAGAGATGAACCTTTCTTTTTACAGAGCAGTTTTGAAACACTCTTTTTGTGGAATCTGAAAGTGGATATTTGGATAGCTTTGAGGATTTCGTTGGAAACGGGATTACATATAAAATCTAGAGAGAAGCATTCTCAGGAACTTCTTTGTGATGTTTGCCTTCAAGTCACAGGACTGAACATTCCCTTTCATAGAGCAGGTTTGAAACACTCTTTCTGTAGTATCTGCAAGCTGACGTTTCAAGCGCTTTCAGGCCTATGGTGAGAAAGGAAATATCTTCAAGTAAAAACTAGACAGAAGCATTCTCAGAAACTTATTTGCGATGTGTGTTCTCAACTAACAGAGTTGAACCTTTGTTTTGATATGGCATTTTGGAAACACTCTTTTTGTAGAATCTGCAGGTGGATATTCGGATAGCTTTGAAGGTTTCGTTGGAAACGGGAATATCTTCATATAAAATCTAGACGGAAGCATTCTCAGAAACTGCTTTGTGATGTTTTCATTCAAGTCACAGAGTAGAATGTTCCCTGCTATATACCAGGTTTGAGACACTCTTTCTGCACTACCTGGAAGTGGACGTTTGGAGCGCTTTGAGGCCTATGTTGAAAAAGGAAATATCTTCCCATAAAAACTAGACAGAAGCATTCTCAGAAACTTGTTTGTGATGTGTGTATTCAACTAACAGAGATGAACCTTTCTTTTTACAGAGCAGTTTTGAAACACTCTTTTTGTGGAATCTGAAAGTGGATATTTGGATAGCTTTGAGGATTTCGTTGGAAACGGGATTACATATAAAATCTAGAGAGAAGCATTCTCAGGAACTTCTTTGCGATGTTTGCATTCAAGTCACAGAACTGAACATTCCCTTTCATAGAGCAGGTTTGAAACACTCTTTCTGTAGTATCTGCAAGCTGACGTTTCAAGCGCTTTCAGGCCTATGGTGAGAAAGGAAATTTGCTGCAAGTAAAAACTAGACAGAAGCATTCTCAGAAACTTATTTGCGATGTGTGTTCTCAACTAACAGAGTTGAACCTTTGTTTTGATATGGCATTTTGGAAACACTCTTTTTGTAGAATCTGCAGGTGGATATTCGGATAGCTTTGAAGGTTTCGTTGGAAACGGGAATATCTTCATATAAAATCTAGACGGAAGCATTCTCAGAAACTTCTCTGTGATGTTTGCATTCAACTCATAGAGTTGAACACTTCCCTTCATACAGCAGGTTTGAAACACTCTTTTTGTAATATTTGGAAGTGGACATTTGCAGCGCTTTGAGGCATATGATGAAAAAGGAAATATCTTCCCATAAAAACTAGACAGAAGCATTCTCAGAAACTTGTTTGTGATGTGTGTATTCAACTAACAGAGATGAACCTTTCTCTTTACAGAGCAGTTTTGAAACACTCTTTTTGTGGAATCTGAAAGTGGATATTTGGATAGCTTTGCGGATTTCGTTGGAAACGGGATTACATATAAAATCTAGGGAGAAGCATTCTCAGGAACTTCTTTGTGATGTTTGCATTCAAGTCACAGAACTGAACATTCCCTTTCATAGAGCAGGTTTGAAACACTCTTTCTGTAGTATCTGCAAGCTGACGTTTCAAGCGCTTTCAGGCCTATGGTGAGAAAGGAAATATCTTCAAGTAAAAACTAGACAGAAGCATTCTCAGAAACTTCTTTGCGATGTGTGTTCTCAACTAACAGAGTTGAACCTTTGTTTTGATACAGCATTTTGGAAACACTCTTTTTGTAGGATCTTCAGGTGGATATTTGGATAGCTTTGAAGGTTTCGTTGGAAACGGGAATATCTTCATATAAAATCAAGACAGAAGCATTCTCAGAAACTGCTTTGTGATGTTTTCATTCAAGTCACAGAGTAGAATGTTCCCTGTTATATACCAGGTTTGAGACACTCTTTCTGCACTACCTGGAAGTGGACATTTGCAGCGCTTTGAGGCCTATGATGAAAAAGGAAATATCTTCCCATAAAAACTAGACAGAAGCATTCTCAGAAACTTGTTTGTGATGTGTGTATTCAACTAACAGAGATGAACCTTTCTTTTTACAGAGCAGTTTTGAAACACTCTTTTTGTGGAATCTGAAAGTGGATATTTGGATAGCTTTGAGGATTTCGTTGGAAACGGGATTACATGTAAAACCTAGAGAGAAGCATTCTCAGGAACTTCTTTGTGATGTTTGCATTCACGTCACAGAACTGAACATTCCCTTTCATAGAGCAGGTTTGAAACACTCTTTCTGTAGTATCTGCAAACGGACATTTCAAACGCTTTCAGGCCTATGGTGAGAAAGGAAATATCTTCAAATAAAAACTAGACAGAAGCATTCTCAGAAACTTATTTGCGATGTGTGTCCTCAACTAACAGAGTTGAACCTTTCTTTTGGTACAACATTTAGGAAACACTCTTTTTGTAGAATCTGCAAGTGGATATTTGGATAGCTTTGAAGGTTTCGTTGGAAACGGGAATATCTTCATATAAAATCAAGACAGAAGCATTCTCAGAAAGTGCTTTGTGATGTTTTCATTCAAGTCACAGAGTAGAATGTTCCCTTTCATAGAGCAGGTTTAAAACAGTCTGTGCACTCCCTGGAAGTGGACATTTGGAGCGGTTTGAGGCCTATATTGAAAAAGGAAATATCTTCCCATAAAAACTACACAGAAGCATTCTCAGAAACTTGTTTGTGATGTGTGTATTCAACTAACAGAGATGAACCTTTCTTTTTACAGAGCAGTTTTGAAACACTCTTTTTGTGGAATCTGAAAGTGGATATTTGGATAGCTTTGAGGATTTCGTTGGAAACGGGATTACATATAAAACCTAGAGAGAAACATTCTCAGGAACTTCTTTGTGATGTTTGCATTCACGTCACAGAACTGAACATTCCCTTTCATAGAGCATGTTTGAAACACTCTTTCTGTAGTATCTGCAAACGGACATTTCAAGCGCTTTCAGGCCTATGGTAAGAAAGGAAATATCTTCAAATAAAAACTAGAAAGAAGCATTCTCAGAAACTTATTTGCGATGTGTGTCCTCAACTAACAGAGTTGAACCTTTGTTTTGATACAACATTTTGGAAACACTGTTTTTGTAGAATCTGCAAGTGGATATTTGGATAGCTTTGAAGGTTTCGTTGGAAACGGGAATATCTTCATATAAAATCAAGACAGAAGCATTCTCAGAAACTTCTCTGTGATGCTTGCATTCAACTCATACAGTTGAAGACTTCCTTTCATAGAGCAGGTTTGAAACACTCTGTGCACTACCTGGAAGTGGACATTTGGAGCGCTTTGAGGCCTATGTTGAAAAAGGAAATATCTTCCCATAAAAACTAGACAGAAACATTCTCAGAAACTTGTTTGTGATGTGTGTATTCAACTAACAGAGATGAACCTTTCTTTTTACAGAGCAGTTTTGAAACACTCTTTTTGTGGAATCTGAAAGTGGATATTTGGATAGCTTTGAGGATTTCGTTGGAAACGGGATTACTTATAAAATCTAGGGAGAAGCATTCTCAGGAACTTCTTTGTGATGTTTGCATTCAAGTCACAGAACTGAACATTCCCTTTCATAGAGCAGGTTTGAAACACTCTTTCTGTAGTATCTACAAGCGGACGTTTCAAGCGCTTTCAGGCCTGTGGTGAAAAAGGAAATATCTTCAAATAAAAAGTAGACAGAAGCATTCTCAGAAACTTATTTGCGATGTGTGTTCTCAACTAACAGAGTTGAACCTTTGTTTTGATACAGCATTTTGGAAACACTCTTTTTGTAGGATCTGCAGGTGGATATTTGGATAGCTTTGAAGGTTTCGTTGGAAACGGGAATATCCTCATATAAAATCAAGACAGAAGCATTCTCAGAAACTGCTTTGAGATGTTTTCATTCATGTCACAGAGGAGAATGTTCCCTTTTATAGAGCAGGTTTGAAACACTCTGTGCACTACATGGAAGTGGACATTTGGAGCGCTTTGAGGCCTATGCGGGAAAAGGAAATATCTTCCCATAAAAACTAGACAGAAGCATTCTCAGAAACTTGTTTGTGATGTGTGTATTCAACTAACAGAGATGAACCTTTCTTTTTACAGAGCAGTTTTGAAACACTCTTTTTGTGGAATCTGAAATTGGATATTTGGATAGCTTTGAGGATTTCGTTGGAAACGGGATTACATATAAAACCTAGAGAGAAGCATTCTCAGGAACTTTTTGTGATGTTTGCATTCAAGTCACAGAACTGAACATTCCCTTTCATAGAGCAGGTTTGAAACACTCTTTCTGTAGTATCTGCAAGCTGACGTTTCAAGAGCTTTCAGGCCTATGGTGAGAAAGGAAATATCTTCAAGTAAAAACTAGACAGAAGCATTCTCAGAAACATATTTGCCATGTGTGTTCTCAACTAACAGAGTTGAACCTTTGTTTTGATACAGCATTTTGGAAACACTCTTTTTGTAGAATCTGCAGGTGGATATTCGGATAGCTTTGAAGGTTTCGTTGGAAACGGGAATATCTTCATATAAAATCAAGACAGAAGCATTCTCAGAAAGTGCTTTGTGATGTTTGCATTCAAGTCACAGAGTTGAATATTCCCTTTTATAGAGCAGGTTTGAAACACTCTTTCTGCACTACCTGGAAGTGGACATTTGGAGCGCTTTGAGGCCTATGTTGAAAAAGGAAATATCTTCCCATAAAAACTAGACAGAAGCATTCTCAGAAACTTGTTTTTGATGTGTGTATTCAACTAACAGAGATGAACCTTTCTTTTTACAGAGCAGTTTTGAAACACTCTTTTTGTGGAATCTGAAAGTGGATATTTGGATAGCTTTGAGGATTTCGTTGGAAACGGGATTACATATAAAATCTAGAGAGAAGCATTCTCAGGAACTTCTTTGTGATGTTTGCCTTCAAGTCACAGGACTGAACATTCCCTTTCATAGAGCAGGTTTGAAACACTCTTTCTGTAGTATCTGCAAGCTGACGTTTCAAGCGCTTTCAGGCCTATGGTGAGAAAGGAAATATCGTCAAGTAAAAACTAGACAGAAGCATTCTCAGAAACTTATTTGCCATGAGTGTTCTCAACTAACAGAGTTGAACCTTTGTTTTGATACGGCATTTTGGAAACACTCTTTTTGTAGAATCTGCAGGTGGATATTCGGATAGCTTTGAAGGTTTCGTTGGAAACGGGAATATCTTCATATAAAATCTAGACGGAAGCATTCTCAGAAACTGCTTTGTGATGTTTTCATTCAAGTCACAGAGTAGAATGTTCCCTGTTATATACGAGGTTTGAGACACTCTTTCTGCACTACCTGGAAGTGGACGTTTGGAGCGCTTTGAGGCCTATGTTGAAAAAGGAAATATCTTCCCATAAAAACTAGACAGAAGCATTCTCAGAAACTTGTTTGTGATGTGTGTATTCAACTAACAGAGATGAACCTTTCTTTTTACAGAGCAGTTTTGAAACACTCTTTTTGTGGAATCTGAAAGTGGATATTTGGATAGCTTTGCGGATTTCGTTGGAAACGGGATTACATATAAAATCTAGGGAGAAGCATTCTCAGGAACTTCTTTGTGATGTTTGCCTTCAAGTCACAGGACTGAACATTCCCTTTCATAGAGCAGGTTTGAAACACTCTTTCTGTAGTATCTGCAAGCTGACGTTTCAAGCGCTTTCAGGCCTATGGTGAGAAAGGAAATATCTTCAAGTAAAAACTAGACAGAAGCATTCTCAGAAACTTATTTGCGATGTGTGTTCTCAACTAACAGAGTTGAACCTTTGTTTTGATATGGCATTTTGGAAACACTCTTTTTGTAGAATCTGCAGGTGGATATTCGGATAGCTTTGAACGTTTCGTTGGAAACGGGAATATCTTCATATAAAATCTAGACGGAAGCATTCTCAGAAACTGCTTTGTGATGTTTTCATTCAAGTCACAGAGTAGAATCTTCCCTGTTATATACCAGGTTTCAGACACTCTTTCTGCACTACCTGGAAGTGGACATTTGCAGCGCTTTGAGGCCTATGATGAAAAAGGAAATATCTTCCCATAAAAACTAGACAGAAGCATTCTCAGAAACTTGTTTGTGATGTGTGTATTCAACTAACAGAGATGAACCTTTCTTTTTACAGAGCAGTTTTGAAACACTCTTTTTGTGGAATCTGAAAGTGGATATTTGGATAGCTTTGCGGATTTCGTTGGAAACGGGATTACATATAAAATCTAGGGAGAAGCATTCTCAGGAACTTCTTTGTGATGTTTGCATTCACGTCACAGAACTGAACATTCCCTTTCATAGAGCATGTTTGAAACACTCTTTCTGTAGTATCTGCAAACGGACATTTCAAGCGCTTTCAGGCCTATGGTAAGAAAGGAAATATCTTCAAATAAAAACTAGACAGAAGCATTCTCAGAAACTTCTTTGTGCTGTATGTCCTCAATTAACAGAGTTGAACCTTTGTGTGGATACAGCATTTTGGAAACATTCCTTTAGTAGAATCTGCAAGTTGATATTTAGATAGCTAGGAAGATTTCCTTGGAAACGGGAATATCTTCATATAAAATCTAGACGGAAGCATTCTCAGAAAGTGCTTTGTGATGTTTGCATTCAAGTCACAGAGTTGACTATTCCCCTTTATAGAGCAGGTTTGAAACACTCTCTCTGCACTACCTGGAAGTGGACATTTGGAGCGCTTTGAGGCCTATGTTGAAAAAGGAAATATCTTCCCATAAAAACTAGACAGAAGCATTCTCAGAAACTTGTTTGTGATGTGTGTATTCAACTAACAGAGATGAACCTTTCTTTTTACAGAGCAGTTTTGAAACACTCTTTTTGTGGAATCTGAAAGTGGATATTTGGATAGCTTTGAGGATTTCGTTGGAAACGGGATTACATATAAAATCTAGAGAGAAGCATTCTCAGGAACTTCTTTGTGATGTTTGCATTCACGTCACAGAACTGAACATTCCCTTTCATAGAGCATGTTTGAAACACTCTTTCTGTAGTATCTGCAAACGGACATTTCAAACGCTTTCAGGCCTATGGTGAGAAAGGAAATATCTTCAAATAAAAACTAGACAGAAGCATTCTCAGAAACTTCTTTGTGCTGTATGTCCTCAATTAACAGAGTTGAACCTTTGTGTGGATACAGCATTTTGGAAACATTCCTTTAGTAGAATCTGCAAGTTGATATTTAGATAGCTAGGAAGATTTCCTTGGAAACGGGAATATCTTCATATAAAATCTAGACGGAAGCATTCTCAGAAACTTCTCTGTGATGTTTGCATTCAACTCATAGAGTTGAACACTTCCCTTCATACAGCAGGTTTGAAACACTCTTTTTGTAATATTTGGAAGTGGACATTTGCAGCGCTTTGAGGCCTATGATGAAAAAGGAAATATCTTCCCATAAAAACTAGACAGAAGCATTCTCAGAAACTTGTTTGTGATGTGTGTATTCAACTAACAGAGATGAACCTTTCTTTTTACAGAGCAGTTTTGAAACACTCTTTTTGTGGAATCTGAAAGTGGATATTTGGATAGCTTTGCGGATTTCGTTGGAAACGGGATTACATATAAAATCTAGGGAGAAGCATTCTCAGAAACTTCTCTGTGATGTTTGCATTCAACTCATAGAGTTGAACACTTCCCTTCATAGAGCAGGTTTGAAACACTCTTTTTGTAGTATTTGGAAGTGGACATTTGCAGCGCTTTGAGGCCTATGTTGAAAAAGGAAATATCTTCTCCTAAAAACCAGACAGAAGCATTCTCAGAAACTTATTTGCCATGTGTGTTCTCAACTAACAGAGTTGAACCTTTGTTTTGATACGGTATTTTGGAAACACTCTTTTTGTAGAATCTGCAGGTGGATATTCGGATAGTTTTGAAGGTTTCGTTGGAAACGGGAATATCTTCATATAAAATCTAGACGGAAGCATTCTCAGAAACTGCTTTGTGATGTTTTCATTCAAGTCACAGAGTAGAATCTTCCCTGTTATATACCAGGTTTCAGACACTCTTTCTGCACTACCTGGAAGTGGACATTTGCAGCGCTTTGAGGCCTATGATGAAAAAGGAAATATCTTCCCATAAAAACTAGACAGAAGCATTCTCAGAAACTTGTTTGTGATGTGTGTATTCAACTAACAGAGATGAACCTTTCTTTTTACCGAGCAGTTTTGAAACACTCTTTTTGTGGAATCTGAAAGTGGATATTTGGATAGCTTTGCGGATTTCGTTGGAAACGGGATTACATATAAAATCTAGGGAGAAGCATTCTCAGGAACTTCTTTGTGATGTTTGCATTCACGTCACAGAACTGAACATTCCCTTTCATAGAGCATGTTTGAAACACTCTTTCTGTAGTATCTGCAAACGGACATTTCAAACGCTTTCAGGCCTATGGTGAGAAAGGAAATATCTTCAAATAAAAACTAGACAGAAGCATTCTCAGAAACTTATTTGCCATGTGTGTTCTCAACTAACAGAGTTGAACCTTTGTTTTGATACGGCATTTTGGAAACACTCTTTTTGTAGAATCTGCAGGTGGATATTCGGATAGCTTTGAAGGTTTCGTTGGAAACGGGAATATCTTCATATAAAATCAAGACGGAAGCATTCTCAGAAAGTGCTTTGTGATGTTTGCATTCAAGTCACAGAGTTGAATATTCCCTTTTATAGAGCAGGTTTGAAACACTCTTTCTGCACTATCTGGAAGTGGACATTTGGAGCGCTTTGAGGCCTATGTTGAAAAAGGAAATATCTTCCCATAAAAACTAGACAGAAGCATTCTCAGAAACTTGTTTGTGATGTGTGTATTCAACTAACAGAGATGAACCTTTCTTTTTACAGAGCAGTTTTGAAACACTCTTTTTGTGGAATCTGAAAGTGGATATTTGGATAGCTTTGCGGATTTCGTTGGAAACGGGATTACATATAAAATCTAGGGAGAAGCATTCTCAGGAACTTCTTTGTGATGTTTGCATTCACGTCACAGAACTGAACATTCCCTTTCATAGAGCATGTTTGAAACACTCTTTCTGTAGTATCTGCAAACGGACATTTCAAACGCTTTCAGGCCTATGGTGAGAAAGGAAATATCTTCAAATAAAAACTAGACAGAAGCATTCTCAGAAACTTCTTTGTGCTGTATGTCCTCAATTAACAGAGTTGAACCTTTGTGTGGATACAGCATTTTGGAAACATTCCTTTAGTAGAATCTGCAAGTTGATATTTAGATAGCTAGGAAGATTTCCTTGGAAACGGGAATATCTTCATATAAAATCTAGACGGAAGCATTCTCAGAAAGTGCTTTGTGATGTTTGCATTCAAGTCACAGAGTTGAATATTCCCTTTTATAGAGCAGGTTTGAAACACTCTTTCTGCACTACCTGGAAGTGGACATTAGCAGCGCTTTGAGGCCTATGATGAAAAAGGTAATATCTTCCCATAAAAACTAGACAGAAGCATTCTCAGAAACTTGTTTGTGATGTGTGTATTCAACTAACAGAGATGAACCTCTCTTTTTACAGAGCAGTTTTGAAACACTCTTTTTGTGGAATCTGAAAGTGGATATTTGGATAGCTTTGAGGATTTCGTTGGAAACGGGATTACATATAAAACCTAGAGAGAAGCATTCTCAGGAACTTCTTTGTGATGTTTGCATTCAAGTCACAGAACTGAACATTCCCTTTCATGGAGCATGTTTGAAACACTCTTTCTGTAGTATCTGCAAGCTGACGTTTCAAGCGCTTTCAGGCCTATGGTGAGAAAGGAAATATCTTCAAGTAAAAACTAGACAGAAGCATTCTCAGAAACTTATTTGCGATGTGTGTTCTCAACTAACAGAGTTGAACCTTTGTTTTGATATGGCATTTTGGAAACACTCTTTTTGTAGAATCTGCAGGTGGATATTCGGATAGCTTTGAAGGTTTCGTTGGAAACGGGAATATCTTCATATAAAATCTAGACGGAAGCATTCTCAGAAACTGCTTTGTGATGTTTTCATTCAAGTCACAGAGAAGAATGTTCCCTTTTATATACCAGGTTTGAGACACTCTTTCTGCACTATCTGGAAGTGAACATTTGGAGCGCTTTGAGGCCTATGATGAAAAAGGAAATATCTTCCCATAAAAACTAGACAGAAGCATTCTCAGAAACTTGTTTGTGATGTGTGTATTCAACTAACAGAGATGAACCTTTCTTTTTACAGAGCAGTTTTGAAACACTCTTTTTGTGGAATCTGAAAGTGGATATTTGGATAGCTTTGAGGATTTCGTTGGAAACGGGATTACATATAAAACCTAGAGAGAAGCATTCTCAGGAACTTCTTTGTGATGTTTGCATTCACGTCACAGAACTGAACATTCCCTTTCATAGAGCATGTTTGAAACACTCTTTCTGTAGTATCTCCAAACGGACATTTCAAACGCTTTCAGGCCTATGGTGAGAAAGGAAATATCTTCAAATAAAAACTAGACAGAAGCATTCTCAGAAACTTCTTTGTGCTGTATGTCCTCAATTAACAGAGTTGAACCTTTGTGTGGATACAGCATTTTGGAAACATTCCTTTAGTAGAATCTGCAAGTTGATATTTAGATAGCTAGGAAGATTTCCTTGGAAACGGGAATATCTTCATATAAAATCTAGACGGAAGCATTCTCAGAAACTTCTCTGTGATGTTTGCATTCAACTCATAGAGTTGAACACTTCCCTTCATACAGCAGGTTTGAAACACTGTTTTTCTAATATTTGGAAGTGGACATTTGCAGCGCTTTGAGGCCTATGTTGAAAAAGGAAACATCTCCTAAAAACCAGACAGAAGCATTCTCAGAAACTTCTTTGTGATGTGTGTATTCAACTAACAGAGATGAACCTTTCTTTTTACAGAGCAGTTTTGAAACACTCTTTTTGTGGAATCTGAAAGTGGATACTTGGATAGCTTTGAGGATTTCGTTGGAAACGAGATTACATATAAAATCTAGAGAGAAGCATTCTCAGGAACTTCTTTGTGATGTTTGCATTCACGTCACAGAACTGAACATTCCCTTTCATAGAGCATGTTTGAAACACTCTTTCTGTAGTATCTGCAAACGGACGTTTCAAGCGCTTTCAGGCCTGTGGTGAGAAAGGAAATATCTTCAAATAAAAACTAGACAGAAGCATTCTCAGAAACTTATTTGCGATGTGTGTCCTCAACTAACAGAGTTGAACCTTTCTTTTGATACAACATTTTGGAAACACTCTTTTTGTAGAATCTGCAGGTGGATATTTGAATAGCTTTGAAGGTTTCGCTGGAAACGGGAATATCTTCATATAAAATCAAGACAGAAGCATTCTCAGAAACTGCTTTGTGATGTTTTCATTCAAGTCACAGAGTAGAATGTTCCCTTTTATATACCAGGTTTGAGACACTCTTTCTGCACTATCTGGAAGTGGACATTTGGAGTGCTTTGAGGCTTATGATGAAAAAGGAAATATCTTCCCATAAAAACTAGACAGAAGCATTCTCAGAAACTTGTTTGTGATGTGTGTATTCAACTAACAAGAGATGAACCTTTCTTTTTACAGAGCAGTTTTGAAACACTCTTTTTGTGGAATCTGAAAGTGGATATTTGGATAGCTTTGAGGATTTCGTTGGAAACGGGATTACATATAAAATCTAGAGAGAAGCATTCTCAGGAACTTCTTTGTGATGTTTGCATTCAAGTCACAGAACTGAACATTCCCTTTCATAGAGCAGGTTTGAAACACTCTTTCTGTAGTATCTGCAAGTGGACGTTTCAAGCGCTTTCAGGCCTGTGGTGAAAAAGGAAATATCTTCAAATAAAAACTAGACAGAAGCATTCTCAGAAACTTATTTGCGGTGTGTATTCTCAACTAACAGAGTTGAACCTTTGTTTTGATACAGCATTTTGGAAACACTCTTTTTGTAGGATCTGCAGGTGGATATTTGGATAGCTTTGAAGGTTTCGTTGGAAACGGGAATATCTTCATATAAAATCAACACAGAAGCATTCTCAGAAACTTCTCTGTGATGTTTGCATTCAACTCATAGAGTTGAACACTTCCCTTCATACAGCAGGTTTGAAACACTCTTTTTGTAATATTTGGAAGTGGACATTTGCAGCGCTTTGAGGCCGATGTTGAAAAAGGATATATCTTCTCCTAAAAACCAGACAGAAGCATTCTCAGTAAACTTGTTTGTGATGTGTGTATTCAACTAACAGAGATGAACCTTTCTTTTTACAGAGCAGTTTTGAAACACTCTTTTTGTGGAATCTGAAAGTGGATATTTGGATAGCTTTGCGGATTTCGTTGGAAACGGGATTACATATAAAATCTAGGGAGAAGCATTCTCAGGAACTTCTTTGTGATGTTTGCATTCAAGTCACAGAACTGAACATTCCCTTTCATAGAGCAGGTTTGAAACACTCTTTCTGTAGTATCTGCAAGCGGACGTTTTAAGCGCTTTCAGGCCTGTGGTGAGAAAGGAAATATCTTCAAATAAAAACTAGACAGAAGCATTCTCAGAAACTTATTTGCCATGTGTGTTCTCAACTAACAGAGTTGAACCTTTGTTTTGATACGGCATTTTGGAAACACTCTTTTTGTAGAATCTGCAGGTGGATATTCGGATAGCTTTGAAGGTTTCGTTGGAAACGGGAATATCTTCATATAAAATCTAGACGGAAGCATTCTCAGAAAGTGCTTTGTGATGTTTGCATTCAAGTCACAGAGTTGAATATTCCCTTTTATAGAGCAGGTTTGAAACACTCTTTCTGCACTACCTGGAAGTGGACATTTGGAGCGCTTTGAGGCCTATGTTGAAAAAGGAAATATCTTCCCATAAAAACTAGACAGAAGCATTCTCAGAAACTTGTTTGTGATGTGTGTATTCAACTAACAGAGATGAACCTTTATTTTTACAGAGCAGTTTTGAAACACTCTTTTTGTGGAATCTGAAAGTGGATATTTGGATAGCTTTGAGGATTTCGTTGGAAACGGGATTACATATAAAATCTAGAGAGAAGCATTCTCAGGAACTTTCTTTGTGATGTTTGCATTCAAGTCACAGAACTGAACATTCCCTTTCATAGAGCAGGTTTGAAACACTCTTTCTGTAGTATCTGCAAGCGGACGTTTTAAGCGCTTTCAGGCCTGTGGTGAGAAAGGAAATATCTTCAAATAAAAACTAGACAGAAGCATTCTCAGAAACTTATTTGCGATGTGTGTTCTCAACTAACAGAGTTGAACCTTTGTTTTGATATGGCATTTTGGAAACACTCTTTTTGTAGAATCTGCAGGTGGATATTCGGATAGCTTTGAAGGTTTCGTTGGAAACGGGAATATCTTCATATAAAATCTAGACGGAAGCATTCTCAGAAACTGCTTTGTGATGTTTTCATTCAAGTCACAGAGTAGAATCTTCCCTGTTATATACCAGGTTTCAGACACTCTTTCTGCACTACCTGGAAGTGGACATTTGCAGCGCTTTGAGGCCTATGATGAAAAAGGAAATATCTTCCCATAAAAACTAGACAGAAGCATTCTCAGAAACTTCCTTGTGATGTGTGTACTCAAGTAACAGAGTTGAACCTTCCTTTTGACAGAGCAGTTTTGAAGCACTCTTTTTGTAGAATCTGCAAGTGGATATTTTGATACCTTTGAGGATTTCGTTGGACACGGGATATCTTCATATAAAATCTAGACAGAAGCATTCTCAGGAACTTCTTTGTGATGTTTGCATTCACGTCACAGAACTGAACATTCCCTTTCATAGAGCATGTTTGAAACACTCTTTCTGTAGTATCTACAAACGGACATTTCAAACGCTTTCAGGCCTATGGTGAGAAAGGAAATATCTTCAAATAAAAACTAGACAGAAGCATTCTCAGAAACTTATTTGCGATGTGTGTTCTCAACTAACAGAGTTGAACCTTTGTTTTGATATGGCATTTTGGAAACACTCTTTTTGTAGAATCTGCAGGTGGATATTCGGATAGCTTTGAAGGTTTCGTTGGAAACGGGAATATCTTCATATAAAATCTAGACGGAAGCATTCTCAGAAACTGCTTTGTGATGTTTTCATTCAAGTCACAGAGTAGAATGTTCCCTTTTATATACCAGGTTTGAGGCACTCTTTCTGCACTATCTGGAAGTGGACATTTGGAGCGCTTTGAGGCCTATGATGAAAAAGGAAATATCTTCCCATAAAAACTAGACAGAAGCATTCTCAGAAACTTGTTTGTGATGTGTGTATTCAACTAACAGAGATGAACCTTTCTTTTTACAGAGCAGTTTTGAAACACTCTTTTTGTGGAATCTGAAAGTGGATATTTGGATAGCTTTGAGGATTTCGTTGGAAACGGGATTACATATAAACCTAGAGAGAGAGCATTCTCAGGAACTTCTTTGTGATGTTTGCATTCACGTCACAGAACTGAACATTCCCTTTCATAGAGCATGTTTGAAACACTCTTTCTGTAGTATCTGCAAACGGACATTTCAAACGCTTTCAGGCCTATGGTGAGAAAGGAAATATCTTCAAATAAAAACTAGACAGAGCATTCTCAGAAACTTATTTGCGATGTGTGTCCTCAACTATCAGAGTTGAACCTTTCTTTTGATTCAACATTTTGGAACCACTCTTTTTGTAGAATCTGCAAGTGGATATTTGAATAGCTTTGAAGGTTTCGTTGGAAAGGGGAATATCTTCATATAAAATCAAGACAGAAGCATTCTCAGAAACTTCTCTGTGATGTTTGCATTCAACTCATAGAGTTGAACACTTCCCTTCATACAGCAGGTTTGAAACACTCTTTTTGTAATATTTGGAAGTGGACATTTGCAGCGCTTTGAGGCCTATGATGAAAAAGGAAATATCTTCCCATAAAAACTAGACAGAAGCATTCTCAGAAACTTGTTTGTGATGTGTGTATTCAACTAACAGAGATGAACCTTTCTTTTTACAGAGCAGTTTTGAAACACTCTTTTTGTGGAATCTGAAAGTGGATATTTGGATAGCTTTGCGGATTTCGTTGGAAACGGGATTACATATAAAATCTAGGGAGAAGCATTCTCAGGAACTTCTTTGTGATGTTTGCCTTCAAGTCACAGGACTGAACATTCCCTTTCATAGAGCAGGTTTGAAACACTCTTTCTGTAGTATCTGCAAGCTGACGTTTCAAGCGCTTTCAGGCCTATGGTGAGAAAGGAAATATCTTCAAGTAAAAACTAGACAGAAGCATTCTCAGAAACTTATTTGCCATGTGTGTTCTCAACTAACAGAGTTGAACCTTTGTTTTGATACGGCATTTTGGAAACACTCTTTTTGTAGAATCTGCAGGTGGATATTCGGATAGCTTTGAAGGTTTCGTTGGAAACGGGAATATCTTCATATAAAATCTAGACGGAAGCATTCTCAGAAAGTGCTTTGTGATGTTTGCATTCAAGTCACAGAGTTGAATATTCCCTTTTATAGAGCAGGTTTGAAACACTCTTTCTGCACTACCTGGAAGTGGACATTTGGAGCGCTTTGAGGCCTATGTTGAAAAAGGAAATATCTTCCCATAAAAACTAGACAGAAGCATTCTCAGAAACTTGTTTGTGATGTGTGTATTCAACTAACAGAGATGAACCTTTCTTTTTACAGAGCAGTTTTGAAGCACTCTTTTTGTAGAATCTGCAAGTGGATATTTTGATACCATTGAGGATTTCGTTGGACACGGGATATCTTCATATAAAATCTAGACAGAAGCACTCTCAGGAAACTTCTTTGTGATGTTTGCATTCAAGTCACAGAACTGAACATTCCCTTTCATAGAGCATGTTTGAAACACTCTTTCTGTAGTATCTGCAAACGGACGTTTCAAACGCTTTCAGGCCTATGGTGAGAAAGGAAATATCTTCAAGTAAAAACTAGACAGAAGCATTCTCAGAAACTTATTTGCGATGTGTGTTCTCAACTAACAGAGTTGAACCTTTGTTTTGATATGGCATTTTGGAAACACTCTTTTTGTAGAATCTGCAGGTGGATATTCGGATAGCTTTGAAGGTTTCGTTGGAAACGGGAATATCTTCATATAAAATCTAGACGGAAGCATTCTCAGAAACTGCTTTGTGATGTCTTCATTCAAGTCACAGACTAGAATGTTCCCTTTTATAGAGCAGGTTTGAAACACTCAGTGCACTACCTGGAAGTGGACATTTGGAGCGCTTTGACGCCTATGTTGAAAAAGGAAATATCTTCCCATAGAAACTAGACAGAAGCATTCTCAGAAACTTGTTTGTGATGTGTGTATTCAACTAACAGAGATGAACCTTTCTTTTTACAGAGCAGTTTTGAAACACTCTTTTTGTGGAATCTGAAAGTGGATATTTGGATAGCTTTGCGGATTTCGTTGGAAACGGGATTACATATAAAACCTAGAGAGAAGCATTCTCAGGAACTTCTTTGTGATGTTTGCATTCAAGTCACAGGACTGAACATTCCCTTTCATAGAGCAGGTTTGAAACACTCTTTCTGTAGTATCTGCAAGCTGACGTTTCAAGCGCTTTCAGGCCTATGGTGAGAAAGGAAATATCTTCAAGTAAAAACTAGACAGAAGCATTCTCAGAAACTTATTTGCCATGTGTGTTCTCAACTAACAGAGTTGAACCTTTGTTTTGATACGGCATTTTGGAAACACTCTTTTTGTAGAATCTGCAGGTGGATATTCGGATAGCTTTGAAGGTTTCGTTGGAAACGGGAATATCTTCATATAAAATCTAGACGGAAGCATTCTCAGAAAGTGCTTTGTGATGTTTGCATTCAAGTCACAGAGTTGAATATTCCCTTTTATAGAGCAGGTTTGAAACACTCTTTCTGCACTACCTGGAAGTGGACATTTGGAGCGCTTTGAGGCCTATGTTGAAAAACGAAATATCTTCCCATAAAAACTAGACAGAAGCATTCTCAGAAACTTGTTTGTGATGTGTGTATTCAACTAACAGAGATGAACCTTTCTTTTTACAGAGCAGTTTTGAAACACTCTTTTTGTGGAATCTGAAAGTGGATATTTGGATAGCTTTGCAGATTTCGTTGGAAACGGGATTACATATAAAATCTAGGGAGAAGCATTCTCAGGAACTTCTTTGTGATGTTTGCATTCAAGTCACAGGACTGAACGTTCCCTTTCATAGAGCAGGTTTGAAACACTCTTTCTGTAGTATCTGCAAGCTGACGTTTCATGCGTTTTCATGCCTATGGTGAGAAAGGAAATATCTTCAAGTAAAAACTAGACAGAAGCATTCTCAGAAACTTCTTTGTGCTGTATGTCCTCAATTAACAGAGTTGAACCTTTGTGTGGATACAGCATTTTGGAAACATTCCTTTAGTAGAATCTGCAAGTTGATATTTAGATAGCTAGGAAGATTTCCTTGGAAACGGGAATATCTTCATATAAAATCTAGACGGAAGCATTCTCAGAAAGTGCTTTGTGATGTCTTCATTCAAGTCACAGAGTAGAATGTTCCCTTTTATAGAGCAGGCTTGAAACACTCTTTCTGCACTACCTGGAAGTGGACATTTGGAGCGCTTTGAGACCTATGTTGAAAAAGGAAATATCTTCCCATAAAAACTAGACAGAAGCATTCTCAGAAACTTGTTTGTGATGTGTGTATTCAACTAACAGAGATGAACCTTTCTTTTTACAGAGCAGTTTTGAAACACTCTTTTTGTGGAATCTGAAAGTGGATATTTGGATAGCTTTGAGGATTTCGTTGGAAACGGGATTACATATAAAACCTAGAGAGAAGCATTCTCAGGAACTTCTTTGTGATGTTTGCATTCAAGTCACAGAACTGAACATTCCCTTTCATAGAGCATGTTTGAAACACTCTTTCTGTAGTATCTGCAAACGGACATTTCAAACGCTTTCAGGCCTATGGTGAGAAAGGAAATATCTTCAAATAAAAACTAGACAGAAGCATTCTCAGAAACTTATTTGCGATGTGTGTTCTCAGCTAACAGAGTTGAACCTTTGTTTTGATACAGCATTTTGGAAACACTCTTTTTGTAGGATCTGCAGGTGGATATTTGGATAGCTTTGAAGGTTTCGTTGGAAACGGGAATATCTTCATATAAAATCAACACAGAAGCATTCTCAGAAAGTTCTCTGTGATGTTTGCATTCAACTCATAGAGTTGAACACTTCCTTTCATAGAGCTGGTTTGAAATACTCTTTTTGTAATATTTGGAAGTGGACATTGGCAGCGCTTTGAAGCCCATGGTGAAAAAGGAGATATCTTCTCCTAAAAACCAGACAGAAGCATTCTCAGAAACTTCCTTGTGATGTGTGTACTCAAGTAACAGAGTTGAACCTTCCTTTTGACAGAGCAGTTTTGAAGCACTCTTTTTGTAGAATCTGCAAGTGGATATTTTGATACCTTTGAGGATTTCGTTGGACACGGGATATCTTCATATAAAATCTAGACTAGAAGCATTCTCAGGAACTTCTTTGTGATGTTTGCATTCACGTCACAGAACTGAACATTCCCTTTCATAGAGCATGTTTGAAACACTCTTTCTGTAGTATCTGCAAACGGACATTTCAAGCGCTTTCAGGCCTATGGTGAGAAAGGAAATATCTTCAAATAAAAACTAGACAGAAGCATTCTCAGAAACTTCTTTGTGCTGTATGTCCTCAATTAACAGAGTTGAACCTTTGTGTGGATACAGCATTTTGGAAACACTCCTTTAGTAGGATATGCAAGTTGATATTTAGATAGCTAGGAAGATTTCCTTGGAAACGGGAATATCTTCATATAAAATGTAGACGGAAGCATTCTCAGAAACTGCTTTGTGATGTTTTCATTCAAGTCACAGAGTAGAATGTTCCCTGTTATATACCAGGTTTGAGACACTCTTTCTGCACTACCTGGAAGTGGACGTTTGGAGCGCTTTGAGGCCTATGTTGAAAAAGGAAATATCTTCCCATAAAAACTAGACAGAAGCATTCTCAGAAACTTGTTTGTGATGTGTGTATTCAACTAACAGAGCATGAACCTTTCTTTTTACAGAGCAGTTTTGAAACACTCTTTTTGTGGAATCTGAAAGTGGATATTTGGATAGCTTTGAGGATTTCGTTGGAAACGGGATTACATATAAAACCTAGAGAGAAGCATTCTCAGGAACTTCTTTGTGATGTTTGCATTCAAGTCACAGAACTGAACATTCCCTTTCATAGAGCAGGTTTGAAACACTCTTTCTGTAGTATCTGCAAGCGGACGTTTTAAGCGCTTTCAGGCCTGTGGTGAGAAAGGAAATATCTTCAAATAAAAACTAGACAGAAGCATTCTCAGAAACTTATTTGCGATGTGTGTTCTCAACTAACAGAGTTGAACCTTTGTTTTGATATGGCATTTTGGAAACACTCTTTTTGTAGAATCTGCAGGTGGATATTCGGATAGCTTTGAAGGTTTCGTTGGAAACGGGAATATCTTCATATAAAATCTAGACGGAAGCATTCTCAGAAACTGCTTTGTGATGTTTTCATTCAAGTCACAGAGTAGAATGTTCCCTGTTATACACCAGGTTTGAGACACTCTTTCTGCACTACCTGGAAGTGGACGTTTGGAGCGCTTTGAGGCCTATGTTGAAAAAGGAAATATCTTCCCATAAAAACTAGACAGAAGCATTCTCAGAAACTTGTTTGTGATGTGTGTATTCAACTAACAGAGATGAACCTTTCTTTTTACAGAGCAGTTTTGAAACACTCTTTTTGTGGAATCTGAAAGTCGATATTTGGATAGCTTTGAGGATTTCGTTGGAAACGGGATTACATATAAAATCTAGAGAGAAGCATTCTCAGGAACTTCTTTGTGATGTTTGCATTCACGTCACAGAACTGAACATTCCCTTTCATAGAGCAGGTTTGAAACACTCTTTCTGTAGTATCTGCAAACGGACATTTCAAACGCTTTCAGGCCTATGGTGAGAAAGGAAATATCTTCAAATAAAAACTAGACAGAAGCATTCTCAGAAACTTATTTGCCATGTGTGTTCTCAACTAACAGAGTTGAACCTTTGTTTTGATACGGCATTTTGGAAACACTCTTTTTGTAGAATCTGCAGGTGGATATTCGGATAGCTTTGAAGGTTTCGTTGGAAACGGGAATATCTTCATATAAAATCTAGACGGAAGCATTCTCAGAAACTGCTTTGTGATGTTTTCATTCAAGTCACAGAGTAGAATGTTCCCTGTTATATACCAGGTTTGACACACTCTTTCTGCACTACCTGGAAGTGGACATTTGCAGCGCTTTGAGGCCTATGATGACAAAGGAAATATCTTCCCATAAAAACTAGACAGAAGCATTCTCAGAAACTTGTTTGTGATGTGTGTATTCAACTAACAGAGATGAACCTTTCTTTTTACAGAGCAGTTTTGAAACACTCTTTTTCTGGAATCTGAAAGTGGATATTTGGATAGCTTTGAGGATTTCGTTGGAAACGGGATTACATATAAAATCTAGAGAGAAGCATTCTTAGAAACTTCTCTGTGATGTTTGCATTCAACTCATAGAGTTGAACACTTCCTTTCATAGAGCTGGTTTGAAATACTCTTTTTGTAATATTTGGAAGTGGACATTGGCAGCGCTTTGAAGCCTATGGTGAAAAAGGAGATATCTTCTCCTAAAAACCAGACAGAAGCATTCTCAGAAACTTATTTGCGATGTGTGTCCTCAACTAACAGAGTTGAACCTTTCTTTTGATACAACATTTTGGAAACACTCTTTTTGTAGAATCTGCAAGTGGATATTTGAATAGCTTTGAAGGTTTCGTTGCAAACGGGAATATCTTCATATAAAATCAAGACAGAAGCATTCTCAGAAACTTCTCTGTGATGTTTGCATTCAACTCATAGAGTTGAACACTTCCCTTCATACAGCAGGTTTGAAACACTCTTTTTGTAATATTTGGAAGTGGACATTTGCAGCGCTTTGAGGCCTATGATGAAAAAGGTAATATCTTCCCATAAAAACTAGACAGAAGCATTCTCAGAAACTTGTTTGTGATGTGTGTATTCAACTAACAGAGATGAACCTTTCTTTTTACAGAGCAGTTTTGAAACACTCTTTTTGTGGAATCTGAAAGTGGATATTTGGATAGCTTTGAGGATTTCGTTGGAAACGGGATTACATATAAAATCTAGAGAGAAGCATTCTCAGGAACTTCTTTGTGATGTTTGCATTCAAGTCACAGAACTGAACATTCCCTTTCATAGAGCATGTTTGAAACACTCTTTCTGTAGTATCTGCAAGCGGACGTTTTAAGCGCTTTCAGGCCTGTGGTGAGAAAGGAAATATCTTCAAATAAAAACTAGACAGAAGCATTCTGAGAAACTTATTTGCCATGTGTGTTCTCAACTAACAGAGTTGAACCTTTGTTTTGATACGGCATTTTGGAAACACTCTTTTTGTAGAATCTGCAGGTGGATATTCGGATAGCTTTGAAGGTTTCGTTGGAAACGGGAATATCTTCATATAAAATCTAGACGGAAGCATTCTCAGAAAGTGCTTTGTGATGTTTGCATTCAAGTCACAGAGTTGAATATTCCCTTTTATAGAGCAGGTTTGAAACACTCTTTCTGCACTACCTGGAAGTGGACATTTGGAGCGCTTTGAGGCCTATGTTGAAAAAGGAAATATCTTCCCATAAAAACTAGACAGAAGCATTCTCAGAAACTTGTTTGTGATGTGTGTATTCAACTAACAGAGATGAACCTTTCTTTTTACAGAGCAGTTTTGAAACACTCTTTTTGTGGAATCTGAAAGTGGATATTTGGATAGCTTTGAGGATTTCGTTGGAAACGGGATTACATATAAAACCTAGAGAGAAGCATTCTCAGGAACTTCTTTGTGATGTTTGCATTCAAGTCACAGAACTGAACATTCCCTTTCATAGAGCAGGTTTGAAACACTCTTTCTGTAGTATCTGCAAGCGGACGTTTTAAGCGCTTTCAGGCCTGTGGTGAGAAAGGAAATATCTTCAAATAAAAACTAGACAGAAGCATTCTCAGAAACTTCTTTGTGCTGTATGTCCTCAATTAACAGAGTTGAACCTTTGTGTGGATACAGCATTTTGGAAACATTCCTTTAGTAGAATCTGCAAGTTGATATTTAGATAGCTAGGAAGATTTCCTTGGAAACGGGAATATCTTCATATAAAATCTAGACGGAAGCATTCTCAGAAACTTCTCTGTGATGTTTGCATTCAACTCATAGAGTTGAACACTTCCCTTCATACAGCAGGTTTGAAACACTCTTTTTGTAATATTTGGAAGTGGACATTTGCAGCGCTTTGAGGCCTATGATGAAAAAGGTAATATCTTCCCATAAAAACTAGATAGAAGCATTCTCAGAAACTTGTTTGTGATGTGTGTATTCAACTAACAGAGATGAACCTTTCTTTTTACAGAGCAGTTTTGAAACACTCTTTTTGTGGAATCTGAAAGTGGATATTTGGATAGCTTTGAGGATTTCTTTGGAAACGGGATTACATATAAAATCTAGAGAGAAGCATTCTCAGGAACTTCTTTGTGATGTTTGCATTCACGTCACAGAACTGAACATTCCCTTTCATAGAGCATGTTTGAAACACTCTTTCTGTAGTATCTGCAAACGGACATTTCAAACGCTTTCAGGCCTATGGTGAGAAAGGAAATATCTTCAAATAAAAACTAGACAGAAGCATTCTCAGAAACTTATTTGCCATGTGTGTTCTCAACTAACAGAGTTGAACCTTTGTTTTGATACGGCATTTTGGAAACACTCTTTTTGTAGAATCTGCAGGTGAATATTCGGATAGCTTTGAAGGTTTCGTTGGAAACGGGAATATCTTCATATAAAATCTAGACGGAAGCATTCTCAGAAAGTGCTTTGTGATGTTTGCATTCAAGTCACAGAGTTGAATATTCCCTTTTATAGAGCAGGTTTGAAACACTCTTTCTGCACTACCTGGAAGTGGACATTTGGAGCGCTTTGAGGCCTATGTTGAAAAAGGAAATATCTTCCCATAAAAACTAGACAGAAGCATTCTCAGAAACTTGTTTGTGATGTGTGTATTCAACTAACAGAGATGAACCTTTCTTTTTACAGAGCAGTTTTGAAACACTCTTTTTGTGGAATCTGAAAGTGGATATTTGGATAGCTTTGAGGATTTCGTTGGAAACGGGATTACATATAAAACCTAGAGAGAAGCATTCTCAGGAACTTCTTTGTGATGTTTGCATTCAAGTCACAGAACTCAACATTCCCTTTCATAGAGCAGGTTTGAAACACTCTTTCTGTAGTATCTGCAAGCTGACGTTTCAAGCGCTTTCAGGCCTATGGTGAGAAAGGAAATATCTTCAAGTAAAAACTAGACAGAAGCATTCTCAGAAACTTATTTGCGATGTGTGTCCTCAACTAACAGAGTTGAACCTTTCTTTTGATACAACATTTTGGAACCACTCTTTTTGTAGAATCTGCAAGTGGATATTTGGATAGCTTTGAAGGTTTCGTTGGAAACGGGAATATCTTCATATAAAATCAAGACAGAAGCATTCTCAGAAACTTCTCTGTGATGTTTGCATTCAACTCATAGAGTTGAACACTTCCCTTCATACAGCAGGTTTGAAACACTCTTTTTGTAATATTTGGAAGTGGACATTTGCAGCGCTTTGAGGCCTATGATGAAAAAGGTAATATCTTCCCATAAAAACTAGACAGAAGCATTCTCAGAAACTTGTTTGTGATGTGTGTATTCAACTAACAGAGATGAACCTTTCTTTTTACAGAGCAGTTTTGAAACACTCTTTTTGTGGAATCTGAAAGTGGATATTTGGATAGCTTTGAGGATTTCGTTGGAAACGGGATTACATATAAAATCTAGAGAGAAGCATTCTCAGGAACTTCTTTGTGATGTTTGCATTCAAGTCACAGAACTGAACATTCCCTTTCATAGAGCAGGTTTGAAACACTCTTTCTGTAGTATCTGCAAGCTGACGTTTCAAGCGCTTTCAGGCCTATGGTGAGAAAGGAAATATCTTCAAGTAAAAACTAGACAGAAGCATTCTCAGAAACTTCTTTGTGCTGTATGTCCTCAATTAACAGAGTTGAACCTTTGTGTGGATACAGCATTTTGGAAACATTCCTTTAGTAGAATCTGCAAGTTGATATTTAGATAGCTAGGAAGATTTCCTTGGAAACGGGAATATCTTCATATAAAATCTAGACGGAAGCATTCTCAGAAAGTGCTTTGTGATGTTTGCATTCAAGTCACAGAGTTGAATATTCCCTTTTATAGAGCAGGTTTGAAACACTCTTTCTGCACTACCTGGAGGTGGACATTTAGAGCGCTTTGAGGCCTATGTTGAAAAAGGAAATATCTTCCCATAAAAACTAGACAGAAGCATTCTCAGAAACTTGTTTGTGATGTGTGTATTCAACTAACAGAGATGAACCTTTCTTTTTACAGAGCAGTTTTGAAACACTCTTTTTGTGGAATCTGAAAGTGGATATTTGGATAGCTTTGAGGATTTCGTTGGAAACGGGATTACATATAAAACCTAGAGAGAAGCATTCTCAGGAACTTCTTTGTGATGTTTGCATTCAAGTCACAGAACTGAACATTCCCTTTCATAGAGCAGGTTTGAAACACTCTTTCTGTAGTATCTGCAAGCGGACGTTTTAAGCGCTTTCAGGCCTGTGGTGAGAAAGGAAATATCTTCAAATAAAAACTAGACAGAAGCATTCTCAGAAACTTATTTGCGATGTGTGTTCTCAACTAACAGAGTTGAACCTTTGTTTTGATATGGCATTTTGGAAACACTCTTTTTGTAGAATCTGCAGGTGGATATTCGGATAGCTTTGAAGGTTTCGTTGGAAACGGGAATATCTTCATATAAAATACTAGACGGAAGCATTCTCAGAAACTTCTCTGTGATGTTTGCATTCAACTCATAGAGTTGAACACTTCCCTTCATACAGCAGGTTTGAAACACTCTTTTTGTAATATTTGGAAGTGGACATTTGCAGCGCTTTGAGGCCTATGATGAAAAAGGTAATATCTTCCCATAAAAACTAGACAGAAGCATTCTCAGAAACTTGTTTGTGATGTGTGTATTCAACTAACAGAGATGAACCTTTCTTTTTACAGAGCAGTTTTGAAACACTCTTTTTGTGGAATCTGAAAGTGGATATTTGGATAGCTTTGAGGATTTCGTTGGAAACGGGATTACATATAAAACCTAGAGAGAAGCATTCTCAGGAACTTCTTTGTGATGTTTGCCTTCAAGTCACAGGACTGAACATTCCCTTTCATAGAGCAGGTTTGAAACACTCTTTCTGTAGTATCTGCAAGCTGACGTTTCAAGCGCTTTCAGGCCTATGGTGAGAAAGGAAATATCTTCAAGTAAAAACTAGACAGAAGCATTCTCAGAAACTTATTTGCGATGTGTGTCCTCAACTAACAGAGTTGAACCTTTCTTTTGATACAACATTTTGGAAACACTCTTTTTGTAGAATCTGCAAGTGGATATTTGGATAGCATTGAAGGTTTCGTTGGAAACGGGAATATCTTCATATGAAATCAAGACAGAAGCATTCTCAGAAACTGCTTTGTGATGTTTTCATTCAAGTCACAGAGTAGAATCTTCCCTGTTATATACCAGGTTTCAGACACTCTTTCTGCACTACCTGGAAGTGGACATTTGCAGCGCTTTGAGGCCTATGATGAAAAAGGAAATATCTTCCCATAAAAACTAGACAGAAGCATTCTCAGAAACTTGTTTGTGATGTGTGTATTCAACTAACAGAGATGAACCTTTCTTTTTACAGAGCAGTTTTGAAACACTCTTTTTGTGGAATCTGAAAGTGGATATTTGGATAGCTTTGAGGATTTCGTTGGAAACGGGATTACATATAAAATCTAGAGAGAAGCATTCTCAGGAACTTCTTTGTGATGTTTGCATTCAAGTCACAGGACTGAACGTTCCCTTTCATAGAGCAGGTTTGAAACACTCTTTCTGTAGTATCTGCAAGCTGACGTTTCATGCGTTTTCATGCCTATGGTGAGAAAGGAAATATCTTCAAGTAAAAACTAGACAGAAGCGTTCTCAGAAACTTATTTGCGATGTGTGTCCTCAACTAACAGAGTTGAACCTTTCTTTTGATACAACATTTTGGAAACACTCTTTTTGTAGAATCTGCAAGTGGATATTTGAATAGCTTTGAAGGTTTCGTTGGAAACGGGAATATCTTCATAAAAAATCAAGACAGAAGCATTCTCAGAAAGTGCTTTGTGATGTTTGCATTCAAGTCACAGAGTTGAATATTCCCTTTTATAGAGCAGGTTTGAAACACTCTTTCTGCACTATCTGGAAGTGGACATTTGGAGCGCTTTGAGGCCTATGTTGAAAAACGAAATATCTTCCCATAAAAACTAGACAGAAGCATTCTCAGAAACTTGTTTGTGATGTGTGTATTCAGCTGACAGAGATGAACCTTTCTTTTTACAGAGCAGTTTTGAAACACTCTTTTTGTGGAATCTGAAAGTGGATATTTGGATAGCTTTGAGGATTTCGTTGGAAACGGGATTACATACAAAACCTAGAGAGAAGCATTCTCAGGAACTTCTTTGTGATGTTTGCCTTCAAGTCACAGGACTGAACATTCCCTTTCATAGAGCAGGTTTGAAACACTCTTTCTGTAGTATCTGCAAGCTGACGTTTCAAGCGCTTTCAGGCCTATGGTGAGAAAGGAAATATCTTCAAGTAAAAACTAGACAGAAAGCATTCTCAGAAAACTTATTTGCCATGTGTGTTCTCAACTAACAGAGTTGAACCTTTGTTTTGATACGGCATTTTGGAAACACTCTTTTTGTAGAATCTGCAGGTGGATATTCGGATAGCTTTGAAGGTTTCGTTGGAAACGGGAATATCTTCATATAAAATCTAGACGGAAGCATTCTCAGAAACTTCTCTGTGATGTTTGCATTCAACTCATAGAGTTGAACACTTCCCTTCATACAGCAGGTTTGAAACACTCTTTTTGTAATATTTGGAAGTGGACATTTGCAGCGCTTTGAGGCCTATGATGAAAAAGGTAATATCTTCCCATAAAAACTAGACAGAAGCATTCTCAGAAACTTGTTTGTGATGTGTGTATTCAACTAACAGAGATGAACCTTTCTTTTTACAGAGCAGTTTTGAAACACTCTTTTTGTGGAATCTGAAAGTGGATATTTGGATAGCTTTGAGGATTTCGTTGGAAACGGGATTACATATAAAATCTAGAGAGAAGCATTCTCAGGAACTTCTTTGTGATGTTTGCATTCACGTCACAGAACTGAACATTCCCTTTCATAGAGCATGTTTGAAACACTCTTTCTGTAGTATCTGCAAACGGACATTTCAAACGCTTTCAGGCCTATGGTGAGAAAGGAAATATCTTCAAATAAAAACTAGACAGAAGCATTCTCAGAAACATATTTGCCATGTGTGTTCTCAACTAACAGAGTTGAACCTTTGTTTTGATACAGCATTTTGGAAACACTCCTTTTGTAGAATCTGCAGGTGGATATTCGGATAGCTTTGAAGGTTTCGTTGGAAACGGGAATATCTTCATATAAAATCAAGACAGAAGCATTCTCAGAAACTGCTTTGTGATGTTTTCATTCAAGTCACAGAGTAGAATGTTCCCTGTTATATACCAGGTTTGAGACACTCTTTCTGCACTACCCGGAAGTGGACGTTTGGAGCGCTTTGAGGCCTATGTTGAAAAAGGAAATATCTTCCCATAAAAACTAGACAGAAGCATTCTCAGAAACTTGTTTGTGATGTGTGTATTCAACTAACAGAGATGAACCTTTCTTTTTACAGAGCAGTTTTGAAACACTCTTTTTGTGGAATCTGAAAGTGGATATTTGGATAGCTTTGCGGATTTCGTTGGAAACGGGATTACATATAAAATCTAGGGAGAAGCATTCTCAGGAACTTCTTTGTGATGTTTGCATTCACGTCACAGAACTGAACATTCCCTTTCATAGAGCATGTTTGAAACACTCTTTCTGTAGTATCTGCAAACGGACATTTCAAACGCTTTCAGGCCTATGGTGAGAAAGGAAATATCTTCAAATAAAAACTAGACAGAAGCATTCTCAGAAACTTATTTGCCATGTGTGTTCTCAACTAACAGAGTTGAACCTTTGTTTTGATACGGCATTTTGGAAACACTCTTTTTGTAGAATCTGCAGGTGGATATTCGGATAGCTTTGAAGGTTTCGTTGGAAACGGGAATATCTTCATATAAAATCTAGACGGAAGCATTCTCAGAAAGTGCTTTGTGATGTTTGCATTCAAGTCACAGAGTTGAATATTCCCTTTTATAGAGCAGGTTTGAAACACTCTTTCTGCACTACCTGGAAGTGGACATTTGGAGCGCTTTGAGGCCTATGTTGAAAAACGAAATATCTTCCCATAAAAACTAGACAGAAGCATTCTCAGAAACTTGTTTGTGATGTGTGTATTCAACTAACAGAGATGAACCTTTCTTTTTACAGAGCAGTTTTGAAACACTCTTTTTGTGGAATCTGAAAGTGGATATTTGGATAGCTTTGCGGATTTCGTTGGAAACGGGATTACATATAAAATCTAGGGAGAAGCATTCTCAGGAACTTCTTTGTGATGTTTGCCTTCAAGTCACAGGACTGAACATTCCCTTTCATAGAGCAGGTTTGAAACACTCTTTCTGTAGTATCTGCAAGCTGACGTTTCAAGCGCTTTCAGGCCTATGGTGAGAAAGGAAATATCTTCAAGTAAAAACTAGACAGAAGCATTCTCAGAAACTTATTTGCCATGTGTGTTCTCAACTAACAGAGTTGAACCTTTGTTTTGATACGGCATTTTGGAAACACTCTTTTTGTAGAATCTGCAGGTGGATATTCGGATAGCTTTGAAGGTTTCGTTGGAAACGGGAATATCTTCATATAAAATCTAGACGGAAGCATTCTCAGAAAGTGCTTTGTGATGTTTGCATTCAAGTCACAGAGTTGAATATTCCCTTTTATAGAGCAGGTTTGAAACACTCTTTCTGCACTACCTGGAAGTGGACATTTGGAGCGCTTTGAGGCCTATGTTGAAAAAGGAAATATCTTCCCATAAAAACTAGACAGAAGCATTCTCAGAAACTTGTTTGTGATGTGTGTATTCAACTAACAGAGATGAACCTTTCTTTTTACAGAGCAGTTTTGAAACACTCTTTTTGTGGAATCTGAAAGTGGATATTTGGATAGCTTTGAGGATTTCGTTGGAAACGGGATTACATATAAAATCTAGGGAGAAGCATTCTCAGGAACTTCTTTGTGATGTTTGCATTCACGTCACAGAACTGAACATTCCCTTTCATAGAGCATGTTTGAAACACTCTTTCTGTAGTATCTGCAAACGGACATTTCAAACGCTTTCAGGCCTATGGTGAGAAAGGAAATATCTTCAAGTAAAAACTAGACAGAAGCATTCTCAGAAACTTCTTTGTGCTGTATGTCCTCAATTAACAGAGTTGAACCTTTGTGTGGATACAGCATTTTGGAAACATTCCTTTAGTAGAATCTGCAAGTTGATATTTAGATAGCTAGGAAGATTTCCTTGGAAACGGGAATATCTTCATATAAAATCTAGACGGAAGCATTCTCAGAAACTGCTTTGTGATGTTTTCATTCAAGTCACAGAGTAGAATGTTCCCTGTTATATACCAGGTTTGAGACACTCTTTCTGCACTACCTGGAAGTGGACGTTTGGAGCGCTTTGAGGCCTATGTTGAAAAAGGAAATATCTTCCCATAAAAACTAGACAGAAGCATTCTCAGAAACTTGTTTGTGATGTGTGTATTCAACTAACAGAGATGAACCTTTCTTTTTACAGAGCAGTTTTGAAACACTCTTTTTGTGGAATCTGAAAGTGGATATTTGGATAGCTTCGAGGATTTCGTTGGAAACGGGATTACATATAAAATCTAGAGAGAAGCATTCTCAGGAACTTCTTTGTGATGTTTGCATTCAAGTCACAGAACTGAACATTCCCTTTCATAGAGCATGTTTGAAACACTCTTTCTGTAGTATCTGCAAGCGGACGTTTCAAGCGCTTTCAGGCCTATGGTGAGAAAGGAAATATCTTCAAGTAAAAACTAGACAGAAGCATTCTCAGAAACTTATTTGCCATGTGTGTTCTCAACTAACAGAGTTGAACCTTTGTTTTGATGCGGCATTTTGCAAACACTCTTTTTGTAGAATCTGCAGGTGGATATTCGGATAGCTTTGAAGGTTTCGTTGGAAACGGGAATATCTTCATATAAAATCTAGACGGAAGCATTCTCAGAAACTGCTTTGTGATGTTTTCATTCAAGTCACAGAGTAGAATGTTCCCTGTTATATACCAGGTTTGAGACACTCTTTCTGCACTACCTGGAAGTGGACATTTGCAGCGCTTTGAGGCCTATGATGAAAAAGGAAATATCTTCCCATAAAAACTAGACAGAAGCATTCTCAGAAACTTGTTTGTGATGTGTGTATTCAACTAACAGAGATGAACCTTTCTTTTTACAGAGCAGTTTTGAAACACTCTTTTTGTGGAATCTGAAAGTGGATATTTGGATAGCTTTGAGGATTTCGTTGGAAACGGGATTACATATAAAACCTAGAGAGAAGCATTCTCAGGAACTTCTTTGTGATGTTTGCATTCAAATCACAGAACTGAACATTCCCTTTCATAGAGCAGGTTTGAAACACTCTTTCTGTAGTATCTGCAAGCTGACGTTTCAAGCGCTTTCAGCCCTATGGTGAGAAAGGAAATATCTTCAAGTAAAAACTAGACAGAAGCATTCTCAGAATCTTATTTGCGATGTGTGTTCTCAACTAACAGAGTTGAACCTTTGTTTTGATATGGCATTTTGGAAACACTCTTTTTGTAGAATCTGCAGGTGGATATTCGGATAGCTTTGAAGGTTTCGTTGGAAACGGGAATATCTTCATATAAAATCTAGACGGAAGCATTCTCAGAAACTGCTTTGTGATGTTTTCATTCAAGTCACAGAGTAGAATGTTCCCTGTTATATACCAGGTTTGAGACACTCTTTCTGCACTACCTGGAAGTGGACATTTGCAGCGCTTTGAGGCCTATGATGAAAAAGGAAATATCTTCCCATAAAAACTAGACAGAAGCATTCTCAGAAACTTGTTTGTGATGTGTGTATTCAACTAACAGAGATGAACCTTTCTTTTTACAGAGCAGTTTTGAAACACTCTTTTTGTGGAATCTGAAAGTGGATATTTGGATAGCTTTGAGGATTTCGTTGGAAACGGGATTACATATAAAACCTAGAGAGAAGCATTCTCAGGAACTTCTTTGTGATGTTTGCATTCAAGTCACAGAACTGAACATTCCCTTTCATAGAGCATGTTTGAAACACTCTTTCTGTAGTATCTGCAAACGGACATTTCAAACGCTTTCAGGCCTATGGTGAGAAAGGAAATATCTTCAAATAAAAACTAGACAGAAGCATTCTCAGAAACTTATTTGCGATGTGTGTTCTCAACTAACAGAGTTGAACCTTTGTTTTGATACGGCATTTTGGAAACACTCTTTTTGTAGAATCTGCAGGTGGATATTCGGATAGCTTTGAAGGTTTCGTTGGAAACGGGAATATCTTCATATAAAATACTAGACGGAAGCATTCTCAGAAACTGCTTTGGGATGTTTTCATTCAAGTCACAGGAGTAGAATGTTCCCTGTTATATACCAGGTTTGAGACACTCTTTCTGCACTACCTGGAAGTGGACGTTTGGAGCGCTTTGAGGCCTATGTTGAAAAAGGAAATATCTTCCCATAAAAACTAGACAGAAGCATTCTCAGAAACTTGTTTGTGATGTGTGTATTCAACTAACAGAGATGAACCTTTCTTTTTACAGAGCAGTTTTGAAACACTCTTTTTGTGGAATCTGAAAGTGGATATTTGGATAGCTTTGAGGATTTCGTTGGAAACGGGATTACATATAAAATCTAGGGAGAAGCATTCTCAGGAACTTCTTTGTGATGTTTGCATTCAAGTCACAGAACTGAACATTCCCTTTCATTGAGCAGCTTTGAAACACTATATCTGTAGTATCTGCAAGCGGACGTTTCAAGCGCTTTCAGGCCTGTGGTGAAAAGGGAAATATCTTCAAATAAAAACTAGACAGAAGCATTCTCAGAAACTTATTTAACATGTGTGTTCTCAACTAACAGAGTTGAACCTTTGTTTTGATACGGCATTTTGGAAACACTCTTTTTGTAGAATCTGCTGGTGGATATTCGGATAGCTTTGAAGGTTTCGTTGGAAACGGGAATATCTTCATAGAAAATCTAGACGGAAGCATTCTCAGAAACTTCTCTGTGATGTTTGCATTCAACTCATAGAGTTGAACACTTCCCTTCATACAGCAGGTTTGAAACACTCTTTTTGTAATATTTGGAAGTGGACATTTGCAGCGCTTTGAGGCCTATGATGAAAAAGGAAATATCTTCCCATAAAAACTAGACAGAAGCATTCTCAGAAACTTGTTTGTGATGTGTGTATTCAACTAACAGAGATGAACCTTTCTTTTTACAGAGCAGTTTTGAAACACTCTTTTTGTGGAATCTGAAAGTGGATATTTGGATAGCTTTGAGGATTTCGTTGGAAACGGGATTACATATAAAACCTAGAGAGAAGCATTCTCAGGAACTTCTTTGTGATGTTTGCATTCAAGTCACAGAACTGAACATTCCCTTTCATAGAGCAGGTTTGAAACACTCTTTCTGTAGTATCTGCAAGCGGACGTTTTAAGCGCTTTCAGGCCTGTGGTGAGAAAGGAAATATCTTCAAATAAAAACTAGACAGAAGCATTCTCAGAAACTTCTTTGTGCTGTATGTCCTCAATTAACAGAGTTGAACCTTTGTGTGGATACAGCATTTTGGAAACATTCCTTTAGTAGAATCTGCAAGTTGATATTTAGATAGCTAGGAAGATTTCCTTGGAAACGGGAATATCTTCATATAAAATCTAGACGGAAGCATTCTCAGAAACTGCTTTGTGATGTCTTCATTCAAGTCACAGAGCAGAATGTTCCCTTTTATAGAGCAGGTTTGAAACACTCAGTGCACTACCTGGAAGTGGACATTTGGAGCGCTTTGAGGCCTATGTTGAAAAAGGAAATATCTTCCCATAGAAACTAGACAGAAGCATTCTCAGAAACTTGTTTGTGATGTGTGTATTCAACTAACAGAGATGAACCTTTCTTTTTACAGAGCAGTTTTGAAACACTCTTTTTGTGGAATCTGAAAGTGGATATTTGGATAGCTTTGAGGATTTCGTTGGAAACGGGATTACATATAAAACCTAGAGAGAAGCATTCTCAGGAACTTCTTTGTGATGTTTGCATTCAAGTCACAGAACTGAACATTCCCTTTCATAGAGCAGGTTTGAAACACTCTTTCTGTAGTATCTGCAAGCTGACGTTTCAAGCGCTTTCAGGCCTATGGTGAGAAAGGAAATATCTTCAAGTAAAAACTAGACAGAAGCATTCTCAGAAACTTATTTGCGATGTGTGTCCTCAACTAACAGAGTTGAACCTTTCTTTTGATACAACATTTTGGAAACACTCTTTTTGTAGAATCTGCAAGTGGATATTTGAATAGCTTTGAAGGTTTCGTTGGAAACGGGAATATCTTCATATAAAATCAAGACAGAAGCATTCTCAGAAAGTGCTTTGTGATGTTTGCATTCAAGTCACAGAGTTGAATATTCCCTTTTATAGAGCAGGTTTGAAACACTCTTTCTGCACTACCTGGAAGTGGACATTTGGAGCGCTTTGAGGCCTATGTTGAAAAAGGAAATATCTTCCCATAAAAACTAGACAGAAGCATTCTCAGAAACTTCCTTGTGATGTGTGTACTCAAGTAACAGAGTTGAACCTTCCTTTTGACAGAGCCGTTTTGAAACAGTCTTTTTGTAGAATCTGGAAGTAGATATTTGGATACCTTTGAGGATTTCTTTGGAAACGAGATATCTTCACATAAAATCTAGACAGAAGCATTCTCAGGAACTTCTTTGTGATGTTTGCATTCAAGTTACAGAACTGAACATTCCCTTTCATAGAGCAGGTTTGAAACACTCTTTCTGTAGTATCTGCAAGCTGACGTTTCAAGCGCTTTCAGGCCTATGGTGAGAAAGGAAATATCTTCAAGTAAAAACTAGACAGAAGCATTCTCAGAAACTTCTTTGTGCTGTATGTCCTCAATTAACAGAGTTGAACCTTTGTGTGGATACAGCATTTTGGAAACATTCCTTTAGTAGAATCTGCAAGTTGATATTTAGATAGCTAGGAAGATTTCCTTGGAAACGGGAATATCTTCATATAAAATCTAGACGGAAGCATTCTCAGAAACTGCTTTGTGATGTTTTCATTCAAGTCACAGAGTAGAATGTTCCCTGTTATATACCAGGTTTGAGACACTCTTTCTGCACTACCTGGAAGTGGACGTTTGGAGCGCTTTGAGGCCTATGTTGAAAAAGGAAATATCTTCCCATAAAAACTAGACAGAAGCATTCTCAGAAACTTGTTTGTGATGTGTGTATTCAACTAACAGAGATGAACCTTTCTTTTTACAGAGCAGTTTTGAAACACTCTTTTTGTGGAATCTGAAAGTGGATATTTGGATAGCTTTGAGGATTTCGTTGGAAACGGGATTACATATAAAACCTAGAGAGAAGCATTCTCAGGAACTTCTTTGTGATGTTTGCATTCAAGTCACAGAACTGAACATTCCCTTTCATAGAGCAGGTTTGAAACACTCTTTCTGTAGTATCTGCAAGCGGACGTTTTAAGCGCTTTCAGGCCTGTGGTGAGAAAGGAAATATCTTCAAATAAAAACTAGACAGAAGCATTCTCAGAAACTTATTTGCGATGTGTGTCCTCAACTAACAGAGTTGAACCTTTCTTTTGATACAACATTTTGGAAACACTCTTTTTGTAGAATCTGCAAGTGGATATTTGAATAGCTTTGAAGGTTTCGTTGGAAACGGGAATATCTTCATATAAAATCAAGACGGAAGCATTCTCAGAAACTTCTCTGTGATGTTTGCATTCAACTCATAGAGTTGAACACTTCCCTTCATACAGCAGGTTTGAAACACTCTTTTTGTAATATTTGGAAGTGGACATTTGCAGCGCTTTGAGGCCTATGATGAAAAAGGAAATATCTTCCCATAAAAACTAGACAGAAGCATTCTCAGAAACTTGTTTGTGATGTGTGTATTCAACTAACAGAGATGAACCTTTCTTTTTACAGAGCAGTTTTGAAACACTCTTTTTGTGGAATCTGAAAGTGGATATTTGGATAGCTTTGCGGATTTCGTTGGAAACGGGATTACATATAAAATCTAGGGAGAAGCATTCTCAGGAACTTCTTTGTGATGTTTGCATTCAAGTCACAGAACTGAACATTCCCTTTCATAGAGCAGGTTTGAAACACTCTTTCTGTAGTATCTGCAAGCTGACGTTTCAAGCGCTTTCAGGCCTATGGTGAGAAAGGAAATATCTTCAAGTAAAAACTAGACAGAAGCATTCTCAGAAACTTATTTGCCATGTGTGTTCTCAACTAACAGAGTTGAACCTTTGTTTTGATACGGCATTTTGGAAACACTCTTTTTGTAGAATCTGCAGGTGGATATTCGGATAGCTTTGAAGGTTTCGTTGGAAACGGGAATATCTTCATATAAAATCTAGACGGAAGCATTGTCAGAAACTGCTTTGTGATGTTTTCATTCAAGTCACAGAGTAGAATGTTCCCTGTTATATACCAGGTTTGAGACACTCTTTCTGCACTACCTGGAAGTGGACATTTGCAGCGCTTTGAGGCCTATGATGAAAAAGGAAATATCTTCCCATAAAAACTAGACAGAAGCATTCTCAGAAACTTGTTTGTGATGTGTGTATTCAACTAACAGAGATGAACCTTTCTTTTTACAGAGCAGTTTTGAAACACTCTTTTTGTGGAATCTGAAAGTGGATATTTGGATAGCTTTGAGGATTTCGTTGGAAACGGGATTACATATAAAATCTAGAGAGAAGCATTCTCAGGAACTTCTTTGTGATGTTTGCATTCACGTCACAGAACTGAACATTCCCTTTCATAGAGCATGTTTGAAACACTCTTTCTGTAGTATCTGCAAACGGACATTTCAAACGCTTTCAGGCCTATGGTGAGAAAGGAAATATCTTCAAATAAAAACTAGACAGAAGCATTCTCAGAAACTTATTTGCGATGTGTGTCCTCAACTAACAGAGTTGAACCTTTCTTTTGATACAACATTTTGGAAACACTCTTTTTGTAGAATCTGCAAGTGGATATTTGAATAGCTTTGAAGGTTTCGTTGGAAACGGGAATATCTTCATATAAAATCAAGGCAGAAGCATTCTCAGAAACTGCTTTGTGATGTTTTCATTCAAGTCACAGAGTAGAATGTTCCCTGTTATATACCAGGTTTGAGACACTCTTTCTGCACTACCCGGAAGTGGACGTTTGGAGCGCTTTGAGGCCTATGTTGAAAAAGGAAATATCTTCCCATAAAAACTAGACAGAAGCATTCTCAGAAACTTGTTTGTGATGTGTGTATTCAACTAACAGAGATGAACCTTTCTTTTTACAGAGCAGTTTTGAAACACTCTTTTTGTGGAATCTGAAAGTGGATATTTGGATAGCTTTGCGGATTTCGTTGGAAACGGGATTACATATAAAATCTAGGGAGAAGCATTCTCAGGAACTTCTTTGTGATGTTTGCATTCAAGTCACAGAACTGAACATTCCCTTTCATAGAGCAGGTTTGAAACACTCTTTCTGTAGTATCTGCAAGCTGACGTTTCAAGCGCTTTCAGGCCTATGGTGAGAAAGGAAATATCTTCAAGTAAAAACTAGACAGAAGCATTCTCAGAAACTTATTTGCGATGTGTGTCCTCAACTAACAGAGTTGAACGTTTCTTTTGATACAACATTTTGGAAACACTCTTTTTGTAGAATCTGCAAGTGGATATTTGGATAGCTTTGAAGGTTTCGTTGGAAACGGGAATATCTTCATATAAAATCAAGACAGAAGCATTCTCAGAAACTGCTTTGTGATGTTTTCATTCAAGTCACAGAGTAGAATGTTCCCTGTTATATCCCAGGTTTCAGACACTCTTTCTGCACTACCTGGAAGTGGACATTTGCAGCGCTTTGAGGCCTATGATGAAAAAGGAAATATCTTCCCATAAAAACTAGACAGAAGCATTCTCAGAAACTTGTTTGTGATGTGTGTATTCAACTAACAGAGATGAACCTTTCTTTTTACAGAGCAGTTTTGAAACACTCTTTTTGTGGAATCTGAAAGTGGATATTTGGATAGCTTTGAGGATTTCGTTGGAAACGGGATTACATATAAAATCTAGAGAGAAGCATTCTCAGGAACTTCTTTGTGATGTTTGCCTTCAAGTCACAGGACTGAACATTCCCTTTCATAGAGCAGGTTTGAAACACTCTTTCTGTAGTATCTGCAAGCTGACGTTTCAAGCGCTTTCAGGCCTATGGTGAGAAAGGAAATATCTTCAAGTAAAAACTAGACAGAAGCATTCTCAGAAACTTATTTGCCATGTGTGTTCTCAACTAACAGAGTTGAACCTTTGTTTTGATACGGCATTTTGGAAACACTCTTTTTGTAGAATCTGCAGGTGGATATTCGGATAGCTTTGAAGGTTTCGTTGGAAACGGGAATATCTTCATATAAAATCTAGACGGAAGCATTCTCAGAAACTGCTTTGTGATGTTTTCATTCAAGTCACAGAGTAGAATGTTCCCTGTTATATACCAGGTTTGAGACACTCTTTCTGCACTACCTGGAAGTGGACGTTTGGAGCGCTTTGAGGCCTATGTTGAAAAAGGAAATATCTTCCCATAAAAACTAGACAGAAGCATTCTCAGAAACTTGTTTGTGATGTGTGTATTCAACTAACAGAGATGAACCTTTCTTTTTACAGAGCAGTTTTGAAACACTCTTTTTGTGGAATCTGAAAGTGGATATTTGGATAGCTTTGAGGATTTCGTTGGAAACGGGATTACATATAAAATCTAGAGAGAAGCATTCTCAGGAACTTGTTTGTGATGTTTGCATTCAAGTCACAGAACTGAACATTCCCTTTCATAGATCAGGTTTGAAACACTCTTTCTGTAGTATCTGCAAGCGGACGTTTTAAGCGCTTTCAGGCCTGTGTTGAGAAAGGAAATATCTTCAAATAAAAACTAGACAGAAGCATTCTCAGAAACTTATTTGCGATGTGTGTCCTCAACTAACAGAGTTGAACCTTTCTTTTGATACAACATTTTGGAAACACTCTTTTTGTAGAATCTGCAAGTGGATATTTGGATAGCTTTGAAGGTTTCGTTGGAAACGGGAATATCTTCATATGAAATCAAGACAGAAGCATTCTCAGAAACTGCTTTGTGATGTTTTCATTCAAGTCACAGAGTAGAATGTTCCCTGTTATATACCAGGTTTGAGACACTCTTTCTGCACTACCTGGAAGTGGACGTTTGGAGTGCTTTGAGGCCTATGTTGAAAAAGGAAATATCTTCCCATAAAAACTAGACAGAAGCATTCTCAGAAACTTGTTTGTGATGTGTGTATTCAACTAACAGAGATGAACCTTTCTTTTTACAGAGCAGTTTTGAAACACTCTTTTTCTGGAATCTGAAAGTGGATATTTGGATAGCTTTGAGGATTTCGTTGGAAACGGGATTACCTATAAAATCTAGAGAGAAGCATTCTCAGGAACTCCTTTGTGATGTTTGCATTCACGTCACAGAACTGAACATTCCCTTTCATAGAGCATGTTTGAAACACTCTTTCTGTAGTATCTGCAAGCGGACATTTCAAACGCTTTCAGGCCTATGGTGAGAAAGGAAATATCTTCAAGTAAAAACTAGACAGAAGCATTCTCAGAAACTTCTTTGTGCTGTATGTCCTCAATTAACAGAGTTGAACCTTTGTGTGGATACAGCATTTTGGAAACATTCCTTTAGTAGAATCTGCAAGTTGATATTTAGATAGCTAGGAAGATTTCCTTGGAAACGGGAATATCTTCATATAAAATCTAGACGGAAGCATTCTCAGAAAGTGCTTTGTGATGTTTGCATTCAAGTCACAGAGTTGAATATTCCCTTTTATAGAGCAGGTTTGAAACACTCTTTCTGCACTAACTGGAAGTGGACATTTGGAGCGCTTTGAGGCCTATGTTGAAAAAGGAAATATCTTCCCATAAAAACTAGACAGAAGCATTCTCAGAAACTTGTTTGTGATGTGTGTATTCAACTAACAGAGATGAACCTTTCTTTTTACAGAGCAGTTTTGAAACACTCTTTTTGTGGAATCTGAGAGTGGATATTTGCATAGCTTTGAGGATTTCGTTGGAAACGGGATTACATATAAAATCTAGAGAGAAACATTCTCAGGAACTTCTTTGTGATGTTTGCATTCACGTCACAGAACTGAACATTCCCTTTCATAGAGCATGTTTGAAACACTCTTTCTGTAGTATCTGCAAACGGACATTTCAAGCGCTTTCAGGCCTATGGTAAGAAAGGAAATATCTTCAAATAAAAACTAGACAGAAGCATTCACAGAAACTTATTTGCGATGTGTGTCCTCAACTAACAGAGTTGAACCTTTGTTTTGATACAACATTTTGGAAACACTGTTTTTGTAGAATCTGCAAGTGGATATTTGGATAGCTTTGAAGGTTTCGTTGGAAACGGGATTACATATAAAATCTAGAGAGAAGCATTCTCAGGAACTTCTTTGTGATGTTTGCATTCACGTCAAAGAACTGAACATTCCCTTTCATAGAGCATGTTTGAAAAACTCTTTCTGTAGTATCTGCAAACGGACATTTCAAGGGCTTTCAGGCCTATGGTAAGAAAGGAAATATCTTCAAATAAAAACTAGACAGAAGCATTCTCAGAAACTTATTTGCGATGTGTGTTCTCAGCTAACAGAGTTGAACCTTTGTTTTGATACAGCATTTTGGAAACACTCTTTTTGTAGGATCTGCAGGTGGATATTTGGATAGGTTTGAAGGTTTCTTTGGAAACGGGAATATCTTCATATAAAATCAAGACAGAAGCATTCTCAGAAACTTCTCTGTGATGTTTGCATTCAACTCATAGAGTTGAACACTTCCTTTCATAGAGCTGGTTTGAAATACTCTTTTTGTAATATTTGGAAGTGGACATTGGCAGCGCGTTGAAGCCTATGGTGAAAAAGGAGATATCTTCTCCTAAAAACCAGACAGAAGCATTCTCAGAATCTTTCTTGTGATGTGTGTACTCAAGTAACAGAGGTGAACCTTCATTTTGACAGAGCAGTTTTGAAGCACTCTTTTTGTAGAATCTGCAAGTGGATATTTTGATACCTTTGAGGATTTCGTTAGACACGGGATATCTTCATATAAAATCTAGACAGAAGCATTCTCAGGAACTTCTTTGTGATGTTTGCATTCACGTCACAGAACTGAACATTCCCTTTCATAGAGCATGTTTGAAACACTCTTTCTGTAGTATCTGCAAACGGACATTTCAAGCGCTTTCAGGCCTATGGTAAGAAAGGAAATATCTTCAAGTAAAAACTAGACAGAAGCATTCTCAGAAACTTCTTTGTGCTGTATGTCCTCAATTAACAGAGTTGAACCTTTGTGTGGATACAGCATTTTGGAAACATTCCTTTAGTAGAATCTGCAAGTTGATATTTAGATAGCTAGGAAGATTTCCTTGGAAACGGGAATATCTTCATATAAAATCTAGACGGAAGCATTCTCAGAAACTGCTTTGTGATGTTTTCATTCAAGTCACAGAGTAGAATGTTCCCTGTTATATACCAGGTTTGAGACACTCTTTCTGCACTACCTGGAAGTGGACATTTGCAGCGCTTTGAGGCCTATGATGAAAAAGGAAATATCTTCCCATAAAAACTAGACAGAAGCATTCTCAGAAACTTGTTTGTGATGTGTGTATTCAACTAACAGAGATGAACCTTTCTTTTTACAGAGCAGTTTTGAAACACTCTTTTTGTGGAATCTGAAAGTGGATATTTGGATAGCTTTGAGGATTTCGTTGGAAACGGGATTACATATAAAATCTAGAGAGAAGCATTCTCAGGAACTTCTTTGTGATGTTTGCCTTCAAGTCACAGGACTGAACATTCCCTTTCATAGAGCAGGTTTGAAACACTCTTTCTGTAGTATCTGCAAGCTGACGTTTCAAGCGCTTTCAGGCCTATGGTGAGAAAGGAAATATCTTCAAGTAAAAACTAGACAGAAGCATTCTCAGAAACTTATTTGCGATGTGTGTCCTCAACTAACAGAGTTGAACCTTTCTTTTGATACAACATTTTGGAAACACTCTTTTTGTAGAATCTGCAAGTGGATATTTGAATAGCTTTGAAGGTTTCGTTGGAAACGGGAATATCTTCATATAAAATCAAGACAGAAGCATTCTCAGAAAGTGCTTTGTGATGTTTGCATTCAAGTCACAGAGTTGAATATTCCCTTTTATAGAGCAGGTCTGAAACACTCTTTCTGCACTACCTGGAAGTGGACATTTGGAACGCTTTGAGGCCTATGTTGAAAAAGGAAATATCTTCCCATAAAAACTAGACAGAAGCATTCTCAGAAACTTGTTTGTGATGTGTGTATTCAACTAACAGAGATGAACCTTTCTTTTTACAGAGCAGTTTTGAAACACTCTTTTTGTGGAATCTGAAAGTGGATATTTGGATAGCTTCGAGGATTTCGTTGGAAACGGGATTACATATAAAATCTAGAGAGAAGCATTCTCAGGAACTTCTTTGTGATGTTTGCATTCAAGTCACAGAACTGAACATTCCCTTTCATAGAGCATGTTTGAAACACTCTTTCTGTAGTATCTGCAAGCGGACGTTTCAAGCGCTTTCAGGCCTATGGTGAGAAAGGAAATATCTTCAAGTAAAAACTAGACAGAAGCATTCTCCGAAACTTATTTGCCATGTGTGTTCTCAACTAACAGAGTTGAACCTTTGTTTTGATACGGCATTTTGGAAACACTCTTTTTGTAGAATCTGCAGGTGGATATTCGGATAGCTTTGAAGGTTTCGTTGGAAACGGGAATATCTTCATATAAAATCTAGACGGAAACATTCTCAGAAACTGCTTTGTGATGTTTTCATTGAAGTCACAGCAGTAGAATGTTCCCTTTTATATACCAGGTTTGAGACACTCTTTCTGCACTATCTGGAAGTGGACATTTGGAGCGCTTTGAGGCCTATGATGAAAAAGGAAATATCTTCCCATAAAAACTAGACAGAAGCATTCTCAGAAACTTGTTTGTGATGTGTGTATTCAACTAACCGAGATGAACCTTTCTTTTTACAGAGCAGTTTTGAAACACTCTTTTTGTGGAATCTGAAAGTGGATATTTGGATAGCTTTGAGGATTTCGTTGGAAACGGGATTACATATAAAATATAGGGAGAAGCATTCTCAGGAACTTCTTTGTGATGTTTGCATTCAAGTCACAGAACTGAACATTCCCTTTCATAGAGCAGGTTTGAAACACTCTATCTGTAGTATCTGCAAGCGGACGTTTCAAGCGCTTTCAGGCCTGTGGTGAAAAAGGAAATATCTTCAAATAAAAACTAGACAGAAGCATTCTCAGAAACTTATTTGAGATGTGTGTTCTCAACTAACAGAGTTGAACCTTTGTTTTGATACAGCATTTTGGAAACACTCTTTTTGTAGGATCTGCAGGTGGATATTTGGATAGCTTTGAAGGTTTCGTTGGAAACGGGAATATCTTCATATAAAATCATGACAGAAGCATTCTCAGAAACTTCTCTGTGATGTTTGCATTCAACTCATAGAGTTGAACACTTCCCTTCATAGAGCAGGTTTGAAACACTCTTTTTGTAATATTTGGAAGTGGACATTTGCAGCGCTTTGAGGCCTATGTTGAAAAAGGAAATATCTTCTCCTAAAAACAAGACAGAAGCATTCTCAGAAACTTGTTTGTGATGTGTGTATTCAACTAACAGAGATGAACCTTTCTTTTTACAGAGCAGTTTTGAAACACTCTTTTTGTGGAATCTGAAAGTGGATATTTGGATAGCTTTGAGGATTTTGTTGGAAACGGGATTACATATAAAACCTAGAGAGAAGCATTCTCAGGAACTTCTTTGCGATGTTTGCATTCAAGTCACAGAACTGAACATTCCCTTTCATAGAGCAGGTTTGAAACACTCTTTCTGTAGTATCTGCAAGCTGACGTTTCAAGCGCTTTCAGGCCTATGGTGAGAAAGGAAATATCTTCAAGTAAAAACTAGACAGAAGCATTCTCAGAAACTTATTTGCGATGTGTGTCCTCAACTAACAGAGTTGAACCTTTCTTTTGATACAACATTTTGGAAACACTCTTTTTGTAGAATCAGCAAGTGGATATTTGAATAGCTTTGAAGGTTTCGTTGGAAACGGGAATATCTTCATATAAAATCAAGACAGAAGCATTCTCAGAAAGTGCTTTGTGAAGTCTTCATTCAAGTCACAGAGTAGAATGTTCCCTTTTATAGAGCAGGTTTGAAACACTCTTTCTGCACTACCTGGAAGTGGACATTTGGAGCGCTTTGAGACCTATGTTGAAAAAGGAAATATCTTCCCATAAAAACTAGACAGAAGCATTCTCAGAAACTTGTTTTTGATGTGTGTATTCAACTAACAGAGATGAACCTTTCTTTTTACAGAGCAGTTTTGAAACACTCTTTTTGTGGAATCTGAAAGTGGATATTTGGATAGTTTTGAGGAATTCGTTGGAAACGGGATTACATATAAAATCTAGAGAGAAGCACTCTCAGGAACTTCTTTGTGATGTTTGCATTCAAGTCACAGAACTGAACATTCCCTTTCATAGAGCATGTTTGAAACACTCTTTCTGTAGTATCTGCAAACGGACGTTTCAAACGCTTTCAGGCCTATGGTGAGAAAGGAAATATCTTCAAGTAAAAACTAGACAGAAGCATTCTCAGAAACTTCTTTGTGCTGTATGTCCTCAATTAACAGAGTTGAACCTTTGTTTCGATACAGCATTTTGGAAACATTCCTTTAGTAGAATCTACAAGTTGATATTTAGATAGCTAGGAAGATTTCCTTGGAAATGGGAATATCTTCAAATAAAATCTAGACGGAAGCATTCTCAGAAACTGCTTTGTGATGTTTTCATTCAAGTCACAGAGTAGAATGTTCCCTGTTATATACCAGGTTTGAGACACTCTTTCTGCACTACCCGGAAGTGGACGTTTGGAGCGCTTTGAGGCCTATGTTGAAAAACGAAATATCTTCCCATAAAAACTAGACAGAAGCATTCTCAGAAACTTGTTTGTGATGTGTGTATTCAACTAACAGAGATGAACCTTTCTTTTTACAGAGCAGTTTTGAAACACTCTTTTTGTGGAATCTGAAAGTGGATATTTGGATAGCTTTGAGGATTTCGTTGGAAACGGGATTACATATAAAATCTAGAGAGAAGCATTCTCAGGAACTTCTTTGTGATGTTTGCATTCACGTCACAGAACTGAACATTCCCTTTCATAGAGCATGTTTGAAACACTCTTTCTGTAGTATCTGCAAACGGACATTTCAAACGCTTTCAGGCCTATGGTGAGAAAGGAAATATCTTCAAATAAAAACTAGACAGAAGCATTCTCAGAAACTTATTTGCCATGTGTGTTCTCAACTAACAGAGTTGAACCTTTGTTTTGATACGGCATTTTGGAAACACTCTTTTTGTAGAATCTGCAGGTGGATATTCGGATAGCTTTGAAGGTTTCGTTGGAAACGGGAATATCTTCATATAAAATCTAGACGGAAGCATTCTCAGAAAGTGCTTTGTGATGTTTGCATTCAAGTCACAGAGTTGAATATTCCCTTTTATAGAGCAGGTTTGAAACACTCTTTCTGCACTACCTGGAAGTGGACATTTGGAGCGCTTTGAGGCCTATGTTGAAAAAGGAAATATCTTCCCCTAAAAACTAGACAGAAGCATTCTCAGAAACTTGTTTGTGATGTGTGTATTCAACTAACAGAGATGAACCTTTCTTTTTACAGAGCAGTTTTGAAACACTCTTTTTGTGGAATCTGAAAGTGGATATTTGGATAGCTTTGAGGATTTCGTTGGAAACGGGATTACATATAAAACCTAGAGAGAAGCATTCTCAGGAACTTCTTTGTGATGTTTGCATTCAAGTCACAGAACTGAACATTCCCTTTCATAGAGCAGGTTTGAAACACTCTTTCTGTAGTATCTGCAAGCGGACGTTTTAAGCGCTTTCAGGCCTGTGGTGAGAAAGGAAATATCTTCAAATAAAAACTAGACAGAAGCATTCTCAGAAACTTATTTGCGATGTGTGTCCTCAACTAACAGAGTTGAACCTTTCTTTTGATACAACATTTTGGAAACACTCTTTTTGTAGAATCTGCAAGTGGATATTTGGATAGCTTTGAAGGTTTCGTTGGAAACGGGAATATCTTCATATGAAATCAAGACAGAAGCATTCTCAGAAACTTCTCTGTGATGTTTGCATTCAACTCATAGAGTTGAACACTTCCCTTCATACAGCAGGTTTGAAACACTCTTTTTGTAATATTTGGAAGTGGACATTTGCAGCGCTTTGAGGCCTATGATGAAAAAGGTAATATCTTCCCATAAAAACTAGACAGAAGCATTCTCAGAAACTTGTTTGTGATGTGTGTATTCAACTAACAGAGATGAACCTTTCTTTTTACAGAGCAGTTTTGAAACACTCTTTTTGTGGAATCTGAAAGTGGATATTTGGATAGCTTTGAGGATTTCGTTGGAAACGGGATTACATATAAAATCTAGAGAGAAGCATTCTCAGGAACTTCTTTGTGATGTTTGCATTCAAGTCACAGAACTGAACATTCCCTTTCATAGAGCATGTTTGAAACACTCTTTCTGTAGTATCTGCAAACGGACATTTCAAGCGCTTTCAGGCCTATGGTAAGAAAGGAAATATCTTCAAATAAAAACTAGACAGAAGCATTCTCAGAAACTTCTTTGTGCTGTATGTCCTCAATTAACAGAGTTGAACCTTTGTGTGGATACAGCATTTTGGAAACATTCCTTTAGTAGAATCTGCAAGTTGATATTTAGATAGCTAGGAAGATTTCCTTGGAAACGGGAATATCTTCATATAAAATCTAGACGGAAGCATTCTCAGAAACTGCTTTGTGATGTTTTCATTCAAGTCACAGAGTAGAATGTTCCCTGTTATATACCAGGTTTGAGACACTCTTTCTGCACTACCTGGAAGTGGACGTTTGGAGCGCTTTGAGGCCTATGTTGAAAAAGGAAATATCTTCCCATAAAAACTAGACAGAAGCATTCTCAGAAACTTGTTTGTGATGTGTGTATTCAACTAACAGAGATGAACCTTTCTTTTTACAGAGCAGTTTTGAAACACTCTTTTTGTGGAATCTGAAAGTGGATATTTGGATAGCTTTGCGGATTTCGTTGGAAACGGGATTACATATAAAATCTAGGGAGAAGCATTCTCAGGAACTTCTTTGTGATGTTTGCCTTCAAGTCACAGGACTGAACATTCCCTTTCATAGAGCAGGTTTGAAACACTCTTTCTGTAGTATCTGCAAGCTGACGTTTCAAGCGCTTTCAGGCCTATGGTGACAAAGGAAATATCTTCAAGTAAAAACTAGACAGAAGCATTCTCAGAAACTTCTTTGCCATGTGTGTTCTCAACTAACAGAGTTGAACCTTTGTTTTGATACGGCATTTTGGAAACACTCTTTTTGTAGAATCTGCAGGTGGATATTCGGATAGCTTTGAAGGTTTCGTTGGAAACGGGAATATCCTTCATATAAAATCTAGACGGAAGCATTCTCAGAAACTGCTTTGTGATGTTTTCATTCAAGTCACAGAGTAGAATCTTCCCTGTTATATACCAGGTTTCAGACACTCTTTCTGCACTACCTGGAAGTGGACATTTGCAGCGCTTTGAGGCCTATGTTGAAAAAGGAAATATCTTCCCATAAAAACTAGACAGAAGCATTCTCAGAAACTTGTTTGTGATGTGTGTATTCAACTAACAGAGATGAACCTTTCTTTTTACAGAGCAGTTTTGAAACACTCTTTTTGTGGAATCTGAAAGTGGATATTTGGATAGCTTTGAGGATTTCGTTGGAAACGGGATTACATATAAAACCTAGAGAGAAGCATTCTCAGGAACTTCTTTGTGATGTTTGCATTCACGTCACAGAACTGAACATTCCCTTTCATAGAGCATGTTTGAAACACTCTGTAGTATCTGCAAACGGACATTTCAAACGCTTTCAGGCCTATGGTGAGAAAGGAAATATCTTCAAGTAAAAACTAGACAGAAGCATTCTCAGAAACTTATTTGCGATGTGTGTCCTCAACTATCAGAGTTGAACCTTTCTTTTGATACAACATTTTGGAACCACTCTTTTTGTAGAATCTGCAAGTGGATATTTGAATAGCTTTGAAGGTTTCGTTGGAAACGGGAATATCTTCATATAAAATCAAGACAGAAGCATTCTCAGAAACTGCTTTGTGATGTTTTCATTCAAGTCACAGAGTAGAATGTTCCCTGTTATATACCAGGTTTGAGACACTCTTTCTGCACTACCTGGAAGTGGACGTTTGGAGCGCTTTGAGGCCTATGTTGAAAAAGGAAATATCTTCCCATAAAAACTAGACAGAAGCATTCTCAGCAAACTTGTTTGTGATGTGTGTATTCAACTAACAGAGATGAACCTTTCTTTTTACAGAGCAGTTTTGAAACACTCTTTTTGTGGAATCTGAAAGTGGATATTTGGATAGCTTTGCGGATTTCTTTGGAAACGGGATTACATATAAAATCTAGAGAGAAGCATTCTCAGGAACTTCTTTGTGATGTTTGCATTCAAGTCACAGAACTGAACATTCCCTTTCATAGAGCAGGTTTGAAACACTCTTTCTGTAGTATCTGCAAGCGGATGTTTTAAGCGCTTTCAGGCCTGTGGTGAGAAAGGAAATATCTTCAAATAAAAACTAGACAGAAAGCATTCTCAGAAACTTGTTTGTGATGTGTGTATTCAACTAACAGAGATGAACCTTTCTTTTTACAGAGCAGTTTTGAAACACTCTTTTTGTGGAATCTGAAAGTGGATATTTGGATGGCTTTGAGGATTTCGTTGGAAACGGGATTACATATAAAACCTAGAGAGAGCATTCTCAGGAACTTCTTTGTGATGTTTGCATTCAAGTCACAGAACTGAACATTCCCTTTCATAGAGCAGGTTTGAAACACTCTTTCTGCACTACCTGGAGGTGGACATTTGGAGCGCTTTGAGTCCTATGTTGAAAAAGGAAATATCTTCCCATAAAAACTGGACAGAAGCATTCTCAGAAACTTGTTTGTGATGTGTGTATTCAACTAACAGAGATGAACCTTTCTTTTTACAGAGCAGTTTTGAAACACTCTTTTTGTGGAATCTGAAAGTGGATATTTGGATAGCTTTGAGGATTTCGTTGGAAACGGGATTACATATAAAATCTAGAGAGAAGCATTCTCAGGAACTTCTTTGTGATGTTTGCATTCAAGTCACAGAACTGAACATTCCCTTTCATAGAGCAGGTTTGAAACACTCTTTCTGTAGTATCTGCAAGCGGACGTTTTAAGCGCTTTCAGGCCTGTGGTGAGAAAGGAAATATCTTCAAATAAAAACTAGACAGAAGCATTCTCAGAAACTTCTTTGTGCTGTATGTCCTCAATTAACAGAGTTGAACCTTTGTGTGGATACAGCATTTTGGAAACATTCCTTTAGTAGAATCTGCAAGTTGATATTTAGATAGCTAGGAAGATTTCCTTGGAAACGGGAATATCTTCATATAAAATCTAGACGGAAGCATTCTCAGAAACTGCTTTGTGATGTTTTCATTCAAGTCACAGAGTAGAATGTTCCCTGTTATATACCAGGTTTGAGACACTCTTTCTGCACTACCCGGAAGTGGACGTTTGGAGCGCTTTGAGGCCTATGTTGAAAAAGGAAATATCTTCCCATAAAAACTAGACAGAAGCATTCTCAGAAACTTGTTTGTGATGTGTGTATTCAACTAACAGAGATGAACCTTTCTTTTTACAGAGCAGTTTTGAAACACTCTTTTTGTGGAATCTGAAAGTGGATATTTGGATAGCTTTGAGGATTTCGTTGGAAACGGGATTACATATAAAACCTAGAGAGAAGCATTCTCAGGAACTTCTTTGTGATGTTTGCCTTCAAGTCACAGGACTGAACATTCCCTTTCATAGAGCAGGTTTGAAACACTCTTTCTGTAGTATCTGCAAGCTGACGTTTCAAGCGCTTTCAGGCCTATGGTGAGAAAGGAAATATCTTCAAGTAAAAACTAGACAGAAGCATTCTCAGAAAATTATTTGCGATGTGTGTTCTCAACTAACAGAGTTGAACCTTTGTTTTGATATGGCATTTTGGAAACACTCTTTTTGTAGAATCTGCAGGTGGATATTCGGATAGCTTTGAAGGTTTCGTTGGAAACGGGAATATCTTCATATAAAATCTAGACGGAAGCATTCTCAGAAACTGCTTTGTGATGTTTTCATTCCAGTCACAGAGTAGAATGTTCCCTTTTATATACCAGGTTTGAGACACTCTTTCTGCACTATCTGGAAGTGGACATTTGGAGCGCTTTGAGGCCTATGATGAAAAAGGAAATATCTTCCCATAAAAACTAGACAGAAGCATTCTCAGAAACTTGTTTGTGATGTGTGTATTCAACTAACAGAGATGAACCTTTCTTTTTACAGAGCAGTTTTGAAACACTCTTTTTGTGGAATCTGAAAGTGGATATTTGGATAGCTTTGAGGATTTCGTTGGAAACGGGATTACATATAAAATCTAGAGAGAAGCATTCTCAGGAACTTCTTTGTGATGTTTGCATTCAAGTCACAGAACTGAACATTCCCTTTCATAGAGCAGGTTTGAAACACTCTTTCTGTAGTATCTGCAAGCGGACGTTTTAAGCACTTTCAGGCCTGTGGTGAGAAAGGAAATATCTTCAAATAAAAACTAGACAGAAGCATTCTCAGAAACTTATTTGCGATGTGTGTTCTCAACTAACAGAGTTGAACCTTTGTTTTGATATGGCATTTTGGAAACACTCTTTTTGTAGAATCTGCAGGTGGATATTCGGATAGCTTTGAAGGTTTCGTTGGAAACGGGAATATCTTCATATAAAATCTAGACGGAAGCATTCTCAGAAACTTCTCTGTGATGTTTGCATTCAACTCATAGAGTTGAACACTTCCCTTCATACAGCAGGTTTGAAACACTCTTTTTGTAATATTTGGAAGTGGACATTTGCAGCGCTTTGAGGCCTATGATGAAAAAGGTAATATCTTCCCATAAAAACTAGACAGAAGCATTCTCAGAAACTTGTTTGTGATGTGTGTATTCAACTAACAGAGATGAACCTTTCTTTTTACAGAGCAGTTTTGAAACACTCTTTTTGTGGAATCTGAAAGTGGATATTTGGATAGCTTTGAGGATTTCGTTGGAAACGGGATTACATATAAAACCTAGAGAGAAGCATTCTCAGGAACTTCTTTGTGATGTTTGCATTCAAGTCACAGAACTGAACATTCCCTTTCATAGAGCAGGTTTGAAACACTCTTTCTGTAGTATCTGCAAGCGGACGTTTTAAGCGCTTTCAGGCCTGTGGTGAGAAAGGAAATATCTTCAAATAAAAACTAGACAGAAGCATTCTCAGAAACTTATTTGCCATGTGTGTTCTCAACTAACAGAGTTGAACCTTTGTTTTGATACGGCATTTTGGAAACCCTCTTTTTGTAGAATCTGCAGGTGGATATTCGGATAGCTTTGAAGGTTTCGTTGGAAACGGGAATATCTTCATATAAAATGCTAGACGGAAGCATTCTCAGAAAGTGCTTTGTGATGTTTCCATTCAAGTCACAGAGTTGAATATTCCCTTTTATAGAGCAGGTTTGAAACACTCTTTCTGCACTACCTGGAAGTGGACATTTGGAGCGCTTTGAGGCCTATGTAGAAAAAGGAAATATCTTCCCATAAAAACTAGACAGAAGCATTCTCAGAAACTTGTTTGTGATGTGTGTATTCAACTAACAGAGATGAACCTTTCTTTTTACAGAGCAGTTTTGAAACACTCTTTTTGTGGAATCTGAAAGTGGATATTTGGATAGCTTTGAGGATTTCGTTGGAAACGGGATTACATATAAAACCTAGAGAGAAGCATTCTCAGGAACTTCTTTGTGATGTTTGCATTCAAGTCACAGAACTGAACATTCCCTTTCATAGAGCAGGTTTGAAAAACTCTTTCTGTAGTGTCTGCAAGTGGACGTTTCAAGCGCTTTCAGGCCTATGGTGAGAAAGGAAATATCTTCAAGTAAAAACTAGACAGAAGCATTCTCAGAAACTTCTTTGTGCTGTATGTCCTCAATTAACAGAGTTGAACCTTTGTGTGGATACAGCATTTTGGAAACATTCCTTTAGTAGAATCTGCAAGTTGATATTTAGATAGCTAGGAAGATTTCCTTGGAAACGGGAATATCTTCATATAAAATCTAGACGGAAGCATTCTCAGAAAGTGCTTTGTGATGTTTGCATTCAAGTCACAGAGTTGAATATTCCCTTTTATAGAGCAGGTGTGAAACACTCTTTCTGCACTACCTGGAAGTGGACATTTGGAGTGCTTTGAGGCCTATGTTGAAAAAGGAAATATCTTCCCATAAAAACTAGACAGAAGCATTCTCAGAAACTTGTTTGTGATGTGTGTATTCAACTAACAGAGATGAACCTTTCTTTTTACAGAGCAGTTTTGAAACACTCTTTTTGTGGAATCTGAAAGTGGATATTTGGATAGCTTTGAGGATTTCGTTGGAAACGGGATTACATATAAAATCTAGGGAGAAGCATTCTCAGGAACTTCTTTGTGATGTTTGCATTCAAGTCACAGAACTGAACATTCCCTTTCATAGAGCATGTTTGAAACACTCTTTCTGTAGTATCTGCAAACGGACATTTCAAACGCTTTCAGGCCTGTGGTGAGAAAGGAAATATCTTCAAATAAAAACTAGACAGAAAGCATTCTCAGAAACTTATTTGCCATGTGTGTTCTCAACTAACAGAGTTGAACCTTTGTTTTGATACGGCATTTTGGAAACACTCTTTTTGTAGAATCTGCAGGTGGATATTCGGATAGCTTTGAAGGTTTCGTTGGAAACGGGAATATCTTCATATAAAATCTAGACGGAAGCATTCTCAGAAACTGCTTTGTGATGTTTTCATTCAAGTCACAGAGTAGAATGTTCCCTGTTATATACCAGGTTTGAGACACTCTTTCTGCACTACCTGGAAGTGGACATTTGGAGCGCTTTGAGGCCTATGATGAAAAAGGAAATATCTTCCCATAAAAACTAGACAGAAGCATTCTCAGAAACTTGTTTGTGATGTGTGTATTCAACTAACAGAGATGAACCTTTCTTTTTACAGAGCAGTTTTGAAACACTCTTTTTGTGGAATCTGAAAGTGGATATTTGGATAGCTTTGAGGATTTCGTTGGAAACGGGATTACATATAAAACCTAGAGAGAAGCATTCTCAGGAACTTCTTTGTGATGTTTGCATTGAAGTCACAGAACTGAGCATTCCCTTTCATAGAATAGGTTTGAAACACTCTTTCTGTAGTATCTGCAAGGGGACGTTTCAAGCGCTTTCAGGCCTGTGGTGAAAAAGGAAATATCTTCAAATAAAAATTAGACAGAAGCATTCTCAGAAACTTATTTGCGATGTGTGTTCTCAACTAACAGAGTTGAACATTTGTTTTGATACAGCATTTTGGAAACACTCTTTTTGTAGGATCTGCAGGTGGATATTTGGATAGCTTTGAAGGTTTCGTTGGAAACGGGAATATCTTCATATAAAATCAACACAGAAGCATTCTCAGAAACTGCTTTGTGATGTTTTCATTCAAGTCACAGAGTTGAATGTTCCCTGTTATATACCAGGTTTGAGACACTCTTTCTGCACTACCCGGAAGTGGACGTTTGGAGCGCTTTGAGGCCAATGTTGAAAAAGGAAATATCTTCCCATAAAAACTAGACAGAAGCATTCTCAGAAACTTGTTTGTGATGTGTGTATTCAACTAACAGAGATGAACCTTTCTTTTTACAGAGCAGTTTTGAAACACTCTTTTTGTGGAATCTGAAAGTGGATATTTGGATAGCTTTGAGGATTTCGTTGGAAACGGGATTACATATAAAACCTAGAGAGAAGCATTCTCAGAAACTTGTTTGTGATGTGTGTATTCAACTAACAGAGATGAACCTTACTTTTGACAGACCCGTTTTGAAAGAGTCTTTTTGTAGAATCTGGACGTAGATATTTGGATACCTTTGAGGATTTCTTTGGAAACGGGATATCTTCATATAAAATCTAGACAGAAGCATTCTCAGAAACTTCTTTGTGCTGTATGTCCTCAATTAACAGAGTTGAACCTTTGTGTGGATACAGCATTTTGGAAACATTCCTTTAGTAGAATCTGCAAGTTGATATTTAGATAGCTAGGAAGATTTCCTTGGAAACGGGAATATCTTCATATAAAATCTAGGCGGAAGCATTCTGAGAAACTGCTTTGTGAAGTCTTCATTCAAGTCACAGAGTAGAATGTTCCCTTTTATAGAGCAGGTTTGAAACACTCTGTGCACTACCTGGAAGTGGACATTTGGAACGCTTTGAGGCCTATGTTGAAAAAGGAAATATCTTCCCATAAAAACTAGACAGAAGCATTCTCAGAAACTTGTTTGTGATGTGTGTATTCAACTAACAGAGATGAACCTTTCTTTTTACAGAGCAGTTTTGAAACACTCTTTTTGTGGAATCTGAAAGTGGATATTTGGATAGCTTTGAGGATTTCGTTGGAAACGGGATTACATATAAAACCTAGAGAGAAGCATTCTCAGGAACTTCTTTGTGATGTTTGCATTCAAGTCACAGAACTGAACATTCCCTTTCATAGAGCAGGTTTGAAACACTCTTTCTGTAGTATCTGCAAGCGGACGTTTTAAGCGCTTTCAGGCCTGTGGTGAGAAAGGAAATATCTTCAAATAAAAACTAGACAGAAGCATTCTCAGAAACTTATTTGCGATGTGTGTTCTCAACTAACAGAGTTGAACAATTGTTTTGATACAGCATTTTGGAAACACTCTTTTTGTAGGATCTGCAGATGGATATTTGGATAGCTTTGAAGGTTTCGTTGGAAACGGGAATATCTTCATATAAAATCAAGACGGAAGCATTCTCAGAAACTTCTCTGTGATGTTTGCATTCAACTCATAGAGTTGAACACTTCCTTTCATAGAGCCGGTTTGAAACACTCTGTGCACTACCTGGAAGTGGACATTTGGAGCGCTTTGAGGCCTATGTTGAAAAAGGAAATATCTTCCCATAAAAACTAGACTGAAGCATTCTCAGAAACTTGTTTGTGATGTGTGTATTCAACTAACAGAGATGAACCTTTCTTTTTACAGAGCAGTTTTGAAACACTCTTTTTGTGGAATCTGAAAGTGGATATTTGGATAGCTTTGAGGATTTCGTTGGAAACGGGATTACATATAAAACCTAGAGAGAAGCATTCTCAGGAACTTCTTTGTGATGTTTGCATTCACGTCACAGAACTGAACATTCCCTTTCATAGAGCATGTTTGAAACACTCTTTCTGTAGTATCTGCAAGCGGACATTTCAAACGCTTTCAGGCCTATGGTGAGAAAGGAAATATCTTCAAATAAAAACTAGACAGAAGCATTCTGAGAAACTTATTTGCGATGTGTGTCCTCAACTAACAGAGTTGAACCTTTCTTTTGATACAACATTTTGGAAACACTCTTTTTGTAGAATCTGCAAGTGGATATTTGGATAGCTTTGAAGGTTTCGTTGGAAACGGGAATATCTTCATATGAAATCAAGACAGAAGCATTCTCAGAAAGTGCTTTGTGATGTTTGCATTCAAGTCACAGAGTTGAATATTCCCTTTTATAGAGCAGGTTTGAAACACTCTTTCTGCACTACCTGGAAGTGGACATTTGGAGTGCTTTGAGGCCTATGTTGAAGAAGGAAATATCTTCCCATAAAAACTAGACAGAAGCATTCTCAGAAACTTATTTGTGAAGTGTATATTCAACTAACAGAGATGAACCTTTCTTTTTACAGAGCAGTTTTGAAACACTCTTTTTGTGGAATCTGAAAGTGGATATTTGGATAGCTTTGAGGATTTCGTTGGAAACGGGATTACATATAAAATCTAGGGAGAAGCATTCTCAGGAACTTCTTTGTGATGTTTGCATTCAAGTCACAGAACTGAACATTCTCTTTCATAGAGCAGGTTTGAAACACTCTTTCTGTAGTATCTGGAAGCGGACGTTTCAAGCGCTTTCAGGACTGTGGTGAAAAAGGAAATATCTTCAAATAAAAACTAGACAGAAGCATTCTCAGAAACTTATTTGCGATGTGTGTTCTCAACTAACAGAGTTGAACCTTTGTTTTGATATGGCATTTTGGAAACACTCTTTTTGTAGAATCTGCAGGTGGATATTCGGATAGCTTTGAAGGTTTCGTTGGAAACGGGAATATCTTCATATAAAATCTAGACGGAAGCATTCTCAGAAACTTCTCTGTGATGTTTGCATTCAACTCATAGAGTTGAACACTTCCCTTCATACAGCAGGTTTGAAACACTCTTTTTGTAATATTTGGAAGTGGACATTTGCAGCGCTTTGAGGCCTATGATGAAAAAGGTAATATCTTCCCATAAAAACTAGACAGAATCATTCTCAGAAACTTGTTTGTGATGTGTGTATTCAACTAACAGAGATGAACCTTTCTTTTTACAGAGCAGTTTTGAAACACTCTTTTTGTGGAATCTGAAAGTGGATATTTGGATAGCTTTGAGGATTTCGTTGGAAACGGGATTACATATAAAATCTAGGGAGAAGCATTCTCAGGAACTTCTTTGTGATGTTTGCATTCACGTCACAGAACTGAACATTCCCTTTCATAGAGCATGTTTGAAACACTCTTTCTGTAGTATCTGCAAACGGACATTTCAAACGCTTTCAGGCCTATGGTGAGAAAGGAAATATCTTCAAATAAAAACTAGACAGAAGCATTCTCAGAAACTTATTTGCGATGTGTGTTCTCAACTAACAGAGTTGAACCTTTGTTTTGATATGGCATTTTGGAAACACTCTTTTTGTAGAATCTGCAGGTGGATATTCGGATAGCTTTGAAGGTTTCGTTGGAAACGGGAATATCTTCATATAAAATCTAGACGGAAGCATTCTCAGAAAGTGCTTTGTGATGTTTGCATTCAAGTCACAGAGTTGAATATTCCCTTTTATAGAGCAGGTTTGAAACACTCTTTCTGCACTACCTGGAAGTGGACATTTGGAGCGCTTTGAGGCCTATGTTGAAAAAGGAAATATCTTCCCATAAAAACTAGACAGAAGCATTCTCAGAAACTTGTTTGTGATGTGTGTATTCAACTAACAGAGATGAACCTTTCTTTTTACAGAGCAGTTTTGAAACACTCTTTTTGTGGAATCTGAAAGTGGATATTTGGATAGCTTTGAGGATTTCGTTGGAAACGGGATTACATATAAAATCTAGAGAGAAGCATTCTCAGGAACTTCTTTGTGATGTTTGCATTCAAGTCACAGAACTGAACATTCCCTTTCATAGAGCATGTTTGAAACACTCTTTCTGTAGTATCTGCAAACGGACATTTCAAACGCTTTCAGGCCTATGGTGAGAAAGGAAATATCTTCAAATAAAAACTAGACAGAAGCATTCTCAGAAACTTATTTGCGATGTGTGTCCTCAACTAACAGAGTTGAACCTTTCTTTTGATACAACATTTTGGAAACACTCTTTTTGTAGAATCTGCAAGTGGATATTTGGATAGCTTTGAAGGTTTCGTTGGAAACGGGAATATCTTCATATGAAATCAAGACAGAAGCATTCTCAGAAAGTGCTTTGTGATGTTTGCATTCAAGTCACAGAGTTGAATATTCCCTTTTATAGAGCAGGTTTGAAACACTCTTTCTGCACTACCTGGAAGTGGACATTTGGAGCGCTTTGAGGCCTATGTTGAAAAAGGAAATATCTTCCCATAAAAACTAGACAGAATGCATTCTCAGAAACTTGTTTGTGATGTGTGTATTCAACTAACAGAGATGAACCTTTCTTTTTACAGAGCAGTTTTGAAACACTCTTTTTGTGGAATCTGAAAGTGGATATTTGGATAGCTTTGAGGATTTCGTTGGAAACGGGATTACATAAAAAACCTAGAGAGAAGCATTCTCAGGAACTTCTTTGTGATGTTTGCCTTCAAGTCACAGGACTGAACATTCCCTTTCATAGAGCAGGTTTGAAACACTCTTTCTGTAGTATCTGCAAGCTGACGTTTCATGCGCTTTCAGGCCTATGGTGAGAAAGGAAATATCTTCAAGTAAAAACTAGACAGAAGCATTCTCAGAAACTTATTTGCCATGTGTGTTCTCAACTAACAGAGTTGAACCTTTGTTTTGATACGGCATTTTGGAAACACTCTTTTTGTAGAATCTGCAGGTGGATATTCGGATAGCTTTGAAGGTTTCGTTGGAAACGGGAATATCTTCATATAAAATCTAGACGGAAGCATTCTCAGAAAGTGCTTTGTGATGTTTGCATTCAAGTCACAGAGTTGAATATTCCCTTTTATAGAGCAGGTTTGAAACACTCTTTCTGCACTACCTGGAAGTGGACATTTGGAGCGCTTTGAGGCCTATGTTGAAAAAGGAAATATGTTCCCATAAAAACTGGACAGAAGCATTCTCAGAAACTTGTTTGTGATGTGTGTATTCAACTAACAGAGATGAACCTTTCTTTTTACAGAGCAGTTTTGAAACACTCTTTTTGTGGAATCTGAAAGTGGATATTTGGATAGCTTTGAGGATTTCGTTGGAAACGGGATTACATATAAAACCTAGAGAGAAGCATTCTCAGGAACTTCTTTGTGATGTTTGCATTCAAGTCACAGAACTGAACATTCCCTTTCATAGAGCATGTTTGAAACACTCTTTCTGTAGTATCTGCAAGCGGACGTTTTAAGCGCTTTCAGGCCTGTGGTGAGAAAGGAAATATCTTCAAATAAAAACTAGACAGAAGCATTCTCAGAAACTTATTTGCGATGTGTGTCCTCAACTAACAGAGTTGAACCTTTCTTTTGATACAACATTTTGGAAACACTCTTTTTGTAGAATCTGCAAGTGGATATTTGAATAGCTTTGAAGGTTTCGTTGGAAACGGGAATATCTTCATATAAAATCAAGACAGAAGCATTCTCAGAAACTGCTTTGTGATGTTTTCATTCAAGTCACAGAGTAGAATGTTCCCTGTTATATACCAGATTTGAGACACTCTTTCTGCACTACCTGGAAGTGGACATTTGGAGCGCTTTGAGGCCTATGTTGAAAAAGGAAATATCTTCCCATAAAAACTAGACAGAAGCATTCTCAGAAACTTGTTTGTGATGTGTGTATTCAACTAACAGAGATGACCCTTTCTTTTTACAGAGCAGTTTTGAAACACTCTTTTTGTGGAATCTGAAAGTGGATATTTGGATAGCTTTGAGGATTTCGTTGGAAACGGGATTACATATAAAATCTAGAGAGAAGCATTCTCAGGAACTTCTTTGTGATGTTTGCATTCAAGTCACAGAACTGAACATTCCCTTTCATAGAGCATGTTTGAAACACTCTTTCTGTAGTATCTGCAAACGGACATTTCAAACGCTTTCAGGCCTATGGTGAGAAAGGAAATATCTTCAAATAAAAACTAGACAGAAGCATTCTCAGAAACTTCTTTGTGCTGTATGTCCTCAATTAACAGAGTTGAACCTTTGTGTGGATACAGCATTTTGGAAACATTCCTTTAGTAGAATCTGCAAGTTGATATTTAGATAGCTAGGAAGATTTCCTTGGAAACGGGAATATCTTCATATAAAATCTAGACGGAAGCATTCTCAGAAAGTGCTTTGTGATGTTTGCATTCAAGTCACAGAGTTGAATATTCCCTTTTATAGAGCAGGTTTGAAACACTCTTTCTGCACTACCGGGAAGTGGACATTTGGAGCGCTTTGAGGCCTATGTTGAAAAACGAAATATCTTCCCATAAAAACTAGACAGAAGCATTCTCAGAAACTTGTTTGTGATGTGTGTATTCAACTAACAGAGATGAACCTTTCTTTTTACAGAGCAGTTTTGAAACACTCTTTTTGTGGAATCTGAAAGTGGATATTTGGATAGCTTTGAGGATTTCGTTGGAAACGGGATTACATATAAAACCTAGAGAGAAGCATTCTCAGGAACTTCTTTGTGATGTTTGCCTTCAAGTCACAGGACTGAACATTCCCTTTCATAGAGCAGGTTTGAAACACTCTTTCTGTAGTATCTGCAAGCTGACGTTTCAAGCGCTTTCAGGCCTATGGTGACAAAGGAAATATCTTCAAGTAAAAACTAGACAGAAGCATTCTCAGAAACTTATTTGCCATGTGTGTTCTCAACTAACAGAGTTGAACCTTTGTTTTGATACGGCATTTTGGAAACACTCTTTTTGTAGAATCTGCAGGTGGATATTCGGATAGCTTTGAAGGTTTCGTTGGAAACGGGAATATCTTCATATAAAATCTAGACGGAAGCATTCTCAGAAACTGCTTTGTGATGTTTTCATTCAAGTCACAGAGTAGAATGTTCCCTGTTATATACCAGGTTTGAGACACTCTTTCTGCACTACCTGGAAGTGGACATTTGGAGCGCTTTGAGGCCTATGATGAAAAAGGAAATATCTTCCCATAAAAACTAGACAGAAGCATTCTCAGAAACTTGTTTGTGATGTGTGTATTCAACTAACAGAGATGAACCTTTCTTTTTACAGAGCAGTTTTGAAACACTCTTTTTGTGGAATCTGAAAGTGGATATTTGGATAGCTTTGAGGATTTCGTTGGAAACGGGATTACATATAAAACCTAGAGAGAAGCATTCTCAGGAACTTCTTTGTGATGTTTGCATTCAAGTCACAGAACTGAACATTCCCTTTCATAGAGCAGGTTTGAAACACTCTTTCTGTAGTATCTGCAAGCGGACGTTTTAAGCGCTTTCAGGCCTGTGGTGAGAAAGGAAATATCTTCAAATAAAAACTAGACAGAAGCATTCTCAGAAACTTATTTGCGATGTGTGTCCTCAACTAACAGAGTTGAACCTTTGTTTTGATACAACATTTTGGAAACACTCTTTTTGTAGAATCTGCAAGTGGATATTTGGATAGCTTTGAAGGTTTCGTTGGAAACGGGAATATCTTCATATAAAATCAAGACAGAAGCATTCTCAGAAACTGCTTTGTGATGTTTTCATTCAAGTCACAGAGTAGATGTTCCCTGTTATATACCAGGTTTGAGACACTCTTTCTGCACTACCTGGAAGTGGACGTTTGGAGCGCTTTGAGGCGTATGTTGAAAAAGGAAATATCTTCCCATAAAAACTAGACAGAAGCATTCTCAGAAACTTGTTTGTGATGTGTGTATTCAACTAACAGAGATGAACCTTTCTTTTTACAGAGCAGTTTTGAAACACTCTTTTTGTGGAATCTGAAAGTGGATATTTGGATAGCTTTGAGGATTTCGTTGGAAACGGGATTACATATAAAACCTAGAGAGAAGCATTCTCAGGAACTTCTTTGTGATGTTTGCATTCACGTCACAGAACTGAACATTCCCTTTCATAGAGCATGTTTGAAACACTCTTTCTGTAGTATCTGCAAACGGACATTTCAAACGCTTTCAGGCCTATGGTGAGAAAGGAAATATCTTCAAGTAAAAACTAGACAGAAGCATTCTCAGAAACTTCTTTGTGCTGTATGTCCTCAATTAACAGAGTTGAACCTTTGTGTGGATACAGCATTTTGGAAACATTCCTTTAGTAGAATCTGCAAGTTGATATTTAGATAGCTAGGAAGATTTCCTTGGAAACGGGAATATCTTCATATAAAATCTAGACGGAAGCATTCTCAGAAAGTGCTTTGTGATGTTTGCATTCAAGTCACAGAGTTGAATATTCCCTTTTATAGAGCAGGTTTGAAGCACTCTTTCTGCACTACCTGGAAGTGGACATTTGGAGGGCTTTGAGGCCTATGTTGAAAAAGGAAATATCTTCCCATAAAAACTAGACAGAAGCATTCTCAGAAACTTGTTTGTGATGTGTGTATTCAACTAACAGAGATGAACCTTTCTTTTTACAGAGCAGTTTTGAAACACTCTTTTTGTGGAATCTGAAAGTGGATATTTGGATAGCTTTGAGGATTTCGTTGGAAACGGGATTACATATAAAATCTAGAGAGAAAGCATTCTCAGGAACTTCTTTGTGATGTTTTCCTTCAAGTCACAGGACTGAACATTCCGTTTCATAGAGCAGGTTTGAAACACTCTTTCGGTAGTATCTGCAAGCTGACGTTTCATGCGCTTTCAGGCCTATGGTGAGAAAGGAAATATCTTCAAGTAAAAACTAGACAGAAGCATTCTCAGAAACTTCTTTGTGCTGTATGTCCTCAATTAACAGAGTTGAACCTTTGTGTGGATACAGCATTTTGGAAACATTCCTTTAGTAGAATCTGCAAGTTGATATTTAGATAGCTAGGAAGATTTCCTTGGAAACGGGAATATATTCATATAAAATCTAGACGGAAGCATTCTCAGAAAGTGCTTTGTGATGTTTGCATTCAAGTCACAGAGTTGAATATTCCCTTTTATAGAGCAGGTTTGAAACACTCTTTCTGCACTACCTGGAAGTGGACATTTGGAGCGCTTTGAGGCCTATGTTGAAAAAGGAAATATCTTCCCATAAAAACTAGACAGAAGCATTCTCAGAAACTTGTTGTGATGTGTGTATTCAACTAACAGAGATGAACCTTTCTTTTTACCGAGCAGTTTTGAAACACTCTTTTTGTGGAATCTGAAAGTGGATATTTGGATAGCTTTGCGGATTTCGTTGGAAACGGGATTACATATAAAATCTAGGGAGAAGCATTCTCAGGAACTTCTTTGTGATGTTTGCATTCAAGTCACAGAACTGAACATTCCCTTTCGTAGAGCAGGTTTGAAACACTCTTTCTGTAGTATCTGCAAGCGGACGTTTCAAGCGCTTTCAGGCCTGTGGTGAAAAAGGAAATATCTTCAAATAAAAACTAGACAGAAGCATTCTCAGAAACTTATTTGCGATGTGTGTTCTCAACTAAAAGAGTTGAACCTTTGTTTGGATACAGCATTTTGCAAACACTCTTTTTGTAGAATCTGCAAGTGGATATTTGGATAGCTTTGAAGGATTCGTTGGAAACGGGAATATCTTCATATAAAATCAAGACAGAAGCATTCTCAGCAAACTGCTTTGTGATGTTTTCATTCAAGTCACAGAGTAGAATGTTCCCTGTTATATACCAGGTTTGAGACACTCTTTCTGCACTACCCGGAAGTGGACGTTTGGAGCGCTTTGAGGCGTATGTTGAAAAAGGAAATATCTTCCCATAAAAACTAGACAGAAGCATTCTCAGAAACTTGTTTGTGATGTGTGTATTCAACTAACAGAGATGAACCTTTCTTTTTACAGAGCAGTTTTGAAACACTCTTTTTGTGGAATCTGAAAGTGGATATTTGGATAGCTTTGAGGATTTCGTTGGAAACGGGATTACATATAAAACCTAGAGAGAAGCATTCTCAGGAACTTCTTTGTGATGTTTGCCTTCAAGTCACAGGACTGAACATTCCCTTTCATAGAGCAGGTTTGAAACACTCTTTCTGTAGTATCTGCAAACGGACGTTTCAAGCGCTTTCAGGCCTATGGTGAGAAAGGAAATATCTTCAAGTAAAAACTAGACAGAAGCATTCTCAGAAACTTATTTGCGATGTGTGTTCTCAACTAACAGAGTTGAACCTTTGTTTTGATATGGCATTTTGGAAACACTCTTTTTGTAGAATCTGCAGGTGGATATTCGGATAGCTTTGAAGGTTTCGTTGGAAACGGGAATATCTTCATATAAAATCTAGACGGAAGCATTCTCAGAAAGTGCTTTGTGATGTTTGCATTCAAGTCACAGAGTTGAATATTCCCTTTTATAGAGCAGGTTTGAAACACTCTTTCTGCACTACCTGGAAGTGGACATTTGGAGCGCTTTGAGGCCTATGTTGAAAAAGGAAATATCTTCCCATAAAAACTAGACAGAAGCATTCTCAGAAACTTGTTTGTGATGTGTGTATTCAACTAACAGAGATGAACCTTTCTTTTTACAGAGCAGTTTTGAAACACTCTTTTTGTGGAATCTGAAAGTGGATATTTGGATAGCTTTGCGGATTTCGTTGGAAACGGGATTACATATAAAATCTAGGGAGAAGCATTCTCAGGAACTTCTTTGTGATGTTTGCATTCAAGTCACAGAACTGAACATTCCCTTTCATAGAGCAGGTTTGAAACACTCTTTCTGTAGTATCTGCAAGCGGACGTTTTAAGCGCTTTCAGGCCTGTGGTGAGAAAGGAAATATCTTCAAATAAAAACTAGACAGAAGCATTCTCAGAAACTTATTTGCGATGTGTGTCCTCAACTAACAGAGTTGAACCTTTGTTTTGATACAACATTTTGGAAACACTCTTTTTGTAGAATCTGCAAGTGGATATTTGGATAGCTTTGAAGGTTTCGTTGGAAACGGGAATATCTTCATATAAAATCAAGACAGAAGCATTCTCAGAAACTGCTTTGTGATGTTTTCATTCAAGTCACAGAGTAGAATGTTCCCTGTTATATACCAGGTTTGAGACACTCTTTCTGCACTACCTGGAAGTGGACGTTTGGAGCGCTTTGAGGCCTATGTTGAAAAAGGAAATATCTTCCCATAAAAACTAGACAGAAGCATTCTCAGAAACTTGTTTGTGATGTGTGTATTCAACTAACAGAGATGAACCTTTCTTTTTACAGAGCAGTTTTGAAACACTCTTTTTGTGGATTCTGAAAGTGGATATTTGGATAGCTTTGAGGATTTTGTTGGAAACGGGATTACATATAAAACCTAGAGAGAAGCATTCTCAGGAACTTCTTTGTGATGTTTGCATTCAAGTCACAGAACTGAACATTCCCTTTCATAGAGCAGGTTTGAAACAGTCTTTCTGTAGTATCTGCAAGCTGACGTTTCAAGCGCTTTCAGGCCTATGGTGAGAAAGGAAATATCTTCAAGTAAAAACTAGACAGAAGCATTCTCAGAAACTTATTTGCCATGTGTGTTCTCAACTAACAGAGTTGAACCTTTGTTTTGATACGGCATTTTGGAAACACTCTTTTTGTAGAATCTGCAGGTGGATATTCGGATAGATTTGAAGGTTTCGTTGGAAACGGGAATATCTTCATATAAAATCTAGACGGAAGCATTCTCAGAAAGTGCTTTGTGATGTTTGCATTGAAGTCACAGAGTAGAATGTTCCCTTTTATATACCAGGTTTGAGACACTCTTTCTGCACTATCTGGAAGTGGACATTTGGAGCGCTTTGAGGCCTATGATGAAAAAGGAAATATCTTCCCATAAAAACTAGACAGAAGCATTCTCAGAAACTTGTTTGTGATGTGTGTATTCAACTAACAGAGATGAACCTTTCTTTTTACAGAGCAGTTTTGAAACACTCTTTTTGTGGAATCTGAAAGTGGATATTTGGATAGCTTTGAGGATTTCGTTGGAAACGGGATTACATATAAAATCTAGGGAGAAGCATTCTCAGGAACTTCTTTGTGATGTTTGCATTCACGTCACAGAACTGAACATTCCCTTTCATAGAGCATGTTTGAAACACTCTTTCTGTAGTATCTGCAAACGGACATTTCAAACGCTTTCAGGCCTATGGTGAGAAAGGAAATATCTTCAAATAAAAACTAGACAGAAGCATTCTCAGAAACTTATTTGCGATGTGTGTTCTCAACTAACAGAGTTGAACCTTTGTTTTGATATGGCATTTTGGAAACACTCTTTTTGTAGAATCTGCAGGTGGATATTCGGATAGCTTTGAAGGTTTCGTTGGAAACGGGAATATCTTCATATAAAATCTAGACGGAAGCATTCTCAGAAACTGCTTTGTGATGTTTTCATTCAAGTCACAGAGTAGAATCTTCCCTGTTATATACCAGGTTTCAGACACTCTTTCTGCACTACCTGGAAGTGGACATTTGCAGCGCTTTGAGGCCTATGATGAAAAAGGAAATATCTTCCCATAAAAACTAGACAGAAGCATTCTCAGAAACTTGTTTGTGATGTGTGTATTCAACTAACAGAGATGAACCTTTCTTTTTACAGAGCAGTTTTGAAACACTCTTTTTGTGGAATCTGAAAGTGGATATTTGGATAGCTTTGAGGATTTCGATGGAAACGGGATTACATATAAAATCTAGAGAGAAGCATTCTCAGGAACTTCTTTGTGATGTTTGCATTCACGTCACAGAACTGAACATTCCCTTTCATAGAGCATGTTTGAAACACTCTTTCTGTAGTATCTGCAAACGGACATTTCAAACGCTTTCAGGCCTATGGTGAGAAAGGAAATATCTTCAAATAAAAACTAGACAGAAGCATTCTCAGAAACTTATTTGCGATGTGTGTCCTCAACTAACAGAGTTGAACCTTTCTTTTGATACAACATTTTGGAAACACTCTTTTTGTAGAATCTGCAAGTGGATATTTGGATAGCTTTGAAGGTTTCGTTGGAAACGGGAATATCTTCATATGAAATCAAGACAGAAGCATTCTCAGAAAGTGCTTTGTGATGTTTGCATTCAAGTCACAGAGTTGAATATTCCCTTTTATAGAGCAGGTTTGAAACACTCTTTCTGCACTACCTGGAAGTGGACATTTGGAGCGCTTTGAGGCCTATGTTGAAAAAGGAAATATCTTCCCATAAAAACTAGACAGAAGCATTCTCAGAAACTTGTTTGTGATGTGTGTATTCAACTAACAGAGATGAACCTTTCTTTTTACAGAGCAGTTTTGAAACACTCTTTTTGTGGAATCTGAAAGTGGATATTTGGATAGCTTTGAGGATTTCGTTGGAAACGGGATTACATATAAAATCTACAGAGAAGCATTCTCAGGAACTTCTTTGTGATGTTTGCCTTCAAGTCACAGGACTGAACATTCCCTTTCATAGAGCAGGTTTGAAACACTCTTTCTGTAGTATCTGCAAGCTGACGTTTCAAGCGCTTTCAGGCCTATGGTGAGAAAGGAAATATCTTCAAGTAAAAACTAGACAGAAGCATTCTCAGAAACTTATTTGCCATGTGTGTTCTCAACTAACAGAGGTGAACCTTTGTTTTGATACGGCATTTTGGAAACACTCTTTTTGTAGAATCTGCAGGTGGATATTCGGATAGCTTTGAAGGTTTCGTTGGAAACGGGAATATCTTCATATAAAATCTAGACGGAAGCATTCTCAGAAACTGCTTTGTGATGTTTTCATTCAAGTCACAGAGTAGAATGTTCCCTGTTATATACCAGGTTTGAGACACTCTTTCTGCACTACCTGGAAGTGGACGTTTGGAGCGCTTTGAGGCCTTTGTTGAAAAAGGAAATATCTTCCCATAAAAACTAGACAGAAGCATTCTCAGAAACTTGTTTGTGATGTGTGTATTCAACTAACAGAGATGAACCTTTCTTTTTACAGAGCAGTTTTGAAACACTCTTTTTGTGGAATCTGAAAGTGGATATTTGGATAGCTTTGAGGATTTCGTTGGAAACGGGATTACATATAAAACCTAGAGAGAAGCATTCTCAGGAACTTCTTTGTGATGTTTGCATTCAAGTCACAGAACTGAACATTCCCTTTCATAGAGCAGGTTTGAAACACTCTTTCTGTAGTATCTGCAAGCGGACGTTTTAAGCGCTTTCAGGCCTGTGGTGAGAAAGGAAATATCTTCAAATAAAAACTAGACAGAAGCATTCTCAGAAACTTCTTTGTGCTGTATGTCCTCAATTAACAGAGTTGAACCTTTGTGTGGATACAGCATTTTGGAAACATTCCTTTAGTAGAATCTGCAAGTTGATATTTAGATAGCTAGGAAGATTTCCTTGGAAACGGGAATATCTTCATATAAAATCTAGACGGAAGCATTCTCAGAAAGTGCTTTGTGATGTTTGCATTCAAGTCACAGAGTTGAATATTCCCTTTTATAGAGCAGGTTTGAAACACTCTTTCTGCACTACCTGGAAGTGGACATTTGGAGCGCTTTGAGGCCTATGTTGAAAAAGGAAATATCTTCCCATAAAAACTAGACAGAAGCATTCTCAGAAACTTGTTTGTGATGTGTGTATTCAACTAACAGAGATGAACCTTTCTTTTTACAGAGCAGTTTTGAAACACTCTTTTTGTGGAATCTGAAAGTGGATATTTGGATAGCTTTGAGGATTTCGTTGGAAACGGGATTACATATAAAATCTAGAGAGAAGCATTCTCAGGAACTTCTTTGTGATGTTTGCATTCACGTCACAGAACTGAACATTCCCTTTCATAGAGCATGTTTGAAACACTCTTTCTGTAGTATCTACAAACGGACATTTCAAACGCTTTCAGGCCTATGGTGAGAAAGGAAATATCTTCAAATAAAAACTAGACAGAAGCATTCTCAGAAACTTATTTGCGATGTGTGTCCTCAACTAACAGAGTTGAACCTTTCTTTTGATACAACATTTTGGAAACACTCTTTTTGTAGAATCTGCAAGTGGATATTTGGATAGCTTTGAAGGTTTCGTTGGAAACGGGAATATCTTCATATGAAATCAAGACAGAAGCATTCTCAGAAACTTCTCTGTGATGTTTGCATTCAACTCATAGAGTTGAACACTTCCCTTCATACAGCAGGTTTGAAACACTCTTTTTGTAATATTTGGAAGTGGACATTTGCAGCGCTTTGAGGCCTATGATGAAAAAGGTAATATCTTCCCATAAAAACTAGACAGAAGCATTCTCAGAAACTTGTTTGTGATGTGTGTATTCAACTAACAGAGATGAACCTTTCTTTTTACAGAGCAGTTTTGAAACACTCTTTTTGTGGAATCTGAAAGTGGATATTTGGATAGCTTTGAGGATTTCGTTGGAAACGGGATTACATATAAAACCTAGAGAGAAGCATTCTTAGGAACTTCTTTGTGATGTTTGCATTCACGTCACAGAACTGAACATTCCCTTTCATAGAGCATGTTTGAAACACTCTTTCTGTAGTATCTGCAAACGGACATTTCAAGCGCTTTCAGGCCTATGGTGAGAAAGGAAATATCTTCAAATAAAAACTAGACAGAAGCATTCTCAGAAACTTATTTGCGATGTGTGTCCTCAACTAACAGAGTTGAACCTTTGTTTTGATACAACATTTTGGAAACACTCTTTTTGTAGAATCTGCAGGTGGATATTTGGATAGCTTTGAAGGTTTCGTTGGAAACGGGAATATCTTCATATAAAATCAAGACAGAAGCATTCTCAGGAACTTCTTTGTGATGTTTGCATTCAAGTCACAGAATTGAACATTCCCTTTCATAGAGCAGGTTTGAAACACTCTTTCTGTAGTATCTGCAAGCGGACGTTTCAAGCGCTTTCAGGCCTATGGTGAGAAAGGAAATATCTTCAAATAAAAACTAGACAGAAGCATTCTCAGAAACTTGTTTGTCATGAGTGTACTCAAGTAACAGAGTTGAAGCTTTCTTTTGATAGAGCAGTTTTAAAATCGTCCTTTTGTAGAATCTGCAAATGGATATTTGGATATCTTTGAGGATTCCTTTGGAAATGGGAATATCTTCATATAAAATCTACACAGAAGCATTCTCAGGAACTTCTTTGTGATGTTTGCATTCAAGTCACAGAACTGAACATTCTCTTTCATAGAGCAGGTTTGAAACACTCTTTCTGTGGTATCTGCAAGCGGACGTTTCAAGCGCCTTCAGGTCTGTGGTGAAAAAGGAAATATCTTCAAATAAAAACTAGACAGAAGCATTCTCAGAAACTTCTTTGTGCTGTATGTCCTCAATTAACAGAGTTGAACCTTTGTGTGGATACAGCATTTTGGAAACATTCCTTTAGTAGAATCTGCAAGTTGATATTTAGATAGCTAGGAAGTTTTCCTTGGAAACGGGAATATCTTCATATAAAATCTAGACGGAAGCATTCTCAGAAAGTGCTTTGTGATGTTTGCATTCAAGTCACAGAGTTGAATATTCCCTTTTATAGAGCAGGTTTGAAACACTCTTTCTGCACTACCTGGAAGTGGACATTTGGAGCGCTTTGAGGCCTATGTTGAAAAAGGAAATATCTTCCCATAAAAACTAGACAGAAGCATTCTCAGAAACTTGTTTGTGATGTGTGTATTCAACTAACAGAGATGAACCTTTCTTTTTACAGAGCAGTTTTGAAACACTCTTTTTGTGGAATCTGAAAGTGGATATTTGGATAGCTTTGAGGATTTCGTTGGAAACGGGATTACATATAAAACCTAGAGAGAAGCATTCTCAGGAACTTCTTTGTGATGTTTGCATTCAAGTCACAGAACTGAACATTCCCTTTCATAGAGCAGGTTTGAAACAGTCTTTCTGTAGTATCTGCAAGCTGACGTTTCAAGCGCTTTCAGGCCTATGGTGAGAAAGGAAATATCTTCAAGTAAAAACTAGACAGAAGCATTCTCAGAAACTTATTTGCCATGTGTGTTCTCAACTAACAGAGTTGAACCTTTGTTTTGATACGGCATTTTGGAAACACTCTTTTTGTAGAATCTGCAGGTGGATATTCGGATAGCTTTGAAGGTTTCGTTGGAAACGGGAATATCTTCATATAAAATCTAGACGGAAGCATTCTCAGAAACTGCTTTGTGATGTTTTCATTCAAGTCACAGAGTAGAATGTTCCCTGTTATACACCAGGTTTGAGACACTCTTTCTGCACTACCTGGAAGTGGACGTTTGGAGCGCTTTGAGGCCTATGTTGAAAAAGGAAATATCTTCCCATAAAAACTAGACAGAAGCATTCTCAGAAACTTGTTTGTGATGTGTGTATTCAACTAACAGAGATGAACCTTTCTTTTTACAGAGCAGTTTTGAAACACTCTTTTTGTGGAATCTGAAAGTGGATATTTGGATAGCTTTGAGGATTTCGTTGGAAACGGGATTACATATAAAATCTAGAGAGAAGCATTCTCAGGAACTTCTTTGTGATGTTTGCATTCACGTCACAGAACTGAACATTCCCTTTCATAGAGCATGTTTGAAACACTCTTTCTGTAGTATCTGCAAACGGACATTTCAAACGCTTTCAGGCCTATGGTGAGAAAGGAAATATCTTCAAATAAAAACTAGACAGAAGCATTCTCAGAAACTTATTTGCGATGTGTGTCCTCAACTAACAGAGTTGGACCTTTCTTTTGATACAACATTTTGGAAACACTCTTTTTGTAGAATCTGCAAGTGGATATTTGAATAGCTTTGAAGGTTTCGTTGGAAACGGGAAAATCTTCATATAAAATCAAGACAGAAGCATTCTCAGAAAGTGCTTTGTGATGTTTGCATTCAAGTCACAGTAGTTGAATATTCCCTTTTATAGAGCAGGTTTGAAACACTCTTTCTGCACTACCTGGAAGTGGACATTTGGAGCGCTTTGAGGCCTATGTTGAAAAACGAAATATCTTCCCATAAAAACTAGACAGAAGCATTCTCAGAAACTTGTTTGTGATGTGTGTATTCAACTAACAGAGATGAACCTTTCCTTTTTACAGAGCAGTTTTGAAACACTCTTTTTGTGGAATCTGAAAGTGGATATTTGGATAGCTTTGAGGATTTCGTTGGAAACGGGATTACATATAAAATCTAGAGAGAAGCATTCTCAGGAACTTCTTTGTGATGTTTGCCTTCAAGTCACAGGACTGAACATTCCCTTTCATAGAGCAGGTTTGAAACACTCTTTCTGTAGTATCTGCAAGCTGACGTTTCAAGCGCTTTCAGGCCTATGGTGACAAAGGAAATATCTTCAAGTAAAAACTAGACAGAAGCATTCTCAGAAACTTATTTGCGATGTGTGTCCTCAACTAACAGAGTTGAACCTTTCTTTTGATACAACATTTTGGAAACACTCTTTTTGTAGAATCTGCAAGTGGATATTTGGATAGCTTTGAAGGTTTCGTTGGAAACGGGAATATCTTCATATAAATCAAGACAGAAGCATTCTCAGAAACTGCTTTGTGATGTTTTCATTCAAGTCACAGAGTAGAATGTTCCCTGTTATATACCAGGTTTGAGACACTCTTTCTGCACTACCTGGAAGTGGACATTTGCAGCGCTTTGAGGCCTATGATGAAAAAGGAAATATCTTCCCATAGAAACTAGACAGAAGCATTCTCAGAAACTTGTTTGTGATGTGTGTATTCAACTAACAGAGATAAACCTTTCTTTTTACAGAGCAGTTTTGAAACACTCTTTTTGTGGAATCTGAAAGTGGATATTTGGATAGCTTTGAGGATTTCGTTGGAAACGGGATTACATATAAAACCTAGAGAGAAGCACTCTCAGGAACTTCTTTGTGATGTTTGCATTCAAGTCACAGAACTGAACATTCCCTTTCATAGAGCAGGTTTGAAACACTCTTTCTGTAGTATCTGCAAGCGGACGTTTTAAGCGCTTTCAGGCCTGTGGTGAGAAAGGAAATATCTTCAAATAAAAACTAGACAGAAGCATTCTCAGAAACTTATTTGCGATGTGTGTCCTCAACTAACAGAGTTGAACCTTTGTTTTGATACAACATTTTGGAAACACTCTTTTTGTAGAATCTGCAAGTGGATATTTGGATAGCTTTGAAGGTTTCGTTGGAAACGGGAATATCTTCATATAAAATCAAGACAGAAGCATTCTCAGAAACTGCTTTGTGATGTTTTCATTCAAGTCACAGAGTAGAATGTTCCCTGTTATATACCAGGTTTGAGACACTCTTTCTGCACTACCTGGAAGTGGACGTTTGGAGCGCTTTGAGGCCTATGTTGAAAAAGGAAATATCTTCCCATAAAAACTAGACAGAAGCATTCTCAGAAACTTGTTTTTGATGTGTGTATTCAACTAACAGAGATGAACCTTTCTTTTTACAGAGCAGTTTTGAAACACTCTTTTTGTGGAATCTGAAAGTGGATATTTGGATAGCTTTGAGGATTTCGTTGGAAACGGGATTACATATAAAATCTAGAGAGAAGCATTCTCAGGAACTTCTTTGTGATGTTTGAATTCAAGTCACAGAATTGAACATTCCCTTTCATAGAGCAGGTTTGAAACACTCTTTCTGTAGTATCTGCAAGTGGACATTTCAAGCGCTTTCAGGCCTATGGTGAGAAAGGAAATATCTTCAAATAAAAACTGGACATAAACATTCTCAGAAACTTATTAGTGATGTGTGTCCCCAACTAACAGAGTTGAACCTTTGTTTTGATACAGCATTTTGGAAACACTGTTTTTGTAGAATCTGCGGGTGGATATTTGGATAGCTTTGAAGATTTTGTTGGAAACGGAAATATCTTCATATAAAATCAAGAAAGAAGCATTCTCAGAAGCTTGTTTGTGATGTGTGTATTCAACTAACAGAGATGAACCTTTCTTTTTACAGAGCAGTTTTAAAACACTCTTTTTGTGGAATCTGAAAGTGGATATTTGGATACCTTTGAGGATTTCGTTGGAAACGGGATTACATACAAAATCTAGAGAGAAGCATTCTCAGGAACTTCTTTGTGATGTTTGCATTCAAGTCACAGAACTGAACATTCCCTTTCATAGAGCAGGTTTGAAACACTCTTTCTGTAGTATCTGCAAGCGGACGTTTTAAGCGCTTTCAGGCCTGTGGTGAGAAAGGAAATATCTTCAAATAAAAACTAGACAGAAGCATTCTCAGAAACTTCTTTGTGCTGTATGTCCTCAATTAACAGAGTTGAACCTTTGTGTGGATACAGCATTTTGGAAACATTCCTTTAGTAGAATCTGCAAGTTGATATTTAGATAGCTAGGAAGATTTCCTTGGAAACGGGAATATCTTCATATAAAATCTAGACGGAAGCATTCTCAGAAACTTCTCTGTGATGTTTGCATTCAACTCATAGAGTTGAACACTTCCCTTCATACAGCAGGTTTGAAACACTCTTTTTGTAATATTTGGAAGTGGACATTTGCAGCGCTTTGAGGCCTATGATGAAAAAGGTAATATCTTCCCATAAAAACTAGACAGAAGCATTCTCAGAAACTTGTTTGTGATGTGTGTATTCAACTAACAGAGATGAACCTTTCTTTTTACAGAGCAGTTTTGAAACACTCTTTTTGTGGAATCTGAAAGTGGATATTTGGATAGCTTTGAGGATTTCGTTGGAAACGGGATTACATATAAAACCTAGAGAGAAGCATTCTCAGGAACTTCTTTGTGATGTTTGCATTCAAGTCACAGAACTGAACATTCCCTTTCATAGAGCAGGTTTGAAACACTCTTTCTGTAGTATCTGCAAGCGGACGTTTTAAGCGCTTTCAGGCCTGTGGTGAGAAAGGAAATATCTTCAAATAAAAACTAGACAGAAGCATTCTCAGAAACTTATTTGCCATGTGTGTTCTCAACTAACAGAGTTGAACCTTTGTTTTGATACGGCATTTTGGAAACACTCTTTTTGTAGAATCTGCAGGTGGATATTCGGATAGCTTTGACGGTTTCGTTGGAAACGGGAATATCTTCATATAAAATCTAGACGGAAGCATTCTCAGAAACTGCTTTGTGATGTTTTCATTCAAGTCACAGAGTAGAATGTTCCCTTTTATATACCAGGTTTGAGACACTCTTTCTGCACTATCTGGAAGTGGACATTTGGAGCGCTTTGAGGCCTATGATGAAAAAGGAAATATCTTCCCTTAAAAACTAGACAGAAGCATTCTCAGAAACTTGTTTGTGATGTGTGTATTCAACTAACAGAGATGAACCTTTCTTTTTACAGAGCAGTTTTGAAACACTCTTTTTGTGGAATCTGAAAGTGGATATTTGGATAGCTTTGAGGATTTCGTTGGAAACGGGATTACATATAAAATCTAGAGAGAAGCATTCTCAGGAACTTCTTTGTGATGTTTGCATTCAAGTCACAGAACTGAACATTCCCTTTCATAGAGCAGGTTTGAAACACTCTTTCTGTAGTATCTGCAAGCTGACGTTTCAAGCGCTTTCAGGCCTATGGTGAGAAAGGAAATATCTTCAAGTAAAAACTAGACAGAAGCATTCTCAGAAACTTATTTGCGATGTGTGTTCTCAACTAACAGAGTTGAACCTTTGTTTTGATATGGCATTTTGGAAACACTCTTTTTGTAGAATCTGCAGGTGGATATTCGGATAGCTTTGAAGGTTTCGTTGGAAACGGGAATATCTTCATATAAAATCTAGACGGAAGCATTCTCAGAAACTTCTCTGTGATGTTTGCATTCAACTCATAGAGTTGAACACTTCCCTTCATACAGCAGGTTTGAAACACTCTTTTTGTAATATTTGGAAGTGGACTTTTGCAGCGCTTTGTGGCCTATGATGAAAAAGGTAATATCTTCCCATAAAAACTAGACAGAAGCATTCTCAGAAACTTGTTTGTGATGTGTGTATTCAACTAACAGAGATGAACCTTTCTTTTTACAGAGCAGTTTTGAAACACTCTTTTTGTGGAATCTGAAAGTGGATATTTGGATAGCTTTGCGGATTTCGTTGGAAACGGGATTACATATAAAATCTAGGGAGAAGCATTCTCAGGAACTTCTTTGTGATGTTTGCCTTCAAGTCACAGGACTGAACATTCCCTTTCATAGAGCAGGTTTGAAACACTCTTTCTGTAGTATCTGCAAGCTGACGTTTCAAGCGCTTTCAGGCCTATGGTGAGAAAGGAAATATCTTCAAGTAAAAACTAGACAGAAGCATTCTCAGAAACTTATTTGCGATGTGTGTCCTCAACTAACAGAGTTGAACCTTTCTTTTGATACAACATTTTGGAAACACTCTTTTTGTAGAATCTGCAAGTGGATATTTGGATAGCTTTGAAGGTTTCGTTGGAAACGGGAATATCTTCATATGAAATCAAGACAGAAGCATTCTCAGAAAGTGCTTTGTGATGTTTGCATTCAAGTCACAGAGTTGAATATTCCCTTTTATAGAGCAGGTTTGAAACACTCTTTCTGCACTACCTGGAAGTGGACATTTGGAGCGCTTTGAGGCCTATGTTGAAAAAGGAAATATCTTCCCATAAAAACTAGACAGAAGCATTCTCAGAAACTTGTTTGTGATGTGTGTATTCAACTAACAGAGATGAACCTTTCTTTTTACAGAGCAGTTTTGAAACACTCTTTTTGTGGAATCTGAAAGTGGATATTTGGATAGCTTTGAGGATTTCGTTGGAAACGGGATTACATATAAAATCTAGGGAGAAGAATTCTCAGGAACTTCTTTGTGATGTTTGCATTCACGTCACAGAACTGAACATTCCCTTTCATATAGCATGTTTGAAACACTCTTTCTGTAGTATCTGCAAGTGGATATTTCAAGCGCTTTCAGGCCTCTGGTGAGAAAGGAAATATCTTCAAATAAAAACTGGACAGAAGCATTCTCAGAAACTTATTTGCGATGTGTGTCCTCAACTAACAGAGTTGAACCTTTCTTTTGATACAACATTTTGGAAACACTCTTTTTGTAGAATCTGCAAGTGGATATTTGAATAGCTTTGAAGGTTTCGTTGGAAACGGGAATATCTTCATATAAAATCAAGACAGAAGCATTCTCAGAAACTGCTTTGTGATGTCTTCATTCAAGTCACAGAGTAGAATGTTCCCTTTTATAGAGCAGGTTTGAAACACTCTGTGCACTACCTGGAAGTGGACATTTGGAGCGCTTTGAGGCCTATGTTGAAAAAGGAAATATCTTCCCATAGAAACTAGACAGAAGCATTCTCAGAAACTTGTTTTTGATGTGTGTATTCAACTAACAGAGATGAACCTTTCTTTTTACAGAGCAGTTTTGAAACACTCTTTTTGTGGAATCTGAAAGTGGATATTTGGATAGCTTTGAGGATTTCGTTGGAAACGGGATTACATATAAAATCTAGAGAGAAGCATTCTCAGGAACTTCTTTGTGATGTTTGCCTTCAAGTCACAGGACTGAACATTCCCTTTCATAGAGCAGGTTTGAAACACTCTTTCTGTAGTATCTGCAAGCTGACGTTTCAAGCGCTTTCAGGCCTATGGTGAGAAAGGAAATATCTTCAAGTAAAAACTAGACAGAAGCATTCTCAGAAACTTATTTGCGATGTGTGTCCTCAACTAACAGAGTTGAACCTTTCTTTTGATACAACATTTTGGAAACACTCTTTTTGTAGAATCTGCAAGTGGATATTTGGATAGCTTTGAAGGTTTCGTTGGAAACGGGAATATCTTCATATGAAATCAAGACAGAAGCATTCTCAGAAACTGCTTTGTGATGTCTTCATTCAAGTCACAGACTAGAATGTTCCCTTTTATAGAGCAGGTTTGAAACACTCAGTGCACTACCTGGAAGTGGACATTTGGAGCGCTTTGACGCCTATGTTGAAAAAGGAAATATCTTCCCATAGAAACTAGACAGAAGCATTCTCAGAAACTTGTTTGTGATGTGTGTATTCAACTAACAGAGATGAACCTTTCTTTTTACAGAGCAGTTTTGAAACACTCTTTTTGTGGAATCTGAAAGTGGATATTTGGATAGCTTTGAGGATTTCGTTGGAAACGGGATTACATATAAAACCTAGAGAGAAGCATTCTCAGGAACTTCTTTGTGATGTTTGCATTCAAGTCACAGAACTGAACATTCCCTTTCATAGAGCAGGTTTGAAACACTCTTTCTGTAGTATCTGCAAGCAGACGTTTCAAGCGCTTTCAGGCCTGTGTTGAAAAAGGAAATATCTTCAAATAAAAACTAGACAGAAGCATTCTCAGAAACTTATTTGCCATGTGTGTTCTCAACTAACAGAGTTGAACCTTTGTTTTGATACGGCATTTTGGAAACACTCTTTTTGTAGAATCTGCAGGTGGATATTCGGATAGCTTTGAAGGTTTCGTTGGAAACGGGAATATCTTCATATAAAATCTAGACGGAAGCATTCTCAGAAAGTGCTTTGTGATGTTTGCATTCAAGTCACAGAGTTGAATATTCCCTTTTATAGAGCAGGTTTGAAACACTCTTTCTGCACTACCTGGAAGTGGACATTTGGAGCGCTTTGAGGCCTATGTTGAAAAAGGAAATATCTTCCCATAAAAACTAGACAGAAGCATTCTCAGAAACTTGTTTGTGATGTGTGTATTCAACTAACAGAGATGAACCTTTCTTTTCTCAGAGCAGTTTTGAAACACTCTTTTTGTGGAATCTGAAAGTGGATATTTGGATAGCTTTGAGGATTTCGTTGCAAACGGGATTACATATAAAATCTAGAGAGAAGCACTCTCAGGAATTTTTTTGTGATGTTTGCATTCTCATCACAGAACTGAACATTCCCTTTCATAGAGCAGGTTTGAAACACTCTTTCTGTACTATCTGCAAACGGACATTTCAAGCGCTTTCAGGCCTATGGTGAGAAAGGAAATATCTTCAAGTAAAAACCAGACAGAAGCATTCTCAGAAACTTATTTGCGATGTGTGTCCTCAACTAACAGAAGTTGAACCTTTCTTTTGATACAACATTTTGGAAACACTCTTTTTGTAGAATCTGCAAGTGGATATTTGAATAGCTTTGAAGGTTTCGTTGGAAACGGGAATATCTTCATATAAAATCAAGACGGAAGCATTCTCAGAAACTTCTCTGTGATGTTTGCATTCAACTCATAGAGTTGAACACTTCCCTTCATACAGCAGGTTTGAAACACTCTTTTTGTAATATTTGGAAGTGGACATTTGCAGCGCTTTGAGGCCTATGATGAAAAAGGTAATATCTTCCCATAAAAACTAGACAGAAGCATTCTCAGAAACTTGTTTGTGATGTGTGTATTCAACTAACAGAGATGAACCTTTCTTTTTACAGAGCAGTTTTGAAACACTCTTTTTGTGGAATCTGAAAGTGGATATTTGGATAGCTTTGCGGATTTCGTTGGAAACGGGATTACATATAAAATCTAGGGAGAAGCATTCTCAGGAACTTCTTTGTGATGTTTGCATTCACGTCACAGAACTGAACATTCCCTTTCATAGAGCAGGTTTGAAACACTCTTTCTGTAGTATCTGCAAGCTGACGTTTCAAGCGCTTTCAGGCCTGTGGTGAAAAAGGAAATATCTTCAAATAAAAACTAGACAGAAGCATTCTCAGAAACTTCTTTGTGCTGTATGTCCTCAATTAACAGAGTTGAACCTTTGTGTGGATACAGCATTTTGGAAACATTCCTTTAGTAGAATCTGCAAGTTGATATTTAGATAGCTAGGAAGATTTCCTTGGAAACGGGAATATCTTCATATAAAATCTAGACGGAAGCATTCTCAGAAACTGCTTTGTGATGTTTTCATTCAAGTCACAGAGTAGAATGTTCCCTGTTATATACCAGGTTTGAGACACTCTTTCTGCACAACCTGGAAGTGGACGTTTGGAGCGCTTTGAGGCCTATGTTGAAAAAGGAAATATCTTCCCATAAAAACTAGACAGAAAGCATTTCTCAGAAACTTGTTTGTGATGTGTGTATTCAACTAACAGAGATGAACCTTTCTTTTTACAGAGCAGTTTTGAAACACTCTTTTTGTGGAATCTGAAAGTGGATATTTGGATAGCTTTGAGGATTTCGTTGGAAACGGGATTACATATAAAACCTAGAGAGAGCATTCTCAGGAACTTCTTTGTGATGTTTGCCTTCAAGTCACAGGACTGAACATTCCCTTTCATAGAGCAGGTTTGAAACACTCTTTCTGTAGTATCTGCAAGCTGACGTTTCAAGCGCTTTCAGGCCTATGGTGAGAAAGGAAATATCTTCAAGTAAAAACTAGACAGAAGCATTCTCAGAAACTTATTTGCGATGTGTGTCCTCAACTAACAGAGTTGAACCTTTCTTTTGATACAACATTTTGGAAACACTCTTTTTGTAGAATCTGCAAGTGGATATTTGGATAGCTTTGAAGGTTTCGTTGGAAACGGGAATATCTTCATATGAAATCAAGACAGAAGCATTCTCAGAAAGTGCTTTGTGATGTTTGCATTCAAGTCACAGAGTTGAATATTCCCTTTTATAGAGCAGGTTTGAAACACTCTTTCTGCACTACCTGGAAGTGGACATTTGGAGCGCTTTGAGGCCTATGTTGAAAAAGGAAATATCTTCCCATAAAAACTAGACAGAAGCATTCTCAGAAACTTGTTTGTGATGTGTGTATTCAACTAACAGAGATGAACCTTTCTTTTTACAGAGCAGTTTTGAAACACTCTTTTTGTGGAATCTGAAAGTGGATATTTGGATAGCTTTGAGGATTTCGTTGGAAACGGGATTACATATAAAACCTAGAGAGAAGCATTCTCAGGAACTTCTTTGTGATGTTTGCATTCAAGTCACAGAACTGAACATTCCCTTTCATAGAGCAGGTTTGAAACACTCTTTCTGTAGTATCTGCAAGCGGACGTTTTAAGCGCTTTCAGGCCTGTGGTGAGAAAGGAAATATCTTCAAATAAAAACTAGACAGAAGCATTCTCAGAAACTTATTTGCGATGTGTGTCCTCAACTAACAGAGTTGAACCTTTGTTTTGATACAACATTTTGGAAACACTCTTTTTGTAGAATCTGCAAGTGGATATTTGGATAGCTTTGAAGGTTTCGTTGGAAAAGGGAATATCTTCATATAAAATCAAGACAGAAGCATTCTCAGAAACTGCTTTGTGATGTTTTCATTCAAGTCACAGAGTAGAATGTTCCCTGTTATATACCAGGTTTGAGACACTCTTTCTGCACTACCTGGAAGTGGACATTTGCAGCGCTTTGAGGCCTATGATGAAAAAGGAAATATCTTCCCATAAAAACTAGACAGAAAGCATTCTCAGAAACTTGTTTGTGATGTGTGTATTCAACTAACAGAGATGAACCTTTCTTTTTACAGAGCAGTTTTGAAACACTCTTTTTGTGGAATCTGAAAGTGGATATTTGGATAGCTTTGAGGATTTCGTTGGAAACGGGATTACATACAAAATCTAGAGAGAAGAATTCTCAGGAACTTCTTTGTGATGTTTGCATTCACGTCACAGAACTGAACATTCCCTTTCATAGAGCATGTTTGAAACACTCTTTCTGTAGTATCTGCAACCGGACATTTCAAGCGCTTTCAGGCCTGTGGTGAGAAAGGAAATATCTTCAAATAAAAACTAGACAGAAGCATTCTCAGAAACTTATTTGCGATGTGTGTCCTCAACTAACAGAGTTGAACATTTGTTTGGATACAGCATTTTGGAAACATTCCTTTAGTAGTATCTGCAAGTTGATATTTATATAGGAAGATTTCGTTGGAAACGGGAATCTCTTCATATAAAATCTAGACGGAAGCATTCTCAGAAACTTCTCTGTGATGTTTGCTTTCAACTCATAGAGTGGAACACTTCCTTTCATAGAGCAGGTTTGAAACACTCTTTTTGTAATATTTGGAAGCGGACATTGGCAGCGCTTTGAGGCCTATGGTGAAAAAGGAAATATCTTCTCCTAAAAACCAGACAGAAGCATTCTCATAAACTTCCTTGTGATGTGTGTACTCAAGTAACAGAGATGAACCTTCCTTTTGACAGAGCAGTTTTGAAACACTCTTTTTGTAGAATCTGCAAGTGGATATTTTGATACCTTTGAGGATTTCGTTGGACACGGGATATCTTCATATAAAATCTAGACAGAAAGCATTCTCAGGAACTTCTTTTTGATGTTTGCCTTCAAGTCACAGGACTGAACATTCCCTTTCATAGAGCAGGTTTGAAACACTCTTTCTGTAGTATCTGCAAGCTGACGTTTCAAGCGCTTTCAGGCCTATGGTGAGAAAGGAAATATCTTCAAGTAAAAACTAGACAGAAGCATTCTCAGAAACTTCTTTGTGCTGTATGTCCTCAATTAACAGAGTTGAACCTTTGTGTGGATACAGCATTTTGGAAACATTCCTTTAGTAGAATCTGCAAGTTGATATTTAGATAGCTAGGAAGATTTCCTTGGAAACGGGAATATCTTCATATAAAATCTAGACGGAAGCATTCTCAGAAACTGCTTTGTGATGTTTTCATTCAAGTCACAGAGTAGAATGTTCCCTGTTATATACCAGGTTTGAGACACTCTTTCTGCACTACCCGGAAGTGGACGTTTGGAGCGCTTTGAGGCCTATGTTGAAAAAGGAAATATCTTCCCATAAAAACTAGACAGAAGCATTCTCAGAAACTTGTTTGTGATGTGTGTATTCAACTAACAGAGATGAACCTTTCTTTTTACAGAGCAGTTTTGAAACACTCTTTTTGTGGAATCTGAAAGTGGATATTTGGATAGCTTTGAGGATTTCGTTGGAAACGGGATTACATATAAAACCTAGAGAGAAGCATTCTCAGGAACTTCTTTGTGATGTTTGCATTCAAGTCACAGAACTGAACATTCCCTTTCATAGAGCAGGTTTGAAACACTCTTTCTGTAGTATCTGCAAGCGGAAGTTTCAAGCGCTTTCAGGCCTGTGGTGAAAAAGGAAATATCTTCAAATAAAAACTAGACAAAAGCATTCTCAGAAACTTATTTGCGATGTGTGTCCTCAACTAACAGAGTTGAACCTTTCTTTTGATACAACATTTTGGAAACACTCTTTTTGTAGAATCTGCAAGTGGATATTTGAATAGCTTTGAAGGTTTCGTTGGAAACGGGAATATGCTTCATATAAAATCAAGACAGAAGCATTCTCAGAAAGTGCTTTGTGATGTTTGCATTCAAGTCACAGAGTTGAATGTTCCCTTTTATAGAGCAGGTTTGAAACACTCTTTCTGCACTACCTGGAAGTGGACATTTGGAGCGCTTTGAGGCCTATGTTGAAAAAGGAAATATCTTCCCATAAAAACTAGACAGAAGCATTCTCAGAAACTTGTTTGTGATGTGTGTATTCAACTAACAGAGATGAACCTTTCTTTTTACAGAGCAGTTTTGAAACACTCTTTTTGTGGAATCTGAAAGTGGATATTTGGATAGCTTTGAGGATTTCGTTGGAAACGGGATTACATATAAAACCTAGAGAGAAGCATTCTCAGGAACTTCTTTGTGATGTTTGCATTCAAGTCACAGAACTGAACATTCCCTTTCATAGAGCAGGTTTGAAACACTCTTTCTGTAGTATCTGCAAGCGGACGTTTTAAGCGCTTTCAGGCCTGTGGTGAGAAAGGAAATATCTTCAAATAAAAACTAGACAGAAGCATTCTCAGAAACTTATTTGCGATGTGTGTCCTCAACTAACAGAGTTGAACCTTTCTTTTGATACAACATTTTGGAAACACTCTTTTTGTAGAATCTGCAAGTGGATATTTGGATAGCTTTGAAGGTTTCGTTGGAAACGGGAATATCTTCATATAAAATCAAGACAGAAGCATTCTCAGAAACTGCTTTGTGATGTTTTCATTCAAGTCACAGAGTAGAATGTTCCCTGTTATATACCAGGTTTGAGACACTCTTTCTGCACTACCTGGAAGTGGACGTTTGGAGCGCTTTGAGGCCTATGTTGAAAAAGGAAATATCTTCCCATAAAAACTAGACAGAAGCATTCTCAGAAACTTGTTTGTGATGTGTGTATTCAACTAACAGAGATGAACCTTTCTTTTTACAGAGCAGTTTTGAAACACTCTTTTTGTGGAATCTGAAAGTGGATATTTGGATAGCTTTGAGGATTTCGTTGGAAACGGGATTACATATAAAACCTAGAGAGAAGCATTCTCAGGAACTTCTTTGTGATGTTTGCATTCACGTCACAGAACTGAACATTCCCTTTCATAGAGCATGTTTGAAACACTCTTTCTGTAGTATCTGCAAACGGACATTTCAAACGCTTTCAGGCCTATGGTGAGAAAGGAAATATCTTCAAATAAAAACTAGACAGAAGCATTCTCAGAAACTTATTTGCTATGTGTGTTCTCAACTAACAGGGTTGAACCTTTGTTTTGATATGGCATTTTGGAAACACTCTTTTTGTAGAATCTGCAGGTGGATATTCGGATAGCTTTGAAGGTTTCGTTGGAAACGGGAATATCTTCATATAAAATCTAGACGGAAGCATTCTCAGAAACTTCTCTGTGATGTTTGCATTCAACTCATAGAGTTGAACACTTCCCTTCATACAGCAGGTTTGAAACACTCTTTTTGTAATATTTGGAAGTGGACATTTGCAGCGCTTTGAGGCCTATGATGAAAAAGGTAATATCTTCCCATAAAAACTAGACAGAAGCATTCTCAGAAACTTGTTTGTGATGTGTGTATTCAACTAACAGAGATGAACCTTTCTTTTTACAGAGCAGTTTTGAAACACTCTTTTTGTGGAATCTGAAAGTGGATATTTGGATAGCTTTGAGGATTTCATTGGAAACGGGATTACATATAAAATCTAGGGAGAAGCATTCTCAGGAACTTCTTTGTGATGTTTGCATTCAAGTCACAGAACAGAACATTCCCTTTCATAGAGCAGGTTTGAAACACTCTTTCTGTAGTATCTGCAAGCGGACGTTTGAAGCGCTTTCAGGCCTGTGGTGAAAAAGGAAATATCTTCAAATAAAAAGTAGACAGAAGCATTCTCAGAAACTTATTTGCGATGTGTGTCCTCAACTAACAGAGTTGAACCTTTCTTTTGATACAACATTTTGGAAACACTCTTTTTGTAGAATCTGCAAGTGGATATTTGAATAGCTTTGAAGGTTTCGTTGGAAACGGGAATATCTTCATATAAAATCAAGACGGAAGCATTCTCAGAAACTTCTCTGTGATGTTTGCATTCAACTCATAGAGTTGAACACTTCCCTTCATACAGCAGGTTTGAAACACTCTTTTTGTAATATTTGGAAGTGGACATTTGCAGCGCTTTGAGGCCTATGTTGAAAAAGGAAATATCTTCTCCTAAAAACCAGACAGAAGCATTCTCAGAAACTTCCTTGTGATGTGTGTACTCAAGTAACAGAGTTGAACCTTACTTCTGACAGAGCCGTTTTGAAACAGTCTTTTTGTAGAATCTGGAAGTAGATATTTGGATACTTTTGAGGATTTCTTTGGAAACGGGATATATTCATATAAAATCTAGACAGAAGCATTCTCAGAAACTTCTCTGTTCTGTTTGCATTCAACTCATAGAGTTGAACACTTCCTTTCATAGAGCTGGTTTGAAATACTCTTTTTGTAATATTTGGAAGTGGACATTGGCAGCGCTTTGAAGCCTATGGTGAAAAAGGAGATATCTTCTCCTAAAAACCAGACAGAAGCATTCTCAGAATCTTTCTTGTGATGTGTGTACTCAAGTAACAGAGTTGAACCTTCATTTTGACAGAACAGTTTTGAAGCACTCTTTTTGTAGAATCTGCAAGTGGATATTTTGATACCTTTGAGGATTTCGTTAGACACGGGATATCTTCATATAAAATCTAGACAGAAGCATTCTCAGGAACTTCTTTGTGATGTTTGCATTCACGTCACAGAACTGATCATTCCCTTTCATACAGCATGTTTGAAACACTCTTTCTGTAGTATCTGCAAACGGACATTTCAAACGCTTTCAGGCCTATGGTGAGAAAGGAAATATCTTCAAATAAAAACTAGACAGAAGCATTCTCAGAAACTTGTTTGTGATGTGTGTATTCAACTAACAGAGATGAACCTTTCTTTTTACAGAGCAGTTTTGAAACACTCTTTTTGTGGAATCTGAAAGTGGATATTTGGATAGCTTTGAGGATTTCGTTGGAAACGGGATTACATATAAAACCTAGAGAGAAGCATTCTCAGGAACTTCTTTGTGATGTTTGCATTCAAGTCACAGAACTGAACATTCCCTTTCATAGAGCAGGTTTGAAACACTCTTTCTGTAGTATCTGCAAGCGGACGTTTCAAGCGCTTTCAGGCCTGTGGTGAAAAGGAAATATCTTCAAATAAAAACTAGACAGAAGCATTCTCAGAAACTTATTTGCGATGTGTGTCCTCAACTAACAGAGTTGAACCTTTGTTTTGATACAGCATTTTGGAAACACTCTTTTTGTAGGATCTGCAGGTGGATATTTGGATAGCTTTTAAGGTTTCGTTGGAAACGGGAATATCTTCATATAAAATCAAGACAGAAGCATTCTCAGAAACTTCTCTGTGATGTTTGCATTCAACTCATAGAGTTGAAGACTTCCTTTCATAGAGCCGGTTTGAAACACTCTGTGCACTACCTGGAAGTGGACATTTCGAGCGCTTTGAGGCCTATGTTGAAAAAGGAAATATCTTCCCATAAAAACTAGACAGAAGCATTCTCAGAAACTTGTTTGTGATGTGTGTATTCAACTAACAGATATGAACCTTTCTTTTTACAGAGCAGTTTTGAAACACTCTTTTTGTGGAATCTGAAAGTGGATATTTGGATAGCTTTGAGGATTTCGTTGGAAACGGGATTACATATAAAATCTAGGGAGAAGCATTCTCAGGAACTTCTTTGTGATGTTTGCATTCACGTCACAGAACTGAACATTCCCTTTAATAGAGCATGTTTGAAACACTCTTTCTGTAGTATCTGCAAGCGGACGTTTTAAGCGCTTTCAAGCCTGTGGTGAGAAAGGAAATATCTTCAAATAAAAACTAGACAGAAGCATTCTCAGAAACTTATTTGCGATGTGTGTCCTCAACTAACAGAGTTGAACCTTTCTTTTGATACAACATTTTGGAAACACTCTTTTTGTAGAATCTGCAAGTGGATATTTGGATAGCTTTGAAGGTTTCGTTGGAAACGGGAATATCTTCATATGAAATCAAGACAGAAGCATTCTCAGAAACTTCTCTGTGATGTTTGTATTCAACTCATAGAGTTGAACACTTCCCTTCATACAGCAGGTTTGAAACACTCTTTTTGTAATATTTGGAAGTGGACATTTGCAGCACTTTGAGGCCTATGATGAAAAAGGAAATATCTTCCCATAAAAACTAGACAGAAGCATTCTCAGAAACTTGTTTGTGATGTGTGTATTCAACTAACAGAGATGAACCTTTCTTTTTACAGAGCAGTTTTGAAACACTCTTTTTGTGGAATCTGAAAGTGGATATTTGGATAGCTTTGCGGATTTCGTTGGAAACGGGATTACATATAAAATCTAGGGAGAAGCATTCTCAGGAACTTCTTTGTGATGTTTGCATTCACGTCACAGAACTGAACATTCCCTTTCATAGAGCATGTTTGAAACACTCTTTCTGTAGTATCTGCAAACGGACATTTCAAACGCTTTCAGGCCTATGGTGAGAAAGGAAATATCTTCAAGTAAAAACTAGACAGAAGCATTCTCAGAAACTGATTTGCGATGTGTGTTCTCAACTAACAGAGTTGAACCTTTGTTTTGATACAGCATTTTGGAAACACTCTTTTTGTAGGATCTGCAGGTGGATATTTGGATAGCTTAGAAGGTTTCGTTGGAAACGGGAATATCTTCATAGAAAATCAAGACAGAAGCATTCTCAGAAAGTGCTTTGTGATGTTTGCATTCAAGTCACAGAGTTGAATATTCCCTTTTATAGAGCAGGTTTGAAACACTCTTTCTGCACTACCTGGAAGTGGACATTTGGAGCGCTTTGAGGCCTATGTTGAAAAAGGAAATATCTTCCCATAAAAACTAGACAGAAGCATTCTCAGAAACTTGTTTGTGATGTGTGTATTCAGCTAACAGAGGATGAATCTTTCTTTTTACAGAGCAGTTTTGAAACACTCTTTTTCTGGAATCTGAAAGTGGATATTTGGATAGCTTTGAGGATTTCGTTGGAAACGGGATTACATATAAAATCTAGAGAGAAGCATTCTCAGGAACTTCTTTGTGATGTTTGCCTTCAAGTCACAGGACTGAACATTCCCTTTCATAGAGCAGGTTTGAAACACTCTTTCTGTAGTATCTGCAAGCTGACGTTTCATGCGCTTTCAGGCCTATGGTGAGAAAGGAAATATCTTCAAGTAAAAACTAGACAGAAGCATTGTCAGAAACTTATTTGCCATGTGTGTTCTCAACTAACAGAGTTGAACCTTTGTTTTGATACGGCATTTTGGAAACAGTCTTTTTGTAGAATCTGCAGGTGGATATTCGGATAGCTTTGAAGGTTTCGTTGGAAACGGGAATATCTTCATATAAAATCTAGACGGAAGCATTCTCAGAAACTTCTCTGTGATGTTTGCATTCAACTCATAGAGTTGAACACTTCCCTTCATACAGCAGGTTTGAAACACTCTTTTTGTAATATTTGGAAGTGGACATTTGCAGCGCTTTGAGGCCTATGTTGAAAAAGGAAATATCTTCTCCTAAAAACCAGACAGAAGCATTCTCAGAAACTTGTTTGTGATGTGTGTATTCAACTAATAGAGATGAACCTTTCTTTTTACAGAGCAGTTTTGAAACACTCTTTTTGTGGAATCTGAAAGTGGATATTTGGATAGCTTTGAGGATTTCGTTGGAAACGGGATTACATATAAAATCTAGAGAGAAGCATTCTCAGGAACTTCTTTGTGATGTTTGCATTCAAGTCACAGAACTGAACATTCCCTTTCATAGAGCAGGTTTGAAACACTCTTTCTGTAGTATCTGCAAGCGGACGTTTTAAGCGCTTTCAGGCCTGTGGTGAGAAAGGAAATATCTTCAAATAAAAACTAGACAGAAGCATTCTCAGAAACTTCTTTGTGCTGTATGTCCTCAATTAACAGAGTTGAACCTTTGTGTGGATACAGCATTTTGGAAACATTCCTTTAGTAGAATCTGCAAGTTGATATTTAGATAGCTAGGAAGATTTCCTTGGAAACGGGAATATCTTCATATAAAATCTAGACGGAAGCATTCTCAGAAAGTGCTTTGTGATGTTTGCATTCAAGTCACAGAGTTGAATGTTCCCTTTTATAGAGCAGGTTTGAAACACTCTTTCTGCACTACCTGGAAGTGGACATTTGGAGCGCTTTGAGGCCTATGTTGAAAAAGGAAATATCTTCCCATAAAAACTAGACAGAAGCATTCTCAGAAACTTGTTTGTGATGTGTGTATTCAACTAACAGAGATGAACCTTTCTTTTTACAGAGCAGTTTTGAAACACTCTTTTTGTGGAATCTGAAAGTGGATATTTGGATAGCTTTGAGGATTTCGTTGGAAACGGGATTACATATAAAACCTAGAGAGAAGCATTCTCAGGAACTTCTTTGTGATGTTTGCATTCAAGTCACAGAACTGAACATTCCCTTTCATAGAGCATGTTTGAAACACTCTTTCTGTAGTATCTGCAAGCGGACGTTTCAAGCGCTTTCAGGCCTATGGTGAGAAAGGGAATATCTTCAAGTAAAAACTAGACAGAAGCATTCTCAGAAACTTATTTGCCATGTGTGTTCTCAACTAACAGAGTTGAACCTTTGTTTTGATACGGCATTTTGGAAACACTCTTTTTGTAGAATCTGCAGGTGGATATTCGGATAGCTTTGAAGGTTTCGTTGGAAACGGGAATATCTTCATATAAAATCTAGACGGAAGCATTCTCAGAAAGTGCTTTGTGATGTTTGCATTCAAGTCACAGAGTTGAATATTCCCTTTTATAGAGCAGGTTTGAAACACTCTTTCTGCACTACCTGGAAGTGGACATTTGGAGCGCTTTGAGGCCTATGTTGAAAAACGAAATATCTTCCCATAAAAACTAGACAGAAGCATTCTCAGAAACTTCCTTGTGATGTGTGTATTCAACTAACAGAGATGAACCTTTCTTTTTACAGAGCAGTTTTGAAACACTCTTTTTGTGGAATCTGAAAGTGGATATTTGGATAGCTTTGAGGATTTCGTTGGAAACGGGATTACATATAAAATCTAGGGAGAAGCATTCTCAGGAACTTCTTTGTGATGTTTGCATTCAAGTCACAGAACTGAACATTCCCTTTCATAGAGCAGGTTTGAAACACTCTTTCTGTAGTATCTGCAAGCGGACGTTTCAAGCGCTTTCAGGCCTGTGGTGAAAAAGGAAATATCTTCAAATAAAAACTAGACAGAAGCATTCTCAGAAACTTATTTGCGATGTGTGTTCTCAACTAAAAGAGTTGAACCTTTGTTTGGATACAACATTTTGGAAACACTCTTTTTGTAGAATCTGCAAGTGGATATTTGGATAGCTTTGAAGGTTGCGTTGGAAACGGGAATATCTTCATATAAAATCAAGACAGAAGCATTCTCAGAAACTTCTCTGTGATGTTTGCATTCAACTCATAGAGTTGAACACTTCCCTTCATACAGCAGGTTTGAAACACTCTTTTTGTAATATTTGGAAGTGGACATTTGCAGCGCTTTGAGGCCTATGATGAAAAAGGAAATATCTTCCCATAAAAACTAGACAGGAAGCATTCTCAGAAACTTGTTTGTGATGTGTGTATTCAACTAACAGAGATGAACCTTTCTTTTTACAGAGCAGTTTTGAAACACTCTTTTTGTGGAATCTGAAAGTGGATATTTGGATAGCTTTGAGGATTTCGTTGGAAACGGGATTACATATAAAACCTAGAGAGAAGCATTCTCAGGAACTTCTTTGTGATGTTTGCATTCAAGTCACAGAACTGAACATTCCCTTTCATAGAGCATGTTTGAAACACTCTTTCTGTAGTATCTGCAAGCGGACGTTTCAAGCGCTTTCAGGCCTATGGTGAGAAAGGAAATATCTTCAAGTAAAAACTAGACAGAAGCATTCTCAGAAACTTATTTGCGATGTGTGTTCTCAACTAACAGAGTTGAACCTTTGTTTTGATATGGCATTTTGGAAACACTCTTTTTGTAGAATCTGCAGGTGGATATTCGGATAGCTTTGAAGGTTTCGTTGGAAACGGGAATATCTTCATATAAAATCTAGACGGAAGCATTCTCAGAAACTTCTCTGTGATGTTTGCATTCAACTCATAGAGTTGAACACTTCCCTTCATACAGCAGGTTTGAAACACTCTTTTTGTAGTATTTGGAAGTGGACATTTGCAGCGCTTTGAGGCCTATGATGAAAAAGGAAATATCTTCCCATAAAAACTAGACAGAAGCATTCTCAGAAACTTGTTTGTGATGTGTGTATTCAACTAACAGAGATGAACCTTTCTTTTTACAGAGCAGTTTTGAAACACTCTTTTTGTGGAATCTGAAAGTGGATATTTGGATAGCTTTGAGGATTTCGTTGGAAACGGGATTACATATAAAACCTAGAGAGAAGCATTCTCAGGAACTTCTTTGTGATGTTTGCATTCAAGTCACAGAACTGAACATTCCCTTTCATAGAGCAGGTTTGAAACACTCTTTCTGTAGTATCTGCAAGCTGACGTTTCAAGCGCTTTCAGGCCTATGGTGAGAAAGGAAATATCTTCAAGTAAAAACTAGACAGAAGCATTCTCAGAAACTTATTTGCGATGTGTGTCCTCAACTAACAGAGTTGAACCTTTCTTTTGATACAACATTTTGGAAACACTCTTTTTGTAGAATCTGCAAGTGGATATTTGAATAGCTTTGAAGGTTTCGTTGGAAACGGGAATATCTTCATATAAAATCAAGACAGAAGCATTCTCAGAAAGTGCTTTGTGATGTTTGCATTCAAGTCACAGAGTTGAATATTCCCTTTTATAGAGCAGGTTTGAAACACTCTTTCTGCACTACCTGGAAGTGGACATTTGGAGCGCTTTGAGGCCTATGTTGAAAAAGGAAATATCTTCCCATAAAAACTAGACAGAAGCATTCTCAGAAACTTGTTTGTGATGTGTGTATTCAACTAACAGAGATGAACCTTTCTTTTTACAGAGCAGTTTTGAAACACTCTTTTTGTGGAATCTGAAAGTGGATATTTGGATAGCTTTGAGGATTTCGTTGGAAACGGGATTACATATAAAACCTAGAGAGAAGCATTCTCAGGAACTTCTTTGTGATGTTTGCATTCAAGTCACAGAACTGAACATTCCCTTTCATAGAGCAGGTTTGAAACACTCTTTCTGTAGTATCTGCAAGCGGACGTTTTAAGCGCTTTCAGGCCTGTGGTGAGAAAGGAAATATCTTCAAATAAAAACTAGACAGAAGCATTCTCAGAAACTTATTTGCGATGTGTGTCCTCAACTAACAGAGTTGAACCTTTCTTTTGATACAACATTTTGGAAACACTCTTTTTGTAGAATCTGCAAGTGGATATTTGAATAGCTTTGAAGGTTTCGTTGGAAACGGGAATATCTTCATATAAAATCAAGACAGAAGCATTCTCAGAAAGTGCTTTGTGATGTTTTCATTCAAGTCACAGAGTTGAATATTCCCTTTTATAGAGCAGGTTTGAAACACTCTTTCTGCACTACCTGGAAGTGGACATTTGGAGCGCTTTGAGGCCTATGTTGAAAAAGGAAATATCTTCCCATAAAAACTAGACAGAAGCATTCTCAGAAACTTGTTTGTGATGTGTGTATTCAACTAACAGAGATGAACCTTTCTTTTTACAGAGCAGTTTTGAAACACTCTTTTTGTGGAATCTGAAAGTGGATATTTGGATAGCTTTGCGGATTTCGTTGGAAACGGGATTACATATAAAATCTAGGGAGAAGCATTCTCAGGAACTTCTTTGTGATGTTTGCATTCAAGTCACAGAACTGAACATTCCCTTTCATAGAGCATGTTTGAAACACTCTTTCTGTAGTATCTGCAAACGGACATTTCAAACGCTTTCAGGCCTATGGTGAGAAAGGAAATATCTTCAAATAAAAACTAGACAGAAGCATTCTCAGAAACTTATTTGCGATGTGTGTTCTCAACTAACAGAGTTGAACCTTTGTTTTGATATGGCATTTTGGAAACACTCTTTTTGTAGAATCTGCAGGTGGATATTCGGATAGCTTTGAAGGTTTCGTTGGAAACGGGAATATCTTCATATAAAATCTAGACGGAAGCATTCTCAGAAACTTCTCTGTGATGTTTGCATTCAACTCATAGAGTTGAACACTTCCCTTCATAGAGCAGGTTTGAAACACTCTTTTTGTAATATTTGGAAGTGGACATTTGCAGCGCTTTGAGGCCTATGTTGAAAAAGGAAATATCTTCTCCTAAAAACCAGACAGGAAGGATTCTCACAAACTTCCTTGTGATGTGTGTACTCAAGTAACAGAGTTGAACCTTACTTTTGACAGAGCCGTTTTGAAAAAGTCTTTTTGTAGAATCTGGAAGTAGATATTTGGATACCTTTGAGGATTTCTTTGGAAACGGGATATCTTCATAAAAAATCTAGACAGAAGCATTCTCAGGAACTTCTTTGTGATGTTTGCATTCAAGTCACAGAACTGAACATTCCCTTTCATAGAGCATGTTTGAAACACTCTTTCTGTTGTATCTGCAAGCGGACGTTTCAAGCGCTTTCAGGCCTATGGTGAGAAAGGAAATATCTTCAAGTAAAAACTAGAAAGAAGCATTCTCAGAAACTTATTTGCGATGTGTGTCCTCAACTAACAGAGTTGAACCTTTCTTTTGATACAACATTTTGGAAACACTCTTTTTGTAGAATCTGCAAGTGGATATTTGGATAGCTTTGAAGGTTTCGTTGGAAACGGGAATATCTTCATATGAAATCAAGACAGAAGCATTCTCAGAAAGTGCTTTGTGATGTTTGCATTCAAGTCACAGAGTTGAATATTCCCTTTTATAGAGCAGGTTTGAAACACTCTTTCTGCACTACCTGGAAGTGGACATTTGGAGCGCTTTGAGGCCTATGTTGAAAAAGGAAATATCTTCCCATAAAAACTAGACAGAAGCATTCTCAGAAACTTGTTTGTGATGTGTGTATTCAACTAACAGAGATGAACCTTTCTTTTTACAGAGCAGTTTTGAAACACTCTTTTTGTGGAATCTGAAAGTGGATATTTGGATAGCTTTGAGGATTTCGTTGGAAACGGGATTACATATAAAATCTAGGGAGAAGCATTCTCAGGAACTTCTTTGTGATGTTTGCATTCAAGTCACAGAACTGAACATTCCCTTTCATAGAGCAGGTTTGAAACACTCTTTCTGTAGTATCTGCAAGCTGACGTTTCAAGCGCTTTCAGGCCTATGGTGAGAAAGGAAATATCTTCAAGTAAAAACTAGACAGAAGCATTCTCAGAAACTTATTTGCCATGTGTGTTCTCAACTAACAGAGTTGAACCTTTGTTTTGATATGGCATTTTGGAAACACTCTTTTTGTAGAATCTGCAGGTGGATATTCGGATAGCTTTGAAGGTTTCGTTGGAAACGGGAATATCTTCATATAAAATCTAGACGGAAGCATTCTCAGAAAGTGCTTTGTGATGTTTGCATTCAAGTCACAGAGTTGAATATTCCCTTTTATAGAGCAGGTTTGAAACACTCTTTCTGCACTACCTGGAAGTGGACATTTGGAGCGCTTTGAGGCCTATGTTGAAAAAGGAAATATCTTCCCATAAAAACTAGACAGAAGCATTCTCAGAAACTTGTTTGTGATGTGTGTATTCAACTAACAGAGATGAACCTTTCTTTTTACAGAGCAGTTTTGAAACACTCTTTTTGTGGAATCTGAAAGTGGATATTTGGATAGCTTTGAGGATTTCGTTGGAAACGGGATTACATATAAAATCTAGAGAGAAGCATTCTCAGGAACTTCTTTGCGATGTTTGCATTCAAGTCACAGAACTGAACATTCCCTTTCATAGAGCAGGTTTGAAACACTCTTTCTGTAGTATCTGCAAGCTGACGTTTCGAGCGCTTTCAGGCCTATGGTGAGAAAGGAAATTTCTGCAAGGAAAAACTAGACAGAAGCATTCTCAGAAACTTATTTGCGATGTGTGTCCTCAACTAACAGAGTTGAACCTTTCTTTTGATACAACATTTTGGAAACACTCTTTTTGTAGAATCTGCAAGTGGATATTTGGATAGCTTTGAAGGTTTCGTTGGAAACGGGAATATCTTCATATGAAATCAAGACAGAAGCATTCTCAGAAAGTGCTTTGTGATGTTTGCATTCAAGTCACAGAGTTGAATATTCCCTTTTATAGAGCAGGTTTGAAACACTCTTTCTGCACTACCTGGAAGTGGACATTAGCAGCGCTTTGAGGCCTATGATGAAAAAGGTAATATCTTCCCATAAAAACTAGACAGAAGCATTCTCAGAAACTTGTTTGTGATGTGTGTATTCAACTAACAGAGATGAACCTTTCTTTTTACAGAGCAGTTTTGAAACACTCTTTTTGTGGAATCTGAAAGTGGATATTTGGATAGCTTTGAGGATTTCGTTGGAAACGGGATTACATATAAAATCTAGAGAGAAGCATTCTCAGGAACTTCTTTGTGATGTTTGCATTCAAGTCACAGAACTGAACATTCCCTTTCATAGAGCAGGTTTGAAACACTCTTTCTGTAGTATCTGCAAGCGGACGTTTTAAGCGCTTGCAGGCCTGTGGTGAGAAAGGAAATATCTTCAAATAAAAACTAGACAGAAGCATTCTCAGAAACATATTTGCCATGTGTGTTCTCAACTAACAGAGTTGAACCTTTGTTTTGATACGGCATTTTGGAAACACTCTTTTTGTAGTATCTGCAGGTGGATATTCGGATAGCTTTGAAGGTTTCGTTGGAAACGGGAATATCTTCATATAAAATCTAGACGGAAGCATTCTCAGTAAACTGCTTTGTGATGTTTTCATTCAAGTCACAGAGTAGAATGTTCCCTGTTATATACCAGGTTTGAGACACTCTTTCTGCACTACCTGGAAGTGGACATTTGCAGCGCTTTGAGGCCTATGATGAAAAAGGAAATATCTTCCCATAAAAACTAGACAGAAGCATTCTCAGAAACTTGTTTGTGATGTGTGTATTCAACTAACAGAGATGAACCTTTCTTTTTACAGAGCAGTTTTGAAACACTCTTTTTGTGGAATCTGAAAGTGGATATTTGGATAGCTTTGAGGATTTCGTTGGAAACGGGATTACATATAAAATCTAGAGAGAAGCATTCTCAGGAACTTCTTTGTGATGTTTGCATTCACGTCACAGAACTGAACATTCCCTTTCATAGAGCATGTTTGAAACACTCTTTCTGTAGTATCTGCAAACGGACATTTCAAACGCTTTCAGGCCTATGGTGAGAAAGGAAATATCTTCAAATAAAAACTAGACAGAAGCATTCTCAGAAACTTATTTGCGATGTGTGTTCTCAACTAACAGAGTTGAACCTTTGTTTTGATATGGCATTTTGGAAACACTCTTTTTGTAGAATCTGCAGGTGGATATTCGGATAGCTTTGAAGGTTTCGTTGGAAACGGGAATATCTTCATATAAAATCTAGACGGAAGCATTCTCAGAAACTTCTCTGTGATGTTTGCATTCAACTCATAGAGTTGAACACTTCCCTTCATACAGCAGGTTTGAAACACTCTTTTTGTAATATTTGGAAGTGGACATTTGCAGCGCTTTGAGGCCTATGATGAAAAAGGTAATATCTTCCCATAAAAACTAGACAGAAGCATTCTCAGAAACTTGTTTGTGATGTGTGTATTCAACTAACAGAGATGAACCTTTCTTTTTACAGAGCAGTTTTGAAACACTCTTTTTGTGGAATCTGAAAGTGGATATTTGGATAGCTTTGCGGATTTCGTTGGAAACGGGATTACATATAAAATCTAGGGAGAAGCATTCTCAGGAACTTCTTTGTGATGTTTGCATTCAAGTCACAGAACTGAACATTCCCTTTCATAGAGCAGGTTTGAAACACTCTTTCTGTAGTATCTGCAAGTGGACGTTTCAAGCGCTTTCAGGCCTGTGGTGAAAAAGGAAATATCTTCAAATAAAAACTAGACAGAAGCATTCTCAGAAACTTATTTGCGATGTGTGTCCTCAACTAACAGAGTTGAACCTTTCTTTTGATACAACATTTTGGAACCACTCTTTTTGTAGAATCTGCAAGTGGATATTTGGATAGCTTTGAAGGTTTCGTTGGAAACGGGAATATCTTCATATAAAATCAAGACAGAAGCATTCTCAGAAACTTCTCTGTGATGTTTGCATTCAACTCATAGAGTTGAACACTTCCCTTCATACAGCAGGTTTGAAACACTCTTTTTGTAATATTTGGAAGTGGACATTTGCAGCGCTTTGAGGCCTATGATGAAAAAGGAAATATCTTCCCATAAAAACTAGACAGAAGCATTCTCAGAAACTTGTTTGTGATGTGTGTATTCAACTAACAGAGATGAACCTTTCTTTTTACAGAGCAGTTTTGAAACACTCTTTTTGTGGAATCTGAAAGTGGATATTTGGATAGCTTTGAGGATTTCGTTGGAAACGGGATTACATATAAAATCTAGAGAGAAGCATTCTCAGGAACTTCTTTGTGATGTTTGCCTTCAAGTCACAGGACTGAACATTCCCTTTCATAGAGCAGGTTTGAAACACTCCTTCTGTAGTATCTGCAAGCTGACGTTTCAAGCGCTTTCAGGCCTATGGTGAGAAAGGAAATATCTTCAAGTAAAAACTAGACAGAAGCATTCTCAGAAACTTATTTGCCATGTGTGTTCTCAACTAACAGAGTTGAACCTTTGTTTTGATACGGCATTTTGGAAACACTCTTTTTGTAGAATCTGCAGGTGGATATTCGGATAGCTTTGAAGGTTTCGTTGGAAACGGGAATATCTTCATATAAAATCTAGACGGAAGCATTCTCAGAAAGTACTTTGTGATGTTTGCATTCAAGTCACAGAGTTGAATATTCCCTTTTATAGAGCAGGTTTGAAACACTCTTTCTGCACTACCTGGAAGTGGACATTTGGAGCGCTTTGAGGCCTATGTTGAAAAAGGAAATATCTTCCCATAAAAACTAGACAGAAGCATTCTCAGAAACTTGTTTGTGATGTGTGTATTCAACTAACAGAGATGAACCTTTCTTTTTACAGAGCAGTTTTGAAACACTCTTTTTGTGGAATCTGAAAGTGGATATTTGGATAGCTTTGAGGATTTCGTTGGAAACGGGATTACATATAAAACCTAGAGAGAAGCATTCTCAGGAACTTCTTTGTGATGTTTGCCTTCAAGTCACAGGACTGAACATTCCCTTTCATAGAGCAGGTTTGAAACACTCTTTCTGTAGTATCTGCAAGCTGACGTTTCAAGCGCTTTCAGGCCTATGGTGAGAAAGGAAATATCTTCAAGTAAAAACTAGACAGAAGCATTCTCAGAAACTTGTTTGCGATGTGTTTCCTCAACTAACAGAGTTGAACCTTTCTTTTGATACAACATTTTGGAAACACTCTTTTTGTAGAATCTGCAAGTGGATATTTGGATAGCTTTGAAGGTTTCTTTGGAAACGGGAATATCTTCATATAAAATCAAGACAGAAGCATTCTCAGAAAAGTGCTTTGTGATGTTTGCATTCAAGTCACAGAGTTGAATATTCCCTTTTATAGAGCATGTTTGAAACACTCTTTCTGCACTACCTGGAAGTGGACATTTGGAGCGCTTTGAGGCCTATGTTGAAAAAGGAAATATCTTCCCATAAAAACTAGACAGAAGCATTCTCAGAAACTTGTTTGTGATGTGTGTATTCAACTAACAGAGATGAACCTTTCTTTTTACAGAGCAGTTTTGAAACACTCTTTTTGTGGAATCTGAAAGTGGATATGTGGATAGCTTTGAGGATTTCGTTGGAAACGGGATTACATATAAAATCTAGAGAGAAGCATTCTCAGGAACTTCTTTGTGATGTTTGCATTCAAGACACAAAACTGAACATTTCCTTTCATAGAGCATGTTTGAAACACTCTTTCTGTAGTATCTGCAAGCGGACGTTTCAAGCGCTTTCAGGCCTATGGTGAGAAAGGAAATATCTTCAAGTAAAAACTAGACAGAAGCATTCTCAGAAACTTATTTGCCATGTGTGTTCTCAACTAACAGAGTTGAACCTTTGTTTTGATACGGCATTTTGGAAACACTCTTTTTGTAGAATCTGCAGGTGGATATTCGGATAGCTTTGAAGGTTTCGTTGGAAACGGGAATATCTTCATATAAAATCTAGACGGAAGCATTCTCAGAAACTTCTCTGTGATGTTTGCATTCAACTCATAGAGTTGAACACTTCCCTTCATACAGCAGGTTTGAAACACTCTTTTTGTAATATTTGGAAGTGGACATTTGCAGCGCTTTGAGGCCTATGATGAAAAAGGTAATATCTTCCCATAAAAACTAGACAGAAGCATTCTCAGAAACTTGTTTGTGATGTGTGTATTCAACTAACAGAGATGAACCTTTCTTTTTACAGAGCAGTTTTGAAACACTCTTTTTGTGGAATCTGAAAGTGGATATTTGGATAGCTTTGAGGATTTCGTTGGAAACGGGATTACATATAAAACCTAGAGAGAAGCATTCTCAGGAACTTCTTTGTGATGTTTGCATTCAAGTCACAGAACTTAACATTCCCTGTCATAGAGCATGTTTGAAACACTCTTTCTGTAGTATCTGCAAGCGGACGTTTCAAGCGCTTTCAGGCCTATGGTGAGAAAGGAAATATCTTCAAGTAAAAACTAGACAGAAGCATTCTCAGAAACTTATTTGCGATGTGTGTTCTCAACTAACAGAGTTGAACCTTTGTTTTGATACAGCATTTTGGAAACACTCTTTTTGTAGAATCTGCGGGTGGATATTTGGATAGCTTTGAAGGTTTCGTTGGAAACGGGAATATCTTCATATAAAATCAAGACAGAAGCATTCTCAGAAACTTCTTTGTGATGTTTGCATTCAACTCATAGAGTTGAACAATTCCTTTCATAGAGCTGGTTTGAAATACTCTTTTTGTAATATTTGGAAGTGGACATTGGCAGCGCTTTGAAGCTTATGGTGAAAAAGGAGATATCTTCTCCTAAATACCAGACAGAAGCATTCTCAGAAACTTATTTGCGATGTGTGTTCTCAACTAACAGAGTTGAACCTTTGTTTTGATATGGCATTTTGGAAACACTCTTTTTGTAGAATCTGCAGGTGGATATTCGGATAGCTTTGAAGGTTTCGTTGGAAACGGGAATATCTTCATATAAAATCTAGACGGAAGCATTCTCAGAAAGTGCTTTGTGATGTTTGCATTCAAGTCACAGAGTTGAATATTCCCTTTTATAGAGCAGGTTTGAAACACTCTTTCTGCACTACCTGGAAGTGGACATTTGGAGCGCTTTGAGGCCTATGTTGAAAAAGGAAATATCTTCCCATAAAAACTAGACAGAAGCATTCTCAGAAACTTGTTTGTGATGTGTGTATTCAACTAACAGAGATGAACCTTTCTTTTTACAGAGCAGTTTTGAAACACTCTTTTTGTGGAATCTGAAAGTGGATATTTGGATAGCTTTGAGGATTTCGTTGGAAACGGGATTACATATAAAATCTAGGGATAAGCATTCTCAGGAACTCCTCTGTGATGTTTGCATTCAAGTCACAGAACTGAACATTCCCTTTCATAGAGCAGGTTTGAAACACTCTTTCTGTAGTATCTGCAAGCGGACGTTTCTAGCGCTTTCAGGCCTGTGGTGAAAGAGGAAATATCTTCAAATAAAAACTAGACAGAAGCATTCTCAGAAACTTATTTCCCATGTGTGTTCTCAACTAACAGAGTTGAACCTTTGTTTTGATACGGCATTTTGGAAACACTCTTTTTGTAGAATCTGCAGGTGGATATTCGGATAGCTTTGAAGGTTTCGTTGGAAACGGGAATATCTTCATATAAAATCTAGACGGAAGCATTCTCAGAAACTGCTTTGTGACGTTTTCATTCAAGTCACAGAGTAGAATGTTCCCTTTTATATACCAGGTTTGAGACACTCTTTCTGCACTATCTGGAAGTGGACATTTGGAGCGCTTTGAGGCCTATGATGAAAAAGGAAATATCTTCCCATAAAAACTAGACAGAAGCATTCTCCGAAACTTGTTTTTGATGTGTGTATTCAACTAACAGAGATGAACCTTTCTTTTTACAGAGCAGTTTTGAAACACTCTTTTTGTGGAATCTGAAAGTGGATATTTGGATAGCTTTGAGGATTTCGTTGGAAACGGGATTACATATAAAATCTAGAGAGAAGCATTCTCAGGAACTTCTTTGTGATGTTTGCATTCAAGTCACAGAACTGAGCATTCCCTTTCATAGAGCAGGTTTGAAACACTCTTTCTGTAGTATCTGCAAGCTGACGTTTCAAGCGCTTTCAGGCCTATGGTGAGAAAGGAAATATCTTCAAGTAAAAACTAGACAGAAGCATTCTCAGAAACTTATTTGCGATGTGTGTCCTCAACTAACAGAGTTGAACCTTTCTTTTGATACAACATTTTGGAAACACTCTTTTTGTAGAATCTGCAAGTGGATATTTGGATAGCTTTGAAGGTTTCGTTGGAAACGGGAATATCTTCATATGAAATCAAGACAGAAGCATTCTCAGAAACTGCTTTGTGATGTTTTCATTCAAGTCACAGAGTAGAATGTTCCCTGTTATATACCAGGTTTGAGACACACTTTCTGCACTACCTGGAAGTGCACATTTGGAGCGCTTTGAGGCCTATGTTGAAAAAGGAAATATCTTCCCATAAAAACTAGACAGAAGCATTCTCAGAAACTTGTTTGTGATGTGTGTATTCAACTAACAGAGATGAACCTTTCTTTTTACAGAGCAGTTTTGAAACACTCTTTTTGTGGAATCTGAAAGTGGATATTTGGTTAGCTTTGAGGATTTCGTTGGAAACGGGATTACATATAAAATCTAGAGAGAAGCATTCTCAGGAACTTCTTTGTGATGTTTGCATTCAAGTCACAGAACTGAACATTCCCTTTCATAGAGCATGTTTGAAACACTCTTTCTGTAGTATCTGCAAGCGGACGTTTGAAGCGCTTTCAGGCCTGTGGTGAAAAAGGAAATATCTTCAAATGAAAACTAGACAGAAGCATTCTCAGAGACTTATTTGCGATGTGTGTCCTCAACTAACAGAGTTGAACCTTTCTTTTGATACAACATTTTGGAAACACTCTTTTTGTAGAATCTGCAAGTGGATACTTGGATAGCTTTGAAGGTTTCGTTGGAAACGGGAATATCTTCATATGAAATCAAGACAGAAGCATTCTCAGTAAAGTGCTTTGTGATGTTTGCATTCAAGTCACAGAGTTGAATATTCCCTTTTATAGAGCAGGTTTGAAACACTCTTTCTGCACTACCTGGAAGTGGACATTTGGAGCGCTTTGAGGCCTATGTTGAAAAAGGCAATATCTTCCCATAAAAACTAGACAGAAGCATTCTCAGAAACTTGTTTGTGATGTGTGTATTCAACTAACAGAGATGAACCTTTCTTTTTACAGAGCAGTTTTGAAACACTCTTTTTGTGGAATCTGAAATTGGATATTTGGATAGCTTTGAGGATTTCGTTGGAAACGGGATTACATATAAAACCTAGAGAGAAGCATTCTCAGGAACTTCTTTGTGATGTTTGCATTCACGTCACAGAACTGAACATTCCCTTTCATAGAGCATGTTTGAAACACTCTTTCTGTAGTATCTGCAAACGGACATTTCAAACGCTTTCAGGCCTATGGTGAGAAAGGAAATATCTTCAAGTAAAAACTAAGACAGAAGCATTCTCAGAAACTTATTTGCGATGTGTGTCCTCAACTAAGAGAGTTGAACCTTTCTTTTGATACAACATTTTGGAAACACTCTTTATGTAGAATCTGCAAGTGGATATTTGAATAGCTTTGAAGGTTTCGTTGGAAACGGGAATATCTTCATATAAAATCAAGACAGAAGCATTCTCAGAAAGTGCTTTGTGATGTTTGCATTCAAGTCACAGAGTTGAATGTTCCCTTTTATAGAGCAGGTTTGAAACACTCTTTCTGCACTACCTGGAAGTGGACATTTGGAGCGCTTTGAGGCCTATGTTGAAAAAGGAAATATCTTCCCATAAAAACTAGACAGAAGCATTCTCAGAAACTTGTTTGTGATGTGTGTATTCAACTAACAGAGATGAACCTTACTTTTTACAGAGCAGTTTTGAAACACTCTTTTTGTGGAATCTGAAAGTGGATATTTGGATAGCTTTGAGGATTTCGTTGGAAACGGGATTACATATAAAACCTAGAGAGAAGCATTCTCAGGAACTTCTTTGTGATGTTTTCATTCAAGTCACAGGACTGAACATTCCCTTTCATAGAGCAGGTTTGAAACACTCTTTCTGTAGTATCTGCAAGCTGACGTTTCAAGCGCTTTCAGGCCTATGGTGAGAAAGGAAATATCTTCAAGTAAAAACTAGACAGAAGCATTCTCAGAAACTTATTTGCGATGTGTGTTCTCAACTAACAGAGTTGAACCTTTGTTTTGATATGGCATTTTGGAAACACTCTTTTTGTAGAATCTGCAGGTGGATATTCGGATAGCTTTGAAGGTTTCGTTGGAAACGGGAATATCTTCATATAAAATCTAGACGGAAGCATTCTCAGTAAACTGCTTTGTGATGTTTTCATTCAAGTCACAGAGTAGAATGTTCCCTTTTATATACCAGGTTTGAGACACTCTTTCTGCACTACCTGGAAGTGGACATTTGGAGCGCTTTGAGGCCTATGATGAAAAAGGAAATATCTTCCCATAAAAACTAGACAGAAGCATTCTCAGAAACTTGTTTGTGATGTGTGTATTCAACTAACAGAGATGAACCTTTCTTTTTACAGAGCAGTTTTGAAACACTCTTTTTGTGGAATCTGAAAGTGGATATTTGGATAGCTTTGAGGATTTCGTTGGAAACGGGATTACATATAAAACCTAGAGAGAAGCATTCTCAGGAACTTCTTTGTGATGTTTGCATTCACGTCACAGAACTGAACATTCCCTTTCATAGAGCATGTTTGAAACACTCTTTCTGTAGTATCTGCAAACGGACATTTCAAACGCTTTCAGGCCTATGGTGAGAAAGGAAATATCTTCAAATAAAAACTAGACAGAAGCATTCTCAGAAACTTCTTTGTGCTGTATGTCCTCAATTAACAGAGTTGAACCTTTGTGTGGATACAGCATTTTGGAAACATTCCTTTAGTAGAATCTGCAAGTTGATATTTAGATAGCTAGGAAGATTTCCTTGGAAACGGGAATATCTTCATATAAAATCTAGACGGAAGCATTCTCAGAAACTGCTTTGTGATGTTTTCATTCAAGTCACAGAGTAGAATGTTCCCTGTTATATACCAGGTTTGAGACACTCTTTCTGCACTACCTGGAAGTGGACGTTTGGAGCGCTTTGAGGCCTATGTTGAAAAAGGAAATATCTTCCCATAAAAACTAGACAGAAGCATTCTCAGAAACTTGTTTGTGATGTGTGTATTCAACTAACAGAGATGAACCTTTCTTTTTACAGAGCAGTTTTGAAACACTCTTTTTGTGGAATCTGAAAGTGGATATTTGGATAGCTTTGAGGATTTCGTTGGAAACGGGATTACATATAAAACCTAGAGAGAAGCATTCTCAGGAACTTCTTTGTGATGTTTGCATTCAAGTCACAGAACTGAACATTCCCTTTCATAGATCAGGTTTGAAACACTCTTTCTGTAGTATCTGCAAGCGGACGTTTTAAGCGCTTTCAGGCCTGTGGTGAGAAAGGAAATATCTTCAAATAAAAACTAGACAGAAGCATTCTCAGAAACTTATTTGCGATGTGTGTCCTCAACTAACAGAGTTGAACCTTTCTTTTGATACAACATTTTGGAAACACTCTTTTTGTAGAATCTGCAAGTGGATATTTGGATAGCTTTGAAGGTTTCGTTGGAAACGGGAATATCTTCATATGAAATCAAGACAGAAGCATTCTCAGAAAGTGCTTTGTGATGTTTGCATTCAAGTCACAGAGTTGAATATTCCCTTTTATAGAGCAGGTTTGAAACACTCTTTCTGCACTACCTGGAAGTGGACATTTGGAGCGCTTTGAGGCCTATGTTGAAAAAGGAAATATCTTCCCATAAAAACTAGACAGAAGCATTCTCAGAAACTTCCTTGTGATGTGTGTACTCAACTAACAGAGTTGAACCTTCCTTTTGACAGAGCCGTTTTGAAACAGTCTTTTTGTAGAATCTGGAAGTAGATATTTGGATACCTTTGAGGATTTCTTTGGAAACGGGATATCTTCATATAAAATCTAGACAGAAGCATTCTCAGGAACTTCTTTGTGATGTTTGCATTCACGTCACAGAACTGAACATTCCCTTTCATAGAGCATATTTGAAACACTCTTTCTGTAGTATCTGCAAACGGACATTTCAAACGCTTTCAGGCCTATGGTGAGAAAGGAAATATCTTCAAATAAAAACTAGACAGAAGCATTCTCAGAAACTTATTTGCGATGTGTGTCCTCAACTAACAGAGTTGAACCTTTCTTTTGATACAACATTTTGGAAACACTCTTTTTGTAGAATCTGCAAGTGGATATTTGAATAGCTTTGAAGGTTTCGTTGGAAACGGGAATATCTTCATATAAAATCAAGACAGAAGCATTCTCAGAAACTTCTCTGTGATGTTTGCATTCAACTCATAGAGTTGAACACTTCCCTTCATACAGCAGGTTTGAAACACTCTTTTTGTAATATTTGGAAGTGGACATTTGCAGCGCTTGAGGCCTATGATGAAAAAGGTAATATCTTCCCATAAAAACTAGACAGAAGCATTCTCAGAAACTTGTTTGTGATGTGTGTATTCAACTAACAGAGATGAACCTTTCTTCTTACAGCGCAGTTTTGAAACACTCTTTTTGTAGAATCTGGAAGTAGATATTTGGATACATTTGAGGATTTCTTTGGAAACGAGATATCTTCATATAAAATCTAGACAGAAGCATTCTCAGGAACTTCTTTGTGATGTTTGCCTTCAAGTCACAGGACTGAACATTCCCTTTCATAGAGCAGGTTTGAAACACTCTTTCTGTAGTATCTGCAAGCTGACGTTTCAAGCGCTTTCAGGCCTATGGTGAGAAAGGAAATATCTTCAAGTAAAAACTAGACAGAAGCATTGTCAGAAACTTATTTGCCATGTGTGTTCTCAACTAACAGAGTTGAACCTTTGTTTTGATACGGCATTTTGGAAACACTCTTTTTGTAGAATCTGCAGGTGGATATTCGGATAGCTTTGAAGGTTTCGTTGGAAACGGGAATATCTTCATATAAAATCTAGACGGAAGCATTCTCAGAAACTGCTTTGTGATGTTTTCATTCAAGTCACAGAGTAGAATGTTCCCTGTTATATACCAGGTTTGAGACACTCTTTCTGCACTACCTGGAAGTGGACGTTTGGAGCGCTTTGAGGCCTTTGTTGAAAAAGGAAATATCTTCCCATAAAAACTAGACAGAAGCATTCTCAGAAACTTGTTTTTGATGTGTGTATTCAACTAACAGAGATGAACCTTTCTTTTTACAGAGCAGTTTTGAAACACTCTTTTTGTGGAATCTGAAAGTGGATATTTGGATAGCTTTGAGGAATTCGTTGGAAACGGGATTACATATAAAATCTAGAGAGAAGCATTCTCAGGAACTTCTTTGTGATGTTTGCATTCAAGTCACAGAACTGAACATTCCCTTTCATAGAGCAGGTTTGAAACAGTCTTTCTGTAGTATCTGCAAGCTGACGTTTCAAGCGCTTTCAGGCCTATGGTGAGAAAGGAAATATCTTCAAGTAAAAACTAGACAGAAGCATTCTCAGAAACTTATTTGCCATGTGTTTTCTCAACTAACAGAGTTGAACCTTTGTTTTGATACGGCATTTTGGAAACACTCTTTTTGTAGAATCTGCAGGCGCATATTCGGATAGCTTTGAAGGTTTCGTTGGAAACGGGAATATCTTCATATAAAATCTAGACGGAAGCATTCTCAGAAACTGCTTTGTGATGTTTTCATTCAAGTCACAGAGTAGAATGTTCCCTTTTATATACCAGGTTTGAGACACTCTTTCTGCACTATCTGGAAGTGGACATTTGGAGCGCTTTGAGGCCTATGATGAAAAAGGAAATATCTTCCCATAAAAACTAGACAGAAGCATTCTCAGAAACTTGTTTGTGATGTGTGTATTCAACTAACAGAGATGAACCTTTCTTTTTACAGAGCAGTTTTGAAACACTCTTTTTGTGGAATCTGAAAGTGGATATTTGGATAGCTTTGAGGATTTCGTTGGAAACGGGATTACATATAAAATCTAGAGAGAAGCATTCTCAGGAACTTCTTTGTGATGTTTGCATTCAAGTCACAGAACTGAACATTCCCTTTCATAGAGCAGGTTTGAAACACTCTTTCTGTAGTATCTGCAAGCGGACGTTTTAAGCGCTTTCAGGCCTGTGGTGAGAAAGGAAATATCTTCAAATAAAAACTAGACAGAAGCATTCTCAGAAACTTATTTGCGATGTGTGTCCTCAACTAACAGAGTTGAACCTTTCTTTTGATACAACATTTTGGAACCACTCTTTTTGTAGAATCTGCAAGTGGATATTTGGATAGCTTTGAAGGTTTCGTTGGAAACGGAAATATCTTCATATAAAATCAACACAGAAGCATTCTCAGAAACTGCTTTGTGATGTTTTCATTCAAGTCACAGAGTAGAATGTTCCCTGTTATATACCAGGTTTGAGACACTCTTTCTGCACTACCTGGAAGTGGACATTTGCAGCGCTTTGAGGCCTATGATGAAAAAGGAAATATCTTCCCATAAAAACTAGACAGAAGCATTCTCAGAAACTTGTTTGTGATGTGTGTATTCAACTAACAGAGATGAACCTTTCTTTTTACAGAGCAGTTTTGAAACACTCTTTTTGTGGAATCTGAAAGTGGATATTTGGATAGCTTTGAGGATTTCCTTGGAAACGGGATTACATATAAAACCTAGAGAGAAGCATTCTCAGGAACTTCTTTGTGATGTTTGCATTCAAGTCACAGAACTGAACATTCCCTTTCATAGAGCAGGTTTGAAACACTCTTTCTGTAGTATCTGCAAGCTGACGTTTCAAGCGCTTTCAGGCCTATGGTGAGAAAGGAAATATCTTCAAGTAAAAACTAGACAGAAGCATTCTCAGAAACTTATTTGCGATGTGTGTTCTCAACTAACAGAGTTGAACCTTTGTTTTGATATGACATTTTGGAAACACTCTTTTTGTAGAATCTGCAGGTGGATATTCGGATAGCTTTGAAGGTTTCGTTGGAAACGGGAATATCTTCATATAAAATCTAGACGGAAGCATTCTCAGAAAGTGCTTTGTGATGTTTGCATTCAAGTCACAGAGTTGAATATTCCCTTTTATAGAGCAGGTTTGAAACACTCTTTCTGCACTACCTGGAAGTGGACATTTGGAGCGCTTTGAGGCCTATGTTGAAAAAGGAAATATCTTCCCATAAAAACTAGACAGAAGCATTCTCAGAAACTTGTTTGTGATGTGTGTATTCAACTAACAGAGATGAACCTTTCTTTTTACAGAGCAGTTTTGAAACACTCTTTTTGTGGAATCTGAAAGTGGATATTTGGATAGCTTTGAGGATTTCGTTGGAAACGGGATTACATATAAAATCTAGAGAGAAGCATTCTCAGGAACTTCTTTGTGATGTTTGCATTCAAGTCACAGAACTGAACATTCCCTTTCATAGAGCAGGTTTGAAACACTCTTTCTGTAGTATCTGCAAGCTGACGTTTCAAGCGCTTTCAGGCCTATGGTGAGAAAGGAAATATCTTCAAGTAAAAACTAGACAGAAGCATTCTCAGAAACTTATTTGCCATGTGTGTTCTCAACTAACAGAGTTGAACCTTTGTTTTGATATGGCATTTTGGAAACCCTCTTTTTGTAGAATCTGCAGGTGGATATTCGGATAGCTTTGAAGGTTTCGTTGGAAACGGGAATATCTTCATATAAAATCTAGACGGAAGCATTCTCAGAAACTGCTTTGTGATGTCTTCATTCAAGTCACAGAGTAGAATGTTACCTTTTATAGAGCAGGTTTGAAACACTCTGTGCACTACCTGGAAGTGGACATTTGGAGCGCTTTGAGGCCTATGTTGAAAAAGGAAATATCTTCCCATAGAAACTAGACAGAAGCATTCTCAGAAACTTGTTTGTGATGTGTGTATTCAACTAACAGAGATGAACCTTTCTTTTTACAGAGCAGTTTTGAAACACTCTTTTTGTGGAATCTGAAAGTGGATATTTGGATAGCTTTGAGGATTTCGTTGGAAACGGGATTACATATAAAACCTAGAGAGAAGCATTCTCAGGAACTTCTTTGTGATGTTTGCATTCACGTCACAGAACTGAACATTCCCTTTCATAGAGCATGTTTGAAACACTCTTTCTGTAGTATCTGCAAACGGACATTTCAAACGCTTTCAGGCCTATGGTGAGAAAGGAAATATCTTCAAATAAAAACTAGACAGAAGCATTCTCAGAAACTTCTTTGTGCTGTATGTCCTCAATTAACAGAGTTGAACCTTTGTGTGGATACAGCATTTTGGAAACATTCCTTTAGTAGAATCTGCAAGTTGATATTTAGATAGCTAGGAAGATTTCCTTGGAAACGGGAATATCTTCATATAAAATCTAGACGGAAGCATTCTCAGAAACTGCTTTGTGATGTTTTCATTCAAGTCACAGAGAAGAATGTTCCCTTTTATATACCAGGTTTGAGACACTCTTTCTGCACTATCTGGAAGTGGACATTTGGAGCGCTTTGAGGCCTATGTTGAAAAAGGAAATATCTTCTCCTAAAAACCAGACAGAAGCATTCTCAGAAACTTGTTTGTGATGTGTGTATTCAACTGAGTTGAACTTTCTTTTTACAGAGCAATTTTGAAACACTCTTTTTGTGGAATCTGAGAGTGGATATTTGGATAGCTTTGAGGATTTCGTTGGAAACGGGATTACATATAAACTCTAGAGAGAAGCATTCTCAGGAACTTCTTTGTGATGTTTGAATTCAAGTCACAGAATTGAACATTCCCTTTCATAGAGCAGGTTTGAAACACTCTTTCTGTAGTATCTGCAAGTGGACATTTCAAGCGCTTTCAGGCCTATGGTGAGAAAGGAAATATCTTCAAATAAAAACTGGACATAAACATTCTCAGAAACTTATTAGTGATGTGTGTCCCCAACTAACAGAGTTGAACCTTTGTTTTGATACAGCATTTTGGAAACACTGTTTTTGTAGAATCTGCGGGTGGATATTTGGATAGCTTTGAAGATTTTGTTGGAAACGGAAATATCTTCATATAAAATCAAGAAAGAAGCATTCTCAGAAACTTCTCTGTGATGTTTGCATTCAACTCATAGAGTTGAACACTTCCCTTCATACAGCAGGTTTGAAACACTCTTTTTGTAATATTTGGAAGTGGACATTTGCAGCGCTTTGAGGCCTATGATGAAAAAGGAAATATCTTCCCATAAAAACTAGACAGAAGCATTCTCAGAAACTTGTTTGTGATGTGTGTATTCAACTAACAGAGATGAACCTTTCTTTTTACAGAGCAGTTTTGAAACACTCTTTTTGTGGAATCTGAAAGTGGATATTTGGATAGCTTTGAGGATTTCGTTGGAAACGGGATTACATATAAAATCTAGAGAGAAGCATTCTCAGGAACTTCTTTGTGATGTTTGCATTCAAGTCACAGAACTGAACATTCCCTTTCATAGAGCAGGTTTGAAACACTCTTTCTGTAGTATCTGCAAGCGGACGTTTGAAGCGCTTTCAGGCCTGTGGTGAAAAAGGAAATATCTTCACATAAAAACTAGACAGAAAGCATTCTCAGAAACTTATTTGCCATGTGTGTTCTCAACTAACAGAGTTGAACCTTTGTTTTGATACGGCATTTTGGAAACACTCTTTTTGTAGAATCTGCAGGTGGATATTCGGATAGCTTTGAAGGTTTCGTTGGAAACGGGAATATCTTCATATAAAACCTTGACGGAAGCATTCTCAGAAAGTGCTTTGTGATGTTTGCATTCAGGTCACAGAGTTGAATATTCCGTTTTATAGAGCAGGTTTGAAACACTCTTTCTGCACTACCTGGAAGTGGACATTTGGAGCGCTTTGAGGCCTATGTTGAAAAAGGAAATATCTTCCCATAAAAACTAGACAGAAGCATTCTCAGAAACTTCCTTGTGATGTGTGTACTCAAGTAACAGAGTTGAACCTTACTTTTGACAGAGCCGTTTTGAAACAGTCTTTTTGTAGAATCTGGAAGTAGATATTTGGATACCTTTGAGGATTTCTTTGGAAACGGGATATCTTCATATAAAATCTAGACAGAAAGCATTCTCAGGTAACTTCTTTGTGATGTTTGCATTCAAGTCACAGAACTCAACATTCCCTTTCATAGAGCAGGTTTGAAACACTCTTTCTGTAGTATCTGCAAGCTGACGTTTCAAGCGCTTTCAGGCCTATGGTGAGAAAGGAAATATCTTCAAGTAAAAACTAGACAGAAGCATTCTCAGAAACTTATTTGCGATGTGTGTTCTCAACTAACAGAGTTGAACCTTTGTTTTGATATGGCATTTTGGAAACACTCTTTTTGTAGAATCTGCAGGTGGATATTCGGATAGCTTTGAAGGTTTCGTTGGAAACGGGAATATCTTCATATAAAATCTAGACGGAAGCATTCTCAGAAAGTGCTTTGTGATGTTTGCATTCAAGTCACAGAGTTGAATATTCCCTTTTATAGAGCAGGTTTGAAACACTCTTTCTGCACTACCTGGAAGTGGACATTTGGAGCGCTTTGAGGCCTATGTTGAAAAAGGAAATATCTTCCCATAAAAACTAGACAGAAGCATTCTCAGAAACTTGTTTGTGATGTGTGTATTCAACTAACAGAGATGAACCTTTCTTTTTACAGAGCAGTTTTGAAACACTCTTTTTGTGGAATCTGAAAGTGGATATTTGGATAGCTTTGAGGATTTCGTTGGAAACGGGATTACATATAAAACCTAGAGAGAAGCATTCTCAGGAACTTCTTTGTGATGTTTGCATTCAAGTCACAGAACTGAACATTCCCTTTCATAGAGCAGGTTTGAAACACTCTTTCTGTAGTATCTGCAAGCGGACGTTTTAAGCGCTTTCAGGCCTGTGGTGAGAAAGGAAATATCTTCAAGTAAAAACTAGACAGAAGCATTCTCAGAAACTTATTTGCCATGCGTGTTCTCAACTAACAGAGTTGAACCTTTGTTTTGATACGGCATTTTGGAAACAGTCTTTTTGTAGAATCTGCAGGTGGATATTCGGATAGCTTTGAAGGTTTCGTTGGAAACGGGAATATCTTCATATAAAATCTAGACGGAAGCATTCTCAGAAACTGCTTTGTGATGTTTTCATTCAAGTCACAGAGTAGAATCTTCCCTGTTATATACCAGGTTTCAGACACTCTTTCTGCACTACCTGGAAGTGGACATTTGCAGCGCTTTGAGGCCTATGATGAAAAAGGAAATATCTTCCCATAAAAACTAGACAGAAGCATTCTCAGAAACTTGTTTGTGATGTGTGTATTCAACTAACAGAGATGAACCTTTCTTTTTACAGAGCAGTTTTGAAACACTCTTTTTGTGGAATCTGAAAGTGGATATTTGGATAGCTTTGCGGATTTCGTTGGAAACGGGATTACATATAAAATCTAGGGAGAAGCATTCTCAGGAACTTCTTTGTGATGTTTGCATTCAAGTCACAGAACTGAACATTCCCTTTCATAGAGCAGGTTTGAAACAGTCTTTCTGTAGTATCTGCAAGCTGACGTTTCAAGCGCTTTCAGGCCTATGGTGAGAAAGGAAATATCTTCAAGTAAAAACTAGACAGAAGCATTCTCAGAAACTTATTTGCCATGTGTGTTCTCAACTAACAGAGTTGAACCTTTGTTTGGATACAACATTTTGGAAACACTCTTTTTGTAGAATCTGCAAGTGGATATTTGGATAGCTTTGAAGGTTTCGTTGGAAACGGGAATATCTTGATATAAAATCAAGACAGAAGCATTCTCAGAAACTTCTCTGTGATGTTTGCATTCAACTCATAGAGTTGAACACTTCCCTTCATACAGCAGGTTTGAAACACTCTTTTTGTAATATTTGGAAGTGGACATTTGCAGCGCTTTGAGGCCTATGATGAAAAAGGAAATGTCTTCCCATAAAAACTAGACAGAAGCATTCTCAGAAACTTATTTGTGATGTGTATATTCAACTAACAGAGATGAACCATTCTTTTTACAGAGCAGGTTTGAAACACTCTTTTTGTGGAATCTGAAAGTGGATAATTGGATAGCTTTGAGGATTTCGTTGGAAACGGGATTACATATAAAATCTAGGGAGAAGCATTCTCAGGAACTTCTTTCTGATGTTTGCATTCAAGTCACAGAACTGAACATTCCCTTTCATAGAGCAGGTTTGAAACACTCTTTCTGTAGTATCTGCAAGCGGACGTTTCAAGCGATTTCAGGCATGTGGTGAAAAAGGAAATATCTTCAAATAAGAACTAGACAGAAGCATTCTCAGAAACTTATTTAACATGTGTGTTCTCAACTAACAGAGTTGAACCTTTGTTTTGATACGGCATTTTGGAAACACTCTTTTTGTAGAATCTGCTGGCGGATATTCGGATAGCTTTGAAGGTTTCGTTGGAAACGGGAATATCTTCATAGAAAATCTAGACGGAAGCATTCTCAGAAACTGCTTTGTGATGTTTTCATTCAAGTCACAGAGTAGAATGTTCTCTTTTATATACCAGGTTTGAGACACTCTTTCTGCACTATCTGGAAGTGGACATTTGGAGCGCTTTGAGGCCTATGATGAAAAAGGAAATATCTTCCCATAAAAACTAGACAGAAGCATTCTCAGAAACTTGGTTGTGATGTGTGTATTCAACTAACAGAGATGAACCTTTCTTTTTACAGAGCAGTTTTGAAACACTCTTTTTGTGGAATCTGAAAGTGCATATTTGGATAGCTTTGAGGATTTCGTTGGAAACGGGATTACATATAAAATCTAGAGAGAAGCATTCTCAGGAACTTCTTTGTGATGTTTGCATTCAAGTCACAGAACTGAACATTCCCTTTCATAGAGCAGGTTTGAAACACTCTTTCTGTAGTATCTGCAAGCGGACGTTTTAAGCGCTTTCAGGCCTGTGGTGAGAAAGGAAATATCTTCAAATAAAAACTAGACAGAAGCATTCTCAGAAACTTATTTGCCATGTGTGTTCTCAACTAACAGAGTTGAACCTTTGTTTTGATACGGCATTTTGGAAACACTCTTTTTGTAGAATCTGCAGGTGGATATTCGGATAGCTTTGAAGGTTTCGTTGGAAACGGGAATATCTTCATATAAAATCTAGACGGAAGCATTCTCAGAAACTTCTCTGTGATGTTTGCATTCAACTCATAGAGTTGAACACTTCCCTTCATACAGCAGGTTTGAAACACTCTTTTTGTAATATTTGGAAGTGGACATTTGCAGCGATTTGAGGCCTATGATGAAAAAGGTAATATCTTCCCATAAAAACTAGACAGAAGCATTCTCAGAAACTTGTTTGTGATGTGTGTATTCAACTAACAGAGATGAACCTTTCTTTTTACAGAGCAGTTTTGAAACACTCTTTTTGTGGAATCTGAAAGTGGATATTTGGATAGCTTTGCGGATTTCGTTGGAAACGGGATTACATATAAAATCTAGGGAGAAGCATTCTCAGGAACTTCTTTGTGATGTTTGCATTCAAGTCACAGAACTGAACATTCCCTTTCATAGAGCAGGTTTGAAACACTCTTTCTGTAGTATCTGCAAGCTGACGTTTCAAGCGCTTTCAGGCCTATGGTGAGAAAGGAAATATCTTCAAGTAAAAACTAGACAGAAGCATTCTCAGAAACTTCTTTGTGCTGTATGTCCTCAATTAACAGAGTTGAACCTTTGTGTGGATACAGCATTTTGGAAACATTCCTTTAGTAGAATCTGCAAGTTGATATTTAGATAGCTAGGAAGATTTCCTTGGAAACGGGAATATCTTCATATAAAATCTAGACGGAAGCATTCTCAGAAACTGCTTTGTGATGTTTTCATTCAAGTCACAGAGTTGAATGTTCCCTGTTATATACCAGGTTTGAGACACTCTTTCTGCACTACCCGGAAGTGGACGTTTGGAGCGCTTTGAGGCCAATGTTGAAAAAGGAAATATCTTCCCATAAAAACTAGACAGAAGCATTCTCAGAATCTTTCTTGTGATGTGTGTACTCAAGTAACAGAGTTGAACCTTCATTTTGACAGAGCAGTTTTGAAGCACTCTTTTTGTACAATCTGCAAGTGGATATTTTGATACCTTTGAGTATTTCGTTGGACACGGGATATCTTAATATAATATCTAGACAGAAGCATTCTCAGGAACTTCTTTGTGATGTTTGCATTCAAGTCACAGAACTGAACATTCCCTTTCATAGAGCAGGTTTGAAACACTCTTTCTGTAGTATCTGCAAGCTGACGTTTCAAGCGCTTTCAGGCCTATGGTGAGAAAGGAAATATCTTCAAGTAAAAACTAGACAGAAGCATTCTCAGAAACTTATTTGCGATGTGTGTCCTCAACTAACAGAGTTGAACCTTTCTTTTGATACAACATTTTGGAAACACTCTTTTTGTAGAATCTGCAAGTGGATATTTGAATAGCTTTGAAGGTTTCGTTGGAAATGGGAATATCTTCATATAAAATCAAGACAGAAGCATTCTCAGAAACTTCTCTGTGATGTTTGCATTCAACTCATAGAGTTGAACACTTCCCTTCATACAGCAGGTTTGAAACACTCTTTTTGTAATATTTGGAAGTGGACATTTGCAGCGCTTTGAGGCCTATGATGAAAAAGGTAATATCTTCCCATAAAAACTAGACAGAAGCATTCTCAGAAACTTGTTTGTGATGTGTGTATTCAACTAACAGAGATGAACCTTTCTTTTTACCGAGCAGTTTTGAAACACTCTTTTTGTGGAATCTGAAAGTGGATATTTGGATAGCTTTGCGGATTTCGTTGGAAACGGGATTACATATAAAATCTAGGGAGAAGCATTCTCAGGAACTTCTTTGTGATGTTTGCATTCAAGTCACAGAACTGAACATTCCCTTTCATAGAGCATGTTTGAAACACTCTTTCTGTAGTATCTGCAAACGGACATTTCAAACGCTTTCAGGCCTATGGTGAGAAAGGAAATATCTTCAAATAAAAACTAGACAGAAGCATTCTCAGAAACTTATTTGCGATGTGTGTCCTCAACTAACAGAGTTGAACCTTTCTTTTGATACAACATTTTGGAAACACTCTTTTTGTAGAATCTGCAAGTGGATATTTGGATAGCTTTGAAGGTTTCGTTGGAAACGGGAATATCTTCATATGAAATCAAGACAGAAGCATTCTCAGAAACTTCTCTGTGATGTTTGCATTCAACTCATAGAGTTGAACACTTCCCTTCATACAGCAGGTTTGAAACACTCTTTTTGTAATATTTGGAAGTGGACATTTGCAGCGCTTTGAGGCCTATGATGAAAAAGGAAATATCTTCCCATAAAAACTAGACAGAAGCATTCTCAGAAACTTGTTTGTGATGTGTGTATTCAACTAACAGAGATGAACCTTTCTTTTTACAGAGCAGTTTTGAAACACTCTTTTTGTGGAATCTGAAAGTGGATATTTGGATAGCTTTGAGGATTTCGTTGGAAACGGGATTACATAGAAAATCTAGAGAGAAGCATTCTCAGGAACTTCTTTGTGATGTTTGCATTCAAGTCACAGAACTGAACATTCCCTTTCATAGAGCAGGTTTGAAACACTCTTTCTGTAGTATCTGCAAGCGGACGTTTTAAGCGCTTTCAGGCCTGTGGTGAGAAAGGAAATATCTTCAAATAAAAACTAGACAGAAGCATTCTCAGAAACTTATTTGCCATGTGTGTTCTCAACTAACAGAGTTGAACCTTTGTTTTGATACGGCATTTTGGAAACACTCTTTTTGTAGAATCTGCAGGTGGATATTCGGATAGCTTTGAAGGTTTCGTTGGAAACGGGAATATCTTCATATAAAATCTAGACGGAAGCTTTCTCAGAAACTGCTTTGTGATGTTTTCATTCAAGTCACAGAGTAGAATGTTCCCTGTTATATACCAGGTTTGAGACACTCTTTCTGCACTACCTGGAAGTGGACATTTGCAGCGCTTTGAGGCCTATGATGAAAAAGGAAATATCTTCCCATAAAAACTAGACAGAAGCATTCTCAGAAACTTCCTTGTTATGTGTGTACTCAGGTAACAGAGTTGAACCTTCCTTTTGACAGTGCCGTTTTGAAACACTCTTTTTGTAGAATCTGCAAGTAGATATTTGGATACCTTTGAGGATTTCTTTGGAAACGGGATATCTTCATATAAAATCTAGACAGAAGCATTCTCAGGAACTTCTTTGTGATGTTTGCATTCACGTCACAGAACTGAACATTCCCTTTCATAGAGCATGTTTGAAACACTCTTTCTGTAGTATCTGCAAACGGACATTTCAAACGCTTTCAGGCCTATGGTGAGAAAGGAAATATCTTCAAATAAAAACTAGACAGAAGCATTCTCAGAAACATATTTGCCATGTGTGTTCTCAACTAACAGAGTTGAACCTTTGTTTTGATACGGCATTTTGGAAACACTCTTTTTGTAGTATCTGCAGGTGGATATTCGGATAGCTTTGAAGGTTTCGTTGGAAACGGGAATATCTTCATATAAAATCTAGACGGAAGCATTCTCAGTAAAGTGCTTTGTGATGTTTGCATTCAAGTCACAGAGTTGAATATTCCCTTTTATAGAGCAGGTTTGAAACACTCTTTCTGCACTACCTGGAAGTGGACATTTGGAGCGCTTTGAGGCCTATGTTGAAAAAGGGAATATCTTCCCATAAAAACTAGACAGAAGCATTCTCAGAAACTTGTTTGTGATGTGTGTATTCAACTAACAGAGATGAACCTTTCTTTTTACAGAGCAGTTTTTAAACACTCTTTTTGTGGAATCTGAAAGTGGATATTTGGATAGCTTTGAGGATTTCGTTGGAAACGGGATTACATATAAAATCTAGAGAGAAGCATTCTCAGGAACTTCTTTGTGATGTTTGCATTCACGTCACAGAACTGAACTTTCCTTTTCATAGAGCATGTTTGAAACACTCTTTCTATACTACCTGCAAGCGGACATTTCAAGCGCTTTCAGGCCTATGGTGAGAAAGGAAATATCTTCAAATAAAAACTAGACAGAAGCATTCTCAGATACTTATTTGCGATGTGTGTCCTCAACTAACAGAGTTGAACCTTTTTTTTGATACAGCACTTTGGAAACACTCTTTTGGTAGAATCTGCAGGTGGATACTTGGATAGATTTGAAGGTTTCGTTGGAAACGGGAATATCTTCATATAAAATCAAGAAGGAAGCATTCTCAGAAACTGCTTTGTGATGTTTGCATTCAAGTCAGAGAGTAGAATATTCCCTGTTATATACCAGGTTTGAGACACTCTTTCTGCACTACCTGGAAGTGGACATTTGGAGCGCTTTGAGGCCTATGATGAAAAAGGAAATATCTTCCCATAAAAACTAGACAGAAGCATTCTCAGAAACTTGTTTGTGATGTGTGTATTCAACTAACAGAGATGAACCTTTCTTTTTACAGAGCAGTTTTGAAACACTCTTTTTGTGGAATCTGAAAGTGGATATTTGGATAGCTTTGAGGATTTCGTTGGAAACGGGATTACATATAAAATCTAGAGAGAAGCATTCTCAGGAACTTCTTTGTGATGTTTGCATTCACGTCACAGAACTGAACATTCCCTTTCATAGAGCATGTTTGAAACACTCTTTCTGTAGTATCTGCAAACGGACATTTCAAACGCTTTCAGGCCTATGGTGAGAAAGGAAATATCTTCAAGTAAAAACTAGACAGAAGCATTGTCAGAAACTTATTTGCCATGTGTGTTCTCAACTAACAGAGTTGAACCTTTGTTTTGATACGGCATTTTGGAAACACTCTTTTTGTAGAATCTGCAGGTGGATATTCGGATAGCTTTGAAGGTTTCGTTGGAAACGGGAATATCTTCATATAAAATCTAGACGGAAGCATTCTCAGAAACTGCTTTGTGATGTTTTCATTCAAGTCACAGAGTAGAATGTTCCCTTTTATATACCAGGTTTGAGACACTCTTTCTGCACTATCTGGAAGTGGACATTTGGAGCGCTTTGAGGCCTATGATGAAAAAGGAAATATCTTCCCATAAAAACTAGACAGAAGCATTCTCAGAAACTTGTTTGTGATGTGTGTATTCAACTAACAGAGATGAACCTTTCTTTTTTCAGAGCAGTTTTGAAACACTCTTTTTGTGGAATCTGAAAGTGGATATTTGGATAGCTTTGAGGATTTCGTTGGAAACGGGATTACATATAAAATCTAGAGAGAAGCATTCTCAGGAACTACTTTGTGATGTTTGCATTCACATCACAGAACTGAACATTCCCTTTCACAGAGCATGTTTGAAACACTCTTTCTGTAGTATCTGCAAACGGACATTTCAAGCGCTTTCACGCCTATGGTAAGAAAGGAAATATCTTCAAATAAAAACTAGACAGAAGCATTCTCAGAAACTTATTTGCGATGTGTGTCCTCAACTAACACAGTTGAACCTTTCTTTTGATACAACATTTTGGAAACACTCTTTATGTGGAATCTGCAAGTGGATATTTGGATAGCTTTGAAGGTTTCGTTGGAAACGGGAATATGTTCATATATAATCAAGACAGAAGCATTCTCAGAAACTTCTCTGTGATGTTTGCATTCAACTCATAGAGTTGAACACTTCCCTTCATACAGCAGGTTTGAAACACTCTTTTTGTAATATTTGGAAGTGGACATTTGCAGCGCTTTGAGGCCTATGATGAAAAAGGAAATATCTTCCCATAAAAACTAGACAGGAAGCATTCTCAGAAACTTGTTTGTGATGTGTGTATTCAACTAACAGAGATGAACCTTTCTTTTTACAGAGCAGTTTTTAAACTCTCTTTTTGTGGAATCTGAAAGTGGATATTTGGATAGCTTCGAGGATTTCGTTGGAAACGGGATTACATATAAAATCTAGAGAGAAGCATTCTCAGGAACTTCTTTGTGATGTTTGCATTCAAGTCACAGAACTGAACATTCCCTTTCGTAGAGCATGTTTGAAACACTCTTTCTGTAGTTTCTGCAAGCGGACGTTTCAAGCGCTTTCAGGCCTATGGTGAGAAAGGAAATATCTTCAAGTAAAAACTAGACAGAAGCATTCTCAGAAACTTATTTGCGATGTGTGTTCTCAACTAACAGAGTTGAACCTTTGTTTTGATATGGCATTTTGGAAACACTCTTTTTGTAGAATCTGCAGGTGGATATTCGGATAGCTTTGAAGGTTTCGTTGGAAACGGGAATATCTTCATATAAAATCTAGACGGAAGCATTCTCAGAAACTGCTTTGTGATGTTTTCATTCAAGTCACAGAGTAGAATGTTCCCTGTTATACACCAGGTTTGAGACACTCTTTCTGCACTACCTGGAAGTGGACGTTTGGAGCGCTTTGAGGCCTATGTTGAAAAAGGAAATATCTTCCCATAAAAACTAGACAGAAGCATTCTCAGAAACTTGTTTGTGATGTGTGTATTCAACTAACAGAGATGAACCTTTCTTTTTACAGAGCAGTTTTGAAACACTCTTTTTGTGGAATCTGAAAGTGGATATTTGGATAGCTTTGCGGATTTCGTTGGAAACTGGATTACATATAAAATCTAGGGAGAAGCATTCTCAGGAACTTCTTTGTGATGTTTGCATTCACGTCACAGAACTGAACATTCCCTTTCATAGAGCATGTTTGAAACACTCTTTCTGTAGTATCTGCAAACGGACATTTCAAACGCTTTCAGGCCTATGGTGAGAAAGGAAATATCTTCAAATAAAAACTAGACAGAAGCATTCTCAGAAACTTATTTGCCATGTGTGTTCTCAACTAACAGAGTTGAACCTTTGTTTTGATACGGCATTTTGGAAACACTCTTTTTGTAGAATCTGCAGGTGGATATACGGATAGCTTTGAAGGTTTCGTTGGAAACGGGAATATCTTCATATAAAGTCTAGACGGAAGCATTCTCAGAAAGTGCTTTGTGATGTTTGCATTCAAGTCACAGAGTTGAATATTCCCTTTTATAGAGCAGGTCTGAAACACTCTTTCTGCACTACCTGGAAGTGGACATTTGGAACGCTTTGAGGCCTATGTTGAAAAAGGAAATATCTTCCCATAAAAACTAGACAGAAGCATTCTCAGAAACTTGTTTGTGATGTGTGTATTCAACTAACAGAGATGAACCTTTCTTTTTACAGAGCAGTTTTGAAACACTCTTTTTGTGGAATCTGAAAGTGGATATTTGGATAGCTTTGAGGATTTCGTTGGAAACGGGATTACATATAAAACCTAGAGAGAAGCATTCTCAGGAACTTCTTTGTGATGTTTGCATTCAAGTCACAGAACTGAACATTCCCTTTCATAGAGCAGGTTTGAAACACTCTTTCTGTAGTATCTGCAAGCGGACGTTTCAAGCGCTTTCAGGCCTGTGGTGAAAAAGGAAATATCTTCAAATAAAAACTAGACAGAAGCATTCTCAGAAACTTATTTGCGATGTGTGTTCTCAACTAAAAGAGTTGAACCTTTGTTTGGATACAACGTTTTGGAAACACTCTTTTTGTAGGATCTGCAAGTGGATATTTGGATAGCTTTGAAGGTTTCGTTGGAAACAGGAATATCTTCATATAAAATCAAGACAGAAGCATTCTCAGAAACTGCTTTGTGATGTTTTCATTCAAGTCACAGAGTAGAATGTTCCCTGTTATATACCAGGTTTGAGACACTCTTTCTGCACTACCTGGAAGTGGACGTTTGGAGCGCTTTGAGGCCTATGTTGAAAAAGGAAATATCTTCCCATAAAAACTAGACAGAAGCATTCTCAGAAACTTGTTTGTGATGTGTGTATTCAACTAACAGAGATGAACCTTTCTTTTTACAGAGCAGTTTTGAAACACTCTTTTTGTGGAATCTGAAAGTGGATATTTGGATAGCTTTGAGGATTTCGTTGGAAACGGGATTACATATAAAACCTAGAGAGAAGCATTCTCAGGAACTTCTTTGTGATGTTTGCATTCAAGTCACAGAACTGAACATTCCCTTTCATAGAGCAGGTTTGAAACACTCTTTCTGTAGTATCTGCAAGCGGACGTTTTAAGCGCTTTCAGGCCTGTGGTGAGAAAGGAAATATCTTCAAATAAAAACTAGACAGAAGCATTCTCAGAAACTTCTTTGTGCTGTATGTCCTCAATTAACAGAGTTGAACCTTTGTGTGGATACAGCATTTTGGAAACATTCCTTTAGTAGAATCTGCAAGTTGATATTTAGATAGCTAGGAAGATTTCCTTGGAAACGGGAATATCTTCATATAAAATCTAGACGGAAGCATTCTCAGAAACTGCTTTGTGATGTTTTCATTCAAGTCACAGAGTAGAATGTTCCCTGTTATATACCAGGTTTGAGACACTCTTTTTGTAATATTTGGAAGTGGACATTTGCAGCGCTTTGAGGCCTATGATGAAAAAGGTAATATCTTCCCATAAAAACTAGACAGAAGCATTCTCAGAAAGTTGTTTGTGATGTGTGTATTCAACTAACAGAGATGAACCTTTCTTTTTACAGAGCAGTTTTGAAACACTCTTTTTGTGGAATCTGAAAGTGGATATTTGGATAGCTTTGCGGATTTCGTTGGAAACGGGATTACATATAAAATCTAGGGAGAAGCATTCTCAGGAACTTCTTTGTGATGTTTGCATTCACGTCACAGAACTGAACATTCCCTTTCATAGAGCATGTTTGAAACACTCTTTCTGTAGTATCTGCAAACGGACATTTCAAACGCTTTCAGGCCTATGGTGAGAAAGGAAATATCTTCAAATAAAAACTAGACAGAAGCATTCTCAGAAACTTATTTGCCATGTGTGTTCTCAACTAACAGAGTTGAACCTTTGTTTTGATACGGCATTTTGGAAACACTCTTTTTGTAGAATCTGCAGGTGGATATACGGATAGCTTTGAAGGTTTCGTTGGAAACGGGAATATCTTCATATAAAGTCTAGACGGAAGCATTCTCAGAAACTGCTTTGTGATGTTTTCATTCAAGTCACAGAGTAGAATGTTCGCTGTTATATACCAGGTTTGAGACACTCTTTCTGCACTACCTGGAAGTGGACGTTTGGAGCGCTTTGAGCCCTATGATGAAAAAGGAAATATCTTCCCATAAAAACTAGACAGAAGCATTCTCAGAAACTTGTTTGTGATGTGTGTATTCAACTAACAGAGATGAACCTTTCTTTTTACAGAGCAGTTTTGAAACACTCTTTTTGTGGAATCTGAAAGTGGATATTTGGATAGCTTTGAGGATTTCGTTGGAAACGGGATTACATATAAAATCTAGAGAGAAGCATTCTAAGGAACATCTTTGTGATGTTTGCATTCAAGTCACAGGACTGAACATTCCCTTTCATAGAGCAGGTTTGAAACACTCTTTCTGTAGTATCTGCAAGCTGACGTTTCAAGCGCTTTCAGGCCTATGGTGAGAAAGGAAATATCTTCAAGTAAAAACTAGACAGAAGCATTCTCAGAAACTTATTTGCGATGTGTGTTCTCAACTAAAAGAGTTGAACCTTTGTTTGGATACAACATTTTGGAAACACTCTTTTTGTGGAATCTGCAAGTGGATATTTGGATAGCTTTGAAGGTTTCGTTGGAAACGGGAATACCTTCATATAAAATCAAGACAGAAGCATTCTCAGAAAGTGCTTTGTGATGTTTGCATTCAAGTCACAGCAGTTGAATATTCCCTTTTATAGAGCAGGTTTGAAACACTCTTTCTGCACTACCTGGAAGTGGACATTTGGAGCGCTTTGAGGCCTATGTTGAAAAAGGAAATATCTTCCCATAAAAACTAGACAGAAGCATTCTCAGAAACTTGTTTGTGATGTGTGTATTCAACTAACAGAGATGAACCTTTCTTTTTACAGAGCAGTTTTGAAACACTCTTTTTGTGGAATCTGAAAGTGGATATTTGGATAGCTTTGAGGATTTCGTTGGAAACGGGATTACATATAAAACCTAGAGAGAAGCATTCTCAGGAACTTCTTTGTGATGTTTGCCTTCAAGTCACAGGACTGAACATTCCCTTTCATAGAGCAGGTTTGAAACACTCTTTCTGTAGTATCTGCAAGCTGACGTTTCAAGCGCTTTCAGGCCTATGGTGAGAAAGGAAATATCTTCAAGTAAAAACTAGACAGAAGCATTCTCAGAAACTTATTTGCCATGTGTGTTCTCAACTAACAGAGTTGAACCTTTATTTTGATACGGCATTTTGGAAACACTCTTTTTGTAGAATCTGCAGGTGGATATTCGGATAGCTTTGAAGGTTTCGTTGGAAACGGGAATATCTTCACATAAAATCTAGACGGAAGCATTCTCAGAAACTGCTTTGTGATGTTTTCATTCAAGTCACCGAGTAGAATGTTCCCTGTTATATACCAGGTTTGAGACACTCTTTCTGCACTACCTGGAAGTGGACATTTGCAGCGCTTTGAGGCCTATGATGAAAAAGGAAATATCTTCCCATAAAAACTAGACAGAAGCATTCTCAGAAACTTGTTTGTGATGTGTGTATTCAACTAACAGAGATGAACCTTTCTTTTTACAGAGAAGTTTTGAAACACTCTTTTTGTGGAATCTGAAAGTGGATATTTGGATAGCTTTGAGGATTTCGTTGGAAACGGGATTACATATAAAATCTAGAGAGAAGCATTCTCAGGAACTTCTTTGTGATGTTTGCATTCAAGTCACAGAACTGAACATTCCCTTTCATAGAGCAGGTTTGAAACACTCTTTCTGTAGTATCTGCAAGCTGACGTTTCAAGCGCTTTCAGGCCTATGGTGAGAAAGGAAATATCTTCAAGTAAAAACTAGACAGAAGCATTCTCAGAAACTTATTTGCGATGTGTGTCCTCAACTAACAGAGTTGAACCTTTCTTTTGATACAACATTTTGGAAACACTCTTTTTGTGGAATCTGCAAGTGGATATTTGGATAGCTTTGAAGATTTCGTTGGAAACGGGAATATCTTCATATAAAATCAAGACAGAAGCATTCTCAGAAAGTGCTTTGTGATGTTTGCATTCAAGTCACAGAGTTGAATATTCCCTTTTATAGAGCAGGTTTGAAACACTCTTTCTGCACTACCTGGAAGTGGACATTTGGAGCGCTTTGAGGCCTATGTTGAAAAAGGAAATATCTTCCCATAAAAACTAGACAGAAGCATTCTCAGAAACTTGTTTGTGATGTGTGTATTCAACTAACAGAGATGAACCTTTCTTTTTACAGAGCAGTTTTGAAACACTCTTTTTGTGGAATCTGAAAGTGGATATTTGGATAGCTTTGAGGATTTCGTTGGAAACGGGATTACATATAAAATCTAGAGAGAAGCATTCTCAGGAACTTCTTTGTGATGTTTGCATTCACGTCACAGAACTGAACATTCCCTTTCATAGAGCATGTTTGAAACACTCTTTCTGTAGTATCTGCAAACGGACATTTCAAACGCTTTCAGGCCTATGGTGAGAAAGGAAATATGCTTCAAATAAAAACTAGACAGAAGCATTCTCAGAAACTTATTTGCGATGTGTGTCCTCAACTAACAGAGTTGAACCTTTCTTTTGATACAACATTTTGGAAACACTCTTTTTGTAGAATCTGCAAGTGGATATTTGAATAGCTTTGAAGGTTTCGTTGGAAACGGGAATATCTTCATATAAAATCAAGACAGAAGCATTCTCAGAAAGTGCTTTGTGATATTTGCATTCAAGTCACAGAGTTGAATATTCCCTTTTATAGAGCAGGTTTGAAACACTCTTTCTGCACTACCTGGAAGTTGACATTTGGAGCGCTTTGAGGCCTATGTTGAAAAAGGAAATATCTTCCCATAAAAACTAGACAGAAGCATTCTCAGAAACTTGTTTGTGATGTGTGTATTCAACTAACAGAGATGAACCTTTCTTTTTACAGAGCAGTTTTGAAACACTCTTTTTGTGGAATCTTAAAGTGGATATTTGGATAGCTTTGAGGATTTTGTTGGAAACGGGATTACATATAAAACCTAGAGAGAAGCATTCTCAAGAACTTCTTTGTGATGTTTTCATTCAAGTCACAGAACTGAACATTCCCTTTCATAGAGCATGTTTGAAACACTCTTACTGTAGTATCTGCAAACGGACATTTCAAACGCTTTCAGGCCTATGGTGAGAAAGGAAATATCTTCAAATAAAAACTAGACAGAAGCATTCTCAGAAACTTATTTGCGATGTGTGTCCTCAACTAACAGAGTTGAACCTTTCTTTTGATACAACATTTTGGAAACACTCTTTTTGTAGAATCTGCAAGTGGATATTTGGATAGCTTTGAAGGTTTCGTTGGAAACGGGAATATCTTCATATGAAATCAAGACAGAAGCATTCTCAGAAACTGCTTTGTGATGTCTTCATTCAAGTCACAGAGTAGAATGTTCCCTTTTATAGAGCAGGTTTGAAACACTCAGTGCACTACCTGGAAGTGGACATTTGGAGCGCTTTGAGGCCTATGTTGAAAAAGGAAATATCTTCCCATAAAAACTAGACAGAAGCATTCTCAGAAACTTGTTTGTGATGTGTGTATTCAACTAACAGAGATGAACCTTTCTTTTTACAGAGCAGTTTTGAAACACTCTTTTTGTGGAATCTGAAAGTGGATATTTGGATAGCTTTGAGGATTTCGTTGGAAACGGGATTACATATAAAATCTAGGGAGAAGCATTCTCAGGAACTTCTTTGTGATGTTTGCATTCAAGTCACAGAACTGAACATTCCCTTTCATAGAGCAGGTTTGAAACACTCTTTCTGTAGTATCTGCAAGCGGACGTTTTAAGCGCTTTCAGGCCTGTGGTGAGAAAGGAAATATCTTCAAATAAAAACTAGACAGAAGCATTCACAGAAACTTATTTGCGATGTGTGTTCTCAACTAACAGAGTTGAACCTTTGTTTTGATACAGCATTTTGGAAACACTCTTTTTGTAGGATCTGCAGGTGGATATTTGGATAGCTTTGAAGGTTTCGTTGGAAACGGGAATATCTTCATATAAAATCAACACAGAAGCATTCTCAGAAACTTCTCTGTGATGTTTGCATTCAACTCATAGAGTTGAACACTTCCTTTCATAGAGCTGGTTTGAAATACTGTTTTTGTAATATTTGGAAGTGGACATTGGCAGCGCTTTGAAGCCTATGGTGAAAAAGGAGATATCTTCTCCTAAAAACCAGACAGAAGTATTCTCAGAATCTTTCTTGTGATGTGTGTACTCAAGTAACAGAGTTGAACCTTCATTTTGACAGAGCAGTTTTGAAGCACTCTTTTTGCAGAATCTACAAGTGGATATTTTGATACCTTTGAGGATTTCGTTGGACACGGGATATCTTCATATAAAATCTAGACAGAAGCATTCTCAGAAACTTCTTTGTGCTGTATGTCCTCAATTAACAGTGTTGAACCTTTGTGTGGATACAGCATTTTGGAAAAACTCCTTTAGTAGAATCTGCAAGTTGATATTTAGATAGCTAGGAAGTTTTCCTTGGAAACGGGAATATCTTCACATAAAATCTAGACGGAAGCATTCTCAGAAACTTGTTTGTGATGTGTGTATTCAACTAACAGAGATGAACCTTTCTTTTTACAGAGCAGTTTTGAAACACTCTTTTTGTGGAATCTGAAAGTGGATATTTGGATAGCTTTGCGGATTTCGTTGGAAACGGGATTACATATAAAATCTAGGGAGAAGCATTCTCAGGAACTTCTTTGTGATGTTTGCATTCACGTCACAGAACTGAACATTCCCTTTCATAGAGCATGTTTGAAACACTCTTTCTGTAGTATCTGAAAACGGACATTTCAAGCGCTTTCAGGCCTATGGTAAGAAAGGAAATATCTTCAAATAAAAACTAGAGAGAAGCATTCTCAGAAACTTATTTGCGATGTGTGTCCTCAACTAACAGAGTTGAACCTTTGTTCTGATACAACATTTTGGAAACACTCTTTTTGTAGAATCTGCAAGTGGATAATTGGATAGCTTTGAAGGTTTCGTTGGAAACGGGAATATCTTCATATAAAATCAAGACAGAAGCATTCTCAGAAAGTGCTTTGTGATGTTTGCATTCAAGTCACAGAGTTGAATATTCCCTTTTATAGAGTAGGTTTGAAACACTCTTTCTGCACTACCTGGAAGTGGACATTTGGAGCGCTTTGAGGCCTATGTTGAAAAAGGAAATATCTTCCCATAAAAACTAGACAGAAGCATTCTCAGAAACTTGTTTGTGATGTGTGTATTCAACTAACAGAGATGAACCTTTCTTTTTACAGAGCAGTTTTGAAACACTCTTTTTGTGGAATCTGAAAGTGGATATTTGGATAGCTTTGCGGATTTCGTTGGAAACGGGATTACATATAAAATCTAGGGAGAAGCATTCTCAGGAACTTCTTTGTGATGTTTGCATTCACGTCACAGAACTGAACATTCCCTTTCATAGAGCATGTTTGAAACACTCTTTCTGTAGTATCTGCAAACGGACATTTCAAACGCTTTCAGGCCTGTGGTGAGAAAGGAAATATCTTCAAATAAAAACTAGACAGAAACATTCTCAGAAACTTATTTGCCATGTGTGTTCTCAACTAACAGAGTTGAACCTTTGTTTTGATACGGCATTTTGGAAACACTCTTTTTGTAGAATCTTCAGGTGGATATTCGGATAGCTTTGAAGGTTTCGTTGGAAACGGGAATATCTTCATATAAAATCTAGACGGAAGCATTCTCAGAAACTGCTTTGTGATGTTTTCATTCAAGTCACAGAGTAGAATGTTCCCTTTTATATACCAGGTTTGAGACACTCTTTCTGCACTACCTGGAAGTGGACATTTGGAGCGCTTTGAGGCCTATGATGAAAAAGGAAATATCTTCCCATAAAAACTAGACAGAAGCATTCTCAGAAACTTGTTTGTGATGTGTGTATTCAACTAACAGAGATGAACCTTTCTTTTTACAGAGCAGTTTTGAAACACTCTTTTTGTGGAATCTGAAAGTGGATATTTGGATAGCTTTGAGGATTTCGTTGGAAACGGGATTACATACAACATCTAGAGAGAAGCATTCTCAGGAACTTCTTTGTGATGTTTGCATTCAAGTCACAGAACTGAACATTCCCTTTCATAGAGCAGGTTTGAAACACTCTTTCTGTAGTATCTGCAAGCGGACGTTTTAAGCGCTTTCAGGCCTGTGGTGAGAAAGGAAATATCTTCAAATAAAAACTAGACAGAAGCATTCTCAGAAACTTATTTGCGATGTGTGTCCTCAACTAACAGAGTTGAACCTTTCTTTTGATACAACATTTTGGAAACACTCTTTTTGTAGAATCTGCAAGTGGATATTTGAATAGCTTTGAAGGTTTCGTTGGAAACGGGAATATCTTCATATAAAATCAAGACAGAAGCATTCTCAGAAACTTCTCTGTGATGTTTGCATTCAACTCATAGAGTTGAACACTTCCCTTCATACAGCAGGTTTGAAACACTCTTTTTGTAATATTTGGAAGTGGACATTTGCAGCGCTTTGAGGCCTATGATGAAAAAGGAAATATCTTCCCATAAAAACTAGACAGAAGCATTCTCAGAAACTTGTTTGTGATGTGTGTATTCAACTAACAGAGATGAACCTTTCTTTTTACAGAGCAGTTTTGAAACACTCTTTTTGTGGAATCTGAAAGTGGATATTTGGATAGCTTTGAGGATTTCGTTGGAAACGGGATTACATATAAAACCTAGAGAGAAGCATTCTCAGGAACTTCTTTGTGATGTTTGCATTCACGTCACAGAACTGAACATTCCCTTTCATAGAGCATGTTTGAAACACTCTTTCTTTAGTATCTGCAAACGGACATTTCAAACGCTTTCAGGCCTATGGTGAGAAAGGAAATATCTTCAAATACAAACTAGACAGAAGCATTCTCAGAAACTTCTTTGCCATGTGTGTTCTCAACTAACAGAGTTGAACCTTTGTTTTGATACGGCATTTTGGAAACACTCTTTTTGTAGAATCTGCAGGTGGATATTCGGATAGCTTTGAAGGTTTCGTTGCAAACGGGAATATCTTCATATAAAATCTAGACGGAAGCATTCTCAGAAACTGCTTTGTGATGTTTTCATTCAAGTCACAGAGTAGAATGTTCCCTGTTATACACCAGGTTTGAGACACTCTTTCTGCACTACCTGGAAGTGGACGTTTGGAGCGCTTTGAGGCCTATGTTGAAAAAGGAAATATCTTCCCATAAAAACTAGACAGAAGCATTCTCAGAAACTTGTTTGTGATGTGTGTATTCAACTAACAGAGATGAACCTTTCTTTTTACAGAGCAGTTTTGAAACACTCTTTTTGTGGAATCTGAAAGTGGATATTTGGATAGCTTTGAGGATTTCGTTGGAAACGGGATTACATATAAAATCTAGAGAGAAGCATTCTCAGGAACTTCTTTGTGATGTTTGCATTCAAGTCACAGAACTGAACATTCCCTTTCATAGAGCAGGTTTGAAACACTCTTTCTGTAGTATCTGCAAGCGGACGTTTTAAGCGCTTTCAGGCCTGTGGTGAGAAAGGAAATATCTTCAAATAAAAACTAGACAGAAGCATTCTCAGAAACTTATTTGCGATGTGTCTCCTCAACTAACAGAGTTGAACCTTTCTTTTGATACAACATTTTGGAAACACTCTTTTTGTAGAATCTGCAAGTGGATATTTGGATAGCTTTGAAGGTTTCGTTGGAAACGGGAATATCTTCATATGAAATCAAGACAGAAGCATTCTCAGAAAGTGCTTTGTGATGTTTGCATTCAAGTCACAGAGTTGAATATTCCCTTTTATAGAGCAGGTTTGAAACACTCTTTCTGCACTACCTGGAAGTGGACATTTGGAGCGCTTTGAGGCCTATGTTGAAAAAGGAAATATCTTCCCATAAAAACTAGACAGAAGCATTCTCAGAAACTTGTTTGTGATGTGTGTATTCAACTAACAGAGATGAACCTTTCTTTTTACAGAGCAGTTTTGAAACACTCTTTTTGTGGAATCTGAAAGTGGATATTTGGATAGCTTTGCGGATTTCGTTGGAAACGGGATTACATATAAAATCTAGGGAGAAGCATTCTCAGGAACTTCTTTGTGATGTTTGCATTCACGCCACAGAACTGAACATTCCCTTTCATAGAGCATGTTTGAAACACTCTTTCTGTAGTATCTGCAAACGGACATTTCAAGCGCTTTCAGGCCTATGGTAAGAAAGGAAATATCTTCAAATAAAAACTAGACAGAAGCATTCTCAGAAACTTATTTGCCATGTGTGTTCTCAACTAACAGAGTTGAACCTTTGTTTTGATACGGCATTTTGGAAACACTCTTTTTGTAGAATCTGCAGGTGGATATTCGGATAGCTTTGAAGGTTTCGTTGGAAACGGGAATATCTTCATATAAAATCTAGACGGAAGCATTCTCAGAAACTGCTTTGTGATGTTTTCATTCAAGTCACAGAGTAGAATGTTCCCTGTTATATACCAGGTTTGAGACACTCTTTCTGCACTACCTGGAAGTGGACGTTTGGAGCGCTTTGAGGCCTATGTTGAAAAAGGAAATATCTTCCCATAAAAACTAGACAGAAGCATTCTCAGAAACTTGTTTGTGATGTGTGTATTCAACTAACAGAGATGAACCTTTCTTTTTACAGAGCAGTTTTGAAACACTCTTTTTGTGGAATCTGAAAGTGGATATTTGGATAGCTTTGAGGATTTCGTTGGAAACGGGATTACATATAAAACCTAGAGAGAAGCATTCTCAGGAACTTCTTTGTGATGTTTGCATTCACCGTCACAGAACTGAACATTCCCTTTCATAGAGCATGTTTGAAACACTCTTTCTGTAGTATCTGCAAACGGACATTTCAAACGCTTTCAGGCCTATGGTGAGAAAGGAAATATCTTCAAATAAAAACTAGACAGAAGCATTCTCAGAAACTTATTTGCCATGTGTGTTCTCAACTAACAGAGTTGAACCTTTGTTTTGATACGGCATTTTGGAAACACTCTTTTTGTGGAATCTGCAAGTGCATATTTGGATAGCTTTGAAGGTTTCGTTGGAAACGGGAATATCTTCATATAAAATCAAGACAGAAGCATTCTCAGAAACTTCTCTGTGATGTTTGCATTCAACTCATAGAGTTGAACACTTCCCTTCATACAGCAGGTTTGAAACACTCTTTTTCTAATATTTGGAAGTGGACTTTTGCAGCGCTTTGAAGCCTATGATGAAAAAGGTAATATCTTCCCATAAAAACTAGAAAGAAGCATTCTCAGAAACTTCCTAGTGATGTGTGTACTCAAGTAACAGAGTTGAACCTTCCTTTTGACAGAGCAGTTTTGAAGCACTCTTTTTGTAGAATCTGCAAGTGGATATTTTGATACCATTGAGGATTTCGTTGGACACGGGATATCTTCATATAAAATCTAGACAGAAGCATTCTCAGGAACTTCTTTGTGATGTTTGCATTCACGTCACAGAACTGAACATTCCCTTTCATAGAGCATGTTTGAAACACTCTTTCTGTAGTATCTACAAACGGACATTTCAAACGCTTTCAGGCCTATGGTGAGAAAGGAAATATCTTCAAATAAAAACTAGACAGAAGCATTCTCAGAAACTTATTTGCGATGTGTGTCCTCAACTAACAGAGTTGAACCTTTCTTTTGATACAACATTTTGGAAACACTCTTTTTGTAGAATCTGCAAGTGGATATTTGGATAGCTTTGAAGGTTTCGTTGGAAACGGGAATATCTTCATATGAAATCAAGACAGAAGCATTCTCAGAAACTGCTTTGTGATGTTTTCATTCAAGTCACAGAGTAGAATCTTCCCTGTTATATACCAGGTTTCAGACACTCTTTCTGCACTACCTGGAAGTGGACATTTGCAGCGCTTTGAGGCCTATGATGAAAAAGGAAATATCTTCCCATAAAAACTAGACAGAAGCATTCTCAGAAACTTGTTTGTGATGTGTGTATTCAACTAACAGAGATGAACCTTTCTTTTTACAGAGCAGTTTTGAAGCACTCTTTTTGTAGAATCTGCAAGTGGATATTTTGATACCATTGAGGATTTCGTTGGACACGGGATATCTTCATATAAAATCTAGACAGAAGCATTCTCAGGAACTTCTTTGTGATGTTTGCCTTCAAGTCACAGGACTGAACATTCCCTTTCATAGAGCAGGTTTGAAACACTCTTTCTGTAGTATCTGCAAGCTGACGTTTCAAGCGCTTTCAGGCCTATGGTGAGAAAGGAAATATCTTCAAGTAAAAACTAGACAGAAGCATTCTCAGAAACTTATTTGCGATGTGTGTCCTCAACTAACAGAGTTGAACCTTTCTTTTGATACAACATTTTGGAAACACTCTTTTTGTAGAATCTGCAAGTGGATATTTGGATAGCTTTGAAGGTTTCGTTGGAAACGGGAATATCTTCATATGAAATCAAGACAGAAGCATTCTCAGAAACTGCTTTGTGATGTTTTCATTCAAGTCACAGAGTAGAATGTTCCCTGTTATATACCAGGTTTGAGACACTCTTTCTGCACTACCTGGAAGTGGACATTTGCAGCGCTTTGAGGCCTATGATGAAAAAGGAAATATCTTCCCATAAAAACTAGACAGAAGCATTCTCAGAAACTTGTTTGTGATGTGTGTATTCAACTAACAGAGATGAACCTTTCTTTTTACAGAGCAGTTTTGAAACACTCTTTTTGTGGAATCTGAAAGTGGATATTTGGATAGCTTGAGGATTTCGTTGGAAACGGGATTACATATAAAACTAGAGAGAAAGCATTCTCAGGAACTTCTTTGTGATGTTTTCCTTCAAGTCACAGGACTGAACATTCCGTTTCATAGAGCAGGTTTGAAACACTCTTTCGGTAGTATCTGCAAGCTGACGTTTCATGCGCTTTCAGGCCTATGGTGAGAAAGGAAATATCTTCAAGTAAAAACTAGACAGAAGCATTCTCAGAAACTTCTTTGTGCTGTATGTCCTCAATTAACAGAGTTGAACCTTTGTGTGGATACAGCATTTTGGAAACATTCCTTTAGTAGAATCTGCAAGTTGATATTTAGATAGCTAGGAAGAGTTCCTTGGAAACGGGAATATCTTCATATAAAATCTAGACGGAAGCATTCTCAGAAACTGCTTTGTGATGTTTTCATTCAAGTCACAGAGTAGAATGTTCCCTTTTATATACCAGGTTTGAGACACTCTTTCTGCACTATCTGGAAGTGGACATTTGGAGCGCTTTGAGGCCTATGATGAAAAAGGAAATATCTTCCCATAAAAACTAGACAGAAGCATTCTCAGAAACTTGTTTGTGATGTGTGTATTCAACTAACAGAGATGAACCTTTCTTTTTACAGAGCAGTTTTGAAACACTCTTTTTGTGGAATCTGAAAGTGGATATTTGGATAGTTTTGAGGATTTCGTTGGAAACGGGATTACATATAAAACCTAGAGAGAAGCATTCTCAGGAACTTCTTTGTGATGTTTGCATTCAAGTCACAGAACTGAACATTCCCTTTCATAGAGCAGGTTTGAAACACTCTTTCTGTAGTATCTGCAAGCTGACGTTTCAAGCGCTTTCAGGCCTATGGTGAGAAAGGAAATATCTTCAAGTAAAAACTAGACAGAAGCATTCTCAGAAACTTATTTGCCATGTGTGTTCTCAACTAACAGAGTTGAACCTTTGTTTTGATATGGCATTTTGGAAACACTCTTTTTGTAGAATCTGCAGGTGGATATTTGGATAGCTTTGAAGGTTTCGTTGGAAACGGGAATATCTTCATATAAAATCAAGACAGAAGCATTCTCAGAAACTTCTCTGTGATGTTTGCATTCAACTCATAGAGTTGAACACTTCCCTTCATACAGCAGGTTTGAAACACTCTTTTTGTAATATTTGGAAGTGGACATTTGCAGCGCTTTGAGGCCTATGTTGAAAAAGGAAATATCTTCTCCTAAAAACCAGACAGAAGCATTCTCAGAAACTTGTTTGTGATGTGTGTATTCAACTAACAGAGATGAACCTTTCTTTTTACAGAGCAGTTTTGAAACACTCTTTTTGTGGAATCTGAAAGTGGATATTTGGATAGCTTTGAGGATTTCGTTGGAAACGGGATTACATATAAAACCTAGAGAGAAGCATTCTCAGGAACTTCTTTGTGATGTTTGCATTCAAGTCACAGAACTGAACATTCCCTTTCATAGAGCAGGTTTGAAACACTCTTTCTGTAGTATCTGCAAGCTGACGTTTCAAGCGCTTTCAGGCCTATGGTGAGAAAGGAAATATCTTCAAGTAAAAACTAGACAGAAGCATTCTCACAAACTTCTTTGTGCTGTATGTCCTCAATTAACAGAGTTGAACCTTTGTGTGGATACAGCATTTTGGAAACACTCCTTTAGTAGTATATGCAAGTTGATATTTAGATAGCTAGGAAGATTTCCTTGGAAACGGGAATATCTTCATATAAAATCTAGACGGAAGCATTCTCAGAAAGTGCTTTGTGATGTTTGCATTCAAGTCACAGAGTTGAATATTCCCTTTTATAGAGCAGGTTTGAAACACTCTTTCTGCACTACCTGGAAGTGGACATTTGGAGCGCTTTGAGGCCTATGTTGAAAAAGGAAATAACTTCCCATAAAAACTAGACAGAAGCATTCTCAGAAACTTGTTTGTGATGTGTGTATTCAACTAACAGAGATGAACCTTTCTTTTTACAGAGCAGTTTTGAAACACTCTTTTTGTGGAATCTGAAAGTGGATATTTGGATAGCTTTGAGGATTTCGTTGGAAACGGGATTACATATAAAACCTAGAGAGAAGCATTCTCAGGAACTTCTTTGTGATGTTTGCATTCACGTCACAGAACTGAACATTCCCTTTCATAGAGCATGTTTGAAACACTCTTTCTGTAGTATCTGCAAACGGACATTTCAAGCGCTTTCAGGCCTATGGTAAGAAAGGAAATATCTTCAAATAAAAACTAGACAGAAGCATTCTCAGAAACTTATTTGCCATGTGTGTTCTCAACTAACAGAGTTGAACCTTTGTTTTGATACGGCATTTTGGAAACACTCTTTTTGTAGAATCTGCAGGTGGATATTCGGAGAGCTTTGAAGGTTTCGTTGGAAACGGGAATATCTTCATATAAAATCTAGACGGAAGCATTCTCAGAAACTGCTTTGTGATGTTTTCATTCAAGTCACAGAGTAGAATGTTCCCTGTTATACACCAGGTTTGAGACACTCTTTCTGCACTACCTGGAAGTGGACGTTTGGAGCGCTTTGAGGCCTATGTTGAAAAAGGAAATATCTTCCCATAAAAACTAGACAGAATCATTCTCAGAAACTTGTTTGTGATGTGTGTATTCAACTAACAGAGATGAACCTTTCTTTTTACAGAGCAGTTTTGAAACACTCTTTTTGTGGAATCTGAAAGTGGATATTTGGATAGCTTTGAGGATTTCGTTGGAAACGGGATTACATATAAAACCTAGAGAGAAGCATTCTCAGGAACTTCTTTGTGATGTTTGCCTTCAAGTCACAGAACTGAACATTCCCTTTCATAGAGCAGGTTTGAAACACTCTTTCTGTAGTATCTGCAAGCTGACGTTTCATGCGCTTTCAGGCCTATGGTGAGAAAGGAAATATCTTCAAGTAAAAACTAGACAGAAGCATTCTCAGAAACTTATTTGCCATGTGTGTTCTCAACTAACAGAGTTGAACCTTTGTTTTGATACGGCATTTTGGAAACACTCTTTTTGTAGAATCTGCAGGTGGATATTCGGATAGCTTTGAAGGTTTCGTTGGAAACGGGAATATCTTCATATAAAATCTAGACGGAAGCATTCTCAGAAACTTCTCTGTGATGTTTGCATTCAACTCATAGAGTTGAACACTTCCCTTCATACAGCAGGTTTGAAACACTCTTTTTGTAATATTTGGAAGTGGACATTTGCAGCGCTTTGAGGCCTATGATGAAAAAGGTAATATCTTCCCATAAAAACTAGACAGAAGCATTCTCAGAAACTTGTTTGTGATGTGTGTATTCAACTAACAGAGATGAACCTTTCTTTTTACAGAGCAGTTTTGAAACACTCTTTTTGTGGAATCTGAAAGTGGATATTTGGATAGCTTTGAGGATTTCGTTGGAAACGGGATTACATATAAAACCTAGAGAGAAGCATTCTCAGGAACTTCTTTGTGATGTTTGCCTTCAAGTCACAGGACTGAACATTCCCTTTCATAGAGCAGGTTTGAAACACTCTTTCTGTAGTATCTGCAAGCTGACGTTTCAAGCGCTTTCAGGCCTATGGTGAGAAAGGAAATATCTTCAAGTAAAAACTAGACAGAAGCATTCTCAGAAACTTATTTGCGATGTGTGTTCTCAGCTAACAGAGTTGAACCTTTGTTTTGATACAGCATTTTGGAAACACTCTTTTTGTAGGATCTGCAGGTGGATATTTGGATAGCTTTGAAGGTTTCTTTGGAAACGGGAATATCTTCATATAAAATCAAGACAGAAGCATTCTCAGAAACTTCTCTGTGATGTTTGCATTCAACTCATAGAGTTGAACACTTCCCTTCATACAGCAGGTTTGAAACACTCTTTTTGTAATATTTGGAAGTGGACATTTGCAGCGCTTTGAGGCCTATGATGAAAAAGGTAATATCTTCCCATAAAAACTAGACAGAAGCATTCTCAGAAACTTGTTTGTGATGTGTGTATTCAACTAACAGAGATGAACCTTTCTTTTAACAGAGCAGTTTTGAAACACTCTTTTTGTGGAATCTGAAAGTGGATATTTGGATAGCTTTGAGGATTTCGTTGGAAACGGGATTACATATAAAATCTAGAGAGAAGCATTCTCAGGAACTTCTTTGTGATGTTTGCATTCACGTCACAGAACTGAACATTCCCTTTCATAGAGCATGTTTGAAACACTCTTTCTGTAGTATCTGCAAACGGACATTTCAAACGCTTTCAGGCCTATGGTGAGAAAGGAAATATCTTCAAGTAAAAACTAGACAGAAGCATTCTCAGAAACTTATTTGCGATGTGTGTCCTCAACTATCAGAGTTGAACCTTTCTTTTGATACAACATTTTGGAAACACTCTTTTTGTAGAATCAGCAAGTTGATATTTGAATAGCTTTGAAGGTTTCGTTGGAAACGGGAATATCTTCATATAAAATCAAGACAGAAGCATTCTCAGAAACTGCTTTGTGATGTTTTCATTCAAGTCACAGAGTAGAATGTTCCCTTTTATATACCAGGTTTGAGACACTCTTTCTGCACTATCTGGAAGTGGACATTTGGAGCGCTTTGAGGCCTATGATGAAAAAGGAAATATCTTCCCATAAAAACTAGACAGAAGCATTCTCAGAAACTTGTTTCTTATGTGTGTATTCAACTAACAGAGATGAACCTTTCTTTTTACAGAGTAGTTTTGAAACACTCTTTTTGTGGAATCTGAAAGTGGATATTTGGATAGCTTTGCGGATTTCGTTGGAAACGGGATTACATATAAAATCTAGGGAGAAGCATTCTCAGGAACTTCTTTGTGATGTTTGCATTCAAGTCACAGAACTGAACATTCCCTTTCATAGAGCAGGTTTGAAACACTCTTTCTGTAGTATCTGCAAGTGGACGTTTCAAGCGCTTTCAGGCCTGTGGTGAAAAAGGAAATATCTTCAAATAAAAACTAGACAGAAGCATTCTCAGAAACTTATTTGCCATGTGTGTTCTCAACTAACAGAGTTGAACCTTTGTTTTGATACGGCATTTTGCAAACACTCTTTTTGTAGAATCTGCAGGTGGATATTCGGATAGCTTTGAAGGTTTCGTTGGAAACGGGAATATCTTCATATAAAATCTAGACGGAAGCATTCTCACAAACTGCTTTGTGATGTTTTCATTCAAGTCACAGAGTAGAATGTTCCCTGTTATATACCAGGTTTGAGACACTCTTTCTGCACTACCTGGAAGTGGACATTTGGAGCGCTTTGAGGCCTATGATGAAAAAGGAAATATCTTCCCTTAAAAACTAGACAGAAGCATTCTCAGAAACTTGTTTGTGATGTGTGTATTCAACTAACAGAGATGAACCTTTCTTTTTACAGAGCAGTTTTGAAACACTCTTTTTGTGGAATCTGAAAGTGGATATTTGGATAGCTTTGAGGATTTCGTTGGAAACGGGATTACATATAAAATCTAGAGAGAAGCATTCTCAGGAACTTCTTTGTGATGTTTGCATTCAAGTCACAGAACTGAACATTCCCTTTCATAGAGCAGGTTTGAAACACTCTTTCTGTAGTATCTGCAAGCGGACGTTTCAAGCGCTTTCAGGCCTGTGGTGAAAAAGGAAATATCTTCAAATAAAAAGTAGACAGAAGCATTCTCAGAAACTTATTTGCGATGTGTGTTCTCAGCTAACAGAGTTGAACCTTTGTTTTGATACAGCATTTTGAAACACTCTTTTTGTAGGATCTGCAGGTGCATATTTGGATAGCTTTGAAGGTTTCTTTGGAAACGGGAATATCTTCATATAAAATCAACACAGAAGCATTCTCAGAAACTGCTTTGTGATGTTTTCATTCAAGTCACAGAGTAGAATCTTCCCTGTTATATACCATGTTTCAGACACTCTTTCTGCACTACCTGGAAGTGGACATTTGCAGCGCTTTGAGGCCTATGATGAAAAAGGAAATATCTTCCCATAAAAACTAGACAGAAGCATTCTCAGAAACTTGTTTGTGATGTGTGTATTCAACTAACAGAGATGAACCTTTCTTTTTACAGAGCAGTTTTGAAACACTCTTTTTGTGGAATCTGAAAGTGGATATTTGGATAGCTTTGCGGATTTCGTTGGAAACGGGATTACATATAAAATCTAGGGAGAAGCATTCTCAGGAACTTCTTTGTGATGTTTGCATTCAAGTCACAGAACTGAACATTCCCTTTCATAGAGCAGGTTTGAAACACTCTTTCTGTAGTATCTGCAAGCGGACGTTTTAAGCGCTTTCAGGCCTGTGGTGAGAAAGGAAATATCTTCAAATAAAAACTAGACAGAAGCATTCTCAGAAACTTATTTGCCATGTGTGTTCTCAACTAACAGAGTTGAACCTTTGTTTTGATACGGCATTTTGGAAACACTCTTTTTGTAGAATCCGCAGGTGGATATTCGGATAGCTTTGAAGGTTTCGTTGGAAACGGGAATATCTTCATATAAAATACTAGACGGAAGCATTCTCAGAAACTTCTCTGTGATGTTTGCATTCAACTCATAGAGTTGAACACTTCCCTTCATACAGCAGGTTTGAAACACTCTTTTTGTAATATTTGGAAGTGGACATTTGCAGCGCTTTGAGGCCTATGATGAAAAAGGTAATATCTTCCCATAAAAACTAGACAGAAGCATTCTCAGAAACTTGTTTGTGATGTGTGTATTCAACTAACAGAGATGAACCTTTCTTTTTACAGAGCAGTTTTGAAACACTCTTTTTGTGGAATCTGAAAGTGGATATTTGGATAGCTTTGAGGATTTCGTTGGAAACGGGATTACATATAAAACCTAGAGAGAAGCATTCTCAGGAACTTCTTTGTGATGTTTGCATTCAAGTCACAGAACTGAACATTCCCTTTCATAGAGCAGGTTTGAAACACTCTTTCTGTAGTATCTGCAAGCGGACGTTTTAAGCGCTTTCAGGCCTGTGGTGAGAAAGGAAATATCTTCAAATAAAAACTAGACAGAAGCATTCTCAGAAACTTATTTGCCATGTGTGTTCTCAACTAACAGAGTTGAACCTTTGTTTTGATACGGCATTTTGGAAACACTCTTTTTGTAGAATCTGCAGGTGGATATTCGGATAGCTTTGAAGGTTTCGTTGGAAACGGGAATATCTTCATATAAAATCTAGACGGAAGCATTCTCAGAAAGTGCTTTGTGATGTTTGCATTCAAGTCACAGAGTTGAATGTTCCCTTTTATAGAGCAGGTTTGAAACACTCTTTCTGCACTACCTGGAAGTGGACATTTGGAGCGCTTTGAGGCCTATGTTGAAAAAGGAAATATCTTCCCATAAAAACTAGACAGAAGCATTCTCAGAAACTTGTTTGTGATGTGTGTATTCAACTAACAGAGATGAACCTTTCTTTTTACAGAGCAGTTTTGAAACACTCTTTTTGTGGAATCTGAAAGTGGATATTTGGATAGCTTTGAGGATTTCGTTGGAAACGGGAGTACATATAAAATCTAGAGAGAAGCATTCTCAGGAACTTCTTTGTGATGTTTGCATTCAAGTCACAGAACTGAACATTCCCTTTCATAGAGTATGTTTGAAACACTCTTTCTGTAGTATCTGCAAACGGACATTTCAAACGCTTTCAGGCCTATGGTGAGAAAGGAAATATCTTCAAATAAAAACTAGACAGAAGCATTCTCAGAAACTTATTTGCCATGTGTGTTCTCAACTAACAGAGTTGAACCTTTGTTTTGATACGGCATTTTGGAAACACTCTTTTTGTAGAATCTGCAGGTGGATATTCGGATAGCTTTGAAGGTTTCGTTGGAAACGGGAATATCTTCATATAAAATCTAGACGGAAGCATTCTCAGAAAGTGCTTTGTGATATTTGCATTCAAGTCACAGAGTTGAATATTCCCTTTTATAGAGCAGGTTTGAAACACTCTTTCTGCACTACCTGGAAGTGGACATTTGGAGCGCTTTGAGGCCTATGTTGAAAAAGGAAATATCTTCTCCTAAAAACCAGACAGAAGCATTCTCAGAAACTTGTTTGTGATGTGTGTATTCAACTAACAGAGATGAACCTTTCTTTTTACAGAGCAGTTTTGAAACACTCTTTTTGTGGAATCTGAAAGTGGATATTTGGATAGCTTTGAGGATTTCGTTGGAAACGGGATTACATATAAAACCTAGAGAGAAGCATTCTCAGGAACTTCTTTGTGATGTTTGCATTCAAGTCACAGAACTGAACATTCCCTTTCATAGAGCAGGTTTGAAACACTCTTTCTGTAGTATCTGCAAGCGGACGTTTTAAGCGCTTTCAGGCCTGTGGTGAGAAAGGAAATATCTTCAAATAAAAACTAGACAGAAGCATTCTCAGAAACTTCTTTGTGCTGTATGTCCTCAATTAACAGAGTTGAACCTTTGTGTGGATACAGCATTTTGGAAACATTCCTTTAGTAGAATCTGCAAGTTGATATTTAGATAGCTAGGAAGATTTCCTTGGAAACGGGAATATCTTCATATAAAATCTAGACGGAAGCATTCTCAGAAACTGCTTTGGGATGTTTTCATTCAAGTCACAGAGTAGAATGTTCCCTGTTATATACCAGGTTTGAGACACTCTTTCTGCACTACCTGGAAGTGGACGTTTGGAGCGCTTTGAGGCCTATGTTGAAAAAGGAAATATCTTCCTATAAAAACTAGACAGAAGCATTCTCAGAAACTTGTTTGTGATGTGTTTATTCAACTAACAGAGATGAACCTTTCTTTTTACAGAGCAGTTTTGAAACACTCTTTTTGTGGAATCTGAAAGTGGATATTTGGATAGCTTTGAGGATTTCGTTGGAAACGGGATTACATATAAAACCTAGAGAGAAGCATTCTCAGGAACTTCTTTGTGATGTTTGCATTCAAGTCACAGAACTGAACATTCCCTTTCATAGTGCAGGTTTGAAACACTCTTTCTGTAGTATCTGCAAGCTGACGTTTCAAGCGCTTTCAGGCCTGTGGTGCAAAAGGAAATATCTTCAAATAAAAACTAGACAGAAGTATTCTCAGAAACTTATTTGCGATGTGTGTTTCCAACTAACAGAGTTGAACCTTTGTTTTGATACAGCATTTTGGAAACAGTATTTTTGTAGGATCTGCAGGTGGATATTTGGATAGCTTTAAAGGTTTCGTTGGAAATGGGAATATCTTCATATAAAATCAAGACAGAAGCATTCTCAGAAAGTGCTTTGTGATGTTTGCATTCAAGTCACAGAGTTGAATATTCCCTTTTATAGAGCAGGTTTGAAACACTCTTTCTGCACTACCTGGAAGTGGACATTTGGAGCGCTTTGAGGCCTATGTTGAAAAAGGAAATATCTTCCCATAAAAACTAGACAGAAGCATTCTCACAAACTTGTTTGTGATGTGTGTATTCAACTAACAGAGATGAACCTTTCTTTTTACAGAGCAGTTTTGAAACACTCTTTTTGTGGAATCTGAAAGAGGATATTTGGATAGCTTTGAGGATTTCATTGGAAACGGGATTACATATAAAATCTAGGGAGAAGCATTCTCAGGAACTTCTTTGTGATGTTTGCATTCACGTCACAGAACTGAACATTCCCTTTCATAGAGCATGTTTGAAACACTCTTTCTGTAGTATCTGCAAACGGACATTTCAAACGCTTTCAGGCCTATGGTGAGAAAGGAAATATCTTCAAGTAAAAACTAGACAGAAGCATTCTCAGAAACTTATTTGCCATGTGTGTTCTCAACTAACAGAGTTGAACCTTTGTTTTGATACGGCATTTTGGAAACACTCTTTTTGTAGAATCTGCAGGTGGATATTCGGATAGCTTTGAAGGTTTCGTTGGAAACGGGAATATCTTCATATAAAATCTTGACGGAAGCATTCTCAGAAACTGCTTTGTGATGTTTTCATTCAAGTCACAGAGTAGAATGTTCCCTTTTATAGAGCAGGTTTCAAACACTCTTTCTGCACTACCTGGAAGTGGACATTTGGAGCGCTTTGAGGCCTATGTTGAAAAAGGAAATATCTTCCCATATAAACTAGACAGAAGCATTCTCAGAAACTTGTTTGTGATGTGTGTATTCAACTAACAGAGATGAACCTTTCTTTTTACAGAGCAGTTTTTAAACACTCTTTTTGTGGAATCTGAAAGTGGATATTTGGATAGCTTTGAGGATTTCGTTGGAAACGGGATTACATATAAAATCTAGAGAGAAGCATTCTCAGGAACTTCTTTAGGATGTTTGCATTCACGTCACAGAACTTAACATTCCCTTTCATAGAGCATGTTTGAAACACTCTTTCTGTAGTATCTGCAAACGGACATTTCAAACGCTTTCAGGCCTATGGTGAGAAAGGAAATATCTTCAAATAAAAACTAGACAGAAGCATTCTCAGAAACTTATTTGCGATGTGTGTCCTCAACTAACAGAGTTGAACCTTTCTTTTGATACAACATTTTGGAAACACTCTTTTTGTAGAATCTGCAAGTGGATATTTGGATAGCTTTGAAGGTTTCGTTGGAAACGGGAATATCTTCATATAAAATCAAGACAGAAGCATTCTCAGAAACTGCTTTGTGATGTTTTCATTCAAGTCACAGAGTAGAATGTTCCCTGTTATATACCAGGTTTGAGACACTCTTTCTGCACTACCTGGAAGTGGACATTTGCAGCGCTTTGAGGCCTATGATGAAAAAGGAAATATCTTCCCATAAAAACTAGACAGAAGCATTCTCAGAAACTTGTTTGTGATGTGTGTATTCAACTAACAGAGATGAACCTTTCTTTTTACAGAGTAGTTTTGAAACAATCTTTTTGTGGAATCTGAAAGTGGATATTTGGATAGCTTTGAGGATTTCGTTGGAAACGGGATTACATATAAAATGCAGGGGAGAAGCATTCTCAGGAACTTCTTTGTGACGTTTGCATTCACGTCACAGAACTGAACATTCCCTTTCATAGAGCATGTTTGAAACACTCTTTCTGTAGTATCTGCAAACGGACATTTCAAGCGCTTTCAGGCCTATGGTAAGAAAGGAAATATCTTCAAATAAAAACTAGACAGAAGCATTCTCAGAAACTTATTTGCGATGTGTGTCCTCAACTAACAGAGTTGAACCTTTGTTTTGATACAACATTTTGGAAACACTCTTTTTGTAGTATCTGCAAGTGGATATTTGGATAGCTTTGAAGGTTTCGTTGGAAACGGGAATATCTTCATATAAAATCAAGACAGAAGCATTCTCAGAAACTTCTCTGTGATGTTTGCATTCAACTCATAGAGGTGAACACTTCCCTTCATAGAGCAGGTTTGAAACACTCTTTTTGTAATATTTGGAAGTGGACATTTGCAGCGCTTTGAGGCCTATGTTGAAAAAGGAAATATCTTCTCCTAAAAACCAGACAGAAGCATTCTCAGAAACTTCCTTGTGATGTGTGTACTCAAGTAACAGAGTTGAACCTTCCTTTTGACAGAGCCGTTTTGAAACAGTCTTTTTGTAGAATCTGGAAGTAGATATTTGGATACCTTTGAGGATTTCTTTGGAAACGGGATATCTTCATATAAAATCTAGACAGAAGCATTCTCAGGAACTTCTTTGTGATGTTTGCATTCAAGTCACAGAACTGAACATTCCCTTTCATAGAGCAGGTTTGAAACACTCTTTCTGTAGTATCTGCAAGCGGACGTTTTAAGCGCTTTCAGGCCTGTGGTGAGAAAGGAAATATCTTCAAATAAAAACTAGACAGAAGCATTCTCAGAAACTTATTTGCGATGTGTGTCCTCAACTAACAGAGTTGAACCTTTCTTTTGATACAACATTTTGGAAACACTCTTTTTGTAGAATCTGCAAGTGGATATTTGGATAGCTTTGAAGGTTTCGTTGGAAACGGGAATATCTTCATATGAAATCAAGACAGAAGCATTCTCAGAAACTGCTTTGTGATGTCTTCATTCAAGTCACAGAGTAGAATGTTCCCTTTTATAGAGCAGGTTTGAAACACTCTGTGCACTACGTGGAAGTGGACATTGGGAGCGCTTTGAGGCCTATGTTGAAAAAGGAAATATCTTCCCATAAAAACTAGACAGAAGCATTCTCAGAAACTTGTTTGTGATGTGTGTATTCAACTAACAGAGATGAACCTTTCTTTTTACAGAGCAGTTTTGAAACACTCTTTTTGTGGAATCTGAAAGTGGATATTTGGATAGCTTTGCGGATTTCGTTGGAAACGGGATTACATATAAAATCTAGGGAGAAGCATTCTCAGGAACTTCTTTGTGATGTTTGCATTCACGTCACAGAACTGAACATTCCCTTTCATAGAGCATGTTTGAAACACTCTTTCTGTAGTATCTGCAAACGGACATTTCAAACGCTTTCAGGCCTATGGTGAGAAAGGAAATATCTTCAAATAAAAACTAGACAGAAGCATTCTCAGAAACTCCTTTGTGCTGTATGTCCTCAATTAACAGAGTTGAACCTTTGTGTGGATACAGCATTTTGGAAACATTCCTTTAGTAGAATCTGCAAGTTGATATTTAGATAGCTAGGAAGATTTCCTTGGAAACGGGAATATCTTCATATAAAATCTAGACGGAAGCATTCTCAGAAAGTGCTTTGTGATGTTTTCATTCAAGTCACAGAGTAGAATGTTCCCTGTTATATACCAGGTTTGAGACACTCTTTCTGCACTATCTGGAAGTGGACATTTGGAGCGCTTTGAGGCCTATGTTGAAAAAGGAAATATCTTCCCATAAAAACTAGACAGAAGCATTCTCAGAAACTTGTTTGTGATGTGTGTATTCAACTAACAGAGATGAACCTTTCTTTTTACAGAGCAGTTTTGAAACACTCTTTTTGTGGAATCTGAAAGTGGATATTTGGATAGCTTTGCGGATTTCGTTGGAAACGGGATTACATATAAAATCTAGGGAGAAGCATTCTCAGGAACTTCTTTGTGATGTTTGCATTCAAGTCACAGAACTGAACATTCCCTTTCATAGAGCAGGTTTGAAACAGTCTTTCTGTAGTATCTGCAAGCTGACGTTTCAAGCGCTTTCAGGCCTATGGTGAGAAAGGAAATATCTTCAAGTAAAAACTAGACAGAAGCATTCTCAGAAACTTATTTGCGATGTGTGTTCTCAACTAACAGAGTTGAACCTTTGTTTTGATATGGCATTTTGGAAACACTCTTTTTGTAGAATCTGCAGGTGGATATTCGGATAGCTTTGAAGGTTTCGTTGGAAACGGGAATATCTTCATATAAAATCTAGACGGAAGCATTCTCAGAAACTGCTTTGTGATGTTTTCATTCAAGTCACAGAGTAGAATGTTCCCTGTTATACACCAGGTTTGAGACACTCTTTCTGCACTACCTGGAAGTGGACGTTTGGAGCGCTTTGAGGCCTATGTTGAAAAAGGAAATATCTTCCCATAAAAACTAGACAGAAGCATTCTCAGAAACTTGTTTGTGATGTGTGTATTCAACTAACAGAGATGAACCTTTCTTTTTACAGAGCAGTTTTGAAACACTCTTTTTGTGGAATCTGAAAGTGGATATTTGGATAGCTTTGCGGATTTCGTTGGAAACGGGATTACATATAAAATCTAGGGAGAAGCATTCTCAGGAACTTCTTTGTGATGTTTGCATTCACGTCACAGAACTGAACATTCCCTTTCATAGAGCATGTTTGAAACACTCTTTCTGTAGTATCTGCAAACGGACATTTCAAACGCTTTCAGGCCTATGGTGAGAAAGGAAATATCTTCAAATAAAAACTAGACAGAAGCATTCTCAGAAACTTATTTGCGATGTGTGTTCTCAGCTAACAGAGTTGAACCTTTGTTTTGATACAGCATTTTGGAAACACTCTTTTTGTAGGATCTGCAGGTGGATATTTGGATAGCTTTGAAGGTTTCTTTGGAAACGGGAATATCTTCATATAAAATCAAGACAGAAGCATTCTCAGAAAGTGCTTTGTGATGTTTGCATTCAAGTCACAGAGTTGAATATTCCCTTTTATAGAGCAGGTTTGAAACACTCTTTCTGCACTACCTGGAAGTGGACATTTGGAGCGCTTTGAGGCCTATGTTGAAAAAGGAAATATCTTCCCATAAAAACTAGACAGAAGCATTCTCAGAATCTTTCTTGTGATGTGTGTAGTCAAGTAACAGAGTTGAACCTTCCTTTTGACAGAGCAGTTTTGAAGCACTCTTTTTGTAGAATCTGCAAGTGGATATTTTGATACCTTTGAGGATTTCGTTGGACACGGGATATCTTCATATAAAATCTAGACAGAAGCATTCTCAGGAACTTCTTTGTGATGTTTGCATTCACGTCACAGAACTGAACATTCCCTTTCATAGAGCATGTTTGAAACACTCTTTCTGTAGTATCTGCAAACGGACATTTCAAACGCTTTCAGGCCTATGGTGAGAAAGGAAATATCTTCAAATAAAAACTAGACAGAAGCATTCTCAGAAACTTATTTGCCATGTGTGTTCACAACTAACAGAGTTGAACCTTTGTTTTGATACGGCATTTTGGAAACACTCTTTTTGTAGAATCTGCAGGTGGATATTCGGATAGCTTTGAAGGTTTCGTTGGAAACGGGAATATCTTCATATAAAATCTAGACGGAAGCATTCTCAGAAACTGCTTTGTGATGTTTTCATTCAAGTCACAGAGTAGAATGTTCCCTTTTATATACCAGGTTTGAGACACTCTTTCTGCACTATCTGGAAGTGGACATTTGGAGCGCTTTGAGGCCTATGATGAAAAAGGAAATATCTTCCCATAAAAACTAGACAGAAGCATTCTCAGAAACTTGTTTGTGATGTGTGTATTCAACTAACAGAGATGAACCTTTCTTTTTACAGAGCAGTTTTGAAACACTCTTTTTGTGGAATCTGAAAGTGGATATTTGGATAGCTTTGAGGATTTCGTTGGAAACGGGATTACATATAAAACCTAGAGAGAAGCATTCTCAGGAACTTCTTTGTGATGTTTGCATTCAAGTCACAGAACTGAACATTCCCTTTCATAGAGCAGGTTTGAAACACTCTTTCTGTAGTATCTGCAAGCGGACGTTTTAAGCGCTTTCAGGCCTGTGGTGAGAAAGGAAATATCTTCAAATAAAAACTAGACAGAAGCATTCTCAGAAACTTATTTGCCATGTGTGTTCTCAACTAACAGAGTTGAACCTTTGTTTTGATACGGCATTTTGGAAACACTCTTTTTGTAGAATCTGCAGGTGGATATTCGGATAGCTTTGAAGGTTTCGTTGGAAACGGGAATATCTTCATATAAAATCTAGACGGAAGCATTCTCAGAAACTTCTCTGTGATGTTTGCATTCAACTCATAGAGTTGAACACTTCCCTTCATACAGCAGGTTTGAAACACTCTTTTTGTAATATTTGGAAGTGGACATTTGCAGCGCTTTGAGGCCTATGATGAAAAAGGTAATATCTTCCCATAAAAACTAGACAGAAGCATTCTCAGAAATTTGTTTGTGATGTGTGTATTCAACTAACAGAGATGAACCTTTCTTTTTACAGAGCAGTTTTGAAACACTCTTTTTGTGGATTCTGACAGTGGATATTTGGATAGCTTTGAGGATTTTGTTGGAAACGGGATTACATATAAAACCTAGAGAGAAGCATTCTCAGGAACTTCTTTGTGATGTTTGCATTCAAGTCACAGAACTGAACATTCCCTTTCATAGAGCAGGTTTGAAACACTCTTTCTGTAGTATCTGCAAGCTGACGTTTCAAGCGCTTTCAGGCCTATGGTGAGAAAGGAAATATCTTCAAGTAAAAACTAGACAGAAGCATTGTCAGAAACTTATTTGCCATGTGTGTTCTCAACTAACAGAGTTGAACCTTTGTTTTGATACGGCATTTTGGAAACACTCTTTTTGTAGAATCTGCAGGTGGATATTCGGATAGCTTTGAAGGTTTCGTTGGAAACGGGAATATCTTCATATAAAATCTAGACGGAAGCATTCTCAGAAACTGCTTTGTGATGTTTTCATTCAAGTCACAGAGTAGAATGTTCCCTGTTATATACCAGGTTTGAGACACTCTTTCTGCACTACCTGGAAGTGGACATTTGCAGCGCTTTGAGGCCTATGATGAAAAAGGAAATATCTTCCCATAAAAACTAGACAGAAGCATTCTCAGAAACTTGTTTGTGATTTGTGTATTCAACTAACAGAGATGAACCTTTCTTTTTACAGAGTAGTTTTGAAACACTCTTTTTGTGGAATCCGAAAGTGGATATTTGGATAGCTTTGAGGATTTCTTTGGAAACGGGATTACATATAAAATCTAGGGAGAAGCATTCTCAGGAACTTCTTTGTGATGTTTGCATTCACGTCACAGAACTGAACATTCCCTTTCATAGAGCATGTTTGAAACACTCTTTCTGTAGTATCTGCAAACGGACATTACAAGCGCTTTCAGGCCTATGGTGAGAAAGGAAATATCTTCAAATAAAAACTAGACAGAAGCATTCTCAGAAACTTATTTGCGATGTGTGTCCTCAACTAACAGAGTTGAACCTTTCTTTTGATACAACATTTTGGAAACACTCTTTTTGTGGAATCTGCAAGTGGATATTTGGATAGCTTTGAAGGTTTCGTTGGAAACGGGAATATCTTTATATAAAATCAAGACAGAAGCATTCTCAGAAAGTGCTTTGTGATGTTTGCATTCAAGTCACAGACTTGAATATTCCCTTTTATAGAGCAGGTTTGAAACACTCTTTCTGCACTACCTGGAAGTGGACATTTGGAGCGCTTTGAAGCCTATGTTGAAAAAGGAAATATCTTCCCATAAAAACTAGACAGAAGCATTCTCAGAAACTTGTTTGTGATGTGTGTATTCAACTAACAGAGATGAACCTTTCTTTTTACAGAGCAGTTTTGAAACACTCTTTTTGTGGAATCTGAAAGTGGATATTTGGATAGCTTTGCGGATTTCGTTGGAAACGGGATTACATATAAAATCTAGGGAGAAGCATTCTCAGGAACTTCTTTGTGATGTTTGCCTTCAAGTCACAGGACTGAACATTCCCTTTCATAGAGCAGGTTTGAAACACTCTTTCTGTAGTATCTGCAAGCTGACGTTTCAAGCGCTTTCAGGCCTATGGTGAGAAAGGAAATATCTTCAAGTAAAAACTAGACAGAAGCATTCTCAGAAACTTATTTGCGATGTGTGTCCTCAACTAACAGAGTTGAACCTTTCTTTTGATACAACATTTTGGAAACACTCTTTTTGTAGAATCTGCAAGTGGATATTTGAATAGCTTTGAAGGTTTCGTTGGAAACGGGAATATCTTCATATAAAATCAAGACAGAAGCATTCTCAGAAACTGCTTTGTGATGTTTTCATTCAAGTCACAGAGTAGAATGTTCCCTGTTATATACCAGGTTTGAGACACTCTTTCTGCACTACCTGGAAGTGGACGTTTGGAGCGCTTTGAGGCCTATGTTGAAAAAGGAAATATCTTCCCATAAAAACTAGACAGAAGCATTCTCAGAAACTTGTTTGTGATGTGTGTATTCAACTAACAGAGATGAACCTTTCTTTTTACAGAGCAGTTTTGAAACACTCTTTTTGTGGAATCTGAAAGTGGATATTTGGATAGCTTTGAGGATTTCGTTGGAAACGGGATTACATATAAAACCTAGAGAGAAGCATTCTCAGGAACTTCTTTGTGATGTTTGCCTTGAAGTCACAGGATTGAACATTCCCTTTCATAGAGCAGGTTTGAAACACTCTTTCTGTAGTATCTGCAAGCTGACGTTTCAAGCGCTTTCAGGCCTATGGTGACAAAGGAAATATCTTCAACTAAAAACTAGACAGAAGCATTCTCAGAAACTTCTTTGTGCTGTATGTCCTCAATTAACAGAGTTGAACCTTTGTGTGGATACCGCATTTTGGAAACATTCCTTTAGTAGAATCTGCAAGTTGATATTTAGATAGCTAGGAAGATTTCCTTGGAAACGGGAATATCTTCATATAAAATCTAGACGGAAGCATTCTCACAAAGTGCTTTGTGATGTTTGCATTCAAGTCACAGAGTTGAATATTCCCTTTTATAGAGCAGGTTTGAAACACTCTTTCTGCACTACCTGGAAGTGGACATTTGGAACGCTTTGAGGCCTATGTTGAAAAAGGAAATATCTTCCCATAAAAACTAGACGGAAGCATTCTCAGAAACTTGTTTGTGATGTGTGTATTCAACTAACAGAGATGAATCTTTCTTTTTACAGAGCAGTTTTGAAACACTCTTTTTGTGGAATCTGAAAGTGGATATTTGGATAGCTTTGAGGATTTCGTTGGAAACGGGATTACATATAAAACCTAGAGAGAAGCATTCTCAGGAACTTCTTTGTGATGTTTGCCTTCAAGTCACAGGACTGAACATTCCCTTTCATAGAGCAGGTTTGAAACACTCTTTCTGTAGTATCTGCAAGCTGACGTTTCAAGCGCTTTCAGGCCTATGGTGAGAAAGGAAATATCTTCAAGTAAAAACTAGACAGAAGCATTCTCAGAAACTTATTTGCCATGTGTGTTCTCAACTAACAGAGTTGAACCTTTGTTTTGATACGGCATTTTGGAAACACTCTTTTTGTAGAATCTGCAGGTGGATATTCGGATAGCTTTGAAGGTTTCGTTGGAAACGGGAATATCTTCATATAAAATCTAGACGGAAGCATTCTCAGAAACTTCTCTGTGATGTTTGCATTCAACTCATAGAGTTGAACACTTCCCTTCATACAGCAGGTTTGAAACACTCTTTTTGTAATATTTGGAAGTGGACATTTGCAGCGCTTTGAGGCCTATGATGAAAAAGGAAATATCTTCCCATAAAAACTAGACAGGAAGCATTCTCAGAAACTTGTTTGTGATGTGTGTATTCAACTAACAGAGATGAACCTTTCTTTTTACAGAGCAGTTTTGAAACACTCTTTTTGTGGAATCTGAAAGTGGATATTTGGATAGCTTTGAGGATTTCGTTGGAAACGGGATTACATATAAAATCTAGAGAGAAGCATTCTCAGGAACTTCTTTGTGATGTTTGCATTCACGTCACAGAACTGAACATTCCCTTTCATAGAGCATGTTTGAAACACTCTTTCTGTAGTATCTGCAAACGGACATTTCAAGCGCTTTCAGTCCAATGGTAAGAAAGGAAATATCTTCAAATAAAAACTAGACAGAAGCATTCTCAGAAACTTATTTGCGATGTGTGTCCTCAACTAACAGAGTTGAACCTTTGTTTTGATACAACATTTTGGAAACACTCTTTTTGTAGAATCTGCAAGTGGATATTTGGATAGCTTTGAAGGTTTCGTTGGAAACGGGAATATCTTCATATAAAATCAAGACAGAAGCATTCTCAGAAACTGCTTTGTGATGTTTTCATTCAAGTCACAGAGTAGAATGTTCCCTGTTATATACCAGGTTTGAGACACTCTTTCTGCACTACCTGGAAGTGGACATTTGCAGCGCTTTGAGGCCTATGATGAAAAAGGAAATATCTTCCCATAAAAACTAGACAGAAGCATTCTCAGAAACTTGTTTGTGATGTGTGTATTCAACTAACAGAGATGAACCTTTCTTTTTACAGAGCAGTTTTGAAACACTCTTTTTGTGGAATCTGAAAGTGGATATTTGGATAGCTTTGAGGATTTCGTTGGAAACGGGATTACATATAAAACCTAGAGAGAAGCATTCTCAGAAACTTCCTTGTGATGTGTGTACTCAGGTAACAGAGTTGAACCTTACTTTTGACAGAGCCATTTTGAAACAGTCTTTTTGTAGAATCTGGAAGTAGATATTTGGATACCTTTGAGGATTTCTTTGGAAACGGGATATCTTCATATAAAATCTAGACAGAAGCATTCTCAGAAACTTCTTTGTGCTGTATGTCCTCAATTAACAGAGTTGAACCTTTGTGTGGATACAGCATTTTGGAAACATTCCTTTAGTAGAATCTGCAAGTTGATATTTAGATAGCTAGGAAGATTTCCTTGGAAACGGGAATACCTTCATATAAAATCTAGACGGAAGCATTCTCAGAAACTGCTTTGTGATGTCTTCATTCAAGTCACAGAGTAGAATGTTCCCTTTTATAGAGCAGGTTTGAAACACTCTGTGCACTACCTGGAAGTGGACATTTGGAGCGCTTTGAGGCCTATGTTGAAAAAGGAAATATCTTCCCATAGAAACTAGACAGAAGCATTCTCAGAAACTTGTTTGTGATGTGTGTATTCAACTAACAGAGATGAACCTTTCTTTTTACAGAGTAGTTTTGAAACAATCTTTTTGTGGAATCTGAAAGTGGATATTTGGATAGCTTTGAGGATTTCGTTGGAAACGGGATTACATATAAAATCTAGGGAGAAGCATTCTCAGGAACTTCTTTGTGATGTTTGCCTTCAAGTCACAGGACTGAACATTCCCTTTCATAGAGCAGGTTTGAAACACTCTTTCTGTAGTATCTGCAAGCTGACGTTTCAAGCGCTTTCAGGCCTATGGTGAGAAAGGAAATATCTTCAAGTAAAAACTAGACAGAAGCATTCTCAGAAACTTCTTTGTGATGTATGTCCTCAATTAACAGAGTTGAACCTTTGTTTCGATACAGCATTTTGGAAACATTCCTTTAGTAGAATCTGCAAGTTGATATTTATATAGCTAGGAAGATTTCGTTGGAAACGGGAATATCTTCATATAAAATCTAGACGGAAGCATTCTCAGAAAGTGTTTTGTGATGTTTGCATTCAAGACACAGAGTTGAATATTCCCTTTTATAGAGCAGGTTTGAAACACTCTTTCTGCACTACCTGGAAGTGGACATTTGGAGCGCTTTGAGGCCTATGTTGAAAAAGGAAATATCCTCCCATAAAAACTAGACAGAAGCATTCTCAGAAACTTGTTTGTGATGTGTGTATTCAACTAACAGAGATGAACCTTTCTTTTTACAGAGCAGTTTTGAAACACTCTTTTTGTGGAATCTGAAAGTGGATATTTGGATAGCTTTGAGGATTTCGTTGGAAACGGGATTACATATAAAATCTAGAGAGAAGCATTCTCAGGAACTTCTTTGTGATGTTTGCGTTCAAGTCACAGAACTGAACATTCCCTTTCATAGAGCAGGTTTGAAACACTCTTTCTGTAGTATCTGCAAGCGGACGTTTGAAGCGCTTTCAGGCCTGTGGTGAAAAAGGAAATATCTTCAAATAACAACTAGACAGAAGCATTCTCAGAAACTTATTTGCGATGTGTGTTCTCAACTAAAAGAGTTGAACCTTTGTTTGGATACAGCATTTTGGAAACACTCTTTTTGTAGAATCTGCAAGTGGATATTTGGATAGCTTTGAAGGTTTCGTTGGAAACGGGAATATCTTCATATAAAATCAAGACAGAAGCATTCTCAGAAACTTCTCTGTGATGTTTGCATTCAACTCATAGAGTTGAACCCTTCCCTTCATACAGCAGGTTTGAAACACTCTTTTTCTAATATTTGGAAGTGGACATTTGCAGCGCTTTGAGGCCTATGTTGAAAAAGGAAATATCTTCTCCTAAAAACCAGACAGAAGCATTCTCAGAAACTTGTTTGTGATGTGTGTATTCAACTAACAGAGATGAACCTTTCTTTTTACAGAGCAGTTTTGAAACACTCTTTTTGTGGAATCTGAAAGTGGATATTTGGATAGCTTTGAGGATTTCGTTGGAAACGGGATTACATATAAAATCTAGAGAGAAGCATTCTCAGGAACTTCTTTGCGATGTTTGCATTCAAGTCACAAAACTGAACATTCCCTTTCATAGAGCAGGTTTGAAACATTCTTTCTGTAGTATCTGCAAGCTGACGTTTCAAGCGCTTTCAGGCCTATGGTGAGAAAGGAAATTTCTTCAAGTAAAAACTAGACAGAAGCATTCTCAGAAACTTATTTGCGATGTGTGTCCTCAACTAACAGAGGTGAACCTTTGTTTTGATACAACATTTTGGAAACACTCTTTTTGTAGAATCTGCAAGTGGATATTTGGATAGCTTTGAAGGTTTCGTTGGAAACGGGAATATCTTCATATAAAATCAAGACAGAAGCATTCTCAGAAAGTGCTTTGTGATGTTTGCATTCAAGTCACAGAGTTGAATATTCCCTTTTATAGAGCAGGTTTGAAACACTCTTTCTGCACTACCTGGAAGTGGACATTTGGAGCGCTTTGAGGCCTATGTTGAAAAACGGAATATCTTCCCATAAAAACTAGACAGAAGCATTCTCAGAAACTTGTTTGTGATGTGTGTATTCAACTAACAGAGATGAACATTTCTTTTTACAGAGCAGTTTTGAAACACTCTTTTTGTGGAATCTGAAAGTGGATATTTGGATAGCTTTGAGGATTTCGTTGGAAACGGGATTACATATAAAATCTAGAGAGAAGCATTCTCAGGAACTCCTTTGTGATGTTTGCATTCAAGTCACAGAACTCAACATTCCCTTTCATAGAGCAGGTTTGAAACACTCTTTCTGTAGTATCTGCAAGCTGACGTTTCAAGCGCTTTCAGGCCTATGGTGAGAAAGGAAATATCTTCAAGTAAAAACTAGACAAAAGCATTCTCAGAAACTTCTTTGTGCTGTATGTCCTCAATTAACAGAGTTGAACCTTTGTGTGGATACAGCATTTTGGAAACATTCCTTTAGTAGAATCTGCAAGTTGATATTTAGATAGCTAGGAAGATTTCCTTGGAAACGGGAATATCTTCGTATAAAATCTAGACGGAAGCATTCTCAGAAAGTGCTTTGTGATGTTTTCATTCAAGTCACAGAGTAGAATGTTCCCTGTTATATATCAGGTTTGAGACACTCTTTCTGCACTATCTGGAAGTGGACATTTGGAGCGCTTTGAGGCCTATGTTGAAAAAGGAAATATCTTCCCATAAAAACTAGACAGAAGCATTCTCAGAAACTTGTTTGTGATGTGTGTATTCAACTAACAGAGATGAACCTTTCTTTTTACAGAGCAGTTTTGAAACACTCTTTTTGTGGAATCTGAAAGTGGATATTTGGATAGCTTTGAGGGTTTCGTTGGAAAAGGGATTACATATAAAATCTAGGGAGAAGCATTCTCAGGAACTTCTTTGTGATATTTGCATTCAAGTCACAGAACTGAACATTCCCTTTCATAGAGCAGCTTTGAAACACTCTTTCTGTAGCATCTGCATGCGGACGTTTCAAGCGCTTTCAGGCCTGTGGTGAAAAAGGAAATATCTTCAAATAAAAACTAGACAGAAGCATTCTCAGAAACTTATTTGCGATGTGTGTTCTCAACTAACAGAGTTGAACCTTTGTTTTGATACAGCATTTTGGAAACACTCTTTTTGTAGGATCTGCAGGTGGATATTTGGATAGCTTTGATGGTTTCGTTGGAAACGGGAATATCCTCATATAAAATCAAGACAGAAGCATTCTCAGAAACTTCTCTGTGATGTTTGCATTCAACTCATAGAGTTGAACACTTCCCTTCATACAGCAGGTTTGAAACACTCTTTTTGTAATATTTGGAAGTGGACATTTGCAGCGCTTTGAGGCCTATGTTGAAAAAGGAAATATCTTCTCCTAAAAACCAGACAGAAGCATTCTCAGAAACTTGTTTGTGATGTGTGTATTCAACTAACAGAGATGAACCTTTCTTTTTACAGAGCAGTTTTGAAACACTCTTTTTGTGGAATCTGAAAGTGGATATTTGGATAGCTTTGCGGATTTCGTTGGAAACGGGATTACATATAAAATCTAGGGAGAAGCATTCTCAGGAACTTCTTTTTGATGTTTGCCTTCAAGTCACAGGACTGAACATTCCCTTTCATAGAGCAGGTTTGAAACACTCTTTCTGTAGTATCTGCAAGCTGACGTTTCAAGCGCTTTCAGGCCTATGGTGAGAAAGGAAATATCTTCAAGTAAAAACTAGACAGAAGCATTCTCAGAAACATATTTGCCATGTGTGTTCTCAACTAACAGAGTTGAACCTTTGTTTTGATATGGCATTTTGGAAACACTCTTTTTGTAGAATCTGCAGGTGGATATTCGGATAGCTTTGAAGGTTTCGTTGGAAACGGGAATATCTTCATATAAAATCTAGACGGAAGCATTCTCAGAAACTGCTTTGTGATGTTTTCATTCAAGTCACAGAGTAGAATGTTCCCTGTTATACACCAGGTTTGAGACACTCTTTCTGCACTACCTGGAAGTGGACGTTTGGAGCGCTTTGAGGCCTATGTTGAAAAAGGAAATATCTTCCCATAAAAACTAGACAGAAGCATTCTCAGAAACTTGTTTGTGATGTGTGTATTCAACTAACAGGGATGAACCTTTCTTTTTACAGAGCAGTTTTGAAACACTCTTTTTGTGGAATCTGAAAGTGGATATTTGGATAGCTTTGAGGATTTCGTTGGAAACGGGATTACATATAAAATCTAGAGAGAAGCATTCTCAGGAACTTCTTTGTGATGTTTGCATTCACGTCACAGAACTGAACATTCCCTTTCATAGAGCATGTTTGAAACACTCTTTCTGTAGTATCTGCAAACGGACATTTCAAACGCTTTCAGGCCTATGGTGAGAAAGGAAATATCTTCAAATAAAAACTAGACAGAAGCATTCTCAGAAACTTATTTGCGATGTGTGTCCTCAACTAACAGAGTTGAACCTTTCTTTTGATACAACATTTTGGAAACACTCTTTTTGTAGAATCTGCAAGTGGATATTTGGATAGCTTTGAAGGTTTCGTTGGAAACGGGAATATCTTCATATGAAATCAAGACAGAAGCATTCTCAGAAACTTCTCTGTGATGTTTGCATTCAACTCATAGAGTTGAACACTTCCCTTCATACAGCAGGTTTGAAACACTCTTTTTCTAATATTTGGAAGTGGACTTTTGCAGCGCTTTGAAGCCTATGATGAAAAAGGTAATATCTTCCCATAAAAACTAGAAAGAAGCATTCTCAGAAACTTGTTTGTGATGTGTGTATTCAACTAACAGAGATGAACCTTTCTTTTTACAGAGCAGTTTTGAAACACTCTTTTTGTGGAATCTGAAAGTGGATATGTGGATAGCTTTGACGATTTCGTTGGAAACGGGATTACATATAAAATCTAGAGAGAAGCATTCTCAGGAATTTCTTTGTGATGTTTGCATTCAAGTCACAGAACTGAACATTCCCTTTCATAGAGCATGTTTGAAACACTCTTTCTGTAGTATCTGCAAGCGGACATTTCAAGCGCTTTCAGGCCTATGGTGAGAAAGGAATTATCTTCAAATAAAAACTAGACAGAAGCATTCTCAGAAACTTATTTGCGATGTGTGTCCTCAACTAACAGAGTTGAACCTTTGTTTTGATACAACATTTTGCAAACACTCTTTTGGGAGAATCTGCAGGTGAATACTTGGATAGCTTTGAAGGTTTCTTTAGAAACGGGAATATCTTCATATAAAATCAAAACAGAAGCATTCTCAGAAACTTCTCTGTGATGTTTGCATTCAACTCATAGAGTTGAACACTTCCTTTCATAGAGCACGTTTGAAACACTCTTTGTGATATTCGGAAGTGGACTTTAGCACCGCTTTGAGGCCGATGGTGAAAAAGGTAATATCTTCTCCTAAAAACCAGACAGAAGCATTCTCAGAAACTTATTTGCCATGTGTGTTCTCAACTAAAAGAGTTGAACCTTTGTTTGGATACAACATTTCGGAAACACTCTTTTTGTAGAATCTGCAAGTGGATATTTGGATAGCTTTGAAGGTTTCGTTGGAAACGGGAATATCCCCATATAAACTCAAGACAGAAGCATTCTCAGAAACTTCTCTGTGATGTTTGCATTCAACTCATAGAGTTGAACACTTCCTTTCATAGAGCAGGTTTGAAACACTCTGTGCACTACCTGGAAGTGGACATTTGGAGCGCTTTGAGGCCTATGTTGAAAAAGGAAATATCTTCCCATAAAAACTAGACAGAAGCATTCTCAGAAACTTGTTTGTGATGTGTGTATTCAACTAACAGAGATGAACCTTTCTTTTTACAGAGCAGTTTTGAAACACTCTTTTTGTGGAATCTGAAAGTGGATATTTGGATAGCTTTGAGGATTTCGTTGGAAACGGGATTACATATAAAATCTAGGGAGAAGCATTCTCAGGAACTTCTTTGTGATGTTTGCATTCACGTCACAGAACTGAACATTCCCTTTCATAGAGCATGTTTGAAACACTCTTTCTGTAGTATCTGCAAACGGACATTTCAAACGCTTTCAGGCCTATGGTGAGAAAGGAAATATCTTCAAATAAAAACTAGACAGAAGCATTCTCAGAAACTTATTTGCGATGTGTGTCCTCAACTAACAGAGTTGAACCTTTGTTTTGATACAACATTTTGGAAACACTCTTTTTGTAGAATCTGCAAGTGGATATTTGGATAGCTTTGAAGGTTTCGTTGGAAACGGGAATATCTTCATATAAAATCAAGACAGAAGCATTCTCAGAAACTGCTTTGTGATGTCTTCATTCAAGTCACAGAGTAGAATGTTCCCTTTTATAGAGCAGGTTTGAAACACTCAGTGCACTACCTGGAAGTGGACATTTGGAGCGCTTTGAGGCCTATGTTGAAAAAGGAAATATCTTCCCATAGAAACTAGACAGAAGCATTCTCAGAAACTTGTTTGTGATGTGTGTATTCAACTAACAGAGATGAACCTTTCTTTTTACAGAGCAGTTTTGAAACACTCTTTTTGTGGAATCTGAAAGTGGATATTTGGATAGCTTTGAGGATTTCGTTGGAAACGGGATTACATATAAAATCTAGAGAGAAGCATTCTCAGGAACTTCTTTGTGATGTTTGCATTCACGTCACAGAACTGAACATTCCCTTTCATAGAGCATGTTTGAAACACTCTTTCTGTAGTATCTACAAACGGACATTTCAAACGGTTTCAGGCCTGTGGTGAGAAAGGAAATATCTTCAAATAAAAACTAGACAGAAGCATTCTCAGAAACTTATTTGCGATGTGTGTCCTCAACTAACAGAGTTGAACCTTTCTTTTGATACAACATTTTGGAAACACTCTTTTTGTAGAATCTGCAAGTGGATATTTGGATAGCTTTGAAGGTTTCGTTGGAAACGGGAATATCTTCATATGAAATCAAGACAGAAGCATTGTCAGAAACTTCTCTGTGATGTTTGCATTCAACTCATAGAGTTGAACACTTCCCTTCATAGAGCAGGTTTGAAACACTCTTTTTGTAATATTTGGAAGTGGACATTTACAGCGCTTTGAGGCCTATGTTGAAAAAGGAAATATCTTCCCATAAAAACTAGACAGAAGCATTCTCAGAAACTTGTTTGTGATGTGTGTATTCAACTAACAGAGATGAACCTTTCTTTTTACAGAGCAGTTTTGAAACACTCTTTTTGTGGAATCTGAAAGTGGATATTTGGATAGCTTTGAGGATTTCGTTGGAAACGGGAGTACATATAAAACCTAGAGAGAAGCATTCTCAGGAACTTCTTTGTGATGTTTGCCTTCAAGTCACAGGACTGAACATTCCCTTTCATAGAGCAGGTTTGAAACACTCTTTCTGTAGTATCTGCAAGCTGACGTTTCAAGCGCTTTCAGGCCTATGGTGAGAAAGGAAATATCTTCAAGTAAAAACTAGACAGAAGCATTCTCAGAAACTTCTTTGTGCTGTATGTCCTCAATTAACAGAGTTGAACCTTTGTGTGGATACAGCATTTTGGAAACATTCCTTTAGTAGAATCTGCAAGTTGATATTTAGATAGCTAGGAAGATTTCCTTGGAAACGGGAATATCTTCATATAAAATCTAGACGGAAGCATTCTCAGAAACTTCTCTGTGATGTTTGCATTCAACTCATAGAGTTGAACACTTCCCTTCATACAGCAGGTTTGAAACACTCTTTTTGTAATATTTGGAAGTGGACATTTGCAGCGCTTTGAGGCCTATGATGAAAAAGGAAATATCTTCCCATAAAAACTAGACAGAAGCATTCTCAGAAACTTGTTTGTGATGTGTGTATTCAACTAACAGAGATGAACCTTTCTTTTTACAGAGCAGTTTTGAAACACTCTTTTTGTGGAATCTGAAAGTGGATATTTGGATAGCTTTGAGGATTTCGTTGGAAACGGGATTATATATAAAACCTAGAGAGAAAGCATTCTCAGGAACTTCTTTGTGATGTTTGCATTCAAGTCACAGAACTGAACATTCCCTTTCATAGAGCAGGTTTGAAACACTCTTTCTGTAGTATCTGCAAGCTGACGTTTCAAGCGCTTTCAGGCCTATGGTGAGAAAGGAAATATCTTCAAGTAAAAACTAGACAGAAGCATTCTCAGAAACTTATTTGCGATGTGTGTTCTCAACTAACAGAGTTGAACCTTTGTTTTGATATGGCATTTTGGAAACACTCTTTTTGTAGAATCTGCAGGTGGATATTCGGATAGCTTTGAAGGTTTCGTTGGAAACGGGAATATCTTCATATAAAATCTAGACGGAAGCATTCTCAGAAAGTGCTTTGTGATGTTTGCATTCAAGTCACAGAGTTGAATATTCCCTTTTATAGAGCAGGTTTGAAACACTCTTTCTGCACTACCTGGAAGTGGACATTTGGATCGCTTTGAGGCCTATGTTGAAAAAGGAAATATCTTCCCATAAAAACTAGACAGAAGCATTCTCAGAAACTTGTTTTGTGATGTGTGTATTCAACTAACAGAGATGAACCTTTCTTTTTACAGAGCAGTTTTGAAACACTCTTTTTGTGGAATCTGAAAGTGGATATTTGGATAGCTTTGCGGATTTCGTTGGAAACGGGATTACATATAAAATCTAGGGAGAAGCACTCTCAGGAACTTCTTTGTGATGTTTGCATTCAAGTCACAGAACTGAACATTCCCTTTCATAGAGCAGGTTTGAAACACTCTTTCTGTAGTATCTGCAAGCGGACGTTTTAAGCGCTTTCAGGCCTGTGGTGAGAAAGGAAATATCTTCAAATAAAAACTAGACAGAAGCATTCTCAGAAACTTATTTGCGATGTGTGTCCTCAACTAACAGAGTTGAACCTTTCTTTTGATACAACATTTTGGAAACACTCTTTTTGTAGAATCTGCAAGTGGATATTTGGATAACTTTGAAGGTTTCGTTGGAAACGGGAATATCTTCATATGAAATCAAGACAGAAGCATTCTCAGAAAGTGCTTTGTGATGTTTGCATTCAAGTCACAGAGTTGAATGTTCCCTTTTATAGAGCAGGTTTGAAACACTCTTTCTGCACTACCTGGAAGTGGACATTTGGAGCGCTTTGAGGCCTATGTTGAAAAAGGAAATATCTTCCCATAAAAACTAGACAGAAGCATTCTCAGAAACTTGTTTGTGATGTGTGTATTCAACTAACAGAGATGAACCTTTCTTTTTACAGAGCAGTTTTGAAACACTCTTTTTGTGGAATCTGAAAGTGGATATTTGGATAGCTTTGCGGATTTCGTTGGAAACGGGATTACATATAAAATCTAGGGAGAAGCATTCTCAGGAACTTCTTTGTGATGTTTGCATTCACGTCACAGAACTGAACATTCCCTTTCATAGAGCATGTTTGAAACACTCTTTCTGTAGTATCTGCAAACGGACATTTCAAACGCTTTCAGGCCTATGGTGAGAAAGGAAATATCTTCAAATAAAAACTAGACAGAAGCATTGTCAGAAACTTATTTGCCATGTGTGTTCTCAACTAACAGAGTTGAACCTTTGTTTTGATACGGCATTTTGGAAACACTCTTTTTGTAGAATCTGCAGGTGGATATTCGGATAGCTTTGAAGGTTTCGTTGGAAAAGGGAATATCTTCATATAAAATCTAGACGGAAGCATTCTCAGAAACTGCTTTGTGATGTTTTCATTCAAGTCACAGTGTAGAATGTTCCCTGTTCTATACCAGGTTTGAGACACTCTTTCTGCACTACCTGGAAGTGGACGTTTGGAGCGCTTTGAGGCCTATGTTGAAAAAGGAAATATCTTCCCATAAAAACTAGACAGAAGCATTCTCAGAAACTTGTTTCTGATGTGTGTATTCAACTAACAGAGATGAACCTTTCTTTTTACAGAGTAGTTTTGAAACACTCTTTTTGTGGAATCTGAAAGTGGATATTTGGATAGCTTTGCGGATTTCGTTGGAAACGGGATTACATATAAAATCTAGAGAGAAGCATTCTCAGGAACTTCTTTGTGATGTTTGCATTCAAGTCACAGAACTGAACATTCCCTTTCATAGAGCATGTTTGAAACACTCTTTCTGTAGTATGTGCAAACGGACATTTCAAACGCTTTCAGGCCTATGGTGAGAAAGGAAATATCTTCAAATAAAAACTAGACAGAAGCATTCTCAGAAACTTATTTGCGATGTGTGTCCTCAACTAACAGAGTTGAACCTTTCTTTTGATACAACATTTTGGAAACACTCTTTTTGTAGAATCTGCAAGTGGATATTTGAATAGCTTTGAAGGTTTCGTTGGAAACGGGAATATCTTCATATAAAATCAAGACAGAAGCATTCTCAGAAACTTCTCTGTGATGTTTGCATTCAACTCATAGAGTTGAACACTTCCCTTCATACAGCAGGTTTGAAACACTCTTTTTGTAATATTTGGAAGTGGACATTTGCAGCGCTTTGAGGCCTATGATGAAAAAGGAAATATCTTCCCATAAAAACTAGACAGAAGCATTCTCAGAAACTTGTTTGTGATGTGTGTATTCAACTAACAGAGATGAACCTTTCTTTTTACAGAGCAGTTTTGAAACACTCTTTTTGTGGAATCTGAAAGTGGATATTTGGATAGCTTTGAGGATTTCGTTGGAAACGGGATTACATATAAAACCTAGAGAGAAGCATTCTCAGGAACTTCTTTGTGATGTTTGCATTCAAGTCACAGAACTGAACATTCCCTTTCATAGAGCAGGTTTGAAACACTCTTTCTGTAGTATCTGCAAGCTGACGTTTCAAGCGCTTTCAGGCCTATGGTGAGAAAGGAAATATCTTCAAGTAAAAACTAGACAGAAGCATTCTCAGAAACTTATTTGCGATGTGTGTCCTCAACTAACAGAGTTGAACCTTTCTTTTGATACAACATTTTGGAAACACTCTTTTTGTAGAATCTGCAAGTGGATATTTGAATAGCTTTGAAGGTTTCGTTGGAAACGGGAATATCTTCATATAAAATCAAGACAGAAGCATTCTCAGAAAGTGCTTTGTGATGTTTGCATTCAAGTCACAGAGTTGAATATTCCCTTTTATAGAGCAGGTTTGAAACACTCTTTCTGCACTACCTGGAAGTGGACATTCGGAGCGCTTTGAGGCCTATGTTGAAAAAGGAAATATCTTCCCATAAAAACTAGACAGAAGCATTCTCAGAAACTTGTTTGTGATGTGTGTATTCAGCTAACAGAGATGAACCTTTCTTTTTACAGAGCAGTTTTGAAACACTCTTTTTGTGGAATCTGAAAGTGGATATTTGGATAGCTTTGAGGATTTCGTTGGAAACGGTATTACATATAAAATCTAGGGAGAAGCATTCTCAGGAACTTCTTTGTGATGTTTGCATTCAAGTCACAGAACTGAACATTCCCTTTCATAGTGCAGGTTTGAAACACTCTTTCTGTAGTATCTGCAAGCTGACGTTTCAAGCGCTTTCAGGCCTGTGGTGAAAAAGGAAATATCTTCAAATAAAAACTAGACAGAAGCATTGTCAGAAACTTATTTGCCATGTGTGTTCTCAACTAACAGAGTTGAACCTTTGTTTTGATACGGCATTTTGGAAACACTCTTTTTGTAGAATCTGCAGGTGGATATTCGGATAGCTTTGAAGGTTTCGTTGGAAACGGGAATATCTTCATATAAAATCTAGACGGAAGCATTCTCAGAAACTGCTTTGTGATGTTTTCATTCAAGTCACAGAGTAGAATGTTCCCTGTTATATACCAGGTTTGAGACACTCTTTCTGCACTACCTGGAAGTGGACGTTTGGAGCGCTTTGAGGCCTATGTTGAAAAAGGAAATATCTTCCCATAAAAACTAGACAGAAGCGTTCTCAGAAACTTGTTTGTGATGTGTGTATTCAACTAACAGAGATGAACCTTTCTTTTTACAGAGCAGTTTTGAAACACTCTTTTTGTGGAATCTGAAAGTGGATATTTGGATAGCTTTGCGGATTTCGTTGGAAACCGGATTACATATAAAATCTAGGGAGAAGCATTCTCAGGAACTTCTTTGTGATGTTTGCATTCAAGTCACAGAACTGAACATTCCCTTTCATAGAGCAGGTTTGAAACACTCTTTCTGTAGTATCTGCAAGCGGACGTTTTAAGCGCTTTCAGGCCTGTGGTGAGAAAGGAAATATCTTCAAATAAAAACTAGACAGAAGCATTCTCAGAAACTTATTTGCCATGTGTGTTCTCAACTAACAGAGTTGAACCTTTGTTTTGATACGGCATTTTGGAAACACTCTTTTTGTAGAATCTGCAGGTGGATATTCGGATAGCTTTGAAGGTTTCGTTGGAAACGGGAATATCTTCATATAAAATCTAGACGGAAGCATTCTCAGAAACTTCTCTGTGATGTTTGCATTCAACTCATAGAGTTGAACACTTCCCTTCATACAGCAGGTTTGAAACACTCTTTTTGTAATATTTGGAAGTGGACATTTGCAGCGCTTTGAGGCCTATGATGAAAAAGGAAATATCTTCCCATAAAAACTAGACAGAAGCATTCTCAGAAACTTGTTTGTGATGTGTGTATTCAACTAACAGAGATGAACCTTTCTTTTTACAGAGCAGTTTTGAAACACTCTTTTTGTGGAATCTGAAAGTGGATATTTGGATAGCTTTGCGGATTTCGTTGGAAACGGGATTACATATAAAATCTAGGGAGAAGCATTCTCAGGAACTTCTTTGTGATGTTTGCATTCAAGTCACAGAACTGAACATTCCCTTTCATAGAGCAGGTTTGAAACACTCTTTCTGTAGTATCTGCAAGCGGACGTTTTAAGCGCTTTCAGGCCTGTGGTGAGAAAGGAAATATCTTCAAATAAAAACTAGACAGAAGCATTCTCAGAAACTTATTTGCGATGTGTGTCCTCAACTAACAGAGTTGAACCTTTGTTTTGATACAACATTTTGGAAACACTGTTTTTGTAGAATCTGCAAGTGGATATTTGGATAGCTTTGAAGGTTTCGTTGGAAACGGGAATATCTTCATATAAAATCAAGACAGAAGCATTCTCAGAAAGTGCTTTGTGATGTTTGCATTCAAGTCACAGAGTTGAATATTCCCTTTTATAGAGCAGGTTTGAAACACTCTTTCTGCACTACCTGGAAGTGGACATTTGGAGCGCTTTGAGGCCTATGTTGAAAAAGGAAATATCTTCCCATAAAAACTAGACAGAAGCATTCTCAGAAACTTGTTTGTGATGTGTGTATTCAACTAACAGAGATGAACCTTTCTTTTTACAGAGCAGTTTTGAAACACTCTTTTTGTGGAATCTGAAAGTGGATATTTGGATAGCTTTGAGGATTTCGTTGGAAACGGGATTACATATAAAACCTAGAGAGAAGCATTCTCAGGAACTTCTTTGTGATGTTTGCATTCAAGTCACAGAACTGAACATTCCCTTTCATAGAGCAGGTTTGAAACACTCTTTCTGTAGTATCTGCAAGCGGACGTTTCAAGCGCTTCCAGGCCTGTGGTGAAAAAGGAAATATCTTCAAATAAAAACTAGACAGAAGCATTCTCAGAAACTTATTTGCGATGTGTGTTCTCAACTAAAAGAGTTGAACCTTTGTTTGGATACAACATTTTGGAAACACTCTTTTTGTAGAATCTGCAAGTGGATATTTGGATAGCTTTGAAGGTTTCGTTGGAAACGGGAATATCTTCATATAAAATCAAGACGGAAGCATTCTCAGAAACTTCTCTGTGATGTTTGCATTCAACTCATAGAGTTGAACACTTCCTTTCATACAGCAGGTTTGGAACACTCTTTTTGTAATATTTGGAAGTGGACATTTGCAGCGCTTTGAGGCCTATGATGAAAAAGGTAATATCTTCCCATAAAAACTAGACAGAAGCATTCTCAGAAACTTGTTTGTGATGTGTGTATTCAACTAACAGAGATGAACCTTTCTTTTTACAGAGCAGTTTTGAAACACTCTTTTTGTGGAATCTGAAAGTGGATATTTGGATAGCTTTGAGGATTTCGTTGGAAACGGGATTACATATAAAACCTAGAGAGAAGCATTCTCAGGAACTTCTTTGTGATGTTTGCATTCAAGTCACAAAACTGAACATTCCCTTTCATAGAGCAGGTTTGAAACACTCTTTCTGTAGTATCTGCAAGCGGACGTTTTAAGCGCTTTCAGGCCTGTGGTGAGAAAGGAAATATCTTCAAATAAAAACTAGACAGAAGCATTCTCAGAAACTTATTTGCGATGTGTGTTCTCAACTAACAGAGTTGAACCTTTGTTTTGATACGGCATTTTGGAAACACTCTTTTTGTAGAATCTGCAGGTGGATATTCGGATAGCTTTGAAGGTTTCGTTGGAAACGGGAATATCTTCATAGAAAATCTAGACGGAAAGCATTCTCAGAAACTTCTCTGTGATGTTTGCATTCAACTCATAGAGTTGAACACTTCCCTTCATACAGCAGGTTTGAAACACTCTTTTTGTAATATTTGGAAGTGGACATTTGCAGCGCTTTGAGGCCTATGATGAAAAAGGAAATATCTTCCCATAAAAACTAGACAGAAGCATTCTCAGAAACTTGTTTGTGATGTGTGTATTCAACTAACAGAGATGAACCTTTCTTTTTACAGAGCAGTTTTGAAACACTCTTTTTGTTGAATCTGAACGTGGATATTTGGATAGCTTTGCGGATTTCGTTGGAAACGGGATTACATATAAAATCTAGGGAGAAGCATTCTCAGGAACTTCTTTGTGATGTTTGCATTCAAGACACAAAACTGAACATTCCCTTTCATAGAGCATGTTTGAAACACTCTTTCTGTAGTATCTGCAAGCGGACGTTTCAAGCGCTTTCAGGCCTATGGTGAGAAAGGAAATATCTTCAAGTAAAAACTAGACAGAAGCATTCTCAGAAACTTATTTGCCATGTGTGTTCTCAACTAACAGAGTTGAACCTTTGTTTTGATACGGCATTTTGGAAACACTCTTTTTGTAGAATCTGCAGGTGGATATTCGGATAGCTTTGAAGGTTTCGTTGGAAACGGGAATATCTTCATATAAAATCTAGACGGAAGCATTCTCAGAAACTGCTTTGTGATGTTTTCATTCAAGTCACAGAGTAGAATCTTCCCTGTTATATACCAGGTTTCAGACACTCTTTCTGCACTACCTGGAAGTGGACATTTGCAGCGCTTTGAGGCCTATGATGAAAAAGGAAATATCTTCCCATAAAAACTAGACAGAAGCATTCTCAGAAACTTGTTTGTGATGTGTGTATTCAACTAACAGAGATGAACCTTTCTTTTTACAGAGCAGTTTTGAAACACTCTTTTTGTGGAATCTGAAAGTGGATATTTGGATATCTTTGAGGATTTCTTTGGAAACGGGATTACATATAAAATCTAGAGAGAGAAGCATTCTCAGGAACTTCTTTGCGATGTTTGCATTCAAGTCACAGAACTGAACATTCCCTTTCATAGAGCAGGTTTGAAACACTCTTTCTGTAGTATCTGCAAGCTGACGTTTCAAGCGCTTTCAGGCCTATGGTGAGAAAGGAAATATCTTCAAGTAAAAACTAGACAGAAGCATTCTCAGAAACTTATTTGCGATGTGTGTTCTCAACTAACAGAGTTGAACCTTTGTTTTGATATGGCATTTTGGAAACACTCTTTTTGTAGAATCTGCAGGTGGATATTCGGATAGCTTTGAAGGTTTCGTTGGAAACGGGAATATCTTCATATAAAATCTAGACGGAAGCATTCTCAGAAACTGCTTTGTGATGTTTTCATTCAAGTCACAGAGTAGAATGTTCCCTGTTATATACCAGGTTTGAGACACTCTTTCTGCACTACCTGGAAGTGGACATTTGCAGCGCTTTGAGGCCTATGATGAAAAAGGAAATATCTTCCCATAAAAACTAGACAGAAGCATTCTCAGAAACTTGTTTGTGATGTGTGTATTCAACTAACAGAGATGAACCTTTCTTTTTACAGAGCAGTTTTGAAACACTCTTTTTGTGGAATCTGAAAGTGGATATTTGGATAGCTTTGAGGATTTCGTTGGAAACGGGATTACATATAAAACCTAGAGAGAAGCATTCCTCAGGAACTTCTTTGTGATGTTTGCATTCACGTCACAGAACTGAACATTCCCTTTCATAGAGCATGTTTGAAACACTCTTTCTGTAGTATCTGCAAACGGACATTTCAAACGCTTTCAGGCCTATGGTGAGAAAGGAAATATCTTCAAGTAAAAACTAGACAGAAGCATTCTCAGAAACTTCTTTGTGCTGTATGTCCTCAATTAACAGAGTTGAACCTTTGTGTGGATACAGCATTTTGGAAACATTCCTTTAGTAGAATCTGCAAGTTGATATTTAGATAGCTAGGAAGATTTCCTTGGAAACGGGAATATCTTCATATAAAATCTAGACGGAAGCATTCTCACAAAGTGCTTTGTGATGTTTGCATTCAAGTCACAGAGTTGAATATTCCCTTTTATAGAGCAGGTTTGAAACACTCTTTCTGCACTACCTGGAAGTGGACATTTGGAGCGCTTTGAGGCCTATGTTGAAAAAGGAAATATCTTCCCATAAAAACTAGACAGAAGCATTCTCAGAAACTTGTTTGTGATGTGTGTATTCAACTAACAGAGATGAACCTTTCTTTTTACAGAGCAGTTTTGAAACACTCTTTTTGTGGAATCTGAAAGTGGATATTTGGATAGCTTTGAGGATTTCGTTGGAAACGGGATTACATATAAAATCTAGAGAGAAGCATTCTCAGGAACTTCTTTGTGATGTTTGCATTCAAGTCACAGAACTGAACATTCCCTTTCATAGAGCAGGTTTGAAACACTCTTTCTGTAGTATCTGCAAGCGAACGTTTCAAGCGCTTTCAGGCCTATGGTGAGAAAGGAAATATCTTCAAGTAAAAACTAGACAGAAGCATTCTCAGAAACTTATTTGCCATGTGTGTTCTCAACTAACAGAGGTGAACCTTTGTTTTGATACGGCATTTTGGAAACACTCTTTTTGTAGAATCTGCAGGTGGATATTCGGATAGCTTTGAAGGTTTCGTTGGAAACTTGAATATCTTCATATAAAATCTAGACGGAAAGCATTCTCAGAAAGTGCTTTGTGATGTTTGCATTCAAGTCACAGAGTTGAATATTCCCTTTTACAGAGTAGGTTTGAAACACTCTTTCTGCACTACCTGGAAGTGGACATTTGGAGCGCTTTGAGGCCTATGTTGAAAAAGGAAATATCTTCCCATAAAAACTAGACAGAAGCATTCTCAGAAACTTGTTTGTGATGTGTGTATTCAACTACCAGAGATGAACCTTTCTTTTTACAGAGCAGTTTTGAAACACTCTTTTTGTGGAATCTGAAAGTGGATATTTGGATAGCTTTGAGGATTTCGTTGGAAACGGGATTACATATAAAACCTAGAGAGAAGCATTCTCAGGAACTTCTTTGTGATATTTGCATTCAAGTCACAGAACTGAACATTCCCTTTCATAGAGCATGTTTGAAACACTCTTTCTGTAGTATCTGCAAGCTGACGTTTCAAGCGCTTTCAGGCCTATGGTGAGAAAGGAAATATCTTCAAGTAAAAACTAGACAGAAGCATTCTCAGAAACTTATTTGCCATGTGTGTTCTCAACTAACAGAGTTGAACCTTTGTTTTGATACGGCATTTTGGAAACACTCTTTTTGTAGAATCTGCAGGTGGATATTCGGATAGCTTTGAAGGATTCGTTGGAAACGGGAATATCTTCATATAAAATCTAGACGGAAGCATTCTCACAAAGTGATTTGTGGTGTTTGCATTCAAGTCACAGAGTTGAATATTCCCTTTTATAGAGCATGTTTGAAACACTCTTTCTGCACTACCTGGAAGTGGACATTTGGAGCGCTTTGAGGCCTATGTTGAAAAAGGAAATATCTTCCCATAAAAACTAGACAGAAGCATTCTCAGAAACTTGTTTGTGATGTGTGTATTCAACTAACAGAGATGAACCTTTCTTTTTACAGAGCAGTTTTCAAACACTCTTTTTGTGGAATCTGAAAGTGGATATGTGGATAGCTTTGAGGATTTCGTTGGAAACGGGATTACATATAAAATCTAGAGAGAAGCATTCTCAGGAACTTCTTTGTGATGTTTGCATTCAAGACACAAAACTGAACATTCCCTTTCATACAGCATGTTTGAAACACTCTTTCTGTAGTATCTGCAAGCGGACGTTTCAAGCGCTTTCAGGCCTTTGGTGAGAAAGGAAATATCTTCAAGTAAAAACTAGACAGAAGCATTCTCAGAAACTTATTTGCGATGTGTGTCCTCAACTAACAGAGTTGAACCTTTCTTTTGATACAACATTTTGGAAACACTCTTTTTGTAGAATCTGCAAGTGGATATTTGGATAGCTTTGAAGGTTTCGTTGGAAACGGGAATATCTTCATATGAAATCAAGACAGAAGCATTCTCAGAAAGTGCTTTGTGATGTTTGCATTCAAGTCACAGAGTTGAATATTCCCTTTTATAGAGCAGGTTTGAAACACTCTTTCTGCACTACCTGGAAGTGGACATTTGGAGCGCTTTGAGGCCTATGTTGAAAAAGGAAATATCTTCCCATAAAAACTAGACAGAAGCATTCTCAGAAACTTGTTTGTGATGTGTGTATTCAACTAACAGAGATGAACCTTTCTTTTTACAGAGCAGTTTTGAAACACTCTTTTTGTGGAATCTGAAAGTGGATATTTGGATAGCTTTGAGGATTTCGTTGGAAACGGGATTACATATAAAACCTAGAGAGAAGCATTCTCAGGAACTTCTTTGTGATGTTTGCATTCAAGTCACAGAACTGAACATTCCCTTTCATAGAGCAGGTTTGAAACACTCTTTCTGTAGTATCTGCAAGCGGACGTTTTAAGCGCTTTCAGGCCTGTGGTGAGAAAGGAAATATCTTCAAATAAAAACTAGACAGAAGCATTCTCAGAAACTTATTTGCGATGTGTGTTCTCAACTAACAGAGTTGAACCTTTGTTTTGATATGGCATTTTGGAAACACTCTTTTTGTAGAATCTGCAGGTGGATATTCGGATAGCTTTGAAGGTTTCGTTGGAAACGGGAATATCTTCATATAAAATCTAGACGGAAGCATTCTCAGAAAGTGCTTTGTGATGTTTGCATTCAAGTCACAGAGTTGAATATTCCCTTTTATAGAGCAGGTTTGAAACACTCTTTCTGCACTACCTGGAAGTGGACATTTGGAGCGCTTTGAGGCCTATGTTGAAAAAGGAAATATCTTCCCATAAAAACTAGACAGAAGCATTCTCAGAAACTTGTTTGTGATGTGTGTATTCAACTAACAGAGATGAACCTTTCTTTTTACAGAGCAGTTTTGAAACACTCTTTTTGTGGAATCTGAAAGTGGATATTTGGATAGCTTTGAGGATTTCGTTGGAAACGGGATTACATATAAAACCTAGAGAGAAGCATTCTCAGGAACTTCTTTGTGATGTTTGCATTCACGTCACAGAACTGAACATTCCCTTTCATAGAGCATGTTTGAAACACTCTTTCTGTAGTATCTGCAAACGGACATTTCAAACGCTTTCAGGCCTATGGTGAGAAAGGAAATATCTTCAAATAAAAACTAGACAGAAGCATTCTCAGAAACTTATTTGCGATGTGTGTTCTCAACTAACAGAGTTGAACCTTTGTTTTGATATGGCATTTTGGAAACACTCTTTTTGTAGAATCTGCAGGTGGATATTCGGATAGCTTTGAAGGTTTCGTTGGAAACGGGAATATCTTCATATAAAATCTAGACGGAAGCATTCTCAGAAACTTCTCTGTGATGTTTGCATTCAACTCATAGAGTTGAACACTTCCCTTCATACAGCAGGTTTGAAACACTCTTTTTGTAATATTTGGAAGTGGACATTTGCAGCGCTTTGAGGCCTATGATGAAAAAGGTAATATCTTCCCATAAAAACTAGACAGAAGCATTCTCAGAAACTTGTTTGTGATGTGTGTATTCAACTAACAGAGATGAACCTTTCTTTTTACAGAGCAGTTTTGAAACACTCTTTTTGTGGAATCTGAAAGTGGATATTTGGATAGCTTTGAGGATTTCGTTGGAAACGGGATTACATATAAAACCTAGAGAGAAGCATTCTCAGGAACTTCTTTGTGATGTTTGCATTCAAGTCACAGAACTGAACATTCCCTTTCATAGAGCATGTTTGAAACACTCTTTCTGTAGTATCTGCAAGCGGACGTTTCAAGCGCTTTCAGGCCTATGGTGAGAAAGGAAATATCTTCAAGTAAAAACTAGACAGAAGCATTCTCAGAAACTTATTTGCGATGTGTGTTCTCAACTAACAGAGTTGAACCTTTGTTTTGATATGGCATTTTGGAAACACTCTTTTTGTAGAATCTGCAGGTGGATATTCGGATAGCTTTGAAGGTTTCGTTGGAAACGGGAATATCTTCATATAAAATCTAGACGGAAGCATTCTCAGAAAGTGCTTTGTGATGTTTGCATTCAAGTCACAGAGTTGAATATTCCCTTTTGTAGAGCAGGTTTGAAACACTCTTTCTGCACTACCTGGAAGTGGACATTTGGAGCGCTTTGAGGCCTATGTTGAAAAAGGAAATATCTTCCCATAAAAACTAGACAGAAGCATTCTCAGAAACTTGTTTGTGATGTGTGTATTCAACTAACAGAGATGAACCTTTCTTTTTACAGAGCAGTTTTGAAACACTCTTTTTGTGGAATCTGAAAGTGGATATTTGGATAGCTTTGAGGATTTCGTTGGAAACGGGATTACATATAAAATCTAGAGAGAGGAAGCATTCTCAGGAACTTCTTTGTGATGTTTGCATTCACGTCACAGAACTGAACATTCCCTTTCATAGAGCATGTTTGAAACACTCTTTCTGTAGTATCTGCAAACGGACATTTCAAACGCTTTCAGGCCTATGGTGAGAAAGGAAATATCTTCAAATAAAAACTAGACAGAAGCATTCTCAGAAACTTATTTGCGATGTGTGTCCTCAACTAACAGAGTTGAACCTTTGTTTTGATACAACATTTTGGAAACACTCTTTTTGTAGAATCTGCAAGTGGATATTTGGATAGCTTTGAAGGTTTCGTTGGAAACGGGAATATCTTCATATAAAATCAAGACAGAAGCATTCTCAGAAACTGCTTTGTGATGTTTTCATTCAAGTCACAGAGTAGAATGTTCCCTGTTATATACCAGGTTTGAGACACTCTTTCTGCACTACCTGGAAGTGGACGTTTGGAGCGCTTTGAGGCCTATGTTGAAAAAGGAAATATCTTCCCATAAAAACTAGACAGAAGCATTCTCAGAAACTTGTTTGTGAATGTGTGTATTCAACTAACAGAGATGAACCTTTCTTTTTACAGAGCAGTTTTGAAACACTCTTTTTGTGGAATCTGAAAGTGGATATTTGGATAGCTTTGCGGATTTCGTTGGAAACGGGATTACATATAAAATCTAGGGAGAAGCATTCTCAGGAACTTCTTTGTGATGTTTGCATTCAAGTCACAGAACTGAACATTCCCTTTCATAGAGCAGGTTTGAAACACTCTTTCTGTAGTATCTGCAAGCGGACGTTTTAAGCGCTTTCAGGCCTGTGGTGAGAAAGGAAATATCTTCAAATAAAAACTAGACAGAAGCATTCTCAGAAACTTATTTGCGATGTGTGTCCTCAACTAACAGAGTTGAACCTTTCTTTTGATACAACATTTTGGAAACACTCTTTTTGTGGAATCTGCAAGTGGATATTTGGATAGCTTTGAAGGTTTCGTTGGAAACGGGAATATCTTCATATAAAATCAAGACAGAAGCATTCTCAGAAACTTCTCTGTGATGTTTGCATTCAACTCATAGAGTTGAACACTTCCCTTCATACAGCAGGTTTGAAACACTCTTTTTCTAATATTTGGAAGTGGACTTTTGCAGCGCTTTGAAGCCTATAATGAAAAAGGTAATATCTTCCCATAAAAACTAGACAGAAGCATTCTCAGAAACTTGTTTGTGATGTGTGTATTCAACTAACAGAGATGAACCTTTCTTTTTACAGAGCAGTTTTGAAACACTCTTTTTGTGGAATCTGAAAGTGGATATTTGGATAGCTTTGAGGATTTCGTTGGAAACGGGATTACATATAAAATCTAGAGAGAAGCATTCTCAGAAACTTCTCTGTGATGTTTGCATTCAACTCATAGAGTTGAACACTTCCTTTCATAGAGCTGGTTTGAAATACTCTTTTTGTAATATTTGGAAGTGGACATTGGCAGCGCTTTGAAGCCTATGGTGAAAAAGGAGATATCTTCTCCTAAAAACCAGACAGAACCATTCTCAGAAACTTATTTGAGATGTGTGTTCTCAACTAACAGAGTTGAACCTTTCTTTTGATACAACATTTTGGAACCACTCTTTTTGTAGAATCTGCAGGTGGATATTCGGATAGCTTTGAAGGTTTCGTTGGAAACGGGAATATCTTCATATAAAATCTAGACGGAAGCATTCTCAGAAAGTGCTTTGTGATGTTTGCATTCAAGTCACAGAGTTGAATATTCCCTTTTATAGAGCAGGTTTGAAACACTCTTTCTGCACTACCTGGAAGTGGACATTTGGAGCGCTTTGAGGCCTATGTTGAAAAAGGAAATATCTTCCCATAAAAACTAGACAGAAGCATTCTCAGAAACTTGTTTGTGATGTGTGTATTCAACTAACAGAGATGAACCTTTCTTTTTACAGAGCAGTTTGGAAACACTCTTTTTGTGGAATCTGAAAGTGGATATTTGGATAGCTTTGAGGATTTCGTTGGAAACGGGATTACATATAAAATCTAGAGAGAAGCATTCTCAGGAACTTCTTTGTGATGTTTGCATTCAAGTCACAGAACTGAACATTCCCTTTCATAGAGCAGGTTTGAAACACTCTTTCTGTAGTATCTGCAAGTGGACGTTTCAAGCGCTTTCAGGCCTGTGGTGAAAAAGGAAATATCTTCAAATAAAAACTAGACAGAAGCATTCTCAGAAACTTCTTTGTGCTGTATGTCCTCAATTAACAGAGTTGAACCTTTGTGTGGATACAGCATTTTGGAAACACTCCTTTAGTAGGATATGCAAGTTGATATTTAGATAGCTAGGAAGATTTCCTTGGAAACGGGAATATCTTCATATAAAATCTAGACGGAAGCATTCTCAGAAAGTGCTTTGTGATGTTTGCATTCAAGTCACACAGTTGAATATTCCCTTTTATAGAGCAGGTTTGAAACACTCTTTCTGCACTACCTGGAAGTGGACATTTGGAGCGCTTTGAGGCCTATGTTGAAAAAGGAAATATCTTCCCATAAAAACTAGACAGAAGCATTCTCAGAAACTTGTTTGTGATGTGTGTATTCAACTAACAGAGATGAACCTTTCTTTTTACAGAGCAGTTTTGAAACACTCTTTTTGTGGAATCTGAAAGTGGATATTTGGATAGCTTTGAGGATTTCGTTGGAAACGGGATTACATATAAAACCTAGAGAGAAGCATTCTCAGGAACTTCTTTGTGATGTTTGCATTCAAGTCACAGAACTGAACATTCCCTTTCATAGAGCAGGTTTGAAACACTCTTTCTGTAGTATCTGCAAGCTGACGTTTCAAGCGCTTTCAGGCCTATGGTGAGAAAGGAAATATCTTCAAGTAAAAACTAGACAGAAGCATTCTCAGAAACTTATTTGCCATGTGTGTTCTCAACTAACAGAGTTGAACCTTTGTTTTGATACGGCATTTTGGAAACACTCTTTTTGTAGAATCTGCAGGTGGATATTCGGATAGCTTTGAAGGTTTCGTTGGAAACGGGAATATCTTCATATAAAATCTAGACGGAAGCATTCTCAGAAACTGCTTTGTGATGTTTTCATTGAAGTCACAGAGTAGAATGTTCCCTTTTATATACCAGGTTTGAGACACTCTTTCTGCACTATCTGGAAGTGGACATTTGGAGCGCTTTGAGGCCTATGATGAAAAAGGAAATATCTTCCCATAAAAACTAGACAGAAGCATTCTCAGAAACTTGTTTGTGATGTGTGTATTCAACTAACAGAGATGAACCTTTCTTTTTACAGAGCAGTTTTGAAACACTCTTTTTGTGGAATCTGAAAGTGGATATTTGGATAGCTTTGAGGATTTCGTTGGAAACGGGATTACATATAAAACCTAGAGAGAAGCATTCTCAGGAACTTCTTTGTGATGTTTGCATTCAAGTCACAGAACTGAACATTCCCTTTCATAGAGCAGGTTTGAAACACTCTTTCTGTAGTATCTGCAAGCGGACGTTTTAAGCGCTTTCAGGCCTGTGGTGAGAAAGGAAATATCTTCAAATAAAAACTAGACAGAAGCATTCTCAGAAACTTATTTGCGATGTGTGTCCTCAACTAACAGAGTTGAACCTTTCTTTTGATACAACATTTTGGAAACACTCTTTTTGTAGAATCTGCAAGTGGATATTTGGATAGCTTTGAAGGTTTCGTTGGAAACGGGAATATCTTCATATGAAATCAAGACAGAAGCATTCTCAGAAAGTGCTTTGTGATGTTTGCATTCAAGTCACAGAGTTGAATATTCCCTTTTATAGAGCAGGTTTGAAACACTCTTTCTGCACTACCTGGAAGTGGACATTTGGAGCGCTTTGAGGCCTATGTTGAAAAAGGAAATATCTTCCCATAAAAACTAGACAGAAGCATTCTCAGAAACTTGTTTGTGATGTGTGTATTCAACTAACAGAGATGAACCTTTCTTTTTACAGAGCAGTTTTGAAACACTCTTTTTGTGGAATCTGAAAGTGGATATTTGGATAGCTTTGCGGATTTCGTTGGAAACGGGATTACATATAAAATCTAGGGAGAAGCATTCTCAGGAACTTCTTTGTGATGTTTGCATTCACGTCACAGAACTGAACATTCCCTTTCATAGAGCATGTTTGAAACACTCTTTCTGTAGTATCTGCAAACGGACATTTCAAACGCTTTCAGGCCCATGGTGAGAAAGGAAATATCTTCAAGTAAAAACTAGACAGAAGCATTCTCAGAAACTTATTTGCCATGTGTGTTCTCAACTAACAGAGTTGAACCTTTGTTTTGATACGGCATTTTGGAAACACTCTTTTTGTAGAATCTGCAGGTGGATATTCGGATAGTTTTGAAGGTTTCGTTGGAAACGGGAATATCTTCATATAAAATCTAGACGGAAGCATTCTCAGAAACTGCTTTGTGATGTTTTCATTCAAGTCACAGAGTAGAATGTTCCCTGTTATATACCAGGTTTGAGACACTCTTTCTGCACTACCTGGAAGTGGACGTTTGGAGCGCTTTGAGGCCTGTGTTGAAAAAGGAAATATCTTCCCATAAAAACTAGACAGAAGCATTCTCAGAAACTTGTTTGTGATGTGTGTATTCAACTAACAGAGATGAACCTTTCTTTTTACAGAGCAGTTTTGAAACACTCTTTTTGTGGAATCTGAAAGTGGATATTTGGATAGCTTTGAGGATTTCGTTGGAAACGGGATTACATATAAAACCTAGAGAGAAGCATTCTCAGGAACTTCTTTGTGATGTTTGCATTCACGTCACAGAACTGAACATTCCCTTTCATAGAGCATGTTTGAAACACTCTTTCTGTAGTATCTGCAAACGGACATTTCAAACGCTTTCAGGCCTATGGTGAGAAAGGAAATATCTTCAAATAAAAACTAGACAGAAGCATTCTCAGAAACTTGTTTGCGATGTGTTTCCTCAACTAACAGAGTTGAACCTTTCTTTTGATACAACATTTTGGAAACACTCTTTTTGTAGAATCTGCAAGTGGATATTTGGATAGCTTTGAAGGTTTCTTTGGAAACGGGAATATCTTCATATAAAATCAAGACAGAAGCATTCTCAGAAAGTGCTTTGTGATGTTTGCATTCAAGTCACAGAGTTGAGTATTCCCTTTTATAGAGCAGGTTTGAAACACTCTTTCTGCACTACCTGGAAGTGGACATTTGGAGCGCTTTGAGGCCTATGTTGAAAAAGGAAATATCTTCCCATAAAAACTAGACAGAAGCATTCTCAGAAACTTGTTTGTGATGTGTGTATTCAACTAACAGAGATGAACCTTTCTTTTTACAGAGCAGTTTTGAAACACTCTTTTTGTGGAATCTGAAAGTGGATATTTGGATAGCTTTGAGGATTTCGTTGGAAACGGGATTACATATAAAACCTAGAGAGAAGCATTCTCAGGAACTTCTTTGTGATGTTTGCATTCACGTCACAGAACTGAACATTCCCTTTCATAGAGCAGGTTTGAAACACTCTTTCTGTAGTATCTGCAAGCTGACGTTTCAAGCGCTTTCAGGCCTATGGTGAGAAAGGAAATATCTTCAAGTAAAAACTAGACAGAAGCATTCTCAGAAACTTATTTGCGATGTGTGTCCTCAACTAACAGAGTTGAACCTTTCTTTTGATACAACATTTTGGAAACACTCTTTTTGTAGAATCTGCAAGTGGATATTTGAATAGCTTTGAAGGTTTCGTTGGAAACGGGAATATCTTCATATAAAATCAAGACAGAAGCATTCTCAGAAACTGCTTTGTGATGTTTTCATTCAAGTCACAGAGTAGAATGTTCCCTGTTACATACCAGGTTTGAGACACTCTTTCTGCACTACCTGGAAGTGGACGTTTGGAGCGCTTTGAGGCCTATGTTGAAAAAGGAAATATCTTCCCATAAAAACTAGACAGAAGCATTCTCAGAAACTTGTTTGTGATGTGTGTATTCAACTAACAGAGATGAACCTTTCTTTTTACAGAGCAGTTTTGAAACACTCTTTTTGTGGAATCTGAAAGTGGATATTTGGATAGCTTTGAGGATTTCGTTGGAAACGGGATTACATATAAAATCTAGAGAGAAGCATTCTCAGGAACTTCTTTGTGATGTTTGCATTCAAGTCACAGAACTGAACATTCCCTTTCATAGAGCAGGTTTGAAACACTCTTTCTGTAGTATCTGCAAGCGGACGTTTTAAGCGCTTTCAGGCCTGTGGTGAGAAAGGAAATATCTTCAAATAAAAACTAGACAGAAGCATTCTCAGAAACTTATTTGCGATGTGTGTTCTCAACTAACAGAGTTGAACCTTTGTTTTGATATGGCATTTTGGAAACACTCTTTTTGTAGAATCTGCAGGTGGATATTCGGATAGCTTTGAACGTTTCGTTGGAAACGGGAATATCTTCATATAAAATCTAGACGGAAGCATTCTCAGAAAGTGCTTTGTGATGTTTGCATTCAAGTCACAGAGTTGAATATTCCCTTTTATAGAGCAGGTTTGAAACACTCTTTCTGCACTACCTGGAAGTGGACATTTGGAGCGCTTTGAGGCCTATGTTGAAAAAGGAAATATCTTCCCATAAAAACTAGACAGAAGCATTCTCAGAAACTTGTTTGTGATGTGTGTATTCAACTAACAGAGATGAACCTTTCTTTTTACAGAGCAGTTTTGAAACACTCTTTTTGTGGAATCTGAAAGTGGATATTTGGATAGCTTTGAGGATTTCGTTGGAAACGGGATTACATATAAAACCTAGAGAGAAGCATTCTCAGGAACTTCTTTGTGATGTTTTCATTCAAGTCACAGAACTGAACATTCCCTTTCATAGAGCAGGTTTGAAACACTCTTTCTGTAGTATCTGCAAGCTGACGTTTCAAGCGCTTTCAGGCCTATGGTGAGAAAGGAAATATCTTCAAGTAAAAACTAGACAGAAGCATTCTCAGAAACTTCTTTGCGATGTGTGTTCTCAACTAACAGAGTTGAACCTTTGTTTTGATATGGCATTTTGGAAACACTCTTTTTGTAGAATCTGCAGGTGGATATTCGGATAGCTTTGAAGGTTTCGTTGGAAACGGGAATATCTTCATATAAAATCTAGACGGAAGCATTCTCAGAAACTGCTTTGTGATGTTTTCATTCAAGTCACAGAGTAGAATGTTCCCTGTTATATACCAGGTTTGAGACACTCTTTCTGCACTACCTGGAAGTGGACATTTGCAGCGCTTTGAGGCCTATGATGAAAAAGGAAATATCTTCCCATAAAAACTAGACAGAAGCATTCTCAGAAACTTGTTTGTGATGTGTGTATTCAACTAACAGAGATGAACCTTTCTTTTTACAGAGCAGTTTTGAAACACTCTTTTTGTGGAATCTGAAAGTGGATATTTGGATAGCTTTGCGGATTTCGTTGGAAACGGGATTACATATAAAATCTAGGGAGAAGCATTCTCAGGAACTTCTTCGTGATGTTTGCATTCAAGTCACAGAACTGAACATTCCCTTTCATAGTGCAGGTTTGAAACACTCTTTCTGTAGTATCTGCAAGCTGACGTTTCAAGCGCTTTCAGGCCTGTGGTGAAAAAGGAAATATCTTCAAATAAAAACTAGACAGAAGCATTCTCAGAAACTTATTTGCCATGTGTGTTCTCAACTAACAGAGTTGAACCTTTGTTTTGATACGGCATTTTGGAAACACTCTTTTTGTAGAATCTGCAGGTGGATATTCGGATAGCTTTGAAGGTTTCGTTGGAAACGGGAATATCTTCATATAAAATCTAGACGGAAGCATTCTCAGAAAGTGCTTTGTGATGTTTGCATTCAAGTCACAGAGTTGAATATTCCCTTTTATAGAGCAGGTCTGAAACACTCTTTCTGCACTACCTGGAAGTGGACATTTGGAACGCTTTGAGGCCTATGTTGAAAAAGGAAATATCTTCCCATAAAAACTAGACAGAAGCATTCTCAGAAACTTGTTTGTGATGTGTGTATTCAACTAACAGAGATGAATCTTTCTTTTTACAGAGCAGTTTTGAAACACTTTTTTTGTGGAATCTGAAAGTGGTTATTTGGATAGCTTTGAGGATTTCGTTGGAAACGGGATTACATATAAAACCTAGAGAGAAGCATTCTCAGGAACTTCTTTGTGATGTTTGCATTCAAGTCACAGAACTGAACATTCCCTTTCATAGAGCAGGTTTGAAACACTCTTTCTGTAGTATCTGCAAGCTGACGTTTCATGCGCTTTCAGGCCTATGGTGAGAAAGGAAATATCTTCAAGTAAAAACTAGACAGAAGCATTCTCAGAAACTTATTTGCGATGTGTGTTCTCAGCTAACAGAGTTGAACCTTTGTTTTGATACAGCATTTTGGAAACACTCTTTTTGTAGGATCTGCAGGTGGATATTTGGATAGCTTTGAAGGTTTCTTTGGAAACGGGAATATCTTCATATAAAATCAAGACAGAAGCATTCTCAGAAAGTGCTTTGTGATGTTTGCATTCAAGTCACAGAGTTGAATATTCCCTTTTATAGAGCAGGTCTGAAACACTCTTTCTGCACTACCTGGAAGTGGACATTTGGAACGCTTTGAGGCCTATGTTGAAAAAGGAAATATCTTCCCATAAAAACTAGACAGAAGCATTCTCAGAAACTTGTTTGTGATGTGTGTATTCAACTAACAGAGATGAACCTTTCTTTTTACAGAGCAGTTTTGAAACACTCCTTTTGTGGAATCTGAAAGTGGATATTTGGATAGCTTTGAGGATTTCATTGGAAACGGGATTACATATAAAACCTAGAGAGAAGCATTCTCAGGAACTTCTTTGTGATGTTTGCATTCAAGTCACAGAACTGAACATTCCCTTTCATAGAGCAGGTTTGAAACACTCTTTCTGTAGTATCTGCAAGCTGACGTTTCAAGCGCTTTCAGGCCTATGGTGAGAAAGGAAATATCTTCAAGTAAAAACTAGACAGAAGCATTCTCAGAAACTTATTTGCGATGTGTGTCCTCAACTAACAGAGTTGAAACTTTCTTTTGATACAACATTTTGGAAACACTCTTTTTGTAGAATCTGCAAGTGGATATTTGGATAGCTTTGAAGGTTTCGTTGGAAACGGGAATATCTTCATATGAAATCAAGACAGAAGCATTCTCAGAAACTTCTCTGTGATGTTTGCATTCAACTCATAGAGTTGAACACTTCCCTTCATAGAGCAGGTTTGAAACACTCTTTTTGTAATATTTGGAAGTGGACATTTGCAGCGCTTTGAGGCCTATGTTGAAAAAGGAAATATCTTCTCCTAAAAACCAGACAGGAAGCATTCTCAGAAACTTGTTTGTGATGTGTGTATTCAACTAACAGAGATGAACCTTTCTTTTTACAGAGCAGTTTTGAAACACTCTTTTTGTGGAATCTGAAAGTGGATATTTGGATAGCTTTGAGGATTTCGTTGGAAACGGGATTACATATAAAACCTAGAGAGAAGCATTCTCAGGAACTTCTTTGTGATGTTTGCATTCAAGTCACAGAACTTAACATTCCCTGTCATAGAGCATGTTTGAAACACTCTTTCTGTAGTATCTGCAAGCGGACGTTTCAAGCGCTTTCAGGCCTATGGTGAGAAAGGAAATATCTTCAAGTAAAAACTAGACAGAAGCATTCTCAGAAACTTATTTGCGGTGTGTGTTCTCAACTAAAAGAGTTGAACCTTTGTTTGGATACAACATTTCGGAAACACTCTTTTTGTAGAATCTGTAAGTGGATATTTGGATAGCTTTGAAGGTTTCGTTGGAAACGGGAATATCTTCATATAAAATCAAGACAGAAAGCATTCTCAGAAACTGCTTTGTGATGTTTTTATTCAAGTCACAGAGTAGAATGTTCCCTTTTATATACCAGGTTTGAGACACTCTTTCTGCACTATCTGGAAGTGGACATTTGGAGCGCTTTGAGGCCTATGATGAAAAAGGAAATATCTTCCCATAAAAACTAGACAGAAGCATTCTCAGAAACTTGTTTGTGATGTGTGTATTCAACTAACAGAGATGAACCTTTCTTTTTACAGAGCAGTTTTGAAACACTCTTTTTGTGGAATCTGAAAGTGGATATTTGGATAGCTTTGAGGATTTCGTTGGAAACGGGATTACATATAAAATCTAGAGAGAAGCATTCTCAGGAACTTCTTTGTGATGTTTGCATTCACGTCACAGAACTGAACATTCCCTTTCATAGAGCATGTTTGAAACACTCTTTCTGTAGTATCTGCAAACGGACATTTCAAACGCTTTCAGGCCTATGGTGAGAAAGGAAATATCTTCAAGTGAAAACTAGACAGAAGCATTCTCAGAAACTTCTTTGTGCTGTATGTCCTCAATTAACAGAGTTGAACCTTTGTGTGGATACAGCATTTTGGAAACATTCCTTTAGTAGAATCTGCAAGTTGATATTTAGATAGCTAGGAAGATTTCCTTGGAAAAGGGAATATCTTCATATAAAATCTAGACGGAAGCATTCTCAGAAAGTGCTTTGTGATGTTTGCATTCAAGTCACAGAGTTGAATATTCCGTTTTATAGAGCAGGTTTGAAACACTCTTTCTGCACTACGTGGAAGTGGACATTTGGAGCGCTTTGAGGCCTATGTTGAAAAAGGAAATATCTTCCCATAAAAACTAGACAGAAGAATTCTCAGAAACTTGTTTGTGATGTGTGTATTCAACTAACAGAGATGAACCTTTCTTTCTACAGAGCAGTTTTGAAACACTCTTTTTGTGGAATCTGAAAGTGGATATTTGGATAGCTTTGAGGATTTCGTTGGAAACGGGATTACATATAAAATCTAGAGAGAAGCATTCTCAGGAACTTCTTTGTGATGTTTGCCTTCAAGTCACAGGACTGAACATTCCCTTTCATAGAGCAGGTTTGAAACACTCTTTCTGTAGTATCTGCAAGCTGACGTTTCAAGCGCTTTCAGGCCTATGGTGAGAAAGGAAATATCTTCAAGTAAAAACTAGACAGAAGCATTCTCAGAAACTTATTTGCGATGTGTGTCCTCAACTAACAGAGTTGAACCTTTCTTTTGATACAACATTTTGGAAACACTCTTTTTGTGGAATCTGCAAGTGGATATTTGGATAGCTTTGAAGATTTCGTTGGAAACGGGAATATCTTCATATAAAATCAAGACAGAAGCATTCTCAGAAAGTGCTTTGTGATGTTTGCATTCAAGTCACAGAGTTGAATATTCCCTTTTATAGAGCAGGTTTGAAACACTCTTTCTGCACTACCTGGAAGTGGACATTTGGAGCGCTTTGAGGCCTATGTTGAAAAAGGAAATATCTTCCCATAAAAACTAGACAGAAGCATTCTCAGAAACTTGTTTGTGATGTGTGTATTCAACTAACAGAGATGAACCTTTCTTTTTAGAGAACAGTTTTGAAACACTCTTTTTGTGGAATCTTAAAGTGGATATTTGGATAGCTTTGAGGATTTCGTTGGAAACGGGATTACATATAAAATCTAGAGAGAAGCATTCTCAGGAACTTCTTTGTGATGTTTGCATTCACGTCACAGAACTGAACATTCCCTTTCATAGAGCATGTTTGAAACACTCTTTCTGTAGTATCTGCAAACGGACATTTCAAGCGCTTTCAGGCCTATGGTAAGAAAGGAAATATCTTCAAATAAAAACTAGACAGAAGCATTCTCAGAAACTTATTTGCGATGTGTGTCCTCAACTAACAGAGTTGAACCTTTCTTTTGATACAACATTTTGGAAACACTCTTTTTGTAGAATCTGCAAGTGGATATTTGAATAGCTTTGAAGGTTTCGTTGGAAACGGGAATATCTTCATATAAAATCAAGACAGAAGCATTCTCAGAAACTGCTTTGTGATGTCTTCATTCAAGTCACAGAGCAGAATGTTCCCTTTTATAGAGCAGGTTTGAAACACTCAGTGCACTACCTGGAAGTGGACATTTGGAGCGCTTTGAGGCCTATGTTGAAAAAGGAAATATCTTCCCATAGAAACTAGACAGAAGCATTCTCAGAAACTTGTTTGTGATGTGTGTATTCAACTAACAGAGATGAACCTTTCTTTTTACAGAGCAGTTTTGAAACACTCTTTTTGTGGAATCTGAAAGTGGATATTTGGATAGCTTTGAGGATTTCGTTGGAAACGGGATTACATATAAAATCTAGAGAGAAGCATTCTCAGGAACTTCTTTGTGATGTTTGCCTTCAAGTCACAGGACTGAACATTCCCTTTCATAGAGCAGGTTTGAAACACTCTTTCTGTAGTATCTGCAAGCTGACGTTTCAAGCGCTTTCAGGCCTATGGTGACAAAGGAAATATCTTCAAGTAAAAACTAGACAGAAGCATTCTCAGAAACTTCTTTGTGCTGTATGTCCTCAATTAACAGAGTTGAACCTTTGTGTGGATACAGCATTTTGGAAACATTCCTTTAGTAGAATCTGCAAGTTGATATTTAGATAGCTAGGAAGATTTCCTTGGAAACGGGAATATCTTCATATAAAATCTAGACGGAAGCATTCTCAGGAACTTCTTTGTGATGTTTGCATTCAAGTCACAGAACTGAACATTCCCTTTCATAGAGCAGGTTTGAAACACTCTTTCTGTAGTATCTGCAAGTGGACGTTTCAAGCGCTTTCAGGCCTGTGGAGAAAAAGGAAATATCTTCAAATAAAAAGTAGACAGAAGCATTCTCAGAAACTTATTTGCGATGTGTGTTCTCAACTAACAGAGTTGAACCTTTGTTTTGATACAGCATTTTGGAAACACTCTTTTTGTAGGATCTGCAGGTGGATATTTGGATAGCTTTGAAGTTTTCGTTGGAAACGGGAATATCTTCATATAAAATCAACACAGAAGCCTTCTCAGAAACTTCTCTGTGATGTTTGCATTCAACTCATAGAGTTGAACACTTCCTTTCATAGAGCTGGTTTGAAATACTCTTTTTGTAATATTTGGAAGTGGACATTGGCAGCGCTTTGAAGCCTATGGTGAAAAAGGAGATATCTTCTCCTAAAAACCAGACAGAAGCATTCTCAGAAACTTATTTGCGATGTGTGTCCTCAACTAACAGAGTTGAACCTTTGTTTTGATACAATATTTTGGAAACACTCTTTTTGTAGAATCTGCAAGTGGAGATTTGGATAGCTTTGAAGGTTTCGTTGGAAACGGGAATATCTTCATATAAAATCAAGACAGAAGCATTCTCAGAAACTGCTTTGTGATGTTTTCATTGAAGTCACAGAGTAGAATATTCCCTTTTATAGAGCAGGTTTGAAACACTCTTTCTGCACTACCTGGAAGTGGACATTTGGAGGGCTTTGAGGCCTATGTTGAAAAAGGAAATATCTTCCCATAAAAACTAGACAGAAGCATTCTCAGAAACTTGTTTGTGATGTGTGTATTCAACTAACAGAGATGAACCTTTCTTTTTACAGAGCAGTTTTGAAACACTCTTTTTGTGGAATCTGAAAGTGGATATTTGGATAGCTTTGAGGATTTCGTTGGAAACGGGATTACATATAAAACCTAGAGAGAAGCATTCTCAGGAACTTCTTTGTGATGTTTGCATTCAAGTCACAGAACTGAACATTCCCTTTCATAGAGCAGGTTTGAAACACTCTTTCTGTAGTATCTGCAAGCGGACGTTTTAAGCGCTTTCAGGCCTGTGGTGAGAAAGGAAATATCTTCAAATAAAAACTAGACAGAAGCATTCTCAGAAACTTATTTGCGATGTGTGTCCTCAACTAACAGAGTTGAACCTTTCTTTTGATACAACATTTTGGAAACACTCTTTTTGTAGAATCTGCAAGTGGATATTTGAATAGCTTTGAAGGTTTCGTTGGAAACGGGAATATCTTCATATAAAATCAAGACAGAAGCATTCTCAGAAACTTCTCTGTGATGTTTGCATTCAACTCATAGAGTTGAACACTTCCCTTCATACAGCAGGTTTGAAACACTCTTTTTGTAATATTTGGAAGTGGACATTTGCAGCGCTTTGAGGCCTATGTTGAAAAAGGAAATATCTTCTCCTAAAAACCAGACAGAAGCATTCTCAGAAACTTATTTGCGATGTGTGTTCTCAACTAACAGAGTTGAACCTTTGTTTTGATACAGCATTTTGGAAACACTCTTTTTGTAGGATCTGCAGGTGGATATTTGGATAGCTATGAAGGTTTCGTTGGAAACGGGAATATCTTCATATAAAATCAACACAGAAGCATTCTCAGAAACTTCTCTGTGATGTTTGCATTCAACTCATAGAGTTGAACACTTCCTTTCATAGAGCTGGTTTGAAATACTCTTTTTGTAATATTTGGAAGTGGACACTGGCAGCGCTTTGAAGCCTATGGTGAAAAAGGAGATATCTTCTCGTAAAAACCAGACAGAAGCATTCTCAGAATCTTTCTTGTGATGTGTGTACTCAAGTAACAGAGTTGAACCTTCCTTTTGACAGAGCAGTTTTGAAGCACTCTTTTTGTAGAATCTGCAAGTGGATATTTTGATACCTTTGAGGATTTCTTTGGACACGGGATATCTTCATATAAAATCTAGACAGAAGCATTCTCAGAAACTTCTTTGTGCTGTATGTCCTCAATTAACAGAGTTGAACCTTTGTTTCGATACAGCCTTTTGGAAACATTCCTTTAGTAGAATCTACAAGTTGATATTTAGATAGCTAGGAAGATTTCCTTGGAAACGGGAATATCTTCATATAAAATCTAGACGGAAGCATTCTCAGAAACTTATTTGCCATGTGTGTTCTCAACTAACAGAGTTGAACCTTTGTTTTGATACGGCATTTTGGAAACACTCTTTTTGTAGAATCTGCAGGTGGATATTCGGATAGCTTTGAAGGTTTCGTAGGAAACGGGAATATCTTCATATAAAATCTAGACGGAAGCATTCTCAGAAACTTCTCTGTGATGTTTGCATTCAACTCATAGAGTTGAACACTTCCCTTCATACAGCAGGTTTGAAACACTCTTTTTGTAATATTTGGAAGTGGACATTTGCAGCGCTTTGAGGCCTATGATGAAAAAGGTAATATCTTCCCATAAAAACTAGACAGAAGCATTCTCAGAAACTTGTTTGTGATGTGTGTATTCAACTAACAGAGATGAACCTTTCTTTTTACAGAGCAGTTTTGAAACACTCTTTTTGTGGAATCTGAAAGTGGATATTTGGATAGCTTTGAGGATTTCGTTGGAAACGGGATTACATATAAAACCTAGAGAGAAGCATTCTCAGGAACTTCTTTGTGATGTTTGCATTCAAGTCACAGAACTGAACATTCCCTTTCATAGAGCAGGTTTGAAACACTCTTTCTGTAGTATCTGCAAGCTGACGTTTCAAGCGCTTTCAGGCCTATGGTGAGAAAGGAAATATCTTCAAGTAAAAACTAGACAGAAGCATTCTCAGAAACTTATTTGCGATGTGTGTCCTCAACTAACAGAGTTGAACCTTTCTTTTGATACAACATTTTGGAAACACTCTTTTTGTAGAATCTGCAAGTGGATATTTGAATAGCTTTGAAGGTTTCGTTGGAAACGGGAATATCTTCATATAAAATCAAGACAGAAGCATTCTCAGAAACTGCTTTGTGATGTTTTCATTCAAGTCACAGAGTAGAATGTTCCCTGTTATATACCAGGTTTGAGACACTCTTTCTGCACTACCTGGAAGTGGACATTTGCAGCGCTTTGAGGCCTATGATGAAAAAGGAAATATCTTCCCATAAAAACTAGACAGAAGTTATCTCAGAAACTTGTTTGTGATGTGTGTATTCAACTAACAGAGATGAACCTTTCTTTTTACAGAGCAGTTTCGAAACACTCTTTTTGTGGAATCTGAAAGTGGATATTTGGATAGCTTTGAGGATTTCGTTGGAAACGGGATGACATATAAAATCTAGGGAGAAGCATTCTCAGGAACTTCTTTGTGATGTTTGCATTCAAGTCACAGAACTGAACATTCCCTTTCATAGAGTAGGATTGAAACACTCTTTCTGTAGTATCTGCAAGCGGACGTTTCAAGCGCTTTCAGGCCTGTGGTGAAAAAGGAAATATCTTCAAATAAAAACTAGACAGAAGCATTCTCAGAAACTTATTTGCGATGTGTGTCCTCAACTAACAGAGTTGAACCTTTCTTTTGATACAACATTTTGGAAACACTCTTTTTGTAGAATCTGCAAGTGGATATTTGGATAGCTTTGAAGGTTTCGTTGGAAAAGGGAATATCTTCATATGAAATCAAGACAGAAGCATTCTCAGCAAAGTGCTTTGTGATGTTTGCATTCAAGTCACAGAGTTGAATATTCCCTTTTATAGAGCAGGTTTGAAACACTCTTTCTGCACTACCTGGAGGTGGACATTTAGAGCGCTTTGAGGCCTATGTTGAAAAAGGAAATATCTTCCCATAAAAACTAGACAGAAGCATTCTCAGAAACTTGTTTGTGATGTGTGTATTCAACTAACAGAGATGAACCTTTCTTTTTACAGAGCAGTTTTGAAACACTCTTTTTGTGGAATCTGAAAGTGGATATTTGGATAGCTTTGAGGATTTCGTTGGAAACGGGATTACATATAAAACCTAGAGAGAAGCATTCTCAGGAACTTCTTTGTGATGTTTGCATTCAAGTAACAGAACTGAACATTCCCTTTCATAGAGCCGGTTTGAAACACTCTTTCTGTAGTATCTGCAAGCTGACGTTTCAAGCGCTTTCAGGCCTATGGTGAGAAAGGAAATATCTTCAAGTAAAAACTAGACAGAAGCATTCTCAGAAACTTATTTGCCATGTGTGTTCTCAACTAACAGAGTTGAACCTTTGTTTTGATACGGCATTTTGGAAACACTCTTTTTGTAGAATCTGCAGGTGGATATTCGGATAGCTTTGAAGGTTTCGTTGGAAACGGGAATATCTTCATATAAAATCTAGACGGAAGCATTCTCAGAAACTTCTCTGTGATGTTTGCATTCAACTCATAGAGTTGAACACTTCCCTTCATACAGCAGGTTTGAAACACTCTTTTTGTAATATTTGGAAGTGGACATTTGCAGCGCTTTGAGGCCTATGATGAAAAAGGTAATATCTTCCCATAAAAACTAGACAGAAGCATTCTCAGAAACTTGTTTGTGATGTGTGTATTCAACTAACAGAGATGAACCTTTCTTTTTACAGAGCAGTTTTGAAACACTCTTTTTGTGGAATCTGAAAGTGGATATTTGGATAGCTTTGCGGATTTCGTTGGAAACGGGATTACATATAAAATCTAGGGAGAAGCATTCTCAGGAACTTCTTTGTGATGTTTGCATTCACGTCACAGAACTGAACATTCCCTTTCATAGAGCATGTTTGAAACACTCTTTCTGTAGTATCTGCAAACGGACATTTCAAGCGCTTTCAGGCCTATGGTAAGAAAGGAAATTTCTTCAAATAAAAACTAGACAGAAGCATTCTCAGAAACTTCTTTGTGCTGTATGTCCTCAATTAACAGAGTTGAACCTTTGTGTGGATACAGCATTTTGGAAACATTCCTTTAGTAGAATCTGCAAGTTGATATTTAGATAGCTAGGAAGATTTCCTTGGAAACGGGAATATCTTCATATAAAATCTAGACGGAAGCATTCTCAGAAACTTCTCTGTGATGTTTGCATTCAACTCATAGAGTTGAACACTTCCCTTCATACAGCAGGTTTGAAACACTCTTTTTGTAATATTTGGAAGTGGACATTTGCAGCGCTTTGAGGCCTATGATGAAAAAGGTAATATCTTCCCATAAAAACTAGACAGAAGCATTCTCAGAAACTTGTTTGTGATGTGTGTATTCAACTAACAGAGATGAACCTTTCTTTTTACAGAGCAGTTTTGAAACACTCTTTTTGTGGAATCTGAAAGTGGATATTTGGATAGCTTTGAGGATTTCGTTGGAAACGGGATTACATATAAAACCTAGAGAGAAGCATTCTCAGGAACTTCTTTGTGATGTTTGCATTCACGTCACAGAACTGAACATTCCCTTTCATAGAGCATGTTTGAAACACTCTTTCTGTAGTATCTGCAAACGGATATTTCAAGCGCTTTCAGGCCTATGGTGAGAAAGGAAATATCTTCAAATAAAAACTAGACAGAAGCATTCTCAGCAAACTTCTTTGTACTGTATGTCCTCAATTAACAGAGTTGAACCTTTGTGTGGATACAGCATTTTGGAAACATTCCTTTAGTAGAATCTGCAAGTTGATATTTAGATAGCTAGGAAGATTTCCTTGGAAACGGGAATATCTTCATATAAAATCTAGACGGAAGCATTCTCAGAAACTGCTTTGTGATGTTTTCATTGAAGTCACAGAGTAGAATGTTCCCTTTTATATACCAGGTTTGAGACACTCTTTCTGCACTATCTGGAAGTGGACATTTGGAGCGCTTTGAGGCCTATGATGAAAAAGGAAATATCTTCCCATAAAAACTAGACAGAAGCATTCTCAGAAACTTGTTTGTGATGTGTGTATTCAACTAACAGAGATGAACCTTTCTTTTTACAGAGCAGTTTTGAAACACTCTTTTTGTGGAATCTGAAAGTGGATATTTGGATAGGTTTGAGGATTTCGTTGGAAACGGGATTACATATAAAACCTAGAGAGAAGCATTCTCAGGAACTTCTTTGTGATGTTTGCATTCAAGTCACAGAACTGAACATTCCCTTTCATAGAGCATGTTTGAAACACTCTTTCTGTAGTATCTGCAAGCGGACGTTTCAAGCGCTTTCAGGCCTATGGTGAGAAAGGAAATATCTTCAAGTAAAAACTAGACAGAAGCATTCTCAGAAACTTATTTGCCATGTGTGTTCTCAACTAACAGAGTTGAACCTTTGTTTTGATACGGCATTTTGGAAACACTCTTTTTGTAGAATCTGCAGGTGGATATTCGGATAGCTTTGAAGGTTTCGTTGGAAACGGGAATATCTTCATATAAAATCTAGACGGAAGCATTCTCAGAAAGTGCTTTGTGATGTTTGCATTCAAGTCACAGAGTTGAATATTCCCTTTTATAGAGCAGGTTTGAAACACTCTTTCTGCACTACCTGGAATTGGACATTTGGAGCGCTTTGAGGCCTATGTTGAAAAAGGAAATATCTTCCCATAAAAACTAGACAGAAGCATTCTCAGAAACTTGTTTGTGATGTGTGTATTCAACTAACAGAGATGAACCTTTCTTTTTACAGAGCAGTTTTGAAACACTCTTTTTGTGGAATCTGAAAGTGGATATTTGGATAGCTTTGAGGATTTCGTTGGAAACGGGATTACATATAAAATCTAGAGAGAAGCATTCTCAGGAACTTCTTTGTGATGTTTGCATTCACGTCACAGAACTGAACATTCCCTTTCATAGAGCATGTTTGAAACACTCTTTCTGTAGTATCTGCAAACGGACATTTCAAACGCTTTCAGGCCTATGGTGAGAAAGGAAATATCTTCAAATAAAAACTAGACAGAAGCATTCTCAGAAACTTATTTGCGATGTGTGTCCTCAACTAACAGAGTTGAACCTTTCTTTTGATACAACATTTTGGAAACACTCTTTTTGTAGAATCTGCAAGTGGATATTTGGATAGCTTTGAAGGTTTCGTTGGAAACGGGAATATCTTCATATGAAATCAAGACAGAAGCATTCTCAGAAACTGCTTTGTGATGTTTTCATTCAAGTCACAGAGTAGAATGTTCCCTGTTATATACCAGGTTTGAGACACTCTTTCTGCACTACCTGGAAGTGGACATTTGCAGCGCTTTGAGGCCTATGATGAAAAAGGAAATATCTTCCCATAAAAACTAGACAGAAGCATTCTCAGAAACTTGTTTGTGATGTGTGTATTCAACTAACAGAGATGAACCTTTCTTTTTACAGAGCAGTTTTGAAACACTCTTTTTGTGGAATCTGAAAGTGGATATTTGGATAGCTTTGAGGATTTCGTTGGAAACGGGATTACATATAAAACCTAGAGAGAAGCATTCTCAGGAACTTCTTTGTGATGTTTGCATTCAAGTCACAGAACTGAACATTCCCTTTCATAGAGCATGTTTGAAACACTCTTTCTGTAGTATCTGCAAGCGGACGTTTTAAGCGCTTTCAGGCCTGTGGTGAGAAAGGAAATATCTTCAAATAAAAACTAGACAGAAGCATTCTCAGAAACTTATTTGCGATGTGTGTCCTCAACTAACAGAGTTGAACCTTTCTTTTGATACAACATTTTGGAAACACTCTTTTTGTAGAATCTGCAAGTGGATATTTGAATAGCTTTGAAGGTTTCGTTGGAAACGGGAATATCTTCATATAAAATCAAGACAGAAGCATTCTCAGAAACTTATTTGCGATGTGTGTCCTCAACTAACAGAGTTGAACCTTTGTTTTGATACAACATTTTGGAACCACTCTTTTTGTAGAATCTGCAAGTGGATATTTGGATAGCTTTGAAGGTTTCGTTGGAAACGGGAATATCTTCATATAAAATCAAGACAGAAGCATGCTCAGAAACTTCTCTGTGATGTTTGCATTCAACTCATAGAGGTGAACACTTCCCTTCATAGAGCAGGTTAGAAACACTCTTTTTGTAATATTTGGAAGTGGACATTTGCAGCGCTTTGAGGCCTATGTTGAAAAAGGAAATATCTTCTCCTAAAAACCAGACAGAAGCATTCTCAGAAACTTCCTTCTGATGTGTGTACTCAAGTAACAGAGTTGAACCTTCCTTTTGCCAGAGCAGTTTTGAAGCACTCTTTTTGTAGAATCTGCAAGTGGATATTTTGATACCTTTGAGGATTTCGTTGGACATGGGATATCTTCATATAAAATCTAGACAGAAGCATTCGCAGACACTTCTTTGTGCTGTATATCCTCCATTAACAGAGTTGAACCTTTGTTTCGATACGGCATTTTGGAAACATTCCTTTAGTAGAATCTGCAAGTTCATATTTAGATAGCTAGGAAGATTTCCTTGCAAACGGGAATATCTTCATATAAAATCTAGACGGAAGCATTCTCAGAAAGTGCTTTGTGATGTTTGCATTCAAGTCACAGAGTTGAATATTCCCTTTTATAGAGCAGGTTTGAAACACTCTTTCTGCACTACCTGGAAGTGGACATTTGGAGCGCTTTGAGGCCTATGTTGAAAAAGGAAATATCTTCCCATAAAAACTAGACAGAAGCATTCTCAGAAACTTGTTTGTGATGTGTGTATTCAACTAACAGAGATGAACCTTTCTTTTTACAGAGCAGTTTTGAAACACTCTTTTTGTGGAATCTGAAAGTGGATATTTGGATAGCTTTGAGGATTTCGTTGGAAACGGGATTACATATAAAACCTAGAGAGAAGCATTCTCAGGAACTTCTTTGTGATGTTTGCATTCAAGTCACAGAACTGAACATTCCCTTTCATAGAGCAGGTTTGAAACACTCTTTCTGTAGTATCTGCAAGCGGACGTTTTAAGCGCTTTCAGGCCTGTGGTGAGAAAGGAAATATCTTCAAATAAAAACTAGACAGAAGCATTCTCAGAAACTTATTTGCGATGTGTGTCCTCAACTAACAGAGTTGAACCTTTCTTTTGATACAACATTTTGGAAACACTCTTTTTGTAGAATCTGCAAGTGGATATTTGAATAGCTTTGAAGGTTTCGTTGGAAACGGGAATATCTTCATATAAAATCAAGACAGAAGCATTCTCAGAAACTGCTTTGTGATGTTTTCATTCAAGTCACAGAGTAGAATGTTCCCTGTTATATACCAGGTTTGAGACACTCTTTCTGCACTACATGGAAGTGGACGTTTGGAGCGCTTTGAGGCCTATGTTGAAAAAGGAAATATCTTCCCATAAAAACTAGACAGAAGCATTCTCAGAAACTTGTTTGTGATGTGTGTATTCAACTAACAGAGATGAACCTTTCTTTTTACAGAGCAGTTTTGAAACACTCTTTTTGTGGAATCTGAAAGTGGATATTTGGATAGCTTTGAGGATTTCGTTGGAAACGGGATTACATATAAAACCTAGAGAGAAGCATTCTCAGGAACTTCTTTGCGATGTTTGCATTCAAGTCACAGAACTGAACATTCCCTTTCATAGAGCAGGTTTGAAACACTCTTTCTGTAGTATCTGCAAGCTGACGTTTCAAGCGCTTTCAGGCCTATGGTGAGAAAGGAAATTTCTTCAAGTAAAAACTAGACAGAAGCATTCTCAGAAACTTATTTGCGATGTGTGTTCTCAACTAACAGAGTTGAACCTTTGTTTTGATATGGCATTTTGGAAACACTCTTTTTGTAGAATCTGCAGGTGGATATTCGGATAGCTTTGAAGGTTTCGTTGGAAACGGGAATATCTTCATATAAAATCTAGACGGAAGCATTCTCAGAAAGTGCTTTGTGATGTTTGCATTCAAGTCACAGAGTTGAATATTCCCTTTTATAGAGCAGGTTTGAAACACTCTTTCTGCACTACCTGGAAGTGGACATTTGGAGCGCTTTGAGGCCTATGTTGAAAAAGGAAATATCTTCCCATAAAAACTAGACAGAAGCATTCTCAGAAACTTGTTTGTGATGTGTGTATTCAACTAACAGAGATGAACCTTTCTTTTTACAGAGCAGTTTTGAAACACTCTTTTTGTGGAATCTGAAAGTGGATATTTGGATAGCTTTGAGGATTTCGTTGGAAACGGGATTACATATAAAACCTAGAGAGAAGCATTCTCAGGAACTTCTTTGTGATGTTTGCATTCACGTCACAGAACTGAACATTCCCTTTCATAGAGCATGTTTGAAACACTCTTTCTGTAGTATCTGCAAACGGACATTTCAAACGCTTTCAGGCCTATGGTGAGAAAGGAAATATCTTCAAGTAAAAACTAGACAGAAGCATTCTCAGAAACTTATTTGCGATGTGTGTCCTCAACTAACAGAGTTGAACCTTTCTTTTGATACAACATTTTGGAACCACTCTTTTTGTAGAATCTGCAAGTGGATATTTGGATAGCTTTGAAGGTTTCGTTGGAAACGGGAATATCTTCATATAAAATCAACACAGAAGCATTCTCAGAAACTTCTCTGTGATGTTTGCATTCAACTCATAGAGTTGAACACTTCCCTTCATACAGCAGGTTTGAAACACTCTTTTTGTAATATTTGGAAGTGGACATTTGCAGCGCTTTGAGGCCTATGATGAAAAAGGAAATATCTTCCCATAAAAACTAGACAGAAGCATTCTCAGAAACTTGTTTGTGATGTGTGTATTCAACTAACAGAGATGAACCTTTCTTTTTACAGAGCAGTTTTGAAACACTCTTTTTGTGGAATCTGAGAGTGGATATTTGGATAGCTTTGAGGATTTCGTTGGAAACGGGATTACATATAAAATCTAGAGAGAAGCATTCTCAGGAACTTCTTTGTGATGTTTGCATTCAAGTCACAGAACTGAACATTCCCTTTCATAGAGCAGGTTTGAAACACTCTTTCTGTAGTATCTGCAAGCTGACGTTTCAAGCGCTTTCAGGCCTATGGTGAGAAAGGAAATATCTTCAAGTAAAAACTAGACAGAAGCATTCTCAGAAACTTATTTGCGATGTGTGTCCTCAACTAACAGAGTTGAACCTTTCTTTTGATACAACATTTTGGAAACACTCTTTTTGTGGAATCTGCAAGTGGATATTTGGATAGCTTTGAAGGTTTCGTTGGAAACGGGAATATCTTCATATAAAATCAAGACAGAAGCATTCTCAGAAACTTCTCTGTGATGTTTGCATTCAACTCATAGAGTTGAACACTTCCCTTCATACAGCAGGTTTGAAACACTCTTTTTGTAATATTTGGAAGTGGACATTTGCAGCGCTTTGAGGCCTATGATGAAAAAGGTAATATCTTCCCATAAAAACTAGACAGAAGCATTCTCAGAAACTTGTTTGTGATGTGTGTATTCAACTAACAGAGATGAACCTTTCTTTTTACAGAGCAGTTTTGAAACACTCTTTTTGTGGAATCTGAAAGTGCATATTTGGATAGCTTTGAGGATTTCGTTGGAAACGGGATTACATATAAAATCTAGAGAGAAGCATTCTCAGGAACTTCTTTGTGATGTTTGCATTCAAGTCACAGAACTGAACATTCCCTTTCATAGAGCATGTTTGAAACACTCTTTCTGTAGTATCTGCAAACGGACATTTCAAACGCTTTCAGGCCTATGGTGAGAAAGGAAATATCTTCAAATAAAAACTAGACAGAAGCATTCTCAGAAACTTATTTGCGATGTGTGTCCTCAACTAACAGAGTTGAACCTTTCTTTTGATATAACATTTTGGAAACACTCTTTTTGTAGAATCTGCAAGTGGATATTTGAATAGCTTTGAAGGTTTCGTTGGAAACGGGAATATCTTCTTATAAAATCAAGACAGAAGCATTCTCAGAAACTTCTCTGTGATGTTTGCATTCAACTCATAGAGTTGAACACTTCCCTTCATACAGCAGGTTTGAAACACTCTTTTTGTAATATTTGGAAGTGGACATTTGCAGCGCTTTGAGGCCTATGATGAAAAAGGTAATATCTTCCCATAAAAACTAGACAGAAGCATTCTCAGAAACTTGTTTGTGATGTGTGTATTCAACTAACAGAGATGAACCTTTCATTTTACAGAGCAGTTTTGAAACACTCTTTTTGTGGAATCTGAAAGTGGATATTTGGATAGCTTTGAGGATTTCGTTGGAAACGGGATTACATATAAAATCTAGAGGGAGAAGCATTCTCAGGAACTTCTTTGTGATGTTTGCATTCACGTCACAGAACTGAACATTCCCTTTCATAGAGCATGTTTGAAACACTCTTTCTGTAGTATCTGCAAACGGACATTTCAAACGCTTTCAGGCCTATGGTGAGAAAGGAAATATCTTCAAATAAAAACTAGACAGAAGCATTCTCAGAAACTTCTTTGTGCTGTATGTCCTCAATTAACAGAGTTGAACCTTTGTGTGGATACAGCATTTTGGAAACATTCCTTTAGTAGAATCTGCAAGTTGATATTTAGATAGCTAGGAAGATTTCCTTGGAAACGGGAATATCTTCATATAAAATCTAGACGGAAGCATTCTCAGAAACTGCTTTGTGATGTTTTCATTCAAGTCACAGAGTAGAATGTTCCCTGTTATATACCAGGTTTGAGACACTCTTTCTGCACTACCTGGAAGTGGACGTTTGGAGCGCTTTGAGGCCTATGTTGAAAAAGGAAATATCTTCCCATAAAAACTAGACAGAAGCATTCTCAGAAACTTGTTTGTGATGTGTGTATTCAACTAACAGAGATGAACCTTTCTTTTTACAGAGCAGTTTTGAAACACTCTTTTTGTGGAATCTGAAAGTGGATATTTGGATAGCTTTGAGGATTTCGTTGGAAACGGGATTACATATAAAACCTAGAGAGAAGCATTCTCAGGAACTTCTTTGTGATGTTTGCATTCACGTCACAGAACTGAACATTCCCTTTCATAGAGCATGTTTGAAACACTCTTTCTGTAGTATCTGCAAACGGACATTTCAAACGCTTTCAGGCCTATGGTGAGAAAGGAAATATCTTCAAATAAAAACTAGACAGAAGCATTCTCAGAAACTTATTTGCGATGTGTGTTCTCAACTAACAGAGTTGAACCTTTGTTTTGATATGGCATTTTGGAAACACTCTTTTTGTAGAATCTGCAGGTGGATATTCGGATAGCTTTGAAGGTTTCGTTGGAAACGGGAATATCTTCATATAAAATCTAGACGGAAGCATTCTCAGAAACTGCTTTGTGATGTTTTCATTCAAGTCACAGAGTAGAATGTTCCCTGTTATATACCAGGTTTGAGACACTCTTTCTGCACTACCCGGAAGTGGACATTTGCAGCGCTTTGAGGCCTATGATGAAAAAGGAAATATCTTCCCATAAAAACTAGACAGAAGCATTCTCAGAAACTTGTTTGTGATGTGTGTATTCAACTAACAGAGATGAACCTTTCTTTTTACAGAGCAGTTTTGAAACACTCTTTTTGTGGAATCTGAAAGTGGATATTTGGATAGCTTTGAGGATTTCGTTGGAAACGGGATTACATATAAAATTCTAGAGAGAAGAGCATTCTCAGGAACTTCTTTGTGATGTTTGCATTCAAGTCACAGAACTGAACATTCCCTTTCATAGAGCAGGTTTGAAACACTCTTTCTGTAGTATCTGCAAGCTGACGTTTCAAGCGCTTTCAGGCCTATGGTGAGAAAGGAAATATCTTCAAGTAAAAACTAGACAGAAGCATTCTCAGAAACTTCTTTGTGCTGTATGTCCTCAATTAACAGAGTTGAACCTTTCTGTGGATACAGCATTTTGGAAACATTCCTTTAGTAGAATCTGCAAGTTGATATTTAGATAGCTAGGAAGATTTCCTTGGAAACGGGAATATCTTCATATAAAATCTAGATGGAAGCATTCTCAGAAAGTGCTTTGTGATGTTTGCATTCAAGTCACAGAGTTGAATATTCCGTTTTATAGAGCAGGTTTGAAACACTCTTTCTGCACTACCTGGAAGTGGACATTTGGAGCACTTTGAGGCCTATGTTGAAAAAGGAAATATCTTCCCATAAAAACTAGACAGAAGCATTGTCAGAAACTTGTTTGTGATGTGTGTATTCAACTAACAGAGATGAACCTTTCTTTTTACAGAGCAGTTTTGAAACACTCTTTTTGTGGAATCTGAAAGTGGATATTTGGATAGCTTTGAGGATTTCGTTGGAAACGGGATTACATATAAAACCTAGAGAGAAGCATTCTCAGGAACTTCTTTGTGATGTTTGCCTTCAAGTCACAGGACTGAACATTCTCTTTCATAGAGCAGGTTTGAAACACTCTTTCTGTAGTATCTGCAAGCTGACGTTTCATGCGCTTTCAGGCCTATGGTGAGAAAGGAAATATCTTCAAGTAAAAACTAGACAGAAGCATTCTCAGAAACTTATTTGCCATGTGTGTTCTCAACTAACAGAGTTGAACCTTTGTTTTGATACGGCATTTTGGAAACACTCTTTTTGTAGAATCTGCAGGTGGATATTCGGATAGCTTTGAAGGTTTCGTTGGAAACGGGAATATCTTCATATAAAATCTAGACGGAAGCATTCTCAGAAACTGCTTTGTGATGTTCTCATTCAAGTCACAGAGTAGAATGTTCCCTGTTATATACCAGGTTTGAGACACTCTTTCTGCACTACCTGGAAGTGGACGTTTGGAGCGCTTTGAGGCCTTTGTTGAAAAAGGAAATATCTTCCCATAAAAACTAGACAGAAGCATTCTCAGAAACTTGTTTGTGATGTGTGTATTCAACTAACAGAGATGAACCTTTCTTTTTACAGAGCAGTTTTGAAACACTCTTTTTGTGGAATCTGAAAGTGGATATTTGGATAGCTTTGAGGATTTCGTTGGAAACGGGATTACATATAAAACCTAGAGAGAAGCATTCTCAGGAACTTCTTTGTGATGTTTGCATTCAAGTCACAGAACTGAACATTCCCTTTCATAGAGCAGGTTTGAAACACTCTTTCTGTAGTATCTGCAAGCGGACGTTTTAAGCGCTTTCAGGCCTGTGGTGAGAAAGGAAATATCTTCAAATAAAAACTAGACAGAAGCATTCTCAGAAACTTATTTGCGATGTGTGTCCTCAACTAACAGAGTTGAACCTTTCTTTTGATACAACATTTTGGAAACACTCTTTTTGTGGAATCTGCAAGTGGATATTTGGATAGCTTTGAAGGTTTCGTTGGAAACGGGAATATCTTCATATAAAATCAAGACAGAAGCATTCTCAGAAACTTCTCTGTGATGTTTGCATTCAACTCATAGAGTTGAACACTTCCCTTCATACAGCAGGTTTGAAACACTCTTTTTGTAATATTTGGAAGTGGACATTTGCAGCGCTTTGAGGCCTATGATGAAAAAGGAAATATCTTCCCATAAAAACTAGACAGGAAGCATTCTCAGAAACTTGTTTGTGATGTGTGTATTCAACTAACAGAGATGAACCTTTCTTTTTACAGAGCAGTTTTGAAACACTCTTTTTGTGGAATCTGAAAGTGGATATTTGGATAGCTTTGCGGATTTCGTTGGAAACGGGATTACATATAAAATCTAGGGAGAAGCATTCTCAGGAACTTCTTTGTGATGTTTGCCTTCAAGTCACAGGACTGAACATTCCCTTTCATAGAGCAGGTTTGAAACACTCTTTCTGTAGTATCTGCAAGCTGACGTTTCAAGCGCTTTCAGGCCTATGGTGAGAAAGGAAATATCTTCAAGTAAAAACTAGACAGAAGCATTCTCAGAAACTTATTTGCGATGTGTGTCCTCAACTAACAGAGTTGAACCTTTCTTTTGATACAACATTTTGGAAACACTCTTTTTGTAGAATCTGCAAGTGGATATTTGAATAGCTTTGAAGGTTTCGTTGGAAACGGGAATATCTTCATATAAAATCAAGACAGAAGCATTCTCAGAAACTGCTTTGTGATGTTTTCATTCAAGTCACAGAGTAGAATGTTCTCTTTTATATACCAGGTTTGAGACACTCTTTCTGCACTATCTGGAAGTGGACATTTGGAGCGCTTTGAGGCCTATGATGAAAAAGGAAATATCTTCCCATAAAAATTAGACAGAAGCATTCTCAGAAACTTGTTTGTGATGTGTGTATTCAACTAACAGAGATGAACCTTTCTTTTTACAGAGCAGTTTTGAAACACTCTTTCTGTGGAATCTGAAAGTGCATATTTGGATAGCTTTGAGGATTTCGTTGGAAACGGGATTACATATAAAATCTAGAGAGAAGCATTCTCAGGAACTTCTTTGTGATGTTTGCATTCACGTCACAGAACTGAACATTCCCTTTCATAGAGCATGTTTGAAACACTCTTTCTGTAGTATCTGCAAACGGACATTTCAAACGCTTTCAGGCCTATGGTGAGAAAGGAAATATCTTCAAATAAAAACTAGACAGAAGCATTCTCAGAAACTTATTTGCGATGTGTGTCCTCAACTAACAGAGTTGAACCTTTGTTTTGATACAACATTTTGGAACCACTCTTTTTGTAGAATCAGCAAGTGGATATTTGGATAGCTTTGAAGGTTTCGTTGGAAACGGGAATATCTTCATATAAAATCAAGACAGAAGCATTCTCAGAAAGTGCTTTGTGATGTTTGCATTCAAGTCACAGAGTTGAATATTCCCTTTTATAGAGTAGGTTTGAAACACTCTTTCTGCACTACCTGGAAGTGGACATTGGGAGCGCTTTGAGGCCTATGTTGAAAAAGGAAATATCTTCCCATAAAAACTAGACAGAAGCATTCTCAGAAACTTGTTTGTGATGTGTGTATTCAACTAACAGAGATGAACCTTTCTTTTTACAGAGCAGTTTTGAAACACTCTTTTTGTGGAATCTGAAAGTGGATATTTGGATAGCTTTGAGGATTTCGTTGGAAACGGGATTACATATAAAACCTAGAGAGAAGCATTCTCAGGAACTTCTTTGTGATGTTTGCATTCACGTCACAGAACTGAACATTCCCTTTCATAGAGCATGTTTGAAACACTCTTTCTGTAGTATCTGCAAACGGACATTTCAAACGCTTTCAGGCCTATGGTGAGAAAGGAAATATCTTCAAATAAAAACTAGACAGAAGCATTCTCAGAAACTTCTTTGTGCTGTATGTCCTCAATTAACAGAGTTGAACCTTTGTGTGGATACAGCATTTTGGAAACATTCCTTTAGTAGAATCTGCAAGTTGATATTTAGATAGCTAGGAAGATTTCCTTGGAAACGGGAATATCTTCATATAAAATCTAGACGGAAGCATTCTCAGAAACTTCTCTGTGATGTTTGCATTCAACTCATAGAGTTGAACACTTCCCTTCATACAGCAGGTTTGAAACACTCTTTTTGTAATATTTGGAAGTGGACATTTGCAGCGCTTTGAGGCCTATGATGAAAAAGGTAATATCTTCCCATAAAAACTAGACAGAAGCATTCTCAGAAACTTGTTTGTGATGTGTGTATTCAACTAACAGAGATGAACCTTTCTTTTTACAGAGCAGTTTTGAAACACTCTTTTTGTGGAATCTGAAAGTGGATATTTGGATAGCTTTGAGGATTTCGTTGGAAACGGGATTACATATAAAACCTAGAGAGAAGCATTCTCAGGAACTTCTTTGTGATGTTTGCATTCAAGTCACAGAACTGAACATTCCCTTTCATAGAGCATGTTTGAAACACTCTTTCTGTAGTATCTGCAAGCGGACGTTTCAAGCGCTTTGAGGCCTATGGTGCGAAAGGAAATATCTTCAAGTAAAAACTAGACAGAAGCATTCTCAGAAACTTATTTGCCATGTGTGTTCTCAACTAACAGAATTAAACCTTTGTTGTGATACGGCATTTTGGAAACACTCTTTTTGTAGAATCTGCAGGTGCATATTCGGATAGCTTTGAAGGTTTCGTTGGAAACGGGAATATCTTCATATAAAATCTAGACGGAAGCATTCTCAGAAACTGCTTTGTGATGTTTTCATTCCAGTCACAGAGTAGAATGTTCCCTTTTATATACCAGGTTTGAGACACTCTTTCTGCACTATCTGGAAGTGGACATTTGGAGCGCTTTGAGGCCTATGATGAAAAAGGAAATATCTTCCCATAAAAACTAGACAGAAGCATTCTCAGAAACTTGTTTGTGATGTGTGTATTCAACTAACAGAGATGAACCTTTCTTTTTACAGAGCAGTTTTGAAACACTCTTTTTGTGGAATCTGAAAGTGGATATTTGGATAGCTTCGAGGATTTCGTTGGAAACGGGATTACATATAAAATCTAGAGAGAAGCATTCTCAGGAACTTCTTTGTGATGTTTGCATTCAAGTCACAGAACTGAACATTCCCTTTCATAGAGCATGTTTGAAACACTCTTTCTGTAGTATCTGCAAGCGGACGTTTCAAGCGCTTTCAGGCCTATGGTGAGAAAGGAAATATCTTCAAGTAAAAACTAGACAGAAGCATTCTCAGAAACTTATTTGCGATGTGTGTTCTCAACTAAAAGAGTTGAACCTTTGTTTGGATACAGCATTTTGGAAACACTCTTTTTGTAGAATCTGCAAGTGGATATTTGGATAGCTTTGAAGGTTTCGTTGGAAACGGGAATATCTTCATATAAAATCAAGACAGAAGCATTCTCAGTAAAGTGCTTTGTGATGTTTGCATTCAAGTCACAGAGTTGAATATTCCCTTTTATAGAGCAGGTTTGAAACACTCTTTCTGCACTACCTGGAAGTGGACATTTGGAGCGCTTTGAGGCCTATGTTGAAAAAGGGAATATCTTCCCATAAAAACTAGACAGAAGCATTCTCAGAAACTTGTTTGAGATGTGTGTATTCAACTAACAGAGATGAACCTTTCTTTTTACAGAGCAGTTTTGAAACACTCTTTTTGTGGAATCTGAAAGTGGATATTTGGATAGCTTTGCGGATTTCGTTGGAAACGGGATTACATATAAAATCTAGGGAGAAGCATTCTCAGGAACTTCTTTGTGATGTTTGCATTCAAGTCACAGAACTGAACATTCCCTTTCATAGATCAGGTTTGAAACACTCTTTCTGTAGTATCTGCAAGCGGACGTTTTAAGCGCTTTCAGGCCTGTGGTGAGAAAGGAAATATCTTCAAATAAAAACTAGACAGAAGCATTCTCAGAAACTTATTTGAGATGTGTGTCCTCAACTAACAGAGTTGAACCTTTCTTTTGATACAACATTTTGGAAACACTCTTTTTGTAGAATCTGCAAGTGGATATTTGGATAGCTTTGAAGGTTTCGTTGGAAACGGGAATATCTTCATATGAAATCAAGACAGAAGCATTCTCAGAAACTTCTCTGTGATGTTTGCATTCAACTCATAGAGTTGAACACTTCCCTTCATACAGCAGGTTTGAAACACTCTTTTTCTAATATTTGGAAGTGGACATTTGCAGCGCTTTGAGGCCTATGTTGAAAAAGGAAATATCTTCTCCTAAAAACCAGACAGAAGCATTCTCAGAAACTTCCTTGTGATGTGTGTACTCAAGTAACAGAGTTGAACCTTCCTTTTGACAGAGCAGTTTTGAAGCACTCTTTTTGTAGAATCTGCAAGTGGATATTTTGATACCTTTGAGGATTTCGTTGGACACGGGATATCTTCATATAAAATCTAGACAGAAGCATTCTCAGGAACTTCTTTGTGATGTTTGCATTCAAGTCACAGAACTGAACATTCCCTTTCATAGAGCAGGTTTGAAACACTCTTTCTGTAGTATCTGCAAGCTGACGTTTCAAGCGCTTTCAGGCCTATGGTGAGAAAGGAAATATCTTCAAGTAAAAACTAGACAGAAGCATTCTCAGAAACTTATTTGCGATGTGTGTCCTCAACTAACAGAGTTGGACCTTTCTTTTGATACAACATTTTGGAAACACTCTTTTTGTAGAATCTGCAAGTGGATATTTGAATAGCTTTGAAGGTTTCGTTGGAAACGGGAATATCTTCATATAAAATCAAGACAGAAGCATTCTCAGAAACTTCTCTGTGATGTTTGCATTCAACTCATAGAGTTGAACACTTCCCTTCATACAGCAGGTTTGAAACACTCTTTTTGTAATATTTGGAAGTGGACATTTGCAGCGCTTTGAGGCCTATGATGAAAAAGGAAATATCTTCCCATAAAAACTAGACAGAAGCATTCTCAGAAACTTGTTTGTGATGTGTGTATTCAACTAACAGAGATGAACCTTTCTTTTTACAGAGCAGTTTTGAAACACTCTTTTTGTGGAATCTGAAAGTGGATATTTGGATAGCTTTGAGGATTTCGTTGGAAACGGGATTACATATAAAACCTAGAGAGAAGCATTCTCAGGAACTTCTTTGTGATGTTTGCATTCAAGTCACAGAACTGAACATTCCCTTTCATAGAGCATGTTTGAAACACTCTTTCTGTAGTATCTGCAAGCGGACGTTTCAAGCGCTTTCAGGCCTATGGTGAGAAAGGAAATATCTTCAAGTAAAAACTAGACAGAAGCATTCTCAGAAACTTATTTGCGATGTGTGTTCTCAACTAACAGAGTTGAACCTTTGTTTTGATATGGCATTTTGGAAACACTCTTTTTGTAGAATCTGCAGGTGGATATTCGGATAGCTTTGAAGGTTTCGTTGGAAACGGGAATATCTTCATATAAAATCTAGACGGAAGCATTCTCAGAAACTGCTTTGTGATGTTTTCATTCAAGTCACAGAGTAGAATGTTCCCTGTTATATACCAGGTTTGAGACACTCTTTCTGCACTACCTGGAAGTGGACGTTTGGAGCGCTTTGAGGCCTATGTTGAAAAAGGAAATATCTTCCCATAAAAACTAGACAGAAGCATTCTCAGAAACTTGTTTGTGATGTGTGTATTCAACTAACAGAGATGAACCTTTCTTTTTACAGAGCAGTTTTGAAACACTCTTTTTGTGGAATCTGAAAGTGGATATTTGGATAGCTTTGAGGGATTTCGTTGGAAACGGGATTACATATAAAATCTAGAGGAGAAGCATTCTCAGAAACTTCTCTGTGATGTTTGCATTCAACTCATAGAGGTGAACACTTCCCTTCATAGAGCAGGTTTGAAACACTCTTTTTGTAATATTTGGAAGTGGACATTTGCAGCGCTTTGAGGCCTATGTTGAAAAAGGAAATATCTTCTCCTAAAAACCAGACAGAAGCATTCTCAGAAACTTATTTGCCATGTGTGTTCTCAACTAACAGAGTTGAACCTTTGTTTTGATACGGCATTTTGGAAACACTCTTTTTGTAGAATCTGCAGGTGGATATTCGGATAGCTTTGAAGGTTTCGTTGGAAACGGGAATATCTTCATATAAAATCTAGACGGAAGCATTCTCAGAAAGTGCTTTGTGATGTTTTCATTCAAGTCACAGAGTAGAATGTTCCCTGTTATATACCAGGTTTGAGACACTCTTTCTGCACTACCTGGAAGTGGACGTTTGGAGCGCTTTGAGGCCTATGATGAAAAAGGAAATATCTTCCCATAAAAACTAGACAGAAGCATTCTCAGAAACTTGTTTGTGATGTGTGTATTCAACTAACAGAGATGAACCTTTCTTTTTACAGAGCAGTTTTGAAACACTCTTTTTGTGGAATCTGAAAGTGGATATTTGGATAGCTTTGAGGATTTCGTTGGAAACGGGATTACATATAAAACCTAGAGAGAAGCATTCTCAGGAACTTCTTTGTGATGTTTGCATTCAAGTCACAGAACTGAACATTCCCTTTCATAGAGCAGGTTTGAAACACTCTTTCTGTAGTATCTGCAAGCGGACGTTTTAAGCGCTTTCAGGCCTGTGGTGAGAAAGGAAATATCTTCAAATAAAAACTAGACAGAAGCATTCTCAGAAACTTATTTGCCATGTGTGTTCTCAACTAACAGAGTTGAACCTTTGTTTTGATACGGCATTTTGGAAACACTCTTTTTGTAGAATCTGCAGGTGGATATTCGGATAGCTTTGAAGGTTTCGTTGGAAACGGGAATATCTTCATATAAAATCTTGACGGAAGCATTCTCAGAAACTGCTTTGTGATGTTTTCATTCAAGTCACAGAGTAGAATGTTCCCTGTTATATACCAGGTTTGAGACACTCTTTCTGCACTACCTGGAAGTGGACGTTTGGAGCGCTTTGAGGCCTATGTTGAAAAAGGAAATATCTTCCCATAAAAACTAGACAGAAGCATTCTCAGAAACTTGTTTGTGATGTGTGTATTCAACTAACAGAGATGAACCTTTCTTTTTACAGAGCAGTTTTGAAACACTCTTTTTGTGGAATCTGAAAGTGGATATTTGGATAGCTTTGAGGATTTCGTTGGAAACGGGATTACATATAAAACCTAGAGAGAAGCATTCTCAGGAACTTCTTTGTGATGTTTGCATTCAAGTCACAGAACTGAACATTCCCTTTCATAGAGCATGTTTGAAACACTCTTTCTGTAGTATCTGCAAACGGACGTTTCAAACGCTTTCAGGCCTATGGTGAGAAAGGAAATATCTTCAAATAAAAACTAGACAGAAGCATTCTCAGAAACTTATTTGCGATGTGTGTTCTCAACTAACAGAGTTGAACCTTTGTTTTGATATGGCATTTTGGAAACACTCTTTTTGTAGAATCTGCAGGTGGATATTCGGATAGCTTTGAAGGTTTCGTTGGAAACGGGAATATCTTCATATAAAATCTAGACGGAAGCATTCTCAGAAACTGCTTTGTGATGTTTTCATTCAAGTCACAGAGTAGAATGTTCCCTGTTATATACCAGGTTTGAGACACTCTTTCTGCACTACCTGGAAGTGGACATTTGCAGCGCTTTGAGGCCTATGATGAAAAAGGAAATATCTTCCCATAAAAACTAGACAGAAGCATTCTCAGAAACTTGTTTGTGATGTGTGTATTCAACTAACAGAGATGAACCTTTCTTTTTACAGAGCAGTTTTGAAACACTCTTTTTGTGGAATCTGAAAGTGGATATTTGGATAGCTTTGAGGATTTCGTTGGAAACGGGATTACATATAAAACCTAGAGAGAAGCATTCTCAGGAACTTCTTTGTGATGTTTGCATTCAAGTCACAGGACTGAACATTCCCTTTCATAGAGCAGGTTTGAAACACTCTTTCTGTAGTATCTGCAAGCTGACGTTTCAAGCGCTTTCAGGCCTATGGTGAGAAAGGAAATATCTTCAAGTAAAAACTAGACAGAAGCATTCTCAGAAACTTATTTGCCATGTGTGTTCTCAACTAACAGAGTTGAACCTTTGTTTTGATACGGCATTTTGGAAACACTCTTTTTGTAGAATCTGCAGGTGGATATTCGGATAGCTTTGAAGGTTTCGTTGGAAACGGGAATATCTTCATATAAAATCTAGACGGAAGCATTCTCAGAAACTTCTCTGTGATGTTTGCATTCAACTCATAGAGTTGAACACTTCCCTTCATAGAGCAGATTTGAAACACTCTTTTTGTAATATTTGGAAGTGGACATTTGCAGCGCTTTGAGGCCTATGTTGAAAAAGGAAATATCTTCTCCTAAAAACCAGACAGAAGCATTCTCAGAAACTTGTTTGTGATGTGTGTATTCAACTAACAGAGATGAACCTTTCTTTTTACAGAGCAGTTTTGAAACACTCTTTTTGTGGAATCTGAAAGTGGATATTTGGATAGCTTTGAGGATTTCGTTGGAAACGGGATTACATATAAAACCTAGAGAGAAGCATTCTCAGGAACTTCTTTGTGATGTTTGCATTCACGTCACAGAACTGAACATTCCCTTTCATAGAGCATGTTTGAAACACTCTTTCTGTAGTATCTGCAAACGGACATTTCAAACGCTTTCAGGCCTATGGTGAGAAAGGAAATATCTTCAAATAAAAACTAGACAGAAGCATTCTCAGAAATTTATTTGCGATGTGTGTTCTCAACTAACAGAGTTGAACCTTTGTTTTGATATGGCATTTTGGAAACACTCTTTTTGTAGAATCTGCAGGTGGATATTCGGATAGCTTTGAAGGTTTCGTTGGAAACGGGAATATCTTCATATAAAATCTAGACGGAAGCATTCTCAGAAACTGCTTTGTGATGTTTTCATTCAAGTCACAGAGTAGAATGTTCCCTGTTATACACCAGGTTTGAGACACTCTTTCTGCACTACCTGGAAGTGGACGTTTGGAGCGCTTTGAGGCCTATGTTGAAAAAGGAAATATCTTCCCATAAAAACTAGACAGAAGCATTCTCAGAAACTTGTTTGTGATGTGTGTATTCAACTAACAGAGATGAACCTTTCTTTTTACAGAGCAGTTTTGAAACACTCTTTTTGTGGAATCTGAAAGTGGATATTTGGATAGCTTTGAGGATTTCGTTGGAAACGGGATTACCTATAAAATCTAGAGAGAAGCATTCTCAGGAACTTCTTTGTGATGTTTGCATTCACGTCACAGAACTGAACATTCCCTTTCATAGAGCATGTTTGAAACACTCTTTCTGTAGTATCTGCAAACGGACATTTCAAGCGCTTTCAGGCCTATGGTAAGAAAGGAAATATCTTCAAATAAAAACTAGACAGAAGCATTCTCAGAAACTTATTTGCGATGTGTGTCCTCAACTAACAGAGTTGAACCTTTGTTTTGATACAACATTTTGGAAACACTCTTTTTGTAGAATCTGCAAGTGGATATTTGGATAGCTTTGAAGGTTTCGTTGTTAACGGGAATATCTTCATATAAAATCAAGACAGAAAGCATTCTCAGAAACTTCTCTGTGATGTTTGCATTCAACTCATAGAGTTGAACACTTCCCTTCATACAGCAGGTTTGAAACACTCTTTTTGTAATATTTGGAAGTGGACATTTGCAGCGCTTTGAGGCCTATGATGAAAAAGGTAATATCTTCCCATAAAAACTAGACAGAAGCATTCTCAGAAACTTGTTTGTGATGTGTGTATTCAACTAACAGAGATGAACCTTTCTTTTTACAGAGCAGTTTTGAAACACTCTTTTTGTGGAATCTGAAAGTGGATATTTGGATAGCTTTGAGGATTTCGTTGGAAACGGGATTACATATAAAACCTAGAGAGAAGCATTCTCAGGAACTTCTTTGTGATGTTTGCCTTCAAGTCACAGGACTGAACATTCCCTTTCATAGAGCAGGTTTGAAACACTCTTTCTGTAGTATCTGCAAGCTGACGTTTCAAGCGCTTTCAGGCCTATGGTGACAAAGGAAATATCTTCAAGTAAAAACTAGACAGAAGCATTCTCAGAAACTTATTTGCGATGTGTGTCCTCAACTAACAGAGTTGAACCTTTCTTTTGATACAACATTTTGGAAACACTCTTTTTGTAGAATCTGCAAGTGGATATTTGAATAGCTTTGAAGGTTTCGTTGGAAACGGGAATATCTTCATATAAAATCAAGACAGAAGCATTCTCAGAAACTGCTTTGTGATGTTTTCATTCAAGTCACAGAGTAGAATGTTCCCTGTTATATACCAGGTTTGAGACACTCTTTCTGCACTACCCGGAAGTGGACGTTTGGAGCGCTTTGAGGCCTATGTTGAAAAAGGAAATATCTTCCCATAAAAACTAGACAGAAGCATTCTCAGAAACTTGTTTGTGATGTGTGTATTCAACTAACAGAGATGAACCTTTCTTTTTACAGAGCAGTTTTGAAACACTCTTTTTGTGGAATCTGAAAGTGGATATTTGGATAGCTTTGCGGATTTCGTTGGAAACGGGATTACATATAAAATCTAGGGAGAAGCATTCTCAGGAACTTCTTTGTGATGTTTGCATTCAAGTCACAGAACTGAACATTCCCTTTCATAGAGCAGGTTTGAAACACTCTTTCTGTAGTATCTGCAAGCGGACGTTTTAAGCGCTTTCAGGCCTGTGGTGAGAAAGGAAATATCTTCAAATAAAAACTAGACAGAAGCATTCTCAGAAACTTATTTGCCATGTGTGTTCTCAACTAACAGAGTTGAACCTTTGTTTTGATACGGCATTTTGGAAACACTCTTTTTGTAGAATCTGCAGGTGGATATTCGGATAGCTTTGAAGGTTTCGTTGGAAACGGGAATATCTTCATATAAAATCTAGACGGAAGCATTCTCAGAAACTGCTTTGTGATGTTTTCATTCAAGTCACAGAGTAGAATGTTCCCTTTTATATACCAGGTTTGAGACACTCTTTCTGCACTATCTGGAAGTGGACATTTGGAGCGCTTTGAGGCCTATGATGAAAAAGGAAATATCTTCCCATAAAAACTAGACAGAAGCATTCTCAGAAACTTGTTTGTGATGTGTGTATTCAACTAACAGAGATGAACCTTTCTTTTTACAGAGCAGTTTTGAAACACTCTTTTTGTGGAATCTGAAAGTGGATATTTGGATAGCTTTGAGGATTTCGTTGGAAACGGGATTACATATAAAATCTAGAGAGAAGCATTCTCAGGAACTTCTTTGTGATGTTTGCATTCAAGTCACAGAACTGAACATTCCCTTTCATAGAGCATGTTTGAAACACTCTTTCTGTAGTATCTGCAAGCTGACGTTTCAAGCGCTTTCAGGCCTATGGTGAGAAAGGAAATATCTTCAAGTAAAAACTAGACAGAAGCATTCTCAGAAACTTATTTGCGATGTGTGTCCTCAACTAACAGAGTTGAACCTTTCTTTTGATACAACATTTTGGAAACACTCTTTTTGTAGAATCTGCAAGTGGATATTTGGATAGCTTTGAAGGTTTCGTTGGAAACGGGAATATCTTCATATGAAATCAAGACAGAAGCATTCTCAGAAACTGCTTTGTGATGTTTTCATTCAAGTCACAGAGTAGAATGTTCCCTGTTATATACCAGGTTTGAGACACTCTTTCTGCACTACCTGGAAGTGGACATTTGGAGCGCTTTGAGGCCTATGATGAAAAAGGAAATATCTTCCCATAAAAACTAGACAGAAGCATTCTCAGAAACTTGTTTGTGATGTGTGTATTCAACTAACAGAGATGAACCTTTCTTTTTACAGAGCAGTTTTGAAACACTCTTTTTGTGGAATCTGAAAGTGGATATTTGGATAGCTTTGAGGATTTCGTTGGAAACGGGATTACATATAAAACCTAGAGAGAAGCATTCTCAGGAACTTCTTTGTGATGTTTGCATTCACGTCACAGAACTGAACATTCCCTTTCATAGAGCATGTTTGAAACACTCTTTCTGTAGTATCTGCAAACGGACATTTCAAGCGCTTTCAGGCCTATGGTAAGAAAGGAAATATCTTCAAATAAAAACTAGACAGAAGCATTCTCAGAAACTTATTTGCGATGTGTGTCCTCAACTAACAGAGTTGAACCTTTCTTTTGATACAACATTTTGGAAACACTCTTTTAGTAGAATCTGCAAGTGGATATTCGGATAGCTTTGAAGGTTTCGTTGGAAACGGGAATATCTTCATATAAAATCAAGACAGAAGCATTCTCAGAAACTTCTCTGTGATGTTTGCATTCAACTCATAGAGTTGAACACTTCCCTTCATACAGCAGGTTTGAAACACTCTTTTTGTAATATTTGGAAGTGGACATTTGCAGCGCTTTGAGGCCTATGATGAAAAAGGTAATATCTTCCCATAAAAACTAGACAGAAGCATTCTCAGAAACTTGTTTGTGATGTGTGTATTCAACTAACAGAGATGAACCTTTCTTTTTACAGAGCAGTTTTGAAACACTCTTTTTGTGGAATCTGAAAGTGGATATTTGGATAGCTTTGAGGATTTCGTTGGAAACGGGATTACATATAAAATCTAGAGAGAAGCATTCTCAGGAACTTCTTTGTGATGTTTGCCTTCAAGTCACAGGACTGAACATTCCCTTTCATAGAGCAGGTTTGAAACACTCTTTCTGTAGTATCTGCAAGCTGACGTTTCAAGCGCTTTCAGGCCTATGGTGAGAAAGGAAATATCTTCAAGTAAAAACTAGACAGAAGCATTCTCAGAAACTTCTTTGTGCTGTATGTCCTCAATTAACAGAGTTGAACCTTTGTGTGGATACAGCATTTTGGAAACATTCCTTTAGTAGAATCTGCAAGTTGATATTTAGATAGCTAGGAAGATTTCCTTGGAAACGGGAATATCTTCATATAAAATCTAGACGGAAGCATTCTCAGAAACTTCTCTGTGATGTTTGCATTCAACTCATAGAGTTGAACACTTCCCTTCATACAGCAGGTTTGAAACACTCTTTTTGTAATATTTGGAAGTGGACATTTGGAGCGCTTTGAGGCCTATGTTGAAAAAGGAAATATCTTCCCATAAAAACTAGACAGAAGCATTCTCAGAAACTTGTTTGTGATGTGTGTATTCAACTAACAGAGATGAACCTTTCTTTTTACAGAGCAGTTTTGAAACACTCTTTTTGTGGAATCTGAAAGTGGATATTTGGATAGCTTTGAGGATTTCGTTGGAAACGGGATTACATATAAAATCTAGAGAGAAGCATTCTCAGGAACTTCTTTGTGATGTTTGCATTCAAGTCACAGAACTGAACATTCCCTTTCATAGATCAGGTTTGAAACACTCTTTCTGTAGTATCTGCAAGCGGACGTTTTAAGCGCTTTCAGGCCTGTGGTGAGAAAGGAAATATCTTCAAATAAAAACTAGACAGAAGCATTCTCAGAAACTTATTTGCGATGTGTGTCCTCAACTAACAGAGTTGAACCTTTCTTTTGATACAACATTTTGGAAACACTCTTTTTGTAGAATCTGCAAGTGGATATTTGGATAGATTTGAAGGTTTCGTTGGAAACGGGAATATCTTCATATGAAATCAAGACAGAAGCATTCTCAGAAACTTCTCTGTGATGTTTGCATTCAACTCATAGAGTTGAACACTTCCCTTCATACAGCAGGTTTGAAACACTCTTTTTCTAATATTTGGAAGTGGACATTTGCAGCGCTTTGAGGCCTACGTTGAAAAAGGAAATATCTTCTCCTAAAAACCAGAAAGAAGCATTCTCAGAAACTTGTTTGTGATGTGTGTATTCAACTAACAGAGATGAACCTTTCCTTTTACAGAGCAGTTTTGAAACACTCTTTTTGTGGAATCTGAAAGTGGATATTTGGATAGCTTTGAGGATTTCGTTGGAAACGGGATTACATATAAAATCTAGGGAGAAGCATTCTCAGGAACTTCTTTGTGATGTTTGCATTCAAGTCACAGAAGTGAACATTCCCTTTCATTGAGCAGCTTTGAAACACTCTTTCTGTAGTATCTGCAAGCGGACGTTTCAAGCGCTTTCAGGCCTGTGGTGAAAAGGGAAATATCTTCAAATAAAAACTAGACAGAAGCATTCTCAGAAACTTATTTGCGATGTGTGTCCTCAACTAACAGAGTTGAACCTTTCTTTTGATACAACATTTTGGAAACACTCTTTTTGTAGAATCTGCAAGTGGATATTTGAATAGCTTTGAAGGTTTCGTTGGAAACGGGAATATCTTCATATAAAATCAAGACAGAAGCATTCTCAGAAACTGCTTTGTGATGTTTTCATTCAAGTCACAGAGTAGAATGTTCCCTGTTATATACCAGGTTTGAGACACTCTTTCTGCACTACCTGGAAGTGGACATTTGCAGCGCTTTGAGGCCTATGATGAAAAAGGAAATATCTTCCCATAAAAACTAGACAGAAGCATTCTCAGAAACTTGTTTGTGATGTGTGTATTCAACTAACAGAGATGAACCTTTCTTTTTACAGAGCAGTTTTGAAACACTCTTTTTGTGGAATCTGAAAGTGGATATTTGGATAGCTTTGAGGATTTCGTTGGAAACGGGATTACATATAAAACCTAGAGAGAAGCATTCTCAGGAACTTCTTTGTGATGTTTGCATTCACGTCACAGAACTGAACATTCCCTTTCACAGAGCATGTTTGAAACACTCTTTCTGTAGTATCTGCAAACGGACATTTCAAACGCTTTCAGGCCTATGGTGAGAAAGGAAATATCTTCAAATAAAAACTAGACAGAAGCATTCTCAGAAAGTTATTTGCGATGTGTGTCCTCAACTAACAGAGTTGAACCTTTCTTTTGATACAACATTTTGGAAACACTCTTTTTGTAGAATCTGCAAGTGGATATTTGCATAGCTTTGAAGGTTTCGTTGGAAACGGGAATATCTTCATATAAAATCAAGACAGAAGCATTCTCAGAACCTGCTTTGTGATGTTTTCATTCAAGTCACAGAGTAGAATATTCCCTGTTATATACCAGGTTTGAGACACTCTGTCTGCACTACCTGGAAGTGGACGTTTGGAGCGCTTTGAGGCCTATGTTGAAAAAGGAAATATCTTCCCATAAAAACTAGACAGAAGCATTCTCAGAAACTTGTTTGTGATGTGTGTATTCAACTAACAGAGATGAACCTTTCTTTTTACAGAGCAGTTTTGAAACACTCTTTTTGTGGAATCTGAATGTGGATATTTGGATAGCTTTGAGGATTTCGTTGGAAACGGGATTACATATAAAATCTAGAGAGAAGCATTCTCAGGAACTTCTTTGTGATGTTTGCATTCACGTCACAGAACTGAACATTCCCTTTCATAGAGCATGTTTGAAACACTCTTTCTGTAGTATCTGCAAACGGACATTTCAAACGCTTTCAGGCCTATGGTGAGAAAGGAAATATCTTCAAATAAAAACTAGACAGAAGCATTCTCAGAAACTTATTTGCGATGTGTGTCCTCAACTAACAGAGTTGAACCTTTCTTTTGATACAACATTTTGGAAACACTCTTTTTGTAGAATCTGCAAGTGGATATTTGAATAGCTTTGAAGGTTTCGTTGGAAACGGGAATATCTTCATATAAAATCAAGACAGAAGCATTCTCAGAAACTGCTTTGTGATGTTTTCATTCAAGTCACAGAGTAGAATGTTCCCTTTTATATACCAGGTTTGAGACACTCTTTCTGCACTATCTGGAAGTGGACATTTGGAGCGCTTTGAGGCCTATGATGAAAAAGGAAATATCTTCCCATAAAAACAAGACAGAAGCATTCTCAGAAACTTGTTTGTGATGTGTGTATTCAACTAACAGAGATGAACCTTTCTTTTTACAGAGCAGTTTTGAAACACTCTTTTTGTGGAATCTGAAAGTGGATATTTGGATAGCTTTGAGGATTTCGTTGGAAACGGGATTACATATAAAACCTAGAGAGAAGCATTCTCAGGAACTTCTTTGTGATGTTTGCATTCAAGTCACAGAACTGAACATTCCCTTTCATAGAGCAGGTTTGAAACACTCTTTCTGTAGTATCTGCAAGCTGACGTTTCAAGCGCTTTCAGGCCTATGGTGAGAAAGGAAATATCTTCAAGTAAAAACTAGACAGAAGCATTCTCAGAAACTTATTTGCGATGTGTGTCCTCAACTAACAGAGTTGAACCTTTCTTTTGATACAACATTTTGGAAACACTCTTTTTGTAGAATCTGCAAGTGGATATTTGAATAGCTTTGAAGGTTTCGTTGGAAACGGGAATATCTTCATATAAAATCAAGACAGAAGCATTCTCAGAAACTTCTCTGTGATGTTTGCATTCAACTCATAGAGTTGAACACTTCCCTTCATACAGCAGGTTTGAAACACTCTTTTTGTAATATTTGGAAGTGGACATTTGCAGCGCTTTGAGGCCTATGATGAAAAAGGTAATATCTTCCCATAAAAACTAGACAGAAGCATTCTCAGAAACTTGTTTGTGATGTGTGTATTCAACTAACAGAGATGAACCTTTCTTTTACAGAGCAGTTTTGAAACACTCTTTTTGTGGAATCTGAAAGTGGATATTTGGATAGCTTTGAGGATTTCGTTGGAAACGGGATTACATATAAAACCTAGAGAGAAGCATTCTCAGGAACTTCTTTGTGATGTTTGCATTCAAGTCACAGAACTGAACATTCCCTTTCATAGAGCAGGTTTGAAACACTCTTTCTGTAGTATCTGCAAGCGGACGTTTTAAGCGCTTTCAGGCCTGTGGTGAGAAAGGAAATATCTTCAAATAAAAACTAGACAGAAGCATTCTCAGAAACTTCTTTGTGCTGTATGTCCTCAATTAACAGAGTTGAACCTTTGTGTGGATACAGCATTTTGGAAACACTCCTTTAGTAGGATATGCAAGTTGATATTTAGATAGCTAGGAAGATTTCCTTGGAAACGGGAATATCTTCATATAAAATCTAGACGGAAGCATTCTCAGAAACTGGCTTTGTGATGTTTTCATTCAAGTCACAGAGTAGAATGTTCCCTGTTATATACCAGGTTTGAGACACTCTTTCTGCACTACCTGGAAGTGGACGTTTGGAGCGCTTTGAGGCCTATGTTGAAAAAGGAAATATCTTCCCATAAAAACTAGACAGAAGCATTCTCAGAAACTTGTTTGTGATGTGTGTATTCAACTAACAGAGATGAACCTTTCTTTTTACAGAGCAGTTTTGAAACACTCTTTTTGTGGAATCTGAAAGTGGATATTTGGATAGCTTTGCGGATTTCGTTGGAAACGGGATTACATATAAAATCTAGGGAGAAGCATTCTCAGGAACTTCTTTGTGATGTTTGCATTCACGTCACAGAACTGAACATTCCCTTTCATAGAGCATGTTTGAAACACTCTTTCTGTAGTATCTGCAAACGGACATTTCAAGCGCTTTCAGGCCTATGGTAAGAAAGGAAATATCTTCAAATAAAAACTAGACAAAAAGCATTCTCAGAAACTTATTTGCGATGTGTGTCCTCAACTAACAGAGTTGAACCTTTGTTTTGATACAACATTTTGGAAACACTCTTTTTGTAGAATCTGCAAGTGGATATTTGGATAGCTTTGAAGGTTTCGTTGGAAACGGGAATATCTTCATATAAAATCAAGACAGAACCATTCTCAGAAACTGCTTTGTGATGTTTTCATTCAAGTCACAGAGTAGAATGTTCCCTGTTATATACCAGGTTTAAGACACTCTTTCTGCACTACCTGGAAGTGGACGTTTGGAGCGCTTTGAGGCCTATGTTGAAAAAGGAAATATCTTCCCATAAAAACTAGACAGAAGCATTCTCAGAAACTTGTTTGTGATGTGTGTATTCAACTAACAGAGATGAACCTTTCTTTTTACAGAGCAGTTTTGAAACACTCTTTTTGTGGAATCTGAAAGTGGATATTTGGATAGCTTTGAGGATTTCGTTGGAAACGGGATTACATATAAAATTCTAGAGAGAAGAGCATTCTCAGGAACTTCTTTGTGATGTTTGCCTTCAAGTCACAGGACTGAACATTCCCTTTCATAGAGCAGGTTTGAAACACTCTTTCTGTAGTATCTGCAAGCTGACGTTTCAAGCGCTTTCAGGCCTATGGTGAGAAAGGAAATATCTTCAAGTAAAAACTAGACAGAAGCATTCTCAGAAACTTATTTGCGATGTGTGTCCTCAACTAACAGAGTTGAACCTTTCTTTTGATACAACATTTTGGAAACACTCTTTTTGTGGAATCTGCAAGTGGATATTTGGATAGCTTTGAAGGTTTCGTTGGAAACGGGAATATCTTCATATAAAATCAAGACAGAAGCATTCTCAGAAACTTCTCTGTGATGTTTGCATTCAACTCATAGAGTTGAACACTTCCCTTCATACAGCAGGTTTGAAACACTCTTTTTCTAATATTTGGAAGTGGACTTTTGCAGCGCTTTGAAGCCTATGATGAAAAAGGTAATATCTTCCCATAAAAACTAGAAAGAAGCATTCTCAGAAACTTGTTTGTGATGTGTGTATTCAACTAACAGAGATGAACCTTTCTTTTTACAGAGCAGTTTTGAAACACTCTTTTTGTGGAATCTGAAAGTGGATATTTGGATAGCTTTGAGGATTTCGTTGGAAACGGGATTACATATAAAATCTAGAGAGAAGCATTCTCAGGCAACTTCTTTGTGATGTTTGCATTCAAGTCACAGAACTGAACATTCCCTTTCATAGAGCAGGTTTGAAACACTCTTTCTGTAGTATCTGCAAGCGGACGTTTGAAGCGCTTTCAGGCCTGTGGTGAAAAAGGAAATATCTTGAAATAAAAACTAGACAGAAGCATTCTCAGAAACTTATTAGCGATGTGTGTTCTCAACTAAAAGAGTTGAACCTTTGTTTGGATACAGCATTTTGGAAACACTCTTTTTGTAGAATCTGCAAGTGGATATTTGGATAGCTTTGAAGGTTTCGTTGGAAACGGGAATATCTTCATATAAAATCAAGACAGAAGCATTCTCAGAAACTTCTCTGTGATGTTTGCATTCAACTCATAGAGTTGAACACTTCCCTTCATACAGCAGGTTTGAAACACTCTTTTTCTAATATTTGGAAGTGGACATTTGCAGCGCTTTGAGGCCTATGTTGAAAAAGGAAATATCTTCTCCTAAAAACCAGACAGAAGCATTCTCAGAAACTTCCTTGTGATGTGTGTACTCAAGTAACAGAGTTGAACCTTCCTTTTGACAGAGCAGTTTTGAAGCACTCTTTTTGTAGAATCTGCAAGTGGATATTTTGATACCTTTGAGGATTTCGTTGGACACGGGATATCTTCATATAAAATCTAGACAGAAGCATTCTCAGGAACTTCTTTTTGATGTTTGCCTTCAAGTCACAGGACTGAACATTCCCTTTCATAGAGCAGGTTTGAAACACTCTTTCTGTAGTATCTGCAAGCTGACGTTTCAAGCGCTTTCAGGCCTATGGTGAGAAAGGAAATATCTTCAAGTAAAAACTAGACAGAAGCATTCTCAGAAACTTCTTTGTGCTGTATGTCCTCAATTAACAGAGTTGAACCTTTGTGTGGATACAGCATTTTGGAAACATTCCTTTAGTAGAATCTGCAAGTTGATATTTAGATAGCTAGGAAGATTTCCTTGGAAACGGGAATATCTTCATATAAAATCTAGACGGAAGCATTCTCAGAAACTGCTTTGTGATGTTTTCATTCAAGTCACAGAGTAGAATGTTCCCTGTTATATACCAGGTTTGAGACACTCTTTCTGCACTACCCGGAAGTGGACGTTTGGAGCGCTTTGAGGCCTATGTTGAAAAAGGAAATATCTTCCCATAAAAACTAGACAGAAGCATTCTCAGAAACTTGTTTTTGATGTGTGTATTCAACTAACAGAGATGAACCTTTCTTTTTACAGAGCAGTTTTGAAACACTCTTTTTGTGGAATCTGAAAGTGGATATTTGGATAGCTTTGAGGATTTCCTTGGAAACGGGATTACATATAAAATCTAGAGAGAAGCATTCTCAGGAACTTCTTTGTGATGTTTGCATTCAAGTCACAGAACTGAACATTCCCTTTCATAGAGCATGTTTGAAACACTCTTTCTGTAGTATCTGCAAGCGGACGTTTCAAGCGCTTTCAGGCCTATGGTGAGAAAGGAAATATCTTCAAGTAAAAACTAGACAGAAGCATTCTCAGAAACTTATTTGCGATGTGTGTTCTCAACTAACAGAGTTGAACGTTTGTTTTGATACGGCATTTTGGAAACACTCTTTTTGTAGAATCTGCAGGTGGATATTCGGATAGCTTTGAAGGTTTCGTTGGAAACGGGAATATCTTCATATAAAATCTAGACGGAAGCATTCTCAGAAAGTGCTTTGTGATGTTTGCATTCAAGTCACAGAGTTGAATATTCCCTTTTATAGAGCAGGTTTGAAACACTCTTTCTGCACTACCTGGAAGTGGACATTTGGAGCGCTTTGAGGCCTATGTTGAAAAAGGAAATATCTTCCCATAAAAACTAGACAGAAGCATTCTCAGAAACTTGTTTGTGATGTGTGTATTCAACTAACAGAGATGAACCTTTCTTTTTACAGAGCAGTTTTGAAACACTCTTTTTGTGGAATCTGAAAGTGGATATTTGGATAGCTTTGCGGATTTCGTTGGAAACGGGATTACATATAAAATCTAGGGAGAAGCATTCTCAGGAACTTCTTTGTGATGTTTGCCTTCAAGTCACAGGACTGAACATTCCCTTTCATAGAGCAGGTTTGAAACACTCTTTCTGTAGTATCTGCAAGCTGACGTTTCAAGCGCTTTCAGGCCTATGGTGAGAAAGGAAATATCTTCAAGTAAAAACTAGACAGAAGCATTCTCAGAAACTTCTTTGTGCTGTATGTCCTCAATTAACAGAGTTGAACCTTTGTGTGGATACAGCATTTTGGAAACATTCCTTTAGTAGAATCTGCAAGTTGATATTTAGATAGCTAGGAAGATTTCCTTGGAAACGGGAATATCTTCATATAAAATCTAGACGGAAGCATTCTCAGAAAGTGCTTTGTGATGTTTGCATTCAAGTCACAGAGTTGAATATTCCCTTTTATAGAGCAGGTTTGAAACACTCTTTCTGCACTACCTGGAAGTGGACATTTGGAGCGCTTTGAGGCCTATGTTGAAAAACGAAATATCTTCCCATAAAAACTAGACAGAAGCATTCTCAGAAACTTGTTTGTGATGTGTGTATTCAACTAACAGAGATGAACCTTTCTTTTTACAGAGCAGTTTTGAAACACTCTTTTTGTGGAATCTGAAAGTGGATATTTGGATAGCTTTGAGGATTTCGTTGGAAACGGGATTACATATAAAATCTAGAGAGAAGCATTCTCAGGAACTTCTTTGTGATGTTTGCATTCACGTCACAGAACTGAACATTCCCTTTCATAGAGCATGTTTGAAACACTCTTTCTGTAGTATCTGCAAACGGACATTTCAAACGCTTTCAGGCCTATGGTGAGAAAGGAAATATCTTCAAGTAAAAACTAGACAGAAGCATTCTCAGAAACTTCTTTGTGCTGTATGTCCTCAATTAACAGAGTTGAACCTTTGTGTGGATACAGCATTTTGGAAACATTCCTTTAGTAGAATCTGCAAGTTGATATTTAGATAGCTAGGAAGATTTCCTTGGAAACGGGAATATCTTCATATAAAATCTAGACGGAAGCATTCTCAGAAACTGCTTTGTGATGTCTTCATTCAAGTCACAGAGTAGAATGTTCCCTTTTATAGAGCAGGTTTGAAACACTCAGTGCACTACCTGGAAGTGGACATTTGGAGCGCTTTGAGGCCCATGTTGAAAAAGGAAATATCTTCCCATAGAAACTAGACAGAAGCATTCTCAGAAACTTGTTTGTGATGTGTGTATTCAACTAACAGAGATGAACCTTTCTTTTTACAGAGCAGTTTTGAAACACTCTTTTTGTGGAATCTGAAATTGGATATTTGGATAGCTTTGAGGATTTCGTTGGAAACGGGATTACATATAAAATCTAGGGAGAAGCATTCTCAGGAACTTCTTTGTGATGTTTGCATTCAAGTCACAGAACTGAACATTCCCTTTCATAGAGCATGTTTGAAACACTCTTTCTGTAGTATCTGCAAGCGGACGTTTTAAGCGCTTTCAGGCCTGTGGTGAGAAAGGAAATATCTTCAAATAAAAACTAGACAGAAGCATTCTCAGAAACTTATTTGCGATGTGTGTCCTCAACTAACAGAGTTGAACCTTTCTTTTGATACAACATTTTGGAAACACTCTTTTTGTGGAATCTGCAAGTGGATATTTGGATAGCTTTGAAGGTTTCGTTGGAAACGGGAATATCTTCATATAAAATCAAGACAGAAGCATTCTCAGAAACTGCTTTGTGATGTTTTCATTCAAGTCACAGTGTAGAATGTTCCCTGTTATATACCAGGTTTGAGACACTCTTTCTGCACTACCTGGAAGTGGACGTTTGGAGCGCTTTGAGGCCTATGTTGAAAAAGGAAATATCTTCCCATAAAAACTAGACAGAAGGATTCTCAGAAACTTGTTTGTGATGTGTGTATTCAACTAACAGAGATGAACCTTTCTTTTTACAGAGCAGTTTTGAAACACTCTTTTTGTGGAATCTGAAAGTGGATATTTGGATAGCTTTGAGGATTTCGTTGGAAACGGGATTACATATAAAACCTAGAGAGAAAGCATTCTCAGGAACTTCTTTGTGATGTTTGCATTCAAGTCACAGAACTGAACATTCCCTTTCATAGAGCAGGTTTGAAACACTCTTTCTGTAGTATCTGCAAGCAGACGTTTTAAGCGCTTTCAGGCCTGTGGTGAGAAAGGAAATATCTTCAAATAAAAACTAGACAGAAGCATTCTCAGAAACTTATTTGCGATGTGTGTTCTCAACTAACAGAGTTGAACCTTTGTTTTGATATGGCATTTTGGAAACACTCTTTTTGTAGAATCTGCAGGTGGATATTCGGATAGCTTTGATGGTTTCGTTGGAAACGGGAATATCTTCATATAAAATCTAGACGGAAGCATTCTCAGAAAGTGCTTTGTGATGTTTGCATTCAAGTCACAGAGTTGAATATTCCCTTTTATAGAGCAGGTTTGAAACACTCTTTCTGCACTACCTGGAAGTGGACATTTGGAGCGCTTTGAGGCCTATGTTGAAAAACGAAATATCTTCCCATAAAAACTAGACAGAAGCATTCTCAGAAACTTGTTTGTGATGTGTGTATTCAACTAACAGAGATGAACCTTTCTTTTTACAGAGCAGTTTTGAAACACTCTTTTTGTGGAATCTGAAAGTGGATATTTGGATAGCTTTGTGGATTTCGTTGGAAACGGGATTACATATAAAATCTAGAGAGAAGCATTCTCAGGAACTTCTTTGTGATGTTTGCATTCACGTCACAGAACTGAACATTCCCTTTCATAGAGCATGTTTGAAACACTCTTTCTGTAGTATCTGCAAACGGACATTTCAAACGCTTTCAGGCCTATGGTGAGAAAGGAAATATCTTCAAATAAAAACTAGACAGAAGCATTCTCAGAAACTTATTTGCGATGTGTGTCCTCAACTAACAGAGTTGAACCTTTCTTTTGATACAACATTTTGGAAACACTCTTTTTGTGGAATCTGCAAGTGGATATTTGGATAGCTTTGAAGATTTCGTTGGAAACGGGAATATCTTCATATAAAATCAAGACAGAAGCATTCTCAGAAAGTGCTTTGTGATGTTTGCATTCAAGTCACAGAGTAGAATGTTCCCTGTTATATACCAGGTTTGAGACACTCTTTCTGCACTACCTGGAAGTGGACGTTTGGAGCGCTTTGAGGCCTATGTTGAAAAAGGAAATATCTTCCCATAAAAACTAGACAGAAGCATTCTCAGAAACTTGTTTGTGATGTGTGTATTCAACTAACAGAGATGAACCTTTCTTTTTACAGAGCAGTTTTGAAACACTCTTTTTGTGGAATCTGAAAGTGGATATTTGGATAGCTTTGAGGATTTCGTTGGAAACGGGATTACATATAAAACCTAGAGAGAAGCATTCTCAGGAACTTCTTTGTGATGTTTGCATTCAAGTCACAGAACTGAACATTCCCTTTCATAGAGCAGGTTTGAAACACTCTTTCTGTAGTATCTGCAAGCTGACGTTTCAAGCGCTTTCAGGCCTATGGTGAGAAAGGAAATATCTTCAAGTAAAAACTAGACAGAAGCATTCTCAGAAACTTATTTGCGATGTGTGTCCTCAACTAACAGAGTTGAACCTTTCTTTTGATACAACATTTTGGAAACACTCTTTTTGTAGAATCTGCAAGTGGATATTTGGATAGCTTTGAAGGTTTCGTTGGAAACGGGAATATCTTCATATGAAATCAAGACAGAAGCATTCTCAGAAAGTGCTTTGTGATGTTTGCATTCAAGTCACAGAGTTGAATGTTCCCTTTTATAGAGCAGGTTTGAAACACTCTTTCTGCACTACCTGGAAGTGGACATTTGGAGCGCTTTGAGGCCTATGTTGAAAAAGGAAATATCTTCCCATAAAAACTAGACAGAAGCATTCTCAGAAACTTGTTTGTGATGTGTGTATTCAACTAACAGAGATGAACCTTTCTTTTTACAGAGCAGTTTTGAAACACTCTTTTTGTGGAATCTGAAAGTGGATATTTGGATAGCTTTGCGGATTTCGTTGGAAACGGGATTACATATAAAACCTAGAGAGAAGCATTCTCAGGAACTTCTTTGTGATGTTTGCATTCAAGTCACAGAACTGAACATTCCCTTTCATAGAGTAGGTTTGAAACACTCTTTCTGTAGTATCTGCAAGCGGACGTTTTAAGCGCTTTCAGGCCTGTGGTGAGAAAGGAAATATCTTCAAATAAAAACTAGACAGAAGCATTCTCAGAAACTTATTTGCGATGTGTGTCCTCATCTAACAGAGTTGAACCTTTCTTTTGATACAACATTTTGGAAACACTCTTTTTGTAGAATCTGCAAGTGGATATTTGGATAGCTTTGAAGGTTTCGTTGGAAACGGGAATATCTTCATATGAAATCAAGACAGAAGCATTCTCAGAAACTGCTTTGTGATGTTCTCATTCAAGTCACAGAGTAGAATGTTCCCTGTTATATACCAGGTTTGAGACACTCTTTCTGCACTACCTGGAAGTGGACATTTGCAGCGCTTTGAGGCCTATGATGAAAAAGGAAATATCTTCCCATAAAAACTAGACAGAAGCATTCTCAGAAACTTGTTTGTGATGTGTGTATTCAACTAACAGAGATGAACCTTTCTTTTTACAGAGCAGTTTTGAAACACTCTTTTTGTGGAATCTGAAAGTGGATATTTGGATAGCTTTGAGGATTTCGTTGGAAACGGGATTACATATAAAACCTAGAGAGAAGCATTCTCAGGAACTTCTTTGTGATGTTTGCATTCACGTCACAGAACTGAACATTCCCTTTCATAGAGCATGTTTGAAACACTCTTTCTGTAGTATCTGCAAACGGACATTTCAAACGCTTTCAGGCCTATGGTGAGAAAGGAAATATCTTCAAGTAAAAACTAGACAGAAGCATTCTCAGAAACTTCTTTGTGCTGTATGTCCTCAATTAACAGAGTTGAACCTTTGTGTGGATACAGCATTTTGGAAACATTCCTTTAGTAGAATCTGCAAGTTGATATTTAGATAGCTAGGAAGATTTCCTTGGAAACGGGAATATCTTCATATAAAATCTAGACGGAAGCATTCTCAGAAACTGCTTTGTGATGTTTTCATTCAAGTCACAGAGTAGAATGTTCCCTGTTATATACCAGGTTTGAGACACTCTTTCTGCACTACCTGGAAGTGGACATTTGCAGCGCTTTGAGGCCTATGATGAAAAAGGAAATATCTTCCCATAAAAACTAGACAGAAGCATTCTCAGAAACTTGTTTGTGATGTGTGTATTCAACTAACAGAGATGAACCTTTCTTTTTACAGAGCAGTTTTGAAACACTCTTTTTGTGGAATCTGAAAGTGGATATTTGGATAGCTTTGAGGATTTCGTTGGAAACGGGATTACATATAAAACCTAGAGAGAAGCATTCTCAGGAACTTCTTTGTGATGTTTGCCTTCAAGTCACAGGACTGAACATTCCCTTTCATAGAGCAGGTTTGAAACACTCTTTCTGTAGTATCTGCAAGCTGACGTTTCAAGCGCTTTCAGGCCTATGGTGACAAAGGAAATATCTTCAAGTAAAAACTAGACAGAAGCATTCTCAGAAACTTCTTTGTGCTGTATGTCCTCAATTAACAGAGTTGAACCTTTGTGTGGATACAGCATTTTGGAAACATTCCTTTAGTAGAATCTGCAAGTTGATATTTAGATAGCTAGGAAGATTGCCTTGGAAACGGGAATATGTTCATATAAAATCTAGCCGGAAGCATTCTCAGAAACTGCTTTGAGATATTTTCATTCATGTCACAGAGGAGAATGTTCCCTTTTATAGAGCAGGTTTGAAACACTCTGTGCACTACATGGAAGTGGACATTTGGAGCGCTTTGAGGCCTATGCGGAAAAAGGAAATATCTTCCCATAAAAACTAGACAGAAGCATTCTCAGAAACTTGTTTGTGATGTGTGTATTCAACTAACAGAGATGAACCTTTCTTTTTACAGAGCAGTTTTGAAACACTCTTTTTGTGGAATCTGAAAGTGGATATGTGGATAGCTTTGAGGATTTCGTTGGAAACGGGATTACATATAAAATCTAGAGAGAAGCATTCTCAGGAACTTCTTTGTGATGTTTGCATTCACGTCACAGAACTGAACATTCCCTTTCATAGAGCATGTTTGAAACACTCTTTCTGTAGTATCTGCAAACGGACATTTCAAACGCTTTCAGGCCTATGGTGAGAAAGGAAATATCTTCAAGTAAAAACTAGACAGAAGCATTCTCAGAAACTTATTTGCGATGTGTGTCCTCAACTAACAGAGTTGAACCTTTCTTTTGATACAACATTTTGGAAACACTCTTTTTGTAGAATCTGCAAGTGGATATTTGGATAGCTTTGAAGGTTTCGTTGGAAACGGGAATATCTTCATATGAAATCAAGACAGAAGCATTCTCAGAAAGTGCTTTGTGATGTTTGCATTCAAGTCACAGAGTTGAATATTCCCTTTTATAGAGTAGGTTTGAAACACTCTTTCTGCACTACCTGGAAGTGGACATTTGGAGCGCTTTGAGGCCTATGTTGAAAAAGGAAATATCTTCCCATAAAAACTAGACAGAAGCATTCTCAGAAACTTGTTTGTGATGTGTGTATTCAACTAACAGAGATGAACCTTTCTTTTTACAGAGCAGTTTTGAAACACTCTTTTTGTGGAATCTGAAAGTGGATATTTGGATAGCTTTGAGGATTTCGTTGGAAACGGGATTACATATAAAACCTAGAGAGAAGCATTCTCAGGAACTTCTTTGTGATGTTTGCCTTCAAGTCACAGGACTGAACATTCCCTTTCATAGAGCAGGTTTGAAACAGTCTTTCTGTAGTATCTGCAAGCTGACGTTTCATGCGCTTTCAGGCCTATGGTGAGAAAGGAAATATCTTCAAGTAAAAACTAGACAGAAGCATTCTCAGAAACTTATTTGCGATGTGTGTCCTCAACTAACAGAGTTGAACCTTTCTTTTGATACAACATTTTGGAAACACTCTTTTTGTAGAATCTGCAAGTGGATATTTGGATAGCTTTGAAGGTTTCGTTGGAAACGGGAATATCTTCATATGAAATCAAGACAGAAGCATTCTCAGAAAGTGCTTTGTGATGTTTGCATTCAAGTCACAGAGTTGAATATTCCCTTTTATAGAGCAGGTTTGAAACACTCTTTCTGCACTACCTGGAAGTGGACATTTGGAGCGCTTTGAGGCCTATGTTGAAAAAGGAAATATCTTCCCATAAAAACTAGACAGAAGCATTCTCAGAAACTTGTTTGTGATGTGTGTATTCAACTAACAGAGATGAACCTTTCTTTTTACAGAGCAGTTTTGAAACACTCTTTTTGTGGAATCTGAAAGTGGATATTTGGATAGCTTTGAGGATTTCGTTGGAAACGGGATTACATATAAAACCTAGAGAGAAGCATTCTCAGGAACTTCTTTGTGATATTTGCATTCAAGTCACAGAACTGAACATTCCCTTTCATAGAGCAGCTTTGAAACACTCTTTCTGTAGTATCTGCAGGCGGACGTTTCAAGCGCTTTCAGGCCTGTGGTGAAAAAGGAAATATCTTCAAATAAAAACTAGACAGAAGCATTCTCAGAAACTTCTTTGTGCTGTATGTCCTCAATTAACAGAGTTGAACCTTTGTGTGGATACAGCATTTTGGAAACATTCTTTTAGTAGAATCTGCAAGTTGATATTTAGATAGCTAGGAAGATTTCCTTGGAAACGGTAATATCTTCATATAAAATCTAGACGGAAGCATTCTCAGAAACTTCTCTGTGATGTTTGCATTCAACTCATAGAGTTGAACACTTCCCTTCATACAGCAGGTTTGAAACACTCTTTTTGTAATATTTGGAAGTGGACATTTGCAGCGCTTTGAGGCCTATGATGAAAAAGGTAATATCTTCCCATAAAAACTAGACAGAAGCATTCTCAGAAACTTGTTTGTGATGTGTGTATTCAAACTAACAGAGATGAACCTTTCTTTTTACAGAGCAGTTTTGAAACACTCTTTTTGTGGAATCTGAAAGTGGATATTTGGATAGCTTTGAGGATTTCGTTGGAAACGGGATTACATATAAAACCTAGAGAGAAGCATTCTCAGGAACTTCTTTGTGATGTTTGCATTCAAGTCACAGAACTGAACATTCCCTTTCATAGAGCAGGTTTGAAACACTCTTTCTGTAGTATCTGCAAGCTGACGTTTCAAGCGCTTTCAGGACTATGGTGAGAAAGGAAATATCTTCAAGTAAAAACTAGACAGAAGCATTCTCAGAAACTTATTTGCGATGTGTGTTCTCAACTAACAGAGTTGAACCTTTGTTTTGATATGGCATTTTGGAAACACTCTTTTTGTAGAATCTGCAGGTGGATATTCGGATAGCTTTGAAGGTTTCGTTGGAAACGGGAATATCTTCATATAAAATCTAGACGGAAGCATTCTCAGAAACTGCTTTGTGATGTTTTCATTCAAGTCACAGAGTAGAATGTTCCCTGTTATATACCAGGTTTGAGACACTCTTTCTGCACTACCTGGAAGTGGACATTTGCAGCGCTTTGAGGCCTATGATGAAAAAGGAAATATCTTCCCATAAAAACTAGACAGAAGCATTCTCAGAAACTTGTTTGTGATGTGTGTATTCAACTAACAGAGATGAACCTTTCTTTTTACAGAGCAGTTTTGAAGCACTCTTTTTGTAGAATCTGCAAGTGGATATTTTGATACCATTGAGGATTTCGTTGGACATGGGATATCTTCATATAAAATCTAGACAGAAGCATTCTCAGAAACTTCTTTGTGCTGTATGTCCTCAATTAACAGAGTTGAACCTTTGTGTGGATACAGCATTTTGGAAACATTCCTTTAGTAGAATCTGCAAGTTGATATTTAGATAGCTAGGAAGAGTTCCTTGGAAACGGGAATATCTTCATATAAAATCTAGACGGAAGCATTCTCAGAAAGTGCTTTGTGATGTTTGCATTCAAGTCACAGAGTTGAATGTTCCCTTTTATAGAGCAGGTTTGAAACACTCTTTCTGAACTACCTGGAAGTGGACGTTTGGAGCGCTTTGAGGCCTATGTTGAAAAAGGAAATATCTTCCCATAAAAACTAGACAGAAGCATTCTCAGAAACTTGTTTGTGATGTGTGTATTCAACTAACAGAGATGAACCCTTCTTTTTACAGAGCAGTTTTGAAACACTCTTTTTGTGGAATCTGAAAGTGGACATTTGGATAGCTTTGCGGATTTCGTTGGAAACGGGATTACATAGAAAATCTAGGGAGAAGCATTCTCAGGAACTTCTTTGTGATGTTTGCATTCAAGTCATAGAACTGAACATTCCCTTTCATAGAGCAGGTTTGAAACACTCTTTCTGTAGTATCTGCAAGCGGACATTTTAAGCGCTTTCAGGCCTGTGGTGAGAAAGGAAATATCTTCAAATAAAAACTAGACAGAAGCATTCTCAGAAACTTCTTTGTGCTGTATGTCCTCAATTAACAGAGTTGAACCTTTGTGTGGATACAGCATTTTGGAAACATTCCTTTAGTAGAATCTGCAAGTTGATATTTAGATAGCTAGGAAGATTTCCTTGGAAACGGGAATATCTTCATATAAAATCTAGACGGAAGCATTCTCAGAAACTTCTCTGTGATGTTTGCATTCAACTCATAGAGTTGAACACTTCCCTTCATACAGCAGGTTTGAAACACTCTTTTTGTAATATTTGGAAGTGGACATTTGCAGCGCTTTGAGGCCTATGATGAAAAAGGAAATATCTTCCCATAAAAACTAGACAGGAAGCATTCTCAGAAACTTGTTTGTGATGTGTGTATTCAACTAACAGAGATGAACCTTTCTTTTTACAGAGCAGTTTTGAAACACTCTTTTTGTGGAATCTGAAAGTGGATATTTGGATAGCTTTGAGGATTTCGTTGGAAACGGGATTACATATAAAATCTAGAGAGAAGCATTCTCAGGAACTTCTTTGTGATGTTTGCATTCAAGTCACAGAACTGAACATTCCCTTTCATAGAGCAGGTTTGAAACACTCTTTCTGTAGTATCTGCAAGCGGACGTTTTAAGCGCTTTCAGGCCTGTGGTGAGAAAGGAAATATCTTCAAATAAAAACTAGACAGAAGCATTCTCAGAGACTTATTTGCGATGTGTGTCCTCAACTAACAGAGTTGAACCTTTCTTTTGATACAACATTTTGGAAACACTCTTTTTGTAGAATCTGCAAGTGGATATTTGGATAGCTTTGAAGGTTTCGTTGGAAACGGGAATATCTTCATATGAAATCAAGACAGAAGCATTCTCAGAAACTGCTTTGTGATGTTTTCATTGAAGTCACAGAGTAGAATGTTCCCTTTTATATACCAGGTTTGAGACACTCTTTCTGCACTATCTGGAAGTGGACATTTGGAGCGCTTTGAGGCCTATGATGAAAAAGGAAATATCTTCCCATAAAAACTAGACAGAAGCATTCTCAGAAACTTGTTTGTGATGTGTGTATTCAACTAACAGAGATGAACCTTTCTTTTTACAGAGCAGTTTTGAAACACTCTTTTTGTGGAATCTGAAAGTGGATATTTGGATAGCTTTGAGGATTTCGTTGGAAACGGGATTACATATAAAACCTAGAGAGAAGCATTCTCAGGAACTTCTTTGTGATGTTTGCCTTCAAGTCACAGGACTGAACATTCCCTTTCATAGAGCAGGTTTGAAACACTCTTTCTGTAGTATCTGCAAGCTGACGTTTCAAGCGCTTTCAGGCCTATGGTGAGAAAGGAAATATCTTCAAGTAAAAACTAGACAGAAGCATTCTCAGAAACTTATTTGCGATGTGTGTCCTCAACTAACAGAGTTGAACCTTTCTTTTGATACAACATTTTGGAAACACTCTTTTTGTAGAATCTGCAAGTGGATATTTGGATAGCTTTGAAGGTTTCGTTGGAAACGGGAATATCTTCATATGAAATCAAGACAGAAGCATTCTGAGAAACTGCTTTGTGATGTTTTCATTCAAGTCACAGAGTAGAATGTTCCCTGTTATATACCAGGTTTGAGACACTCTTTCTGCACTACCTGGAAGTGGACGTTTGGAGCGCTTTGAGGCCTATGTTGAAAAAGGAAATATCTTCCCATAAAAACTAGACAGAAGCATTCTCAGAAACTTGTTTGTGATGTGTGTATTCAACTAACAGAGATGAACCTTTCTTTTTACAGAGCAGTTTTGAAACACTCTTTTTGTGGAATCTGAAAGTGGATATTTGGATAGCTTTGAGGATTTCGTTGGAAACGGGATTACATATAAAATCTAGAGAGAAGCATTCTCAGGAACTTCTTTGTGATGTTTGCATTCAAGTCACAGAACTGAACATTCCCTTTCATAGAGCAGGTGTGAAACACTCTTTCTGTAGTATCTGCAAGCTGACGTTTCAAGCGCTTTCAGGCCTATGGTGAGAAAGGAAATATCTTCAAGTAAAAACTAGACAGAAGCATTCTCAGAAACTTATTTGCGATGTGTGTCCTCAACTAACAGAGTTGAACCTTTCTTTTGATACAACATTTTGGAAACACTCTTTTTGTAGAATCTGCAAGTGGATATTTGGATAGCTTTGAAGGTTTCGTTGGAAACGGGAATATCTTCATATGAAATCAAGACAGAAGCATTCTCAGAAACTTCTCTGTGATGTTTGCATTCAACTCATAGAGTTGAACACTTCCCTGCATACAGCAGGTTTGAAGCACTCTTTTTGTAATATTTGGAAGTGGACATTTGCAGCGCTTTGAGGCCTATGATGAAAAAGGAAATATCTTCCCATAAAAACTAGACAGAAGCATTCTCAGAAACTTGTTTGTGATGTGTGTATTCAACTAACAGAGATGAACCTTTCTTTTTACAGAGCAGTTTTGAAACACTCTTTTTGTGGAATCTGAAAGTGGATATTTGGATAGCTTTGAGGATTTCGTTGGAAACGGGATTACATATAAAACCTAGAGAGAAGCATTCTCAGGAACTTCTTTGTGATGTTTGCATTCAAGTCACAGAACTGAACATTCCCTTTCATAGAGCAGGTTTGAAACACTCTTTCTGTAGTATCTGCAAGCGGACGTTTTAAGCGCTTTCAGGCCTGTGGTGAGAAAAGAAATATCTTCAAATAAAAACTAGACAGAAGCTTTCTCAGAAACTTATTTGCGATGTGTGTCCTCAACTAACAGAGTTGAACCTTTCTTTTGATACAACATTTTGGAAACACTCTTTTTGTAGAATCTGCAAGTGGATATTTGAATAGCTTTGAAGGTTTCGTTGGAAACGGGAATATCTTCATATAAAATCAAGACAGAAAGCATTCTCAGAAAGTGCTTTGTGATGTTTGCATTCAAGTCACAGAGTTGAATGTTCCCTTTTATAGAGCAGGTTTGAAACACTCTTTCTGCACTACCTGGAAGTGGACATTTGGAGTGCTTTGAGGCCTATGTTGAAAAAGGAAATATCTTCCCATAAAAACTAGACAGAAGCATTCTCAGAAACTTGTTTGTGATGTGTGTATTCAACTAACAGAGATGAACCTTTCTTTTTACAGAGCAGTTTTGAAACACTCTTTTTGTGGAATCTGAAAGTGGATATTTGGATAGCTTTGAGGATTTCGTTGGAAACGGGATTACATATAAAACCTAGAGAGAAGCATTCTCAGGAACTTCTTTGTGATGTTTGCATTCACGTCACAGAACTGAACATTCCCTTTCATAGAGCATGTTTGAAACACTCTTTCTGTAGTATCTGCAAACGGACATTTCAAACGCTTTCAGGCCTATGGTGAGAAAGGAAATATCTTCAAATAAAAACTAGACAGAAGCATTCTCAGAAACTTATTTGCGATGTGTGTCCTCAACTAACAGAGTTGAACCTTTCTTTTGATACAACATTTTGGAACCACTCTTTTTGTAGAATCTGCAAGTGGATATTTGGATAGCTTTGAAGGTTTCGTTGGAAACGGGAATATCTTCATATAAAATCAACACAGAAGCATTCTCAGAAACTGCTTTGTGATGTTTTCATTCAAGTCACAGAGTAGAATGTTCCCTGTTATATACCAGGTTTGAGACACTCTTTCTGCACTACCTGGAAGTGGACGTTTGGAGCGCTTTGAGGCCTATGTTGAAAAAGGAAATATCTTCCCATAAAAACTAGACAGAAGCATTCTCAGAAACTTGTTTGTGATGTGTGTATTCAACTAACAGAGATGAACCTTTCTTTTTACAGAGCAGTTTTGAAACACTCTTTTTGTGGAATTTGAAAGTGGATATTTGGATAGCTTTGCGGATTTCGTTGGAAACGGGATTACATATAAAATCTAGGGAGAAGCACTCTCAGGAATTTTTTTGTGATGATTGCATTCTCATCACAGAACTGAACATTCCCTTTCATAGAGCAGGTTTGAAACACTCTTTCTGTAGTATCTGCAAACGGACATTCCAAGCGCTTTCAGGCCTATGGTGAGAAAGGAAATATCTTCAAATAAAAACCAGACAGAAGCATTCTCAGAAACTTATTTGCGATGTGTGTCCTCAACTAACAGAGTTGAACCTTTGTTTTGATACAGCATTTTGGAAACACTCTTTTTGTAGGATCTGCAGGTGGATATTTGGATAGCTTTTAAGGTTTCGTTGGAAACGGGAATATCTTCATATAAAATCAAGACAGAAGCATTCTCAGAAACTGCTTTGTGATGTTTTCATTCAAGTCACAGAGTAGAATGTTCCCTGTTATACACCAGGTTTGAGACACTCTTTCTGCACTACCTGGAAGTGGACGTTTGGAGCGCTTTGAGGCCTATGTTGAAAAAGGAAATATCTTCCCATAAAAACTAGACAGAAGCATTCTCAGAAACTTGTTTGTGATGTGTGTATTCAACTAACAGAGATGAACCTTTCTTTTTACAGAGCAGTTTTGAAACACTCTTTTTGTGGAATCTGAAAGTGGATATTTGGATAGCTTTGAGGATTTCGTTGGAAACGGGATTACATATAAAACCTAGAGAGAAGCATTCTCAGGAACTTCTTTGTGATGTTTGCATTCAAGTCACAGAACTGAACATTCCCTTTCATAGAGCATGTTTGAAACACTCTTTCTGTAGTATCTGCAAACGGACATTTCAAACGCTTTCAGGCCTATGGTGAGAAAGGAAATATCTTCAAATAAAAACTAGACAGAAGCATTCTCAGAAACTTATTTGCGATGTGTGTCCTCAACTAACAGAGTTGAACCTTTCTTTTGATACAACATTTTGGAAACACTCTTTTTGTAGAATCTGCAAGTGGATATTTGAATAGCTTTGAAGGTTTCTTTGGAAACGGGAATATCTTCATATAAAATCAAGACAGAAGCATTCTCAGAAACTTCTCTGTGATGTTTGCATTCAACTCATAGAGTTGAACACTTCCCTTCATACAGCAGGTTTGAAACACTCTTTTTGTAATATTTGGAAGTGGACATTTGCAGCGCTTTGAGGCCTATGATGAAAAAGGAAATATCTTCCCACAAAAACTAGACAGAAGCATTCTCAGAAACTTGTTTGTGATGTGTGTATTCAACTAACAGAGATGAACCTTTCTTTTTACAGAGCAGTTTTGAAACACTCTTTTTGTGGAATCTGAAAGTGGATATTTGGATAGCTTTGAGGATTTCGTTGGAAACGGGATTACATATAAAACCTAGAGAGAAGCATTCTCAGGAACTTCTTTGTGATGTTTGCATTCACGTCACAGAACTGAACATTCCCTTTCATAGAGCATGTTTGAAACACTCTTTCTGTAGTATCTGCAAACGGACATTTCAAACGCTTTCAGGCCTATGGTGAGAAAGGAAATATCTTCAAATAAAAACTAGACAGAAGCATTCTCAGAAACTTATTTGCGATGTGTGTCCTCAACTAACAGAGTTGAACCTTTCTTTTGATACAACATTTTGGAAACACTCTTTTTGTAGAATCTGCAAGTGGATATTTGGATAGCTTTGAAGGTTTCGTTGGAAACGGGAATATCTTCATATGAAATCAAGACAGAAGCATTCTCAGAAAGTGCTTTGTGATGTTTGCATTCAAGTCACAGAGTTGAATATTCCCTTTTATAGAGCAGGTTTGAAACACTCTTTCTGCACTACCTGGAAGTGGACATTTGGAGCGCTTTGAGGCCTATGTTGAAAAAGGAAATATCTTCCCATAAAAACTAGACAGAAGCATTCTCAGAAATTTGTTTGTGATGTGTGTATTCAACTAACAGAGATGAACCTTTCTTTTTACAGAGCAGTTTTGAAACACTCTTTTTGTGGATTCTGAAAGTGGATATTTGGATAGCTTTGAGGATTTTGTTGGAAACGGGATTACATATAAAACCTAGAGAGAAGCATTCTCAGGAACTTCTTTGTGATGTTTGCATTCACGTCACAGAACTGAACATTCCCTTTCATAGAGCATGTTTGAAACACTCTTTCTGTAGTATCTGCAAACGGACATTTCAAACGCTTTCAGGCCTATGGTGAGAAAGGAAATATCTTCAAGTAAAAACTAGACAGAAGCATTCTCAGAAACTTATTTGCGATGTGTGTCCTCAACTAACAGAGTTGAACCTTTCTTTTGATACAACATTTTGGAAACACTCTTTTTGTGGAATCTGCAAGTGGATATTTGGATAGCTTTGAAGATTTCGTTGGAAACGGGAATATCTTCATATAAAATCAAGACAGAAGCATTCTCAGAAACTGCTTTGTGATGTTTTCATTCAAGTCACAGAGTAGAATGTTCCCTGTTATATACCAGGTTTGAGACACTCTTTCTGCACTACCTGGAAGTGGACGTTTGGAGCGCTTTGAGGCCTATGATGAAAAAGGAAATATCTTCCCATAAAAACTAGACAGAAGCATTCTCAGAAACTTGTTTGTGATGTGTGTATTCAACTAACAGAGATGAACCTTTCTTTTTACAGAGCAGTTTTGAAACACTCTTTTTGTGGAATCTGAAAGTGGATATTTGGATAGCTTTGAGGATTTCGTTGGAAACGGGATTACATATAAAATCTAGAGAGAAGCATTCTCAGGAACTTCTTTGTGATGTTTGCATTCAAGTCACAGAACTGAACATTCCCTTTCATAGAGCAGGTTTGAAACACTCTTTCTGTAGTATCTGCAAGCGGACGTTTTAAGCGCTTTCAGGCCTGTGGTGAGAAAGGAAATATCTTCAAATAAAAACTAGACAGAAGCATTCTCAGAAACTTATTTGCGATGTGTGTCCTCAACTAACAGAGTTGAACCTTTCTTTTGATACAACATTTTGGAAACACTCTTTTTGTAGAATCTGCAAGTGGATATTTGAATAGCTTTGAAGGTTTCGTTGGAAACGGGAATATCTTCATATAAAATCAAGACAGAAGCATTCTCAGAAAGTGCTTTGTGATGTTTGCATTCAAGTCACAGAGTTGAATATTCCCTTTTATAGAGCAGGTTTGAAACACTCTTTCTGCACTACCTGGAAGTGGACATTTGGAGCGCTTTGAGGCCTATGTTGAAAAAGGAAATATCTTCCCATAAAAACTAGACAGAAGCATTCTCAGAAACTTGTTTGTGATGTGTGTATTCAACTAACAGAGATGAACCTTTCTTTTTACAGAGCAGTTTTGAAACACTCTTTTTGTGGAATCTGAAAGTGGATATTTGGATAGCTTTGCGGATTTCGTTGGAAACGGGATTACATATAAAATCTAGGGAGAAGCATTCTCAGGAACTTCTTTGTGATGTTTGCCTTCAAGTCACAGGACTGAACATTCCCTTTCATAGAGCAGGTTTGAAACACTCTTTCTGTAGTATCTGCAAGCTGACGTTTCAAGCGCTTTCAGGCCTATGGTGAGAAAGGAAATATCTTCAAGTAAAAACTAGACAGAAGCATTCTCAGAAACTTATTTGCCATGTGTGTTCTCAACTAACAGAGTTGAACCTTTGTTTTGATACGGCATTTTGGAAACACTCTTTTTGTAGAATCTGCAGGTGGATATTCGGATAGCTTTGAAGGTTTCGTTGGAAACGGGAATATCTTCATATAAAATCTAGACGGAAGCATTCTCAGAAAGTGCTTTGTGATGTTTGCATTCAAGTCACAGAGTTGAATATTCCCTTTTATAGAGCAGGTTTGAAACACTCTTTCTGCACTACCTGGAAGTGGACATTTGGAGCGCTTTGAGGCCTATGTTGAAAAAGGAAATATCTTCCCATAAAAACTAGACAGAAGCATTCTCAGAAACTTGTTTGTGATGTGTGTATTCAACTAACAGAGATGAACCTTTCTTTTTACAGAGCAGTTTTGAAACACTCTTTTTGTGGAATCTGAAAGTGGATATTTGGATAGCTTTGCGGATTTCGTTGGAAACGGGATTACATATAAAATCTAGGGAGAAGCATTCTCAGGAACTCCTTTGTGATGTTTGCCTTCAAGTCACAGGACTGAACATTCCCTTTCATAGAGCAGGTTTGAAACACTCTTTCTGTAGTATCTGCAAGCTGACGTTTCAAGCGCTTTCAGGCCTATGGTGATAAAGGAAATATCTTCAAGTAAAAACTAGACAGAAGCATTCTCAGAAACTTATTTGCCATGTGTGTTCTCAACTAACAGAGTTGAACCTTTGTTTTGATACGGCATTTTGGAAACACTCTTTTTGTAGAATCTGCAGGTGGATATTCGGATAGCTTTGAAGGTTTCGTTGGAAACGGGAATATCTTCATAGAAAATCTAGACGGAAGCATTCTCAGAAACTTCTCTGTGATGTTTGCATTCAACTCATAGAGTTGAACACTTCCCTTCATACAGCAGGTTTGAAACACTCTTTTTGTAATATTTGGAAGTGGACATTTGCAGCGCTTTGAGGCCTATGATGAAAAAGGTAATATCTTCCCATAAAAACTAGACAGAAGCATTCTCAGAAACTTGTTTGTGATGTGTGTATTCAACTAACAGAGATGAACCTTTCTTTTTACAGAGCAGTTTTGAAACACTCTTTTTGTGGAATCTGAAAGTGGATATTTGGATAGCTTTGAGGATTTCGTTGGAAACGGGATTACATATAAAATCTAGAGAGAAGCATTCTCAGGAACTTCTTTGTGATGTTTGCATTCAAGTCACAGAACTGAACATTCCCTTTCATAGAGCAGGTTTGAAACACTCTTTCTGTAGTATCTGCAAGCTGACGTTTCAAGCGCTTTCAGGCCTATGGTGAGAAAGGAAATATCTTCAAGTAAAAACTAGACAGAAGCATTCTCAGAAACTTATTTGCCATGTGTGTTCTTAACTAACAGAGTTGAACCTTTGTTTTGATACGGCATTTTGGAAACACTCTTTTTGTAGAATCTGCAGGTGGATATTCGGATAGCTTTGAAGGTTTCGTTGGAAACGGGAATATCTTCATATAAAATCTAGACGGAAGCATTCTCAGAAAGTGCTTTGTGATGTTTGCATTCAAGTCACAGAGTTGAATATTCCCTTTTATAGAGCAGGTTTGAAACACTCTTTCTGCACTACCTGGAAGTGGACATTTGGAGCGCTTTGAGGCCTATGTTGAAAAAGGAAATATCTTCCCATAAAAACTAGACAGAAGCATTCTCAGAAACTTGTTTGTGATGTGTGTATTCAACTAACAGGGATGAACCTTTCTTATTACAGTGCAGTTTTGAAACACTCTTTTTGTGGAATCTGAAAGTGGATATTTGGATAGCTTTGAGGATTTCGTTGGAAACGGGATTACATATAAAACCTAGAGAGAAGCATTCTCAGGAACTTCTTTGTGATGTTTGCATTCAAGTCACAGAACTGAACATTCCCTTTCATAGAGCATGTTTGAAACACTCTTTCTGTAGTATCTGCAAGCGGACGTTTCAAGCGCTTTCAGGCCTATGGTGAGAAAGGAAATATCTTCAAGTAAAAACTAGACAGAAGCATTCTCAGAAACTTATTTGCGATGTGTGTTCTCAACTAACAGAGTTGAACCTTTGTTTTGATATGGCATTTTGGAAACATTCTTTTTGTAGAATCTGCAGCTGGATATTTGGATAGCTTTGAAGGTTTCGTTGGAAACGGGAATATCTTCATATAAAATCAAGACAGAAGCATTCTCAGAAAGTGCTTTGTGATGTTTGCATTCAAGTCACAGAGTTGAATATTCCCTTTTATAGAGCAGGTTTGAAACACTCTTTCTGCCCTACCTGGAAGTGGACATTTGGAGCGCTTTGAGGCCTATGTTGAAAAAGGAAATATCTTCCCATAAAAACTAGACAGAAGCATTCTCAGAAACTTGTTTGTGATGTGTGTATTCAACTAACAGAGATGAACCTTTCCTTTTACAGAGCAGTTTTGAAACACTCTTTTTGTGGAATCTGAAAGTGGATATTTGGATAGCTTTGAGGATTTCGTTGGAAACGGGATTACATATAAAATCTAGAGAGAAGCATTCTCAGGAACTTCTTTGTGATGTTTGCCTTCAAGTCACAGGACTGAACATTCCCTTTCATAGAGCAGGTTTGAAACACTCTTTCTGTAGTATCTGCAAGCTGACGTTTCAAGCGCTTTCAGGCCTATGGTGAGAAAGGAAATATCTTCAAGTAAAAACTAGACAGAAGCATTCTCAGAAACTTATTTGCGATGTGTGTCCTCAACTAACAGAGTTGAACCTTTCTTTTGATACAACATTTTGGAAACACTCTTTTTGTAGAATCTGCAAGTGGATATTTGGATAGCTTTGAAGGTTTCGTTGGAAACGGGAATATCTTCATATGAAATCAAGACAGAAGCATTCTCAGAAACTGCTTTGTGATGTTTTCATTCCAGTCACAGAGTAGAATGTTCCCTTTTATATACCAGGTTTGAGACACTCTTTCTGCACTATCTGGAAGTGGACATTTGGAGCGCTTTGAGGCCTATGATGAAAAAGGAAATATCTTCCCATAAAAACTAGACAGAAGCATTCTCAGAAACTTGTTTGTGATGTGTGTATTCAACTAACAGAGATGAACCTTTCTTTTTACAGAGCAGTTTTGAAACACTCTTTTTGTGGAATCTGAAAGTGGATATTTGGATAGCTTTGCGGATTTCGTTGGAAACGGGATTACATATAAAATCTAGGGAGAAGCATTCTCAGGAACTTCTTTGTGATGTTTGCATTCACGTCACAGAACTGAACATTCCCTTTCATAGAGCATGTTTGAAACACTCTTTCTGTAGTATCTGCAAACGGACATTTCAAACGCTTTCAGGCCTATGGTGAGAAAGGAAATATCTTCAAATAAAAACTAGACAGAAGCATTCTCAGAAACTTATTTGCGATGTGTGTCCTCAACTAACAGAGTTGAACCTTTCTTTTGATACAACATTTTGGAAACACTCTTTTTGTAGAATCTGCAAGTGGATATTTGGATAGCTTTGAAGGTTTCGTTGGAAACGGGAATATCTTCATATGAAATCAAGACAGAAGCATTCTCAGAAACTTCTCTGTGATGTTTGCATTCAACTCATAGAGTTGAACACTTCCCTTCATACAGCAGGTTTGAAACACTCTTTTTGTAATATTTGGAAGTGGACATTTGCAGCGCTTTGAGGCCTATGATGAAAAAGGTAATATCTTCCCATAAAAACTAGACAGAAGCATTCTCAGAAACTTGTTTGTGATGTGTGTATTCAACTAACAGAGATGAACCTTTCTTTTTACAGAGCAGTTTTGAAACACTCTTTTTGTGGAATCTGAAAGTGGATATTTGGATAGCTTTGAGGATTTCGTTGGAAACGGGATTACATATAAAACCTAGAGAGAAGCATTCTCAGGAACTTCTTTGTGATGTTTGCATTCAAGTCACAGAACTGAACATTCCCTTTCATAGAGCAGGTTTGAAACACTCTTTCTGTAGTATCTGCAAGCGGACGTTTTAAGCGCTTTCAGGCCTGTGGTGAGAAAGGAAATATCTTCAAATAAAAACTAGACAGAAGCATTCTCAGAAACTTCTTTGCGATGTGTGTTCTCAACTAACAGAGTTGAACCTTTGTTTTGATATGGCATTTTGGAAACACTCTTTTTGTAGAATCTGCAGGTGGATATTCGGATAGCTTTGAAGGTTTCGTTGGAAACGGGAATATGTTCATATAAAATCTAGACGGAAGCATTCTCAGAAACTGCTTTGTGATGTTTTCATTCAAGTCACAGAGTAGAATCTTCCCTGTTATATACCAGGTTTCAGACACTCTTTCTGCACTACCTGGAAGTGGACATTTGCAGCGCTTTGAGGCCTATGATGAAAAAGGAAATATCTTCCCATAAAAACTAGACAGAAGCTTTCTCAGAAACTTGTTTGTGATGTGTGTATTCAACTAACAGAGATGAACCTTTCTTTTTACAGAGCAGTTTTGAAACACTCTTTTTGTGGAATCTGAAAGTGGATATTTGGATAGCTTTGCGGATTTCGTTGGAAACGGGATTACATATAAAATCTAGGGAGAAGCATTCTCACGAACTTCTTTGTGATGTTTGCATTCAAGTCACAGAACTGAACATTCCCTTTCATACAGCAGGTTTGAAACACTCTTTCTGTAGTATCTGCAAGCTGACGTTTCAAGCGCTTTCAGGCCTATGGTGAGAAAGGAAATATCTTCAAGTAAAAACTAGACAGAAGCATTCTCAGAAACTTATTTGCGATGTGTGTTCTCAACTAACAGAGTTGAACCTTTGTTTTGATATGGCATTTTGGAAACACTCTTTTTGTAGAATCTGCAGGTGGATATTCGGATAGCTTTGAACGTTTCGTTGGAAACGGGAATATCTTCATATAAAATCTAGACGGAAGCATTCTCAGAAAGTGCTTTGTGATGTTTGCATTCAAGTCACAGAGTTGAATATTCCCTTTTATAGAGCAGGTTTGAAACACTCTTTCTGCACTACCTGGAAGTGGACATTTGGAGCGCTTTGAGGCCTATGTTGAAAAAGGAAATATCTTCCCATAAAAACTAGACAGAAGCATTCTCAGAAACTTGTTTGTGATGTGTGTATTCAACTAACAGAGATGAACATTTGTTTTTACAGAGCAGTTTTGAAACACTCTTTTTGTGGAATCTGAAAGTGGATATTTGGATAGCTTTGAGGATTTCGTTGGAAACGGGATTACATATAAAATCTAGAGAGAAGCATTCTCAGGAACTTCTTTGTGATGTTTGCATTCAAGTCACAGAACTGAACATTCCCTTTCATAGAGCAGGTTTGAAACACTCTTTCTGTAGTATCTGCAAGCTGACGTTTCAAGCGCTTTCAGGCCTATGGTGAGAAAGGAAATATCTTCAAGTAAAAACTAGACAGAAGCATTCTCCGAAACTTATTTGCCATGTGTGTTCTCAACTAACAGAGTTGAACCTTTGTTTTGATACGGCATTTTGGAAACACTCTTTTTGTAGAATCTGCAGGTGGATATTCGGATAGCTTTGAAGGTTTCGTTGGAAACGGGAATATCTTCATATAAAATCTTGACGGAAGCATTCTCAGAAACTGCTTTGTGATGTTTTCATTCAAGTCACAGAGTAGAATCTTCCCTGTTATATACCAGGTTTGAGACACTCTTTCTGCACTACCTGGAAGTGGACGTTTGGAGCGCTTTGAGGCCTATGTTGAAAAAGGAAATATCTTCCCATAAAAACTAGACAGAAGCATTCTCAGAAACTTGTTTGTGATGTGTGTATTCAACTAACAGAGATGAACCTTTCTTTTTACAGAGCAGTTTTGAAACACTCTTTTTGTGGAATCTGAAAGTGGATATTTGGATAGCTTTGAGGATTTCGTTGGAAACGGGATTACATATAAAATCTAGAGAGAAGCATTCTCAGGAACTTCTTTGTGATGTTTGCCTTCAAGTCACAGGACTGAACATTCCCTTTCATAGAGCAGGTTTGAAACACTCTTTCTGTAGTATCTGCAAGCTGACGTTTCAAGCGCTTTCAGGCCTATGGTGAGAAAGGAAATATCTTCAAGTAAAAACTAGACAGAAGCATTCTCAGAAACTTATTTGCCATGTGTGTTCTCAACTAACAGAGTTGAAGCTTTGTTTTGATACGGCATTTTGGAAACACTCTTTTTGTAGAATCTGCAGGTGGATATTCGGATAGCTTTGAAGGTGTCGTTGGAAACGGGAATATCTTCATATAAAATCTAGACGGAAGCATTCTCAGAAACTGCTTTGTGATGTTTTCATTCATGTCACAGAGTAGAATGTTCCCTGTTATATACCAGGTTTGAGACACTCTTTCGGCACTACCTGGAAGTGGACATTTGGAGCGCTTTGAGGCCTATGATGAAAAAGGAAATATCTTCCCATAAAAACTAGACAGAAGCATTCTCAGAAACTTGTTTGTGATGTGTGTATTCAACTAACAGAGATGAACCTTTCTTTTTACAGAGCAGTTTTGAAACACTCTTTTTGTGGAATCTGAAAGTGGATATTTGGATAGCTTTGAGGATTTCGTTGGAAACGGGATTACATATAAAATCTAGAGAGAAGCATTCTCAGGAACTTCTTTGTGATGTTTGCATTCACGTCACAGAACTGAACATTCCCTTTCATAGAGCATGTTTGAAACACTCTTTCTGTAGTATCTGCAAACGGACATTTCAAACGCTTTCAGGCCTATGGTGAGAAAGGAAATATCTTCAAATAAAAACTAGACAGAAGCATTCTCAGAAACTTCTTTGTGCTGTATGTCCTCAATTAACAGAGTTGAACCTTTGTGTGGATACAGCATTTTGGAAACATTCCTTTAGTAGAATCTGCAAGTTGATATTTAGATAGCTAGGAAGATTTCCTTGGAAACGGGAATATCTTCATATAAAATCTAGACGGAAGCATTCTCAGAAACTGCTTTGTGATGTTTTCATTCAAGTCACGGAGTAGAATGTTCCCTGTTATATACCAGGTTTGAGACACTCTTTCTGCACTACCTGGAAGTGGACATTTGGAGCGCTTTGAGGCCTATGATGAAAAAGGAAATATCTTCCCATAAAAACTAGACAGAAGCATTCTCAGAAACTTGTTTGTGATGTGTGTATTCAACTAACAGAGATGAACCTTTCTTTTTACAGAGCAGTTTTGAATCACTCTTTTTGTGGAATCTGAAAGTGGATATTTGGATAGCTTTGAGGATTTCGTTGGAAACGGGATTACATATAAAATCTAGAGAGAAGCATTCTCAGGAACTTCTTTGTGATGTTTGCATTCAAGTCACAGAACTGAACATTCCCTTTCATAGAGCAGGTTTGAAACACTCTTTCTGTAGTATCTGCAAGTGGACGTTTCAAGCGCTTTCAGGCCTGTGGTGAAAAAGGAAATATCTTCAAATAAAAACTAGACAGAAACATTGTCAGAAACTTATTTGCCATGTGTGTTCTCAACTAACAGAGTTGAACCTTTGTTTTGATACGGCATTTTGGAAACACTCTTTTTGTAGAATCTGCAGGTGGATATTCGGATAGCTTTGAAGGTTTCGTTGGAAACGGGAATATCTTCATATAAAATCTAGACGGAAGCATTCTCAGAAACTGCTTTGTGATGTTTTCATTCAAGTCACAGTGTAGAATGTTCCCTGTTATATACCAGGTTTGAGACACTCTTTCTGCACTACCTGGAAGTGGACGTTTGGAGCGCTTTGAGGCCTATGTTGAAAAAGGAAATATCTTCCCATAAAAACTAGACAGAAGCATTCTCAGAAACTTGTTTGTGATGTGTGTATTCAACTAACAGAGATGAACCTTTCTTTTTACAGAGCAGTTTTGAAACACTCTTTTTGTGGAATCTGAAAGTGGATATTTGGATAGCTTTGAGGATTTCGTTGGAAACGGGATTACATATAAAACCTAGAGAGAAGCATTCTCAGAATCTTTCTCGTGATGTGTGTACTCAAGTAACAGAGGTGAACCTTCATTTTGACAGAGCAGTTTTGAAGCACTCTTTTTGTAGAATCTGCAAGTGGATATTTTGATACCTTTGAGGATTTCGTTAGACACGGGATATCTTCATATAAAATCTAGACAGAAGCATTCTCAGAAACTTCTTTGTGCTGTATGTCCTCAGTTAACAGAGTTGAACCTTTGTGTGGATACAGCATTTTGGAAACATTCCTTTAGTAGAATCTGCAAGTTGATATTTAGATAGCTAGGAAGATTTCCTTGGAAACGGGAATATCTTCATATAAAATCTAGACGGAAGCATTCTCAGAAAGTGCTTTGTGATGTTTGCATTCAAGTCACAGAGTTGAATATTCCCTTTTATAGAGCAGGTTTGAAACACTCTTTCTGCACTACCTGGAAGTGGACATTTGGAGCGCTTTGAGGCCTATGTTGAAAAAGGAAATATCTTCCCATAAAAACTAGACAGAAGCATTCTCAGAAACTTGTTTGTGATGTGTGTATTCAACTAACAGAGATGAACCTTTCTTTTTACAGAGCAGTTTTGAAACACTCTTTTTGTGGAATCTGAAAGTGGATATTTGGATAGCTTTGAGGATTTCGTTGGAAACGGGATTACATATAAAATCTAGAGAGAAGCATTCTCAGGAACTTCTTTGTGATGTTTGCATTCACGTCACAGAACTGAACATTCCCTTTCATAGAGCATGTTTGAAACACTCTTTCTGTAGTATCTGCAAACGGACATTTCAAACGCTTTCAGGCCTATGGTGAGAAAGGAAATATCTTCAAATAAAAACTAGACAGAAACATTCTCAGAAACTTATTTGCGATGTGTGTCCTCAACTAACAGAGTTGAACCTTTCTTTTGATACAACATTTTGGAAACACTCTTTTTGTAGAATCTGCAAGTGGATATTTGGATAGCTTTGAAGGTTTCGTTGGAAACGGGAATATCTTCATATGAAATCAAGACAGAAGAATTCTCAGAAAGTGCTTTGTGATGTTTGCATTCAAGTCACAGAGTTGAATATTCCGTTTTATAGAGCAGGTTTGAAACACTCTTTCTGCACTACCTGGAAGTGGACATTTGGAGCGCTTTGAGGCCTATGTTGAAAAAGGAAATATCTTCCCATAAAAACTAGACAGAAGCATTCTCAGAAACTTGTTTGTGATGTGTGTATTCAACTAACAGAGATGAACCTTTCTTTTTACAGAGCAGTTTTGAAACACTCTTTTTGTGGAATCTGAAAGTGGATATTTGGATAGCTTTGAGGATTTCGTTGAAAACGGGATTACATATAAAATCTAGAGAGAAGCATTCTCAGGAACTTCTTTGTGATGTTTGCATTCAAGTCACAGAACTGAACATTCCCTTTCATAGAGCAGGTTTGAAACACTCTTTCTGTAGTATCTGCAAGCGGACGTTTTAAGCGCTTTCAGGCCTGTGGTGAGAAAGGAAATATCTTCAAATAAAAACTAGACAGAAGCATTCTCAGAAACTTATTTGCGATGTGTGTCCTCAACTAACAGAGTTGAACCTTTCTTTTGATACAACATTTTGGAAACACTCTTTTTGAAGAATCTGCAAGTGGATATTTGGATAGCTTTGAAGGTTTCGTTGGAAACGGGAATATCTTCATATAAAATCAAGACAGAAGCATTCTCAGAAACTTCTCTGTGATGTTTGCATTCAACTCATAGAGTTGAACACTTCCCTTCATACAGCAGGTTTGAAACACTCTTTTTGTAATATTTGGAAGTGGACATTTGCAGCGCTTTGAGGCCTATGATGAAAAAGGTAATATCTTCCCATAAAAACTAGACAGAAGCATTCTCAGAAACTTGTTTGTGATGTGTGTATTCAACTAACAGTGATGAACCTTTCTTTTTACAGAGCAGTTTTGAAACACTCTTTTTGTGGAATCTGAAAGTGGATATTTGGATATCTTTGAGGATTTCGTTGGAAACGGGATTACATATAAAATCTAGAGAGAAGCATTCTCAGGAACTTCTTTGTGATGTTTGCATTCAAGTCACAGAACTGAACATTCCCTTTCATAGAGCATGTTTGAAACACTCTTTCTGTAGTATCTGCAAACGGACATTTCAAGCGCTTTCAGGCCTATGGTAAGAAAGGAAATATCTTCAAATAAAAACTAGACAGAAGCATTCTCAGAAGCTTATTTGCCATGTGTGTTCTCAACTAACAGAGTTGAACCTTTGTTTTGATACGGCATTTTGGAAACACTCTTTTTGTAGAATCTGCAGGTGGATTTTCGGATAGCTTTGAAGGTTTCGTTGGAAACGGGAATACCTTCATATAAAATCTAGACGGAAGCATTCTCAGAAAGTGCTTTGTGATGTTTGCATTCAAGTCACAGAGTTGAATATTCCCTTTTATAGAGCAGGTTTGAAACACTCTTTCTGCACTACCTGGAAGTGGACATTTGGAGCGCTTTGAGGCCTATGTTGAAAAAGGAAATATCTTCCCATAAAAACTAGACAGAAGCATTCTCAGAAACTTGTTTGTGATGTGTGTATTCAACTAACAGAGATGAACCTTTCTTTTTACAGAGCAGTTTTGAAACACTCTTTTTGTGGAATCTGAAAGTGGATATTTGGATAGCTTTGAGGATTTCGTTGGAAACGGGATTACATATAAAATCTAGAGAGAAGCATTCTCAGGAACTTCTTTGTGATGTTTGCATTCAAGTCACAGAACTGAACATTCCCTTTCATAGAGCAGGTTTGAAACACTCTTTCTGTAGTATCTGCAAGCGGACGTTTCAAGCGCTTAGAGGCCTGTGGTGAAAAAGGAAATATCTTCAAATAAAAACTAGACAGAAGCATTCTCAGAAACTTATTTGCGATGTGTGTTCTCAACTAAAAGAGTTGAACCTTTGTTTGGATACAGCACTTTGGAAACACTCTTTTTGTAGAATCTGCAAGTGGATATTTGGATAGCTTTGAAGGTTTCGTTGGAAACGGGAATATCTTCATATAAAATCAAGACAGAAGCATTCTCAGAAACTGCTTTGTGATGTTTTCATTCAAGTCACAGAGTAGAATGTTCCCTGTTATATACCAGGTTTGAGACACTCTTTCTGCACTACCTGGAAGTGGACATTTGCAGCGCTTTGAGGCCTATGATGAAAAAGGAAATATCTTCCCATAAAAACTAGACAGAAGCATTCTCAGAAACTTGTTTCTGATGTGTGTATTCAACTAACAGAGATGAACCTTTCTTTTTACAGAGTCGTTTTGAAACACTCTTTTTGTGGAATCTGAAAGTGGATATTTGGATAGCTTTGCGGATTTCGTTGGAAACGGGATTACATATAAAATCTAGGGAGAAGCATTCTCAGGAACTTCTTTGTGATGTTTGCATTCAAGTCACAGAACTGAACATTCCCTTTCATAGAGCAGGTTTGAAACACTCTTTCTGTAGTATCTGCAAGTGGACGTTTCAAGCGCTTTCAGGCCTGTGGTGAAAAAGGAAATATCTTCAAATAAAACCTAGACAGAAGCATTCTCAGAAACTTATTTGCGATGTGTGTCCTCAACTAACAGAGTTGAACCTTTCTTTTGATACAACATTTTGGAAACACTCTTTTTGTAGAATCTGCAAGTGGATATTTGGATAGCTTTGAAGGTTTCGTTGGAAACGGGAATATCTTCATATGAAATCAAGACAGAAGCATTCTCAGAAACTGCTTTGTGATGTTTTCATTCAAGTCACAGAGTAGAATGTTCCCTGTTATATACCAGGTTTGAGACACTCTTTCTGCACTACCTGGAAGTGGACGTTTGGAGCGCTTTGAGGCCTATGTTGAAAAAGGAAATATCTTCCCATAAAAACTAGACAGAAGCATTCTCAGAAACTTGTTTGTGATGTGTGTATTCAACTAACAGAGATGAACCTTTCTTTTTACAGAGCAGTTTTGAAACACTCTTTTTGTGGAATCTGAAAGTGGATATTTGGATAGCTTTCAGGATTTCGTTGGAAACGGGATTACATATAAAACCTACAGAGAAGCATTCTCAGGAACTTCTTTTTGATGTTTGCATTCAAGTCACAGGACTGAACATTCCCTTTCATAGAGCAGGTTTGAAACACTCTTTCTGTAGTATCTGCAAGCTGACGTTTCAAGCGCTTTCAGGCCTATGGTGAGAAAGGAAATATCTTCAAGTAAAAACTAGACAGAAGCATTCTCAGGAAACTTATTTGCCATGTGTGTTCTCAACTAACAGGAGTTGAACCTTTGTTTTGATACGGCATTTTGGAAACACTCTTTTTGTAGAATCTGCAGGTGGATATTCGGATAGCATTGAAGGTTTCGTTGGAAACGGGAATATCTTCATATAAAATCTAGACGGAAGCATTCTCAGAAACTTCTTTGTGCTGTATGTCCTCAATTAACAGAGTTGAACCTTTGTGTGGATACAGCATTTTGGAAACACTCCTTTAGTAGAATCTGCTAGTTGATATATAGATAGCTAGGAAGATTTCCTTGGAAACGGGAATATCTTCACATAAAATATAGACGGAAGCATTCTCAGAAACTTGTTTGTGATGTGTGTATTCAACTAACAGAGATGAACCTTACTTTTTACAGAGCAGTTTTGAAACACTCTTTTTGTGGAATCTGAAAGTGGATATTTGGATAGCTTTGAGGATTTCGTTGGAAACGGGATTACATATAAAATCTAGAGAGAAGCATTCTCAGGAACTTCTTTGTGATGTTTGCATTCAAGTCACAGAACTGAACATTCCCTTTCATAGAGCATGTTTGAAACACTCTTTCTGTAGTATCTGCAAACGGAGATTTCAAGCGCTTTCAGGCCTATGGTAAGAAAGGAAATATCTTCAAATAAAAACTAGACAGAAGCATTCTCAGAAACTTATTTGCGATGTGTGTCCTCAACTAACAGAGTTGAACCTTTGTTTTGATACAACATTTTGGAAACACTCTTTTTGTAGAATCTGCAAGTGGATATTTGGATAGCTTTGAAGGTTTCGTTGGAAACGGGAATATCTTCATATAAAATCAAGACAGAAGCATTCTCAGAAACTTCTCTGTGATGTTTGCATTCAACTCATAGAGTTGAACACTTCCCTTCATACAGCAGGTTTGAAACACTCTTTTTGTAATATTTGGAAGTGGACATTTGCAGCGCTTTGAGGCCTATGATGAAAAAGGTAATATCTTCCCATAAAAACTAGACAGAAGCATTCTCAGAAACTTGTTTGTGATGTGTGTATTCAACTAACAGAGATGAACCTTTCTTTTTACAGAGCAGTTTTGAAACACTCTTTTTGTGGAATCTGAAAGTGGATATTTGGATAGCTTTGAGGATTTCGTTGGAAACGGGATTACATATAAAACCTAGAGAGAAGCATTCTCAGGAACTTCTTTGTGATGTTTGCATTCAAGTCACAGAACTGAACATTCCCTTTCATAGAGCAGCTTTGAAACACTCTTTCTGTAGTATCTGCAAGCGGACGTTTCAAGCGCTTTCAGGCCTGTGGTGAAAAAGGAAATATCTTCAAATAAAAACTAGACAGAAGCATTCTCAGAAACTTATTTGCGATGTGTGTCCTCAACTAACAGAGTTGAACCTTTCTTTTGATACAACATTTTGGAAACACTCTTTTTGTAGAATCTGCAAGTGGATATTTGAATAGCTTTGAAGGTTTCGTTGGAAACGGGAATATCTTCATATAAAATCAAGACAGAAGCATTCTCAGAAACTGCTTTGTGATGTTTTCATTCAAGTCACAGAGTAGAATGTTCCCTGTTATATACCAGGTTTGAGACACTCTTTCTGCACTACCTGGAAGTGGACGTTTGGAGCGCTTTGAGGCCTATGTTGAAAAAGGAAATATCTTCCCATAAAAACTAGACAGAAGCATTCTCAGAAACTTGTTTGTGATGTGTGTATTCAACTAACAGAGATGAACCTTTCTTTTTACAGAGCAGTTTTGAAACACTCTTTTTGTGGAATCTGAAAGTGGATATTTGGATAGCTTTGAGGATTTCGTTGGAAACGGGATTACATATAAAATCTAGAGAGAAGCATTCTCAGGAACTTCTTTGTGATGTTTGCATTCAAGTCACAGAACTGAACATTCCCTTTCATTGAGCATGTTTGAAACACTCTTTCTGTAGTATCTGCAAGCGGACGTTTCAAGCGCTTTCAGGCCTATGGTGAGAAAGGAAATATCTTCAAGTAAAAACTAGACAGAAGCATTCTCAGAAACTTATTTGCCATGTGTGTTCTCAACTAACAGAGTTGAACCTTTGTTTTGATACGGCATTTTGGAAACACTCTTTTTGTAGAATCTGCAGGTGGATATTCGGATAGCTTTGAAGGTTTCGTTGGAAACGGGAATATCTTCATATAAAATCTAGACGGAAGCATTCTCAGAAAGTGCTTTGTGATGTTTGCATTCAAGTCACAGAGTTGAATATTCCCTTTTATAGAGCAGGTTTGAAACACTCTTTCTGCACTACCTGGAAGTGGACATTTGGAGCGCTTTGAGGCCTATGTTGAAAAAGGAAATATCTTCCCATAAAAACTAGACAGAAGCATTCTCAGAAACTTGTTTGTGATGTGTGTATTCAACTAACAGAGATGAACCTTTCTTTTTACAGAGCAGTTTTGAAACACTCTTTTTGTGGAATCTGAAAGTGGATATTTGGATACCTTTGCGGATTTCGTTGGAAACGGGATTACATATAAAATCTAGGGAGAAGCATTCTGAGGAACGTCTTTGTGATGTTTGCATTCACGTCACAGAACTGAACATTCCCTTTCATAGAGCATGTTTGAAACACTCTTTCTGTAGTATCTGCAAACGGACATTTCAAACGCTTTCAGGCCTATGGTGAGAAAGGAAATATCTTCAAATAAAAACTAGACAGAAGCATTCTCAGAAACTTATTTGCCATGTGTGTTCTCAACTAACAGAGTTGAACCTTTGTTTTGATACGGCATTTTGGAAACACTCTTTTTGTAGAATCTGCAGGTGAATATTCGGATAGCTTTGAAGGTTTCGTTGGAAACGGGAATATCTTCATATAAAATCTAGACGGAAGCATTCTCAGAAAGTGCTTTGTGATGTTTGCATTCAAGTCACAGAGTTGAATATTCCCTTTTATAGAGCAGGTTTGAAACACTCTTTCTGCACTACCTGGAAGTGGACATTTGGAGCGCTTTGAGGCCTATGTTGAAAAAGGAAATATCTTCCCATAAAAACTAGACAGAAGCATTCTCAGAAACTTGTTTGTGATGTGTGTATTCAACTAACAGAGATGAACCTTTCTTTTTACAGAGCAGTTTTGAAACACTCTTTTTGTGGAATCTGAAAGTGGATATTTGGATAGCTTTGAGGATTTCGTTGGAAACGGGATTACATATAAAACCTAGAGAGAAGCATTCTCAGGAACTTCTTTGTGATGTTTGCATTCACGTCACAGAACTGAACATTCCCTTTCATAGAGCATGTTTGAAACACTCTTTCTGTAGTATCTGCAAACGGACATTTCAAACGCTTTCAGGCCTATGTTGAGAAAGGAAATATCTTCAAATAAAAACTAGACAGAAGCATTCTCAGAAACTTATTTGCGATGTGTGTCCTCAACTAACAGAGTTGAACCTTTCTTTTGATACAACATTTTGGAACCACTCTTTTTGTAGAATCTGCAAGTGGATATTTGGATAGCTTTGAAGGTTTCGTTGGAAACGGGAATATCTTCATATAAAATCAAGACAGAAGCATTCTCAGAAACTGCTTTGTGATGTTTTCATTCAAGTCACAGAGTAGAATGTTCCCTGTTATATACCAGGTTTGAGACACTCTTTCTGCACTACCTGGAAGTGGACATTTGCAGCGCTTTGAGGCCTATGATGAAAAAGGAAATATCTTCCCATAAAAACTAGACAGAAGCATTCTCAGAAACTTGTTTGTGATGTGTGTATTCAACTAACAGAGATGAACCTTTCTTTTTACAGAGCAGTTTTGAAACACTCTTTTTGTGGAATCTGAAAGTGGATATTTGGATAGCTTTGCGGATTTCGTTGGAAACGGGATTACATATAAAATCTAGGGAGAAGCACTCTCAGGAACTTCTTTGTGATGTTTGCATTCAAGTCACAGAACTGAACATTCCCTTTCATAGAGCAGGTTTGAAACACTCTTTCTGTAGTATCTGCAAGCGGACGTTTTAAGCGCTTTCAGGCCTGTGGTGAGAAAGGAAATATCTTCAAATAAAAACTAGACAGAAGCATTCTCAGAGACTTATTTGCGATGTGTGTCCTCAACTAACAGAGTTGAACCTTTCTTTTGATACAACATTTTGGAAACACTCTTTTTGTAGAATCTGCAAGTGGATATTTGGATAACTTTGAAGGTTTCGTTGGAAACGGGAATATCTTCATATGAAATCAAGACAGAAGCATTCTCAGAAAGTGCTTTGTGATGTTTGCATTCAAGTCACAGAGTTGAATATTCCCTTTTATAGAGCAGGTTTGAAACACTCTTTCTGCACTACCTGGAAGTGGACATTTGGAGCGCTTTGAGGCCTATGTTGAAAAAGGAAATATCTTCCCATAAAAACTAGACAGAAGCATTCTCAGAAACTTGTTTGTGATGTGTGTATTCAACTAACAGAGATGAACCTTTCTTTTTACAGAGCAGTTTTGAAACACTCTTTTTGTGGAATCTGAAAGTGGATATTTGGATAGCTTTGAGGATTTCGTTGGAAACGGGATTACATATAAAACCTAGAGAGAAGCATTCTCAGGAACTTCTTTGTGATGTTTGCATTCAAGTCACAGAACTGAACATTCCCTTTCATAGAGCAGGTTTGAAACACTCTTTCTGTAGTATCTGCAAGCTGACGTTTCAAGCGCTTTCAGGCCTATGGTGAGAAAGGAAATATCTTCAAGTAAAAACTAGACAGAAGCATTCTCAGAAACTTATTTGCCATGTGTGTTCTCAACTAACAGAGTTGAACCTTTGTTTTGATACGGCATTTTGGAAACACTCTTTTTGTAGAATCTGCAGGTGGATATTCGGATAGCTTTGAAGGTTTCGTTGGAAACGGGAGTATCTTCATATAAAATCTAGACGGAAGCATTCTCAGAAACTGCTTTGTGATGTTTTCATTCAAGTCACAGAGTAGAATGTTCCCTGTTATATACCAGGTTTGACACACTCTTTCTGCACTACCTGGAAGTGGACATTTGCAGCGCTTTGAGGCCTATGATGACAAAGGAAATATCTTCCCATAAAAACTAGACAGAAGCATTCTCAGAAACTTGTTTGTGATGTGTGTATTCAACTAACAGAGATGAACCTTTCTTTTTACAGAGCAGTTTTGAAACACTCTTTTTGTGGAATCTGAAAGTGGATATTTGGATAGCTTTGAGGATTTCGTTGGAAACGGGATTACATATAAAATCTAGGGAGAAGCATTCTCAGGAACTTCTTTGTGATGTTTGCATTCAAGTCACAGGACTGAACATTCCCTTTCATAGAGCAGGTTTGAAACACTCTTTCTGTAGTATCTGCAAGCTGACGTTTCAAGCGCTTTCAGGCCTATGGTGAGAAAGGAAATATCTTCAAGTAAAAACTAGACAGAAGCATTCTCAGAAACTTATTTGCCATGTGTGTTCTCAACTAACAGAGTTGAACCTTTGTTTTGATACGGCATTTTGGAAACACTCTTTTTGTAGAATCTGCAGGTGGATATTCGGATAGCTTTGAAGGTTTCGTTGGAAACGGGAATATCTTCATATAAAATCTAGACGGAAGCATTCTGAGAAACTGCTTTGTGATGTTTTCATTCAAGTCACAGAGTAGAATGTTCCCTGTTATATACCAGGTTTGAGACACTCTTTCTGCACTACCTGGAAGTGGACATTTGCAGCGCTTTGAGGCCTATGATGAAAAAGGAAATATCTTCCCATAAAAACTAGACAGAAGCATTCTGAGAAACTTGTTTGTGATGTGTGTATTCAACTAACAGAGATGAACCTTTCTTTTTACAGAGCAGTTTTGAAACACTCTTTTTGTGGAATCTGAAAGTGGATATTTGGATAGCTTTGAGGATTTCGTTGGAAACGGGATTACATATAAAATCTAGAGAGAAGCATTCTCAGGAACTTCTTTGTGATGTTTGCATTCAAGTCACAGAACTGAACATTCCCTTTCATAGAGTATGTTTGAAACACTCTTTCTGTAGTATCTGCAAACGGACATTTCATACGCTTTCAGGCCTATGGTGAGAAAGGAAATATCTTCAAATAAAAACTAGACAGAAGCATTCTCAGAAACTTATTTGCCATGTGTGTTCTCAACTAACAGAGTTGAACCTTTGTTTTGATACAGCATTTTGGAAACACTCTTTTTGTAGGATCTGCAGGTGGATATTTGGATAGGTTTGAAGGTTTCGTTGGAAAGGGGAATATCTTCATATAAAATCAACACAGAAGCATTCTCAGAAACTTCTCTGTGATGTTTGCATTCAACTCATAGAGTTGAACACTTCCTTTCATAGAGCTGGTTTGAAATACTCTTTTTGTAATATTTGGAAGTGGACATTGGCAGCGCTTTGAAGCCTATGGTGAAAAAGGAGATATCTTCTCCTAAAAACCAGACAGAAGCATTCTCAGAAACTTCCTTGTGATGTGTGTACTCAAGTAACAGAGTTGAACCTTCCTTTTGACAGAGCAGTTTTGAAGCACTCTTTTTGTAGAATCTGCAAGTGGATATTTTGATACCTTTGAGGATTTCGTTGGACACGGGATATCTTCATATAAAATCTAGACTAGAAGCATTCTCAGGAACTTCTTTGTGATGTTTGCATTCACGTCACAGAACTGAACATTCCCTTTCATAGAGCATGTTTGAAACACTCTTTCTGTAGTATCTGCAAACGGACATTTCAAACGCTTTCAGGCCTATGGTGAGAAAGGAAATATCTTCAAGTAAAAACTAGACAGAAGCATTCTCAGAAACTTATTTGCGATGTGTGTCCTCAACTAACAGAGTTGAACCTTTCTTTTGATACAACATTTTGGAAACACTCTTTTTGTGGAATCTGCAAGTGGATATTTGGATAGCTTTGAAGATTTCGTTGGAAACGGGAATATCTTCATATAAAATCAAGACAGAAGCATTCTCAGAAACTTCTCTGTGATGTTTGCATTCAACTCATAGAGTTGAACACTTCCCTTCATACAGCAGGTTTGAAACACTCTTTTTGTAATATTTGGAAGTGGACATTTGCAGCGCTTTGAGGCCTATGATGAAAAAGGTAATATCTTCCCATAAAAACTAGACAGAAGCATTCTCAGAAACTTGTTTGTGATGTGTGTATTCAACTAACAGAGATGAACCTTTCTTTTTACAGAGCAGTTTTGAAACACTCTTTTTGTGGAATCTGAAAGTGGATATTTGGATAGCTTTGAGGATTTCGTTGGAAACGGGATTACATATAAAACCTAGAGAGAAGCATTCTCAGGAACTTCTTTGTGATGTTTGCATTCACGTCACAGAACTGAACATTCCCTTTCATAGAGCATGTTTGAAACACTCTTTCTGTAGTATCTGCAAACGGACATTTCAAACGCTTTCAGGCCTATGGTGAGAAAGGAAATATCTTCAAATAAAAACTAGACAGAAGCATTCTCAGAAACTTATTTGCGATGTGTGTTCTCAACTAACAGAGTTGAACCTTTGTTTTGATATGGCATTTTGGAAACACTCTTTTTGTAGAATCTGCAGGTGGATATTCGGATAGCTTTGAAGGTTTCGTTGGAAACGGGAATATCTTCATATAAAATCTAGACGGAAGCATTCTCAGAAACTGCTTTGTGATGTTTTCATTCAAGTCACAGAGTAGAATGTTCCCTGTTATATACCAGGTTTGAGACACTCTTTCTGCACTACCTGGAAGTGGACATTTGGAGCGCTTTGAGGCCTATGATGAAAAAGGAAATATCTTCCCATAAAAACTAGACAGAAGCATTCTCAGAAACTTGTTTGTGATGTGTGTATTCAACTAACAGAGATGAACCTTTCTTTTTACAGAGCAGTTTTGAAACACTCTTTTTGTGGAATCTGAAAGTGGATATTTGGATAGCTTTGAGGATTTCGTTGGAAACGGGATTACATATAAAACCTAGAGAGAAGCATTCTCAGGAACTTCTTTGTGATGTTTGCATTCAAGTCACAGAACTGAACATTCCCTTTCATAGAGCAGGTTTGAAACACTCTTTCTGTAGTATCTGCAAGCGGACGTTTTAAGCGCTTTCAGGCCTGTGGTGAGAAAGGAAATATCTTCAAATAAAAACTAGACAGAAGCATTCTCAGAAACTTATTTGCCATGTGTGTTCTCAACTAACAGAGTTGAACCTATGTTTTGATACGGCATTTTGGAAACACTCTTTTTGTAGAATCTGCAGGTGGATATTCGGATAGCTTTGAAGGTTTCGTTGGAAACGGGAATATCTTCATATAAAATCTAGACGGAAGCATTCTCAGAAACTGCTTTGTGATGTTTTCATTCAAGTCACAGAGTAGAATGTTCCCTGTTATATACCAGGTTTGAGACACTCTTTCTGCACTACCTGGAAGTGGACGTTTGGAGCGCTTTGAGGCCTATGTTGAAAAAGGAAATATCTTCCCATAAAAACTAGACAGAAGCATTCTCAGAAACTTGTTTGTGATGTGTGTATTCAACTAACAGAGATGAACCTTTCTTTTTACAGAGCAGTTTTGAAACACTTTTTGTGGAATCTGAAAGTGGATATTTGGATAGCTTTGAGGATTTCGTTGGAAACGGGATTACATATAAAATCTAGAGAGAAGCATTCTCAGGAACTTCTTTGTGATGTTTGCATTCACGTCACAGAACTGAACATTCCCTTTCATAGAGCATGTTTGAAACACTCTTTCTGTAGTATCTGCAAACGGACATTTCAAACGCTTTCAGGCCTATGGTGAGAAAGGAAATATCTTCAAATAAAAACTAGACAGAAGCATTCTCAGAAACTTATTTGCGATGTGTGTCCTCAACTAACAGAGTTGAACCTTTCTTTTGATACAACATTTTGGAAACACTCTTTTTGTAGAATCTGCAAGTGGATATTTGAATAGCTTTGAAGGTTTCGTTGGAAACGGGAATATCTTCATATAAAATCAAGACAGAAGCATTCTCAGAAACTGCTTTGTGATGTTTTCATTCAAGTCACAGAGTAGAATGTTCCCTGTTATATACCAGGTTTGAGACACTCTTTCTGCACTACCTGGAAGTGGACATTTGGAGCGCTTTGAGGCCTATGCTGAAAAAGGAAATATCTTCCCATAAAAACTAGACAGAAGCATTCTCAGAAACTTGTTTTTGATGTGTGTATTCAACTAACAGAGATGAACCTTTCTTTTTACAGAGCAGTTTTGAAACACTCTTTTTGTGGAATCTGAAAGTGGATATTTGGATAGCTTTGAGGATTTCGTTGGAAACGGGATTACATATAAAATCTAGAGAGAAGCATTCTCAGGAACTTCTTTGTGATGTTTGCATTCACGTCACAGAACTGAACATTCCCTTTCATAGAGCATGTTTGAAACACTCTTTCTGTAGTATCTGCAAACGGACATTTCAAACGCTTTCAGGCCTATGGTGAGAAAGGAAATATCTTCAAATAAAAACTAGACAGAAGCATTCTCAGAAACTTCTTTGTGCTGTATGTCCTCAATTAACAGAGTTGAACCTTTGTGTGGATACAGCATTTTGGAAACATTCCTTTAGTAGAATCTGCAAGTTGATATTTAGATAGCTAGGAAGATTTCCTTGGAAACGGGAATATCTTCATATAAAATCTAGACGGAAGCATTCTCAGAAACTGCTTTGTGATGTTTTCATTCAAGTCACAGAGTAGAATGTTCCCTTTTATATACCAGGGTTTCAGACACTCTTTCTGCACTATCTGGAAGTGGACATTTGGAGCGCTTTGAGGCCTATGATGAAAAAGGAAATATCTTCCCATAAAAACTAGACAGAAGCATTCTCAGAAACTTGTTTGTGATGTGTGTATTCAACTAACAGAGATGAACCTTTTTTTTTACAGAGCAGTTTTGAAACACTCTTTTTGTGGAATCTGAAAGTGCATATTTGGATAGCTTTGAGGATTTCGTTGGAAACGGGATTACATATAAAATCTAGAGAGAAGCATTCTCAGGAATTTCTTTGTGATGTTTGCATTCAAGTCACAGAACTGAACATTCCCTTTCATAGAGCATGTTTGAAACACTGTTTCTGTAGTATCTGCAAGCGGACATTTCAAGCGCTTTCAGGCCTATGGTGAGAAAGGAATTATCTTCAAATAAAAACTAGACAGAAGCATTCTCAGAAACTTATTTGCGATGTGTGTCCTCAACTAACAGAGTTGAACCTTTCTTTTGATACAACATTTTGGAAACACTCTTTTTGTAGAATCTGCAAGTGGATATTTGAATAGCTTTGAAGGTTTCGTTGGAAACGGGAATATCTTCATATAAAATCAAGACAGAAGCATTCTCAGAAACTTCTCTGTGATGTTTGCATTCAACTCATAGAGTTGAACACTTCCCTTCATACAGCAGGTTTGAAACCCTCTTTTTGTAATATTTGGAAGTGGACATTTACAGCGCTTTGAGGCCTATGATGAAAAAGGAAATATCTTCCCATAAAAACTAGACAGAAGCATTCTCAGAAACTTGTTTGTGATGTGTGTATTCCACTAACAGAGATGAACCTTTCTTTTTACAGAGCAGTTTTGAAACACTCTTTTTGTGGAATCTGGAAGTGGATATTTGGATAGCTTTGAGGATTTCGTTGGAAACGGGATTACATATAAAATCTAGAGAGAAGCATTCTCAGGAACTTCTTTGTGATGTTTGCATTCACGTCACAGAACTGAACATTCCCTTTCATAGAGCATGTTTGAAACACTCTTTCTGTAGTATCTGCAAACGGACATTTCAAACGCTTTCAGGCCTATGGTGAGAAAGGAAATATCTTCAAGTAAAAACTAGACAGAAGCATTCTCAGAAACTTATTTGCGATGTGTGTCCTCAACTAACAGAGTTGAACCTTTCTTTTGATACAACATTTTGGAAACACTCTTTTTGTAGAATCTGCAAGTGGATATTTGAATAGCTTTGAAGGTTTCGTTGGAAACGGGAATATCTTCATATAAAATCAAGACAGAAGCATTCTCAGAAAGTGCTTTGTGATGTTTGCATTCAAGTCACAGAGTTGAATATTCCCTTTTATAGAGCAGGTTTGAAACACTCTTTCTGCACTACCTGGAAGTGGACATTTGGAGCGCTTTGAGGCCTATGTTGAAAAAGGAAATATCTTCCCATAAAAACTAGACAGAAGCATTCTCAGAAACTTGTTTGTGATGTGTGTATTCAACTAACAGAGATGAACCTTTCTTTTTACAGAGCAGTTTTGAAACACTCTTTTTGTGGAATCTGAAAGTGGATATTTGGATAGCTTTGAGGATTTCGTTGGAAACGGGATTACATATAAAACCTAGAGAGAAGCATTCTCAGGAACTTCTTTGTGATGTTTGCATTCAAGTCACAGAACTGAACATTCCCTTTCATAGAGCAGGTTTGAAACACTCTTTCTGTAGTATCTGCAAGCGGACGTTTTAAGCGCTTTCAGGCCTGTGGTGAGAAAGGAAATATCTTCAAATAAAAACTAGACAGAAGCATTCTCAGAAACTTATTTGCCATGTGTGTTCTCAACTAACAGAGTTGAACCTTTGTTTTGATACGGCATTTTGGAAACACTCTTTTTGTAGAATCTGCAGGTGGATATTCGGATAGCTTTGAAGGTTTCGTTGGAAACGGGAATATCTTCATATAAAATCTAGACGGAAGCATTCTCAGAAAGTGCTTTGTGATGTTTGCATTCAAGTCACAGAGTTGAATATTCCCTTTTTAAAGAGCAGGTTTGAAACACTCTTTCTGCACTACCTGGAAGTGGACATTTGGAGCGCTTTGAGGCCTATGTTGAAAAAGGAAATAACTTCCCATAAAAACTAGACAGAAGCATTCTCAGAAACTTGTTTGTGATGTGTGTATTCAACTAACAGAGATGAACCTTTCTTTTTACAGAGCAGTTTTGAAACACTCTTTTTGTGGAATCTGAAAGTGGATATTTGGATAGCTTTGCGGATTTCGTTGGAAACGGGATTACATATAAAATCTAGGGAGAAGCATTCTCAGGAACTTCTTTGTGATGTTTGCATTCACGTCACAGAACTGAACATTCCCTTTCATAGAGCATGTTTGAAACACTCTTTCTGTAGTATCTGCAAACGGACATTTCAAACGCTTTCAGGCCTATGGTGAGAAAGGAAATATCTTCAAATAAAAACTAGACAGAAGCATTCTCAGAAACTTATTTGCGATGTGTGTTCTCAACTAACAGAGTTGAACCTTTGTTTTGATATGGCATTTTGGAAACACTCTTTTTGTAGAATCTGCAGGTGGATATTCGGATAGCTTTGAAGGTTTCGTTGGAAACGGGAATATCTTCATATAAAATCTAGACGGAAGCATTCTCAGAAACTGCTTTGTGATGTTTTCATTCAAGTCACAGAGTAGAATGTTCCCTGTTATATACCAGGTTTGAGACACTCTTTCTGCACTACCTGGAAGTGGACGTTTGGAGCGCTTTGAGGCCTATGTTGAAAAAGGAAATATCTTCCCATAAAAACTAGACAGAAGCATTCTCAGAAACTTGTTTGTGATGTGTGTATTCAACTAACAGAGATGAACCTTTCTTTTTACAGAGCAGTTTTGAAACAAATCTTTTTGTGGAATCTGAAAGTGGATATTTGGATAGCTTTGAGGATTTCGTTGGAAACGGGATTACATATAAAATCTAGAGAGAAGCATTCTCAGGAACTTCTTTGTGATGTTTCCATTCACGTCACAGAACTGAACATTCCCTTTCATAGAGCATGTTTGAAACACTCTTTCTGTAGTATCTGCAGACGGACATTTCAAGCGCTTTCAGGCCTATGGTAAGAAAGGAAATATCTTCAAATAAAAACTAGACAGAAGCATTCTCAGAAACTTATTTGCGATGTGTGTCCTCAACTAACAGAGTTGAACCTTTGTTTTGATACAACATTTTGGAAACACTCTTTTTGTAGAATCTGCAAGTGGATATTTGGATAGCTTTGAAGGTTTCGTTGGAAACGGGAATATCTTCATATAAAATCAAGACAGAAGCATTCTCAGAAACTTCTCTGTGATGTTTGCATTCAACTCATAGAGTTGAACACTTCCCTTCATACAGCAGGTTTGAAACACTCTTTTTGTAATATTTGGAAGTGGACTTTTGCAGCGCTTTGAGGCCTATTATGAAAAAGGTAATATCTTCCCATAAAAACTAGACAGAAGCATTCTCAGAAACTTGTTTGTGATGTGTGTATTCAACTAACAGAGATGAACCTTTCTTTTTACAGAGCAGTTTTGAAACACTCTTTTTGTGGAATCTGAAAGTGGATATTTGGATAACTTTGAGGATTTCGTTGGAAACGGGATTACATATGAAATCTAGGGAGAAGCATTCTCAGGAACTTCTTTGTGATGTTTGCATTCAAGTCACAGAACTGAACATTCCCTTTCATAGAGCATGTTTGAAACACTCTTTCTGTAGTATCTGCAAACGGACATTTCAAGCGCTTTCAGGCCTATGGTGAGAAAGGAAATATCTTCAAATAAAAACTAGACAGAAGCATTCTCAGAAACTTATTTGCGATGTGTGTTCTCAACTAACAGAGTTGAACCTTTGTTTTGATACAACAATTGTTGGAAACACTCTTTTTGTAGAATCTGCTAGTGGATATTTGGATAGCTTTGAAGGTTTCGTTGGAAACGAGAATATCTTCATATAAAATCAAGACGGAAGCATTCTCAGAAAGTGCTTTGTGATGTTTGCATTCAAGTCACAGAGTTGAATATTCCCTTTTATAGAGCAGGTTTGAAACACTCTTTCTGCACTACCTGGAAGTGGACATTTGGAGCGCTTTGAGGCCTATGTTGAAAAAGGAAATATCTTCCCATAAAAACTAGACAGAAGCATTCTCAGAAACTTGTTTGTGATGTGTGTATTCAACTAACAGAGATGAACCTTTCTTTTTACAGAGCAGTTTTGAAACACTCTTTTTGTGGAATCTGAAAGTGGATATTTGGATAGCTTTGAGGATTTCGTTGGAAACGGGATTACATATAAAACCTAGAGAGA